>NC_000002.12:121239618-121864618 GCF_000001405.40 Homo sapiens | reverse complement strand
AAGGAATAGAATTAAATTCCACCCCGTTACAGCCTGAAAGATTGCAAGAAAGCAAAACTGTTGGGTGTTCTTCCCCACCTTTTTCTCCAGGATTAGGTGTTCAGCTCGCATGGGGAGCCCTGACTGTATTTCGGGATCTGTGTGATTCCCAGCGTGTGGCCCTGCAAGCTGCATTGTAATAACTAGAGGACTCAGGGGCCAGAGAACACCTTGCCCAGAATCCCGACCCTTCCTAGTTCCTGCAGTGTCTCCTCCCAGCTCACCTCACTCCATGGCTGTCTCACTCCATTCAGGCTTCTGTAAGAAAATACCACAGACTGAGTGGCTTACGAACAATAGAAATTTATTTTTCACAGTTCTGAAGGCTGAGAAGTCCAAGATCAAGGCACTGGCAGATTCAGTGCCTGGTGACGGCCAGTTCTTCGTAGATAATGCCTTCTAGCTGTATCCTCACATGGTGGAAGGGGAAAGGGGTCTGTCCTGGGACTCTTTTGTTAGAGTGCTAATCTCATTCACAAGGGCTCTACCCAATGGCTTAGTGACTTTCCAGAGGCCCTCAATTCCTAACACCATCACCTTGGAGGTTAGGATTTCGACATATGAACTTGGGGAAGACAAAAACATCTGGACCATAGTAATGGCCATCTTGGAGAGGAGCAGAAAACTGGAGAAACTGAGCACAGGGAATCGACTTAAGGAGATCAAGAAGAAACAAACAAGATTAGTGAGGATGTGGAGGAACTGGAACCCCTCACATGCTGGGGCATTGCAAAATGGTGCAATACTTTGGAAAATTGTTTTGCAGTTTCTCTCTTTTTATTTTATTTTTTTTTGAGATGGAGTCTTGCTCTTGTCACCCAGGCTGGTGTGCAGTGGCACAATCTCAGCTCACTGCAACCCTCTACCTACTGGGTTCAAGAAATTCTCCTGCCTCAGCCTCCCTAGTAGCTGGGATTACAGGCATCCGCCACCACACCTGACTAATTTTTGTATTTTTAGTAGAGATGGAGTTTCACCATGTTAGCCAGGCTGGTCTCGAACTCCTGACCTCGTGATCCACCCGACTCACCCTCCCAAAGTGCTGGGATTACAAGCTTGAGCCACCACGCCCAGCCTGGCAGTTTCTCAAATGTTAAACATGGAGTTATGGTATGACAGAACAATTCTATCCCTAGATATCTACCCAAGAGAAATGAAAATAGAGATCCACAGAAAAACACACATAACTGTTTGTGGAAGCATTATTCATAACAAACAAAAGTGGAAGCCACCCAAATGTCCATCAGCTAATTAATGGATAAATAAAATGTGGCATATCCCTGCAATGGAGTACTATTTGGCCATGAAAAGGAATGAAGTTCTAATACACACTACAACATGGATAACTTTAAAAACATTATGCTAAGTGAATAAAGTGAATCACAAAAGGCTACATACACATTGTATGCTTTCATTTTCATGAAATGTTACAAGAGGCAAATCTATAGAGACAGAAAGTAGATTCATGGCTGCCTAAAGCTGGAGGCATTGAAATGGGCAGGAATGGGGAGTGACTGCTAATGGGCACAGGGTTTCTTTTTGGAGAAATGAAGATGTTCTAGAATTGATTGTGCTAATGGCTGCACAACTGGATGAATATATTGAAAGCCATTGAATGTTATGTTTAATGGATGAATTGTATGTATGTGAATTTCATCTCAATAAAGTAGTTGAAAACAGAAAAAGAAGTATAGGTAATGGAAAATGAATAATCAGATTGTTTTAGAACTGCTTTTGGAACAAGTTAGCTAAGCCAAACCTTGAAAGACACCTGAGAGGCTCTTGGCATCATGGCAACCACCCTCACAGTTTTGCTATTTACCAGGTTCATGACATAGGGGTCACTTGTCATTTTCCTGGGGCATAAATTGGAATATTTCACCCACATGGCTGCCTTGAGGGAGGAAGTGGCTAAGCTAATGGGTAGAGCAGACTGCCAACACCTTCTCTTCCAAAAAGATTTTTACTCAGCCTTTCATTGTAACATACATAAAAATTTTTGAGAATAATGAGCACCTCCTTTTTCTTTTTTTTTGAGACATTTCGCTTTGTCACCCAGGCTGGAATGCAGTGGCATGATCACAGCTCACTGAAGCCTCAACATCCCAGGCTCAAGCATGATCCTCCCACCTGAGCTTCCCAAGTAGCTGGAACCACAGGCATGCGCCACCGTGCCTGGCTGATTTTTGAGATTGGGTCTCACCATGTTGCCCATGCGGGTCTCAACCTTCTGGGCTCAAGCCATCCTCCCACCTGGGCCTCCCAAGGGGCTGGAATTACAGGTATGAGCCACCACATCCAGCCCACTTTGTTTCTTTGTGGAAAATGACACCCAAAAGAAAGCCAACTGCAAGTGCTGGTGAAGGCAATGAAGAAAGAATGAAATGGTCTAATAAAAAGTATGTGCTTTGGCCAGGCATGGTGACTTATGCCTATAATCCCAGCACTTTGGTAGGCTGAGGCAGGAGGGTTATTTGAGCCCAGCAGTTTGAGATCAACCTGGCAACGTGACGAGACCTTTAAAAAAATTACTCTAATTTTTTTTAGACCTATAAAAAATTGATATGGTGGTGCAGGCCTGTGGTACTGCCTACTCAGGAGGCTGAGGCAGGAGGATTGCTTGAGCCCAGGAGTTTCAGCTATGATTTACACTGCACTACAGCCTGGGTGACAGAACAAGACCCTGTGTATATATATATATACACATATATACACATATATATATGTGTGTGGTGATATGGGTTGGCTGTGTCCCCACCCAAATCTCATCTTGAATTGTAGCTCCCACAATTCCATGTCATGGCAGGGACCCAGTGGGAGGTAATTGAATCATGGAGGTGGATCTTTCCCATGCTGTTCTTGTGATAGTGAATAAGTTTCATGAGATCTGCTGGTTTTATAAGGGGGAGTTTCCCTGCACAAGTTCTTCCTTGCCTGCCACCATGTAAGATGTCCCTTTGCATTTCTTTTGCCTTCTGCCATGATTGTGAGGTCTCCCCAGCCATGTGGAATTATAAGTCCATTAAAGCTCTTTTTCTTTATGCATTAACCAGTCTCGGGTATGTCTTTATCAGCAGCATGAAAATGGACTAATACATAGGTATACACACACACACACACACACACACACATATATAATGTGTGTGTGTATACATATACATATATATGTGCTTCAATAGTAGTCTTCACAAGAAATGGTAAAGATCTCAGACATAAACTTCCAACATGACAAGGATCCGCTTTGAGGGAAATAGATAAATTGAGAAAAGCAGAAACAGAGATGAAGTACACAAAGACATAATAAAATAACCAGTAAGAAAATCATGTTCCCTGGTCTTCCCCAAAGCCTGCTCCTTGCACCACTCCAGGCATGGTGGAATGCATGGAAATCCAGGTACTTGCAACGTAAGTGTAACTTAAGACCCAAACACTTGAAAATTCAAACAGGAATTCAAGAGAGAAATAGGACTTTGGGAGAGCAGTAGAAGAGATGCCACAGCATAGGACATGATTAATTGTTAAATGAATTGAGTGGTTGGCCAACAAAGGAGGAGCTCAGAGGCAGGAGAGGTCATTTCCGGGCAGGCTGAACCCTGCACAGAGAGGAGGCAATTTGAGCAAGATAAATGTAAGGGAATTTAAGAACACTAGCCTGGAAACATTTTGCCCTTTGATATCTTTTAATTGAACTTCTCCTTCCCATCACAGATGCAGATCCTTTTCATGGACGCTGGGGTCTGTGTTGCAGCCTGGACTCTAGTCCTCTATGAGCTGTTCACCTCTTGACAGGGAGGAGAACAGGAGGGGAGGAGAGGGGCTTGTATTAGTTCCATTATGTGTCTCCATCAAAGCTTGCTGCTGCCTCCCGTCCTCATTCATCACCTTCCTACTAAGATCGCCTGGCTAACATCTGTTTGACTTCCTGCTGCATGCCCCAGAAGTCCTACTACCTTGAGTCAGCACAACTCATGACACAGTCAGTCTTTATGAGATCAGCAAAGCCTAGCCTTGTTGCATGATTCCTACTGACAAGTGCAGCAGGAATGTCGAGGTGGCCTTAAGGAAGGCAGCGTGGTTGTCTTAGTCCTTCACTGAATGGCCAGAGCCAATGTTCCTAAAAGAAGCCACTTCCATGAGAAGGAGCCTGTGGGTTTCCTTGAGGCAGCCTGTTGTGGAAATGAGTGGGAAAACACAAACTGTGAAAAAAAACAAACTGTTTTTCCTCTGCCTTCATACCACAACAATCAAAGCAGACTTCTGTGAGCAAATGTGTTGAGGTTCCTCCCCACCAATAAGTAAGCAAGCAGTTCTACAGTGGACACCAGCTGAGAATCCTCCAATTCAATTCCATTCTGACACTGTTTATCTGGAGATTGCATCAGATCCCATAAGTTGAAAGCTCAGTCCCAGAAGACTGGCCCCTCTTCAGACACCAGTCACGAGCCGCAGGTTGTCTTACCTGTGCTTCTGACCAACCAGCCTAAATCAAAGTTCCCACAACCCCCTCCTCAGATTCAATTTGTTTGCTAGAGCAGCTCACAGAATTTAGGAAAACACTTATTTGCATTTACTGGTTTATTATAAAGGATATTACAAAGGACACAGATAAAGAAACGCACAGGGCAAATTATGTGGGAAGGGGCGTGGAGCTTCCATGCCCTCCGGGTACACATCCCTCCAGGAACCTCCAGGCATTCAACTACCTGGAAGCTCTCCTAAGTCTATCCTTTTGGATTTGTTGGAGGCTTCATTACATAGGCATGATTGACAAAATCATTGGCCATTGGCGATCAACTTGACCTTCAGCCCCTCTCCCCTCCCTGTAGGTTCAGGGGTGGACCAAAAAATCCCATCGCTCTAATCCTGCCTTGGTCTTTCCTGGTGACCAGCTCCCATCCTGAAGCTACCTAGGGGCTTCAGCCATCAGTCAACTCATTCGCATGCAGAAAGACACTCAGCACATTGAAGATTCCAATTATTTTAGGAGTTGTATGCCAAGAAACCAGGAAACAGGCAAAGACCAAATGTATATTGGAAACAAGCAGGGAAGCAAAAACAAAGGAATTATCTGTGTGCCAAGGTACTTGCTAGACCCTTTACAGGCTCTTTTAATCTCTACAATAAGCCTGCAAGTTAAATAAAATTATTCACATTTTACAGTTGTAGAAAGAGACTTAGAGTGATTAAATGCTTTCCACAAAATCACACAGCTAGTAAGTGTTGGGTTGGGTTATAACCCCAGGTCTGTCTGATCCCCAAAATTACCTTTTTTCCATCTTATACTGCCCTGCATCCATGTCCTATTCAACCTCATCTCCAGACTCTGCTGAAGAAATTAATTTAAAATGTTCATTATTATAACATCTGCAATATTATTCCAGGTGAGATGGTGGTGCCAGGGATTCCATTCGTATTACTGCTAAATTTCAAAAAAGAAATAAGTCAGGGAATGATAATGATTCTCATTTTACTACCATGGATACTGAGGGTTGTTTTAGTGAGGTTGGGCTAGGCTCTGTTGCTGTAACATGTAACCCCAAGATCTCACTGTTTTCACAAAATTGATGTTTACTCCTTGTTCATGTAATGTCCAACATGGGTTGGTGAGGGCTTTGCACTGTCACTCACTCAAGGACCCAGATAGATGGAGGCTTCACCCTCTTGTAGATTCACCGTCTGGGACCCTAGCTTCCTTATCACCCAGGCAGCAAAAGTCAAGCACAGTTTCCTCACACCTGTTCTATTCTTCAGTACAAAAGAACCAATCCCTACCTCAATGCAAGGAAGTAGACTGTGACACGTACATGAGCACATGGATATTTGACAAGCAACAAATGTCATGGCTACAATTCTCAATTAGGTTCAGAATATTGTGCTAAACCACAGAGCTGAGACTTGAAACTGGTCTATATGTCTCTCTCCAAGGTTCATGAATCATTGTGCGATCCAGAAAAGCAACTGCTCAAATCCATCAGAGCTATTGCCATGTGAAGTCAGTCCTGTGACTCATCCCATTTAGAATTCAGGGTCCAGAAGGAACACACAGGGTTGCAGGAAATCACAAATGTCTTACTGACTTCAATCATGGACTTTCGTGACATCCCAGAGATGACCTGATTCATCTCAAATCTCCAGCATGATGCTCTCTCCTTTGCAGGTTATCTCAGCCACTGTGGAACTACATTTATTTCTGGCCTGTCTTGCTTCTGCAGGCAAATGATTTTATGGCGCTAGTCTCTTAGTTTGGATGCTTATATATATCATCACATTCTAACAAAGACTTGCTGCAGTATAACAAAAAATGCATAGAAAGTAAGTTTAAAAAATAAATGTGAGAAAATCGATATGGGAAAAATAAGATAAAGTCAAGGATAACATTATACATAGTGCATACTGTGGGGTTCTGTGCACTTGCTGGGGGAAAGTCCAATATGCTTTCTGAGCTTCCAGGCAGCCAATGAAAGAGTGCTATATAATCCAGAAATACCCATAAGATAAAAATTTAGCCAGATATTCAGGGCAAGCTCAGCTATTCCTGGTACTTATACCTGACAGAACTCTTTCTCATGGGACCACCCTAAGGGGATATATTATGAGAGAGTGAAGGGAAAAAGAAAACCAAAAAAGGCAATTCCAGAAAATCAGTGGCATATCAGGAACTCTGGATGAAACTCTGAGGCATCCTGGGGAACACAGAACACAAGCTGATTGGAGCTAGAAAGCCTTCTCAGAGGGCAGGAAAAAATCACTTCCACAGAAGAGGGAGGCAAAAAGATATCAGAGTGTAAAAAAGAAAACAACAGAAACTTCAAGCAGATTCGAATAATCTCTGCTGCCTCTGATGGAATACGATTGAGTTTAGTTGCATGAGAGACTCAATTTGGAAATGAGAGGCAAAACAATATGGCAGCCAGATGCTTCTTTGCAAGCTTCAGAGTCCAAAATGGTGGAAGTAAAATTGTCCCATGGGAAACTGAGCAGAAGCACCAAGAAAGTTTGGAGCCAAAGTCCAAACTCCTCCCACTTTCAAACACTGTAGCCGTCTGACAGATGCCCACTAGATTATGAACATGTCTGCTTTAGGAAAGAGAGTTTTTCACGTTTCATGCACCAGCCACCAAATACATGTTGCCTGCTCTTGGTGAAGACATATTAATAAAATTCTGCAGGAAGTGCTGGTTCTAAATTTGACATTCTCAGGAGTAGTGGGAAAGAATATGTCAAAGGAAAGAATGTATCAAAGCAAACAGAATCAGAGAGTCAGGCAAGTTATATACATTATCTTTAATCCACATCACAACCCCAAATAGTAAGTATTATTACTTTCCAATCACTTTGACTACAATGACTGCTTTACAAATGACTGTACTCAGGCTGAGAAACATGGAATAGCCTGAGCAATATTACACAGCTCATAAGTGGGGAACACAGAATTCTAACTTATCTCTGCCTAGTGCCATTTCCGGTGCCTTTTAATAATATAATACTGCCTTTTGATACCAGGTAAATTGAAGAAATGAAAACTGAAGTAAAAGAGTCATTAAAATCCCAAGAAAAGATTAAAAAATAAACACATTCCTTTGTCACTGGTAAACTGAGTTTTTTTTCCCCTACTTTGTATAGGTTGCAAAGAAAGAACATCCAATTGGAAAAAAAAAAAAAAAGAAAGAAAGAAAAAGCAATCAGGTTTTATTCAATGGCCAGAGAATGGAGAAGGGGTAGCTCTTGCTCTAAAGGCATATTCCCCGCCCCCAGAGTGTTGGGAGGCAGGGGAATCTTAGAGTTAAATGCGGGCCAGGAGAGATGTAGGCATGCAGGGTGGAGTTCCAGACACACAGGTGCAGTCCCAAACATAATTCTCCATATACCGCATGTTTACAAAATGGTAGAGATTTTCTTTTAGAGGAGGAGATTTCAGCATTATAATTATATGTTCATGATCTAAAGGTAACTAGGGGTCACTTGTTCCAGTTTGCACCAGTTCCAGGCAGGTCTTATCTTCTTCTGGTATTTGGCAAGGGGTCACAAAGCTCTTGCAGTGCCTGGTTTCTTCAAGCAGCTGTGCCTATAGATAAAGAGACGAAAGAAAAAAAAACTGGGAAAGTAAAATTCCAATTGCTTAGATGAGGCTGGGTTCATTCGGTGACATTTTTACTTTTGTTCCCTCCAAAACCCTCCTAAAACAATTAGAAATGAATTTTAAAAAAACATAAAGCCATGAAGACAGAGCAAACAGAAGATGAAATCACTACATCCAAATTTTGGAAACTGGAAGGCAAGATGAATGAGTGAGAATGGATTTAGAAAGTTCAAGAGCACAGAATCCTTTGCTGGTTGTACTAGGGAGAGCCAGGAAGCACCCAAATTACCCTGCACTGCCCCTAAAAGATTGAAGAATTTTTCTGGAAGTGGCAGAAAAATAGGGCTGAAGACAGAAGGATGAATAAAATGTCTATATAAAAGCTAGTAACCTTCCCAGCTCCACACAGCCTGGGACTGCTCCTCATCACCAAGCAGAAAACTGGAGGCTTCTTCTCTGGAGAGGATAAAGCAAAGGGTCTTTAGACCTAAGGCACCAGGCATAGTCCAGGGTGGAGAAACTATTTTCTTAAAAATGGTGAAGTGGGCATTTACAAATAGAATTCAGAGGCTCACAGGGCACTGTCAGCTAGGTGCAAATATGCTAAACCAGAGATGGGGAAGGTCTTCTCTAAGAAAAAGACCCAAAGATGCTGATGTCAGAGGATCCCCAGTGGAACAGCCCAGCGAGATCAGGCTGTACTGACGACCATGCACAGTGTCCAAACCGCCTGTCAGTCTCACAGCCCCCACTACTGATCACGAGTAAACAGGGAAAGTTGCCAGACATCTGAATAAAACATCCAACAAGAACACCAGATGCCAAAACAGAGTAAAGCAAATTGGAAGAAACAGAACTATGCAAGAGAAGATAACATCAAAGTCAACCATCCTTAATATCCTCAGCTAAATAAGATCAAGTGTTCTACCAATGAAATAAAAACAGAGTTTTCTTTTTCTAAGTTCTCATTCAGGAAACAAAAAGAGCTCTTGGAAATTAAAAATATGATAGCACATATAAGAAATGCAGTAGAAAGTTTGGAATATAAAGTTAAGAAAATATCCCAGAGTAGAGTGAAAAGATAGAGACTGAAAAATGTAAAAAGTTGAGACGTTAAAATTATCACATCAAAGATTTTATTTAACCCATCAATTAATAAGAGAACCAGTAAGATGTTACAAATGGTTTGGTGGAGAAATCAAAGAGCAGACACATAGACAATAGAGAATGCTGAAGTGAATATGTAATCGATGCAAAACTAGCTTCTTGGGGAAAGAGGGATATCAATTTGCAGCTGCACCAGACAAAGTATATTTGCATCTCTATGAAAGGCAGTCATTTACAATAATCTCAGTTTTCCACAATTTTAGCTCAAAGACAATGGAGTTGGAGGCCTTTATAGAATCAGGTAACCCAGAAGAGTACACTAAATAGGATCCCAAAACTCTTTTCCCTGACAGAGAGAAAAGACAAGAAAATTAGAAGATTGTTCCAGGATGTCCAATACCCAAATAATAGAAATTCCAAAAAAGAAACAACAAAGAAAACAGTAAGGGAAAAGATTATCAAAGAAATAATTCTAGAAAATGTTTCAGAACTAATGAATTAGAAGAGTGAGTCTTTTATACAATTATCAAAACTCATGAAATTGTTCACTTAAAATGTTTGCATTTGTTGTATGCAAATTAAACCTCAATAAAGTTGATTTTTTAAAAAGAGCTGGCTCAACTGATACCTCTAAAGTGATGAGCTTAGACCCAAACAAAGACACTTTATCACAAATTTTAAATCTCTGGGTACAAAGACAAGAGACTACAAGCTTTCATAGCATTGAAATGTCACCAAAAACAAAGAATTTTAAAAAGTCAGATGGTTTCAAACTTTTCAAAAGGTCGAAGATAATAAAGCAAAGCCTTCAAAATTATGAAAGAAAACAATTTCCTATTTAAAATTCTATACTCAGCTAAACTATCATAAACATATATAAAATCATCCCCTGAAAAAAATACTGTGACTGCCTGGCACTATTTCTCAGGAAGCTGATGAAGCCTGTGTTCCACCAAAATAAGCAAGTACCCACAAAAAAAAAAAAAAAAAAAAAAAAAACCCTTGAGACACAGCACAGGAAAGGGGTGAGGGCATCCCTTGGATGATGTGGAAAGACTCTACAATGACACTGTGCACCAAGACCAAAGGACGACTAGTTGATCTTGGAGAAAATCAGCAGACCTCAGGAGATAAAGCTGATAGGATAGCTGACACATCTGAACATCTTGAGGAGAAATTTAGATAATTGGCAAGGAGTTTAGGGGTTGAATGAATGATAAGCCGATGGAACATTCAGCAAACTAACCCAAAACAAGATGCTTCTTAACTCTAAGGAAAAACAAAAAGCAACCTAAGAAAGTAAGTGTAATCTTAGTGTACTACTTGCTCACCTATCAATGTCTTCACATTTTCATAATAATGTAAATACCAAATAATGTTGTAACCAAAATTCTAGTATAATTATATTGGGGAAATGGAGAGCACAGAAGGGTGTTTGTTTTTATGTTGTGGGATAAACAAGTCAAATCCTTACCTCATCTTCAACAAAGCTGTCCATATATCATTCGAAAATTGTTGAAGTTGGCCAGGCAGGGTGGCTCACACCTGTAATCCCAGCACTTTGGGAGGCTGAGGCAGGCGGATCACTTGAGGTCAGGAGTTCGAGACCAGCCTGGCCAACATGGTGAAGCCCCATCTCCACTAAAAGTACAAAAATTAGCCAGGCGTGATGGCATGTTTCTGTAATCCCAGCTGCTAGGGAGGCTGAGGCAGGAGAATTGCTTGAAACCAGGAGACAGAAGTTGCAGTGAGCCAAGATTGCACCATTGCACTCCAGCCTGAGCAACAGAGTTGCTCCGTCTCAGAAAGAAAGAGAGAGAGAGAGAGAGAAAGACAAAGAAAGAAAAAGAAAGAAAGAAAGAAAGAAAGAGAGAGAGAGAGAGAAGGAAGGAAGGAAGGAAGGAAGGAAGGAAGGAAGGAAGGAAGGAAGGAAGGAAGGAAGGAAAAGAAAGAGAAAGGAAGGAAGGAAAGAGAAAGGAAGGAAGGAAAGAGAAAGAAAGAAAGAGAAAGAAAGAAAGGAAGGAAGGAAGGAAGGAAGGAAGGGAGGAAGGAAGGAAGGAAGGAAGAAAAAGAAAGAAAGAAAGAAAAGAAAAGAAAAGAAAAGAAAAGAAAAGAAAAGAAAGAAAGAAAAAAAGGAAATTGTTAAAGTCAACAATTAGTGGCTGGGCACAGTGGCTCGTGCCTGTAATCCCAGCACTTTGGGAGGCCAAAGCAAGAGGATCACTTGAGCTCAGGGGTTCAAGACCAGCCTGGGCAACATACTGAGACCCCATCTCCACTAGAAATATTTTTTAAAAAATTATCCGGGCATGGTAGTACATGCCTGTAGTCCCAGCTACTTGGGAAGTTGAGGTTGGGGGATCGCTTGAGCTCAAGAGTTCAAGGTTACAGTGAGTTATGATCCCACCACTGCACTCCAGCCTGGCTAACAGAGTGAGACTCTGTCTCAGAAAAAAAAAAAAAAAGAGAGAAGTAGCAATAGAAATACGTTATTTGTTTTTTATAAAAATAATCAGCTTAAAGACGTTTTGAAAGTGCTTATCTGTGGAGAGGATCAAATGGAGGGGACCCAGGATGCATAGGAGATGGCGGTTTTTCCTGTAGATCTATTTGTCTCTTTAAGTTATGTGCATGCAAAGCCCACCTCCGGGACCAATCCCAGGAAGACTGATGGCCAAACTCTCCTGGGAACAGCTGAAGAAAGAGAACCTGGGTCCATCCCTGATGATCCTTTGTTCTTTGTCTTGGAGATTTGAGAGTTAACATCTAGATGCAAAGAAATAAGTCCAAACACTAACACAGACTGATTTTGAGTCTTTGTTGTGGCCAGGCGTGGCTCACGCCTGTCATCCCAGCACTTTGGGAGGCCGAGGCAGGTGGATCACCTGAGGTCAGGAGTTCGAGACCAGCCTGACCAACTTGATGAAACTCCGCCTCTACTAAAAATACAAAAATTAGCTGGGCATGGTAGCATGTGCCTGTAATCCCAGCTACTCGGGAGGCTGAGACAGGAGAATCACTTGAACCCGGGAGGCGGAGGTTGCAGTGAGCCGAGATGATCGCACCATTGCACTCCAGCCTGGGCAACAAGAGCAAAAACTCCGTCTCAAAAATAAAATAAAATAAAAATAAATTATGTGCATGCACAACTTTGATCAACATAATTTCTGTAAGAAGAAGAATGCATTGACAAAGCTGTTATTGTAAGTTTTACAGACCCAGGGAAAGTAGGATTTCCTGTTGTTGATTCCAATATCCATCTCCCAAGTTTCCAGAGGTCCTCAGTCTTAATATTCGGGGGTATGTCCAACTCACAGCAGGCCAAAAGCTGTCATGTTCCAAGCAGAGGCAAAGTAACCCATTCTCTGAATTTTTGCCTTTAATAACACAAGACGCAAGCCCCATTGGGTGGAAACAGGCCTGATGTGCGACTCAGAACATCAATATTTTATTTCCCACTCATCAATCATTCACTACCTGCTGGCAAACAGTACCTTCCAGGGGGTGTCTCCAGGTCTCTGTCCAGCGCCAAGATTATCAATATTTTATGCTTGGGAGATGAAGTTGCTACACAGGCACATAATCCCCTGCCCAAGCAGTGCACAGAAAAAGCTCTTCTTTCCTGCAGGCAGCTCTGGGAGAACGTGGCAGGTGGTATCTGTCACACTGCTCCAGCTCCCTCTGTGAGCCCCCAGTTCTACACATTATGCAGCAGGCACAGGAATGCACTTGCAGAGATGGACTTCTGGAGAGGAAAACTGAGGCAGCCTTTCCAGTGTCCCTAGCACTTTCTCTCTACTGCCCATAGAATTTTTCAACCAGAATTCTTCATTCCCTCCCTGCCCTCGGGCCCTAATCATGGTGTAAATTAAGACTGATTCATATGGCTGCGCACAGTGGCTCATGCCTGTAATCCCAGCACATTGGGAGGCTGAGGCAGGTGGATCACCTGAGGTCAGGAGTTTGAGAACAGCCTGGCCAACATGGCGAAACCCTGTGTCTACTAAAAATACAAAAATTAGCCAGGCATGGTGGCGTGCACCTGTAGTCCCAGCTACTCGAGAGGCTGAAACAGGAGAATTGCTTGAACCTGGGAGGCAGAAGTTGTAGTGAGCCGAGATCATGCCACTACACTCCAGCCTGGGTGATAGAGCGAGAGTCCGCCTCAAAAAAAAAAAAAAAGGTTTCGTTGATATAACCTAAAATCTCTTTCATTCATCAAAAATCATTTATAGAAGACCAACAATGTGTTGGGCTTCCAGAGAGTTCCTGGGAACACAAGTACACATAAAACACATTTGTGGACATGTCTATTTCCATGGTGATACAGTAACATCTGTCATTTTCCTAGCACTGTGTACCAGGCACTGTCCTGGGCATTTGACATCTATTGCCCTTAATTCTTACATCAAATCATAAGGTAATCAAACTAGATTTCAAGAAAGACTGTATTTTTTCCCTCTCAAGTTTATTGAGAAACAATTTACATACAATAAACTGCATCCATTTAAAGGGTGCAATTCCAGAAGTTTTGATAGTTGTATACGCCCCAGAAACCACCACCACAATCAAAACACTCGACATTTCTATCACCTCCAAAAGATTCCTTGCGCCCTGTTGCAATCCACACTTCTGTCTCCCTCCATCTGCAGGCAACCACTCTTCTACTTTTTGTCACTGTAAATTACGTTGCATTTTCTATAAATGGAAGCATACAGAGTGAACTCTGTGCCTGACTTCTTTCATTCAGCGTAATGATTTTGAGATTCATCCACATCCTTGCATGTATGAGTACTTCATTCTTATTTGCTGCTGAGTGGTTTTCTATTGTATGGAAAGACTGCATTTTTATACCCATTCACCTGTTGATGGACATTAGGACTGTTTCCAGCTTTTAGCTATTATGAATAAAGCCGCTGAAAACATTCATGTCAAAGTCTTTGTGTGAACATACGTTTTCATTTCTCTTTGGTAAATGCCTAGAAGTAGAAGAGCAGGGTCATATTGTAGATGCATAAAGTCTTTCCTTTTTAGCATCTTTTTATGGTCAGACATGATGCTTTTGAATGACACTGTGAGAATACATAGGCCTCAAGGTTATCTATGAAGGATTATATGATTAACAAGAATCAACTGGATACCAAAAATAAACAAATAAATAACCCTATGCAGCTCTCAATGTCATTCGTTATTATAATAGTGCTTATTTGGGCCAGGCACAGTGGCTCCCGCCTGTAATCCTAGCACTTTGAGAGGCTGAGTGGGTGGTTTATCTGAGGTCAGGAGTTTGAGACCAGCTTGGCCAACATGGCAAAAACCCCATCTCTACTAAAAATACAAAAATTAGCCAGGCCTGGTGGCGGGCGCCTGTAATCCCAGCTACTCGGGAGGCTGAGGCAGGAGAATCACTTGAACCCGGGAGGCAGAGGTTGCAGTGAGCTGAGACTGCACCACTGCACTCCAGCCTGGGCAACAGAAAGAGACTTCGTCTCAAAAATAATAATAATAATAATAGTGCTTATTTACACCATCAAGGAATAAGTGAATTCCTATAAGCAAATTTTCTAAAAACTGAAACTTACCCTTTTAATCTACTTTTAAATTATTTTAAATATTATCTATTCCTGATACTATCAGCAATTTATTAGCATTCCTATTCCTCTAGAAATCTTTGTGACAGGTTTACAGCATTTGCTCCGTGCCTTATTAAAATGTGTCCTGGCCGTGCTGCCACTGACACCCCAGAAGTGTCATGCTGGCTGCCCAGTGCTGTCCCTGTGAGCTGCCCAGGCAGGGAAGTTGTTGCCCCAACACCACGGTGGCTCAGGTGGCTGTGTAGATTTGTCTGCAGCTCAGAGATGTCCTATATTCTGTCCTACTCCACACCTTTATTTCTTTTAACTATCAGTCACCAATCCAGTCTATAGACATAGGCATACATGTGCACCCACATGTACACACAGGCACAAACACGTTCACACAGAGGCATTTCTGCTAAGCAGTTCCTAAATCTTTGTGTGAGCTAAGAAAGCAAATGACCAAGGCTATCAGAATTTTGTGGAATCCAGTCAAAAAAAGACAGATGCACTTATGCACCAAGATTTTTCTAAAATGATATTCACAACAGTGGTATTTATATAACAAAGGAAAAATATTAAAAGAACAACCAAAATGTTCATTAGTAGGGAAATGGATGCATCATGTGATCAGTACTAAATCAGGAGTTTTGACTGAGGTGCCAAGAGACAACTGAGAGCACACAAGCAGGAGACTCCATGAAAGATCAGCTATGAGAACCACCCAAGTGGAGTCTGCACAGCAATTGCAGGATCCTGAGACCCCTTCCCAAACCCAGAGGGTGATAAAAGAGCTGAAGAGGGATTTAGTGAGAAGGATGTTTGGAGAGCCCCATTGAAGTCTGTGAGACAGACCTCATGTAGAGGAAAGTGGGCACCTCCCCTTCACCAGACATCTAGAGAGACATACTTCCCTGTCAACACTCAGAGAGCTTGCTGTGTGTCCCTAGGGTTTGGGAAACACAGTCTGAATCCTGTCCAGGAAATCCAGAGGTGAGTGAAAGGGAGCAGCTTCAGTATTGGGGCCTGGGGAAGGTGGCTGCGCTGGGATGGCTGGTGCTCCTAGAATGTGTCAGGCAAGGATATGTGAGGGCTTCGTGTGACCCAGAGGTGGGCCATTCAAGAGAGAGCCAGCCTGAAGGGTCACCTGAAAGGGTGGAGGGTCTCTAATAAGCCAGGACTTGTGGAGAGGACTGCAGGAAACAAGGGCCCCAGGGAAAGCAGCAGCCAGAGACTCCCAACACTCTGCCCCATCAGAGGAGCTGAAGTCGGAGGAGTCCCTGAAGGTGGACTCAACGTCATCTTGAGACAGGATCAGTCGACGTGGAACTTTATACTCCCTTTCTCCTCCTCCCTTCCCATGTTTAACCCTGAATGAGGTAACAAGAAAGAAAGAAGAAGGTGACCACTCCGCCAACACTTCCTTTGCAAAGTCTGGTGGCCCAACCACACCCATGCCACAGCCAGGCAGGTGCAGGAGACAGGATTAAAAAGTTAATATGTTGGATTACACATTCTAATTTCTGAATCAAGACTGTTTTGCTATAACAAGTGTTGACAAGGGTGTTAAGAAAAGGGAACCCTGGAACACTGTTGATGGGAATGTAAATTGGCACAGCCATTATGAAAAACAGTATGGAGGTTCCCCAAAAAGTTAAAAATATAACCACTGTAAGATCTGTGAATCCTACTTCTGAGTATATATGCAAAAGAAACAAAATCAATATCTTGAAGAGTTATCTGCGCTCCCATGTTTATTTCAGCATTAGTCACAATAGCAAAGGAAGCAACCTAAGTGTTCAGCAATGGATGAATGGATAAAGAAAACTGTTATTTAAACAATAGAATATTTTTCCACCTAAACAAGCAGAAACCTATCATTTGCAATAATATGGATGAACCGGCCGGGCACAGTGGCTCATGCCTGTAATCCCAGCACTTTGGGAGGCTGAGGTGAGTGGATCACCTGAGGTCAGAAGTTCAAGACCAGCCTGGCCAACGTGGCAAAACCCCATTTCTACTAAAAATACAAAAATTACCTGGGTATGGTGGCAGGCGTCTGTAATCCCAGCTACTCAGAAGGCTGAGGTAAGAGAATCACTTGAACCTGGGAGGCGGGGGTTGCAGTAAGCCAAGATCGCACTACTGTAATCCAGCCTGGGTGACAGAGCAAGACTCCATCTCAAAACAAAAAAAATATATGGATGAACCTGAAGGACATTATGCTAAGTGAAATAAGCCAGACCCAGGAAGACCAATACTGCATGATCTCACTTACACTTAGAACCTAAAAAAAAATTGAACTCATAAAAGCAGAGAATAGAATGCTGGTTGCCTAGGGCTTGGGGGTCACCAATGGAGTGACATCAGTCAGAGGTACAAACTTTCAGCTATAAGTGAAGCTCTAGAGATCTAATGTGCAGAATGGTGACTATAGCTGACCATACTGTATTGTACACTTGAAAATTGCTAAGAGTAGATTGTATTGTAAGCATTCTCACCCAAAAAAAAATGATAAGCATGTGAGGTGATGGATATGTTACTCAGCTTGATTTAATCATTTCACAATGTATACATATGTCAAAACATCACATTGTACACCCTAAATATATATGATTTTTATTTGTCAGTTATACTGCAATAAACCTGGGAGGTGGGGAGAAATATTGTTCTGCTGCTTAAGGAGACCTACGAATAAATAGCCTAGTCATGGGACCACCTGAGTTTTTATCTAAGACATGGGGGAAACTCTTCCCTGACAACATTTGAAGAAATAGTGGGAAGTAAAATGAAGTTGTATTCTGATTATAGCCCTCTAGTCATGCTTGCTCAACACACTGGTTACATAAAATATGGACACCCACACTATGGACCACCAGGCAGTGCTTAAAAAGAATGAGTACTAACATACAGTCTCCAAGACATAATATTGTGTGGGGTGGGGAAGCTAGTTGCAAAACAATTCTCAAAACATAATCACATTTATGTAAAAAAAAAAAAACTATACAAAAGTGTGTGCATGTGACTGTGCATATACATGTGTGTGAGACAGAACAGAATTCACTCCCTTCCATCCCCTTTGCTCAATCCCATCCTCACCCCTGGGAAACGGGAAAGGGGCTTTTAGTTCAATAGCATACCAAAGGCAATCAGTAGAGCAGGAGACATTGCCTGGCATGTAGGAGCTTTTCTCCAAAGGAGGTACAGGATGTGACCTACCATGACCATCCAAGGATGGGGCCGGGAGTGTGTCTTCCAGCCTTGCCCCTAGAGTCTTTGGCAGATGGACAAGAGACTGACTGAAGACTAGACAAGGAAGGAGGGCATAGTGAGACTTAAGAGCACTCCTCCCACTTGGCTGAGCTAAAAGACACCCCATAGGGAACGTTAGGAAATATTTTGTATCATTCTCTGAACTTGGAATACTTTAGGGATCAGTTAGTAGCAATAAGGGGTCCTTCAAGTAACAGATGACAGGCACACCCCTTCAGACACTGGGGACAAAAAATAACCTTCAGATGGGGATCTTTTGGAAGAGGTGTGGCAGGATGCCCACTCCTCTGCTAAGGGTGATTGCAGCAGGGCAGGCGGTTGGGGGCTAGTGAGGGCAGAGAGGCTGTAGGAGGAATACGAAGGGGCATTTTCACCTTTCACTCTCATTTTGAGTTGTTCTCATGTTTATAAGCAAATGTGATCTTCTGTTGCTTGTGTCGTTTTATTGCATAGTACATTTGAATCAATAAATTGGACCACACAGGGTCCTTCCCTGGCCCCATCATGGCCTTTGGAGACTGAGCTCTTTGGGCTCTTCTAGCAAAGTCAGACTTACATTTGCACGTGTCTCTGAGTTCACAGCCGCACTCCTTCTAGCAGACTGTGTCTGCGCTGGGGAGAAACCTAACTTTGCAGTCACTTGTACATTGCTGTGCAGTGTCTTTATACCAAAGGGCATTCGCACTGGAGATCCCTGCCAAGAAGAAGCACAAAGCCAAGGTGCTACCACCATCCCCACTTTGAATTTGGCCCTCTCGGCACATCCCGGGCCCATTTTCAAAATTAGACAGCATTAAAGAAGACTACAGGAAAGCCTCTGGGAAAGCCGCCCCCTCTTTCCCTGGGTTTTCACAATCAATAAGTAAATGCTGCTGAAATTGAAAGGCCTTCCCTGGTGAGGGCACCACTCTGCCTTCCTGATTAACATATTATAGATTCCATACATCTGGCTGCCGAATGAATTCCAGAGCACTGAGTACCAGCACTGAGTGGCAAGCCATTCAATTTCTTTGGTTAAATTCCATTTTTAAAGTCCTGTATCTTAAGAGGAACCCTGGGGACTGCTCTAAATTATATTAATTTTTAAAATCATAGAGGTAGTCAAGGGTAGAATTTAAAGATCATTCAAGTCGTAAGGGATCATTAGAATGGTGCAGCCACTTTGTAAAACAGTCTGACAGTTGCGCTGAAAGTTAAATAATATATGGTTACCTTATGACCCAGCAGTTCCACTCCTAGGTATATAACCAAAGGAAATGAGAACAAGTGTTCACACAAAAACCTATAACTGAATGTTCATAGCAGCAGCATTATCCATATTAGCCAAAAAGTGAAAACCACCCAAATGCCCATCGTCTGATGAATGGACAAGCAAAAATATGGTGTAATCACAGAGTGGAATAGTATTTAACCATAAAAAAGAATGAACTTCTGACACATGCTACAACATGGATGAAGCTTGAAAACACTATTCTGAGTGAAAAGCCAGAAAGAAAAGGCCATATATTATATGATTCCATTTATATAAAATATCCAGAACAGGCAAATCAAAGACACAGGGATTACATTGATTTAGGATTGCCTCGGACTAGGTAGTGAGGGGAAGACTAGTAGGTGATGTTCAAAAATTGACTATGGTGATAGTTGCACACTCAGAATCTACTAAAAACCATTGAATTGAGTGATTTAAATGTCTGAATAGTATGGCATGAGAATTATCTCTCACTAAAGTTGCTAATAAAAAAAGAGAGAGAGAGAGATCTTTAGGTAAGGTCCAGCTGACCTGCACTCTGGTCTCAAGATAATTTTCCCTAGATATCAGCTAGAATAAAACCCAAGAGTTTTGTCACTCAATTTGTCATTTATTGGACAAGTATATGTTAGGCTGTCACCTGAGTGCCTGGCACTGTTCTGGTGCTGAGAATGCTGCAATGAACAAAACAGACAGACAGACCATCCCATGGAGCATGCACCCTCTTGGGAGAGACAGGCAATTATAATCAATCAGAAAAGACTACGTCAGCTGATGATGAGCAATACGAGGAAACATAAACCAGGCCCAGGGGAGTGGAAAAAGAGGGGCAGCACTGCTAGTTCCCAGAGTAGTCAGGGAATTTCTCAGACAAGGAGGCATGTGAGCAGGGATGTGAAGGGAGTGCTCTCAGACCACAGTGCTGCCAGTCTGACACCTCTGGAAAGAAAGGGGGAAGGAAGGAGGGCTGTGGAGGAAGAGGCACGGCAGCAGTGCAGGCCAGAGAACGTCTCAGGCAGAGTGACGGGGACCCTCAAGCACAGATCCCCCAGTGGACAAGTCCCATCCCAAACAGAAATAGCCTGGCTGGCTCAGTACCCTCACCATGCCTACTGATTGGCAGGTGCAGCCCAGAGAGTGGACCCAGCAGGAACACCCCAGCAATTGAAGGTGCAGTGCTGGGGGCTGTCCACCAACCACCCTCGTCACAGCAGGTGCTGTTGAAGGGAGACGTGGTGCACAGCTCTAGGACAACCACACTGTCCTAAGGACTTTGACTTTTACCTTAAGTGGGATTAAGGTAAAAGCAGGACCATTGGGAGGTTTTAAGTGGAAGAGTGACATGCTATGACTTGCATCATAAAAGAGTCCATCCACTGCTAGGTTCAGAATTAGACTGTCAGAGGGCAAGAACAGGGGCCACAAGACCAGTTAGGAAGAACTAGGGAGAGCAGAAGGGAGTTCAGACCATCAAACTTTCAGGAGTAGTGTCCATGGTTAAAAATGGTCAAATTCTGGGTATATGCTGAGAGGTAGATCTGATACTATTTGCTGATGGATCATGAAGGATGGTAAGCAGAAAGCAAACATTAAGGATGACTCTAAAATGTGGGGCCTCACCAATTAGAAACATAGAGATGCTATTTTCTGGAAGCGGGGGCAGGACTGGGACTGAGTGTTCGAAATCGGGAGCTGGATTTCGGACATTTCATCTCTGGGAAGCCTTTTAGGTGTCAAGGTAGAGACATGGAGCAGGTAGCTGCTGTGAGAATATGCATTCAAAAGAGATCACTGGTTGCAGGTCCAGATTGGGCAGACTTCAGCCTTTGAATGGTCTTCGAAACCATGAGACCCAATAAGACCACCTAGGGAATAAATGCAAATAGAGAAAAGAAGTGATCAGATGCTGGATGTGGGGACCTTCAACGTTTAGAAGTTAGAAAGATGGACAAGAAGCAATGGCAATTGAGAAGGAGTTGGCAGGAGTGTAGAAGACAGCCGAGAGAGAAGCCCCCGGAAACCAAGTGAGGAAAGAATCTGAGGAGTGAGGCACTGTGCAAAAGCTGCTGATAGGCCAGGTAAGGTGAAGACTCAGAACTGACCCATAGAGGCCACCTGACAAGAACAGTCCCAGTGGAGTGTAAGGACAACCTCATGACACAAGTGCATTCAAGAGAGGAGTGGAGGCAGTGGGAATCCAAAGAGGGATGTGGGCTCACAAGATGTTCTCTTTACTAGGCGACTTTGCACAATGAGGGTGTCCAGACAGACATGGTCCAGGAGAGAAAGGGAATTGTTGGAGCAAAGTTGTTCGGGCATGAGTTTCCTATTGCTGCTGGAACGAGTCACCACAAATTGAGCCTTAAAACAACATAAATTTATTCCCTTATGTTTCCAGAAGTCAAAAGTCCAAAATGGATCTTCTGAGGCTGAAACCAAGATACTGACCAGGCTGTGTTCCTTCTAGAGGCTCTAGGGGAGAATGTGTTTCTCACCTTTTCCAGCTTCTGAAGGCCAACTGCATTTCTTCTTCCATCTTCAAGTCCAGGAGCACAGCATCTTCAAATCTTTCTCTGACTCTAAACTCCTGCTTCCCTCTTCCATCTTTTAAGGACCCTTGTGATTATCCAGAATAACTCCCCATCTGAAAGTTTTCAATCACATTTGCAAAGCCCCCTTTTCCATGTAAAGTAACATATTCACAGGTTCCGGGGACTGGGATGTGGACATCTCTGGGGGCCATTTATTCTGTGTACCACTTTGGTAGGAAGGAGAGGATGTGGTCTACAGTGCATGTAGGGATGGTCCTCACTCAAAGCACAGATAATTCATCTTTAATAACCACAGGAAAGGAGAAGAAATGATGCGGGTGCAGGTAAGGGTGATACAAAGAGCAATCACCCCTCCCATTGGCTGAGGAAGAGCACGTTTATAAAAACTTGAATGGTGAAAATACCAATGGCGATGACAATGATGATGGTGGTGGTGATGGATGGGGTGCTGTGGTGGTGATGGTGATGATGGTAATGGTGACTACCATGTTAGCTACAATGTATCTTGCCTTTACCAAATATTAAGGACTTTTATGCTTTATCTCTAATCCTCATAATCCCCACTCTGGAAATAGGATAGCTGAAGCTACATGAGGTTAAGTAATATACCTAATCACTGGCAAGTCTGGTACAGGAACTCAGTTACCAGCTAAGAGCGGGTGGGGTAAATTCAGTTTCCCAGACCAAACTCAATATTTGTTTCTCCCCATTCTCTCTCTCTCTCTCTAGTCTGCTTCCATTCCTCTAAGGAGTGTTTGTTCATTAACCCTGATTGGAAAGGAAGCAGCTTCCCCTGATATCTGTTTGTGGAGGACAGTGAAAACTTCAGTTTGCTCCTGCCCTTATATTGAGGCATCTGAAATAAATTAATGTATATGAAACTTTTTCAGAAACATACCTTAAAGCATACAAAGAACCTGAGTGTCCCAGGCAATGGGAAGTTTTTCCAAACTCTATGTTTCAGTAGGAAACATTCTGAGATGTTCTCGAGTCAGGAGCTGCATGCCCATCCTGCTCCAACATTTATGAGCCCCGAGACCTGAGACTTCCAAGCTCCAGTTTCCTCCTCTGTAGAATGCCGACTCTCATACTCACTCCCCAACATTCTCATGCTGATGGACATAAATAGCTAATACTGTAGAGGGCTCCGTGTTTCTGAAGGGTCTACTGCGCGCAAAGCCCTGCTGAAAGCACTTTACCTTCATTCATGCACAGAGTCCTCCTCGCCATCCGACATCAAGGTGCTATTGACAGCCCCATCTTATTATACAAATGGGGAGCCCTGGGACTCCCTTCCAGATGGGTCACCAGAGTCTGGATTACTGAGCCCCCAAGGAGAGGAAAGGAATCAGATGGTAGTTGTGAGGGAGGCATGGTGGCAGGAGTGAGAGCAGAGGGACTTCTTTTCAAAGTTCAAGCCCTGCTTCTTTTACCTTAAAGAGCCTGTGTGCAAAGAGAAAGCAAATTTAGAGCAACAGAAAGTAAATCAGTGGTTACCTGGGGCTGAGAACAGCATTAACTATAAACAGGCACAAGGGATCTTATTGGGAGGAATGAAAAAGTTCCAAAGCTGGATTATAGTAATGGTTGCACAACTCAGTAATTTTACTAGAACTCATTGAATTATTCACTTAGAATGAGTGAATTTTATGGCATGTAAATTTTACCTCAATAAAGTTGGTTTATAACAAAAAGTTTGCATGAGATGAAAAAGCAAAATTTGGTTGGGGTGGGGAGTGTCAGCAGTTTTAAAACATGGCTGGCCGGGCGCGGTGGCTCACGCCTATAATCCCAGCACTTTGGGAGGCCAAGGCGGGTGGATCACGAGGCCATGAGATCGAGACCATCCTGTCTAACACGGTGAAACCCCGTCTCTACCAAAAACACAAAAAATTAGCCAGGCGTGGTGGCGGGCGCCTGTAGTCCCAGCTACTGGAAGCTGAGGCAGGAGAATGGCGTGAACCCGGGAGGCGGAGCTTGCAGTGAGCCGAGATTGCGTCTCTGCACTCCAGCCTGGGCGACATAGCGAGACCCCGTCTCAAAAAAAAAAAAAAAATGGCTAAAAATCTTTCAACACTTCTCCCACTGAGGGGTGGAGGTTTTGTCCCTCCCATGGATCTGGGCACACGTATGACTGCATTGACCAAGAGAGGACAGTGGAAATGACACTAGTTGACTTTCACCTTGTTCACTGGGAACATTCTCGTGGTGGATAATTTTATGCGCCAATTTGACTGACGGTCAGGACCCAGAATAAACATTATTCCCGGGTGTATCTGTGTGGATATTTCCATGAGATTAGTATTTGAATGGGTGGGCTCAGTCAAGTAGACTGCCCTCCCTGAGGCGGATGAACATCTTCCAGGGCCGGAATAGAACCAACGGTGGAGGAATTTGGGAATTTAAGCCTCTTTTTTTCTGACTCACTGATGAGCTGGAGTATCTCATCTCACCTTCTTTGGCCTTCAGACTAGGAGTTACATCTGGGTTCCCCGGGTTCTCAGACCTTTAGATTTCGAATGAATTTTACCGCCAGCTTTTCTGACAGCAGATCATGGGACTTCTCAGCCTCCAAAATCCCATGAGCCAATTCCTCATAATAAATATATTTTAAATAAATATATATATATATTATATATAGTCATGCTTCGCTTAATGACAGGGACGAGTTCTGAGAAATGCATAATTAGGCAATTTTGTCACTGTGTGAACATCATAGGGTGAGTTTACGCTAACCTGAATGGCATTGCTTACTACACACCTAGGCTAAGAATGGTATAGCTGATTGCTCCTAGGCTACAAACCTGTACAGCACGTTATTATACCAAATACTGTAAGCAACTGTAACACAATGGTAAGTATTGGTGTTTCTAAACATATCTAAATGCAGAAAAAGTAGAGAAAAAAATACGGTGTAAAGATAAAAAATGGTCCACCTGTAGAGGGCACTTGCCATGAATGGATCTTGTAGGACTGGAAGTTGCTCTGGGTGAATCAATGAGTAAATAATAAATGAATGTGAAGGCCTAGGACACTACTGTCCGCTACTGTAGACTAGACACTGTACAATTAGGCTACTCTAAATTTATTTTAAAATGATAAATTAACCTTAGCTTAATTGTACTTTTCACTTTGTAAACTTTTCAATTTTTTTAGATATTTGGCTCTTTTGTAACAACTTCAAACACAAACGCATTTACAGCTGTACAAAAATATTTTTTTCTTTATATCCTTATTCTATAAACTTCTATCTAAAAAAATTTTTTTCACTTCTTAAACTTTTTTGTTAAACACTAAGACACAACACACACATTAGCCTAAGGCTACACAGGGTCAGGATCTTCAACATCAACATCACTGTCTTCCATCTCCACATCCTGTCCCACTGGAAGTTCTTCAAGGACAATAACATGCATGGAGCTGTCATCTCCTAGGATAACAATGCCTTCTTTTTTTTTTTTTTTTAGATGGAGCTTTGCTCTTGTTGCCCAGGCTGGAGGGCATTGGCACAATCTCGGCTCACCACAACCTCCGCCTCCTGGTTCAAGCAATTCTCCTGCCTCAGCCTCCCCAGTATCTGGGATTACAGGCATGCACCACCACACCCAGATATTTTTGTATTTTTAGTAGCGACAGGGTTTCTCCATGTTAGTCAGGCTGGTCTCGAACTCCTGACCTCAGGTGATCTGCCCGCCTCGGCCTCCCAAAGTGCTGGGATTACAGGCATGAACCACTGTGCCCAGCCAACAATGCCTTCTTTTGAATACCTCCTGACTGACCTGCCTGAGTCTGTTTTATGGTTAACTTTTTTTATAAGTAGGAGGAGTACACTGTAAAATAGCAATTTAAAATATAGTAAATACATAAAGCAGTAACAGTCATTTATTATCATTATCAAATGTTATGTTCTGTACATAATTGTATGGCTAGACTTTTATATGACAGGCAGTGCAGCAAGCATTTACTTCAGTGTCTCCACAAACACATGAGTAATGTGCTATGCTATGATGTTATGATGGCTATGATGTCACCAGGTGATAGAAATTTTTCAGCTCCATTATAACCTTATGGGAGCACTGTCACATACACAGTCCATCATTGAACAAAATGTCCTTAGGCGACATATGAGTGTATGTGCGTATATATGTTCTGCTTCTCTGCAGAACCCTGACTAGTACAACTCCTCTGTTAAAAAGGAGTTGTAAAAAGGAGATGTAAAAAGTCCAACTACCCTGGTGCCATCAGGAAGTCAAGCAGTTCAGAGAGCCCATGTGTCAAAGAAGTGAAGAAGCCTCTGGATGATTTCAGACCCCAGTCATTTGAGTCTTCCTAGCTGAGGTCCAAGACATCATGGAGCAAAGTCAAGCAGTCCTGGCAGTGCTCCCTTTAAGCTCCCGACCTGCAGAATCTGAGAGCATAATAAAGCAGCAGTGGCTTTACATCACCAGGTTTGGGATTTCTGTTACACAGTAACAGTAACTGGTGTGGAGTCCTCATTAGTATGCAACAATGAGGAAGGGCCCCCAGGTAGGGGAGAACAATGTTCTGAGAGATGGGAGATGGCTGATTACATACAATCCACTGGCACAACATTCTTTTCCCAAATACCTCCTTCTGCATGTAGCCTCTTCAGCACGAACTTATAAAACATCCTTCCAGCCCCTGCCTCTTGGCAGACAGCCCCTTCTCTGCTGTACTGCCCATTGCACTCTTGTAACATATTTTCATACTTTCTCTAATAAACCTGCCTTTTTTTTAACTACAACTGTCTTAGTAAATTCTTTTACCACCCACGATGCCAGCCCTAGCCAGTCGCACCTGCAACAACTGGAGCATCAGGTCACTGCAATTCAATTTGAAGGCCCTCCTTTGTAGCATACAGCTGTTAATAAGGTAGCAATAGCAGTGCTTTAGAGGCAGCTGACTAAGCACTTGCAGCTGGGCCAGGAAGCCTGAGTTCATCACAAACAGCTGAAGATAGAACTCTGCTAAGCCCTGCTGTGCTGCCTGTTCCCTGGGCAGGCACCAGCACCTCTTATCAGACAAGGCTACGTCTATACTTGCCACTCAACTTTACCATAAGCCCTTGAAGACATCAGCCACTCCCTGCAAGTTGATGAGCATCTCTACCTCCTTCCCTATCTGAGTCTTCTTTGCTGCAACCAGAATGAAACAGTCAGCCACACAATGAAGAGCCTCTCGGTCATCGTTTTGCAGCAACTGCTATATACCAAGGACTGAGACAGAGAGATGAAAAAGAAGTGGTGGTCCTTGCCTTTGACGAGTTCACAGTCTAGTGGGAAGGACATATAGATCCCCTTGAAGCTCACTGTCATTTAGACTAGCTACAAGCTACCTGGGTCCACTTCACCCACCTCCAGGCTTCAGGATGGAGAGAAATAAAACAGGCCCACCTGGACACAAGTAGTACTAAAAATAATCGGTGTTTGCTTTCACCAAGTTCAGGAAGAAGAGCTACAAAACCATAGATCTATCTTCTATGTTTTTATTCCTAACAAATCCATCCCAATTAGGCGAAGAACCTCTTTTTTCCCTCATTCTAAAGTTCCAGCTGTTTCCAGCTTCATAGAGACCCTCTCTGTCTCACCCCCCAGATCTCGTGAACAAACTCATGTTTGTGAGTTTATAATTCTCAATTGTTTCCCCCATCAGCCACAACCTCCTAAAACCGAAGCAGCTTCATGCTTGCCGCCTGAACTCAGATCACAGGCTTTTGGCTCTCCTCCCTTGATCATTCTCGTTTTTGTGCCGGATGTTACAGACCCTGTCAGTATCAGAAATGAGGAATGCCGCCTCACATGAGCGCATGGAAGACACACACACTCATAGTCCTGTAAGCACGCGCTCAGCCAAAGAAGCTCCAGGATGGCTGAGATGAGAACAGCCCTGCATTTCAAGCAGTCTGGAGTCGATTCTAACCAGGTCTTCTGCAAATCCCAGCAACACAGATAACAACATTGCTGACACTCAGGCAGGCTTCGTGCCTTTTCCTTTGGTCTGGCATTCAGTATATCTTCCCGCTATAATTAGATCACTGGAGATTTGGCCAATGAAAATAAGATTTATTCTGGCCTCCTCTTCCTCCCCAGCTGCACCTCGAGGACTCACGTTTGACTGCTTAATCCCCTGAATCAGGTCTCCCCTCTGGGCTCAGAGTGAGAAAGCAGGGCCAGAAGACATTCCCTTCTAAAGAGAGCTCCCTCCTAAACCTTGTCAATTGCCTCCTGGCTCCAGAGGAAAAATTCTTTTTTCCTATTTTGCTAAAGTAAAAAAAGATTCCAAATTTTTGTTTAATTTCTGTCCTGAAAGTATTTTTAAAAGGAAATTTTGGGAGAGTTCAGGAAAAGTTCAAGGGCTTATGAATTCTGTAATCATGTGTTGTTTCGTTTTGTCTCTTTGGTTTGCAGACTGAGTTGTTTGCTGACTTTGCTTCCCGCCACCTCCACCTCACCACCCCCGCCAGTAAACCTGTCATTTTTCACCCAGAGCAGTCACCCAACCCAGACTGGAGAGACCCCTGGGGCAGGGAGGGCTTCGAGGCACACCAGGAGCCCCTAAACCAGCTGGCTTGTTCACCCTCTCTGTGCCTTGGTTTCCTCATCAGGAAGTGATGTCCACCTCCTAGGGTTTTGAATGGATGAGATGAGATGGCAAGTGCCATCCCTGCACCTAACACATGCTCAATAAACGTTATCTGCCTCCCTCTCTCGTGGCTCCATCTCTCAACCATTTTTATGGGGCTCTAAAGCTAACAACCCAAGGAAGACTATGATGTCAAAGTCACAAAGGCGAAGACATTAAAGGTACAGAAATGTCTATTTGAGCAGGTGGTTGTCGCCTCAGAGCCCCTCAAAGCTGTTTCTGCTCCTCCTGCAACCCTTGTTTTAAAGCCATACCCCACTCCCCCACCCCCCAACACCCCACCAGCCATACTTTCCATCTCCCCACCCACACCTGCAAGCTGCCATGGGTCAGAGAAACAGAAGGGGAGGAGGGGAGGAGGAGGCAGAGGCGTGTGGAGAGGTGTCTGGCAGCCGGTGAGACCCAGAGAGAGTGAAGGGGAGGTGGGGTTTTGGTGAGCTGGGAACATTCTTGCACACATTTCCAGTTTGAGTTATAACTTGACAGTGAAAAATTGAGAGGAACAACCAAGAAGGTAGATGGAGGTGGGCGCAGAAGCCGGCAAGAATATGAGGACCCATAAGAACGAATGTCCAGCTCAGGGAGGGAGTCTCTCCAGAAATAATTTCAAAAGTTCAGCTTTTAAAAAAAGTGAACACAGGAGCTTAATGATACATAATTTATGAAGGGCAATTTTGTAATATGCAGCCAAATTCTTTAAAATATGTGTATACTTTTAGCTAGCCATTTCACTTCTAAGAACTTATTCTAAAGATTCCAAGTGCAATGTGGGGACCTGGTTTCACTCCAGCTTCAAAGAGACTAACTGTGAAAAGACATTTGTGAGGCCATGAAGGAAGTTTGAATTCTGGCTGGATATTTGATGGTAATCAGATTATTAATAACTTTTTATTAACTAAAGTCAATATTTTATTCAGATTGCCTTGGTTTTTTAAATATATTTTTAATTGTATCTGATTTTATTGTTAGTTGTGGCAAAGTACACATTACATAAAATTTACCATCTTAACCATTGCTAAGTGAACAGTTCCGTAGTGTTAAGGACGTTGACATTGTTGTGCAGCCAACACCACCATCCATTTTCTGAACACTTCGTTTTTTAAAATTTAAACTCAGCTGGGCGCAGTGGCACATGCCTATAATCCCAGCATTTTGGGAGGCTGAGGCGGGTGGATCACCTGAGGTCAGGAGTTTGATACCAGCCTGACCAATATGGTGAAACCTGCCTGACCAATATGGTGAAACCCTGTATCTACTAAAATTACAAAAATTAGCCAGGCATGGTGGTGCACCTGTAATCCCAGCTACTTGGGAGGCTGAGACAGGAGAATCGCTTGAATCTGGGAGGCAGAGGTTGCAGTGAGCTGAGATTGCACCACTGCACTCCAGCCTGGGTGACAGAGTGAGACTCCATCTCAAAAAAAAAAAAAAAAAAAAAAAATTTAAGCTTAATACCCACTAAATAATAGCTCTTCATTCCCTCTTCCCCTGGTCACCTCTATTCCTTCTGACTCTAAATTTGACAACTCTAGGTACCTCATCTAAGTGAAATCATATGGCATTTGTCATTTTGTGATTGGCTTATTTCACATAGCATTATGTCCTCAAAGTTCATCCACATTGTAGCATGTGTCAGAATTTATTTCCCTTTTAAGGTTGAATAATATTTCATTGTATGTGTATAATACATTTGTTTATCAATTCATTTGTTGATGGACACTTGGCTATTGTGAACAATGCTGTTATGAACATAAGTATACAAATTTCTCTTTGATAAATTGCTTTCAATTCTTTTGGGTGGAATTATTAGGTGTTAATTCTGTTAACAATTTATAATTTCAGTATGTATAATTATAAATTTATTCAATCATATTATAAATTCATACTGAATTATTTATGGGGAAAAAATAATCTGAGATCTTAGACTTGCATTAACTATAGCAGTAGTGACAGAGTGTAAAATTAAACAAGACTGAACATATTTCGGTAACTATTGAAGCCAGAGGATGGGTAAGCGAAAGTTCACCAGCCTAGTCTCTACTTTTGTGTCTCTTTGAAACTTTTCATTTAAAAAAAGTTTAAGCCGGGCGCAGTGACTCACGCCTGTAATCCCAACCCTTTGGGAGGCTGAGGTGGGCGGATTACCTGAGGTCAGGAGTTCTAGACCAGCTTGGTCCAACATGGTGAAACCCTGTCTCTACTAAAAATACAAAAATTAGCTGGGCATGGTGGCAGGTGCCTGTAATCCCAGCTACTTAGGGGGCTGAGGTGGGAGAATCGCTTGAACCCGGAAGGCAGAGGTTGCAGTGAGCCGAGATTGCACCACTGCACTCCAGCCTGGGTGACAAAGCAAGTATCCGTCAAAAAAAAAAAACATGCATTTGATGTCACAAGCAGTGTCCCCTTCATGTTCCCTAGGAACTACCCTATGACCTCCCTTAAAGTGAGCTCCCAATAAGTGCAGAGTGGAGTGGCATGATGTGGGGTGTAGGAGGAGCAGCACACTGGAGAGGCAGTGGGAGTGTCTGACAGGGCCGGGCCTGCACTGCCACTCAAGCTCATGGCCTCCGTGCCTCATCTGTGCAATGAAGAATGGAAGCTCATAATCCCCAAGGCCCCTCATATCTAAAATGGGTTAGTTCCAGTCTATGATTTTATGAAGGCTTGGAACCCAGGTCATTGTTAATAACGCTCCTTTCCAGTACTGTATTTGATGAGTTGAGTGTCTACGTGCACTGATTTAGGGGAGGGGAAAAAGAGCACTAGATTGATTTTTAGAAAAAATCAATTTTTGAAAAAAACTTAGTAGCAGTTTTTAAAACCACACAAACTTTTTAAAGAACTGAATTCAGCTAGGGGAATTTTCTTCTCTTAAGTAGGCACAGAGTCAGTCATTCAGTATCTACTGGGTTTTCTTTTTCCCAGGGAAAGTTTCTTTTCTTTGCTACGCATATATTTTCAACCTCCTAATTTGGGTATTAATTTGTCAGTCCTCCCCACCGTGGTTCCCAAGGCTTCCCAGCTCAGGATCATTTGTGACTTTAACAAAGGCACTGTTGGGCTCTCTGTCCTGGATCATTAATAAACCGGCTTAGGGAGGCAGGGGTCCCACACCGCGCTGGCGTGATGGATGACGGTGGAACTTCACCTTCATTTCAATTTCCCTAACTTTCTAAGCCACACTATTCCACCCCTCCTCCTGGATCCCATAGAAACCATCATTTTTCAGGCAGCTTCGAGGAGAAGCTCATCGTCCTGGCTGCATCTGTTTCCTTCCACATCTGTTTTCTCCAGATCTTCATCATTCATCTCCATTTTCCCACAGCATCTCTCTGTCCTTCCCTGTAACTTCTAACGATGTCACTGGAGCCGCTAACTGTCCCAGTTTGGAGAAATCTGCATGCCACTTTGCACCGGAGCTCCATTTCATTCTTCCTTCTTCATCTGTGCACTGGGGTGTGCACAGGAAGCTTTCCTTTTCTCAGTATCCGCCACCAGCTGGGCTCACACACAACCCCACCACCACTTCCCATGGGGGAGCAGCTCCCTTAATGACATCACAGTTGGATTCCATAATTTTGTGGTCATTTCAGTTAATTAAAGAAATCTCATTCTGGTTTTTAAGGCTCAGTCCTGTTCATTTTACAGCTTCAATCTCATTTTCTATTCAAAGCACTCCCTGTCCACCCCTCCTCCAGCATAGGCCAGGTTCATGGGCCTTGGAGTTGGTCGGGGGCCTGGGGCAGGGCTGATTTGTTAACCTTCTCTCCCCTTCCCAATGTTCATCCCTCTGGGGATGGGTGGGAGAGAGAACAGCTGCCCTTGCATGACTGCCCAGGAGGCTGCAGCCCTCTCCTAGCCTCATGCTCTTCCAATTAAGAGACACAGGGTCCCTCAGGAAATTCACCATATCTCCCAACCGAAGCCTAACTATGGGCCTCTCTCCACATCTGTCTGATGACAACATCTCTGGCTTGGGCTGGAGACTGAGGTCCCAGCCAGTCACACCCATCCACCCACTCTCCGTGGAGCCTGCAGGCAAGCAGGATCCAGCTCCTCGGTCTGCCAGGGACTCGGAGGGAGTGGTCTCGGCCCTGCTCTCAGCTGCCTCCCATCAAGCTCCAGCGCAAGAGTCCAGCAGCATCAGGCCGTCTGGTGGGTCACGTTTCCCAGAAGCAGACTCTGAGATGAGAATTTGTGAACAAGTGAATTATGAAGGCGTGCTCCTGGGGAAAACCTGTCAGGGAGTAAGGGAAGCCAGACGGGGAAGAGGAAGGAGCCAGGAAAGGTTCCCACTTTATCCCAGGCAAGTGTTAAGGCAGGGGTCAGCAAATCAGGGCTCGGGAAGCTAAGATCAGCCCACCAACAGTTTTTGTGTGGTCCATGAGCTAAGAAATTTTTTTTTTTGAGACAGAGTCTCACTCTGTCGCCCAGGCTGGAGTGCAGTGGCGCAGTCTCAGCTCACTGCAACCTCCACCTCCCAGGTTCAAGCGATTCTCCTGCCTCAGCCTCCTGAGTAGCTGGGATTACAGGCCCATGCCACCAAGCCCAGCTAACTTTTGTATTTTTAGTAGAGATGAAGTTTCACCATGTTGACCAGGCTGGTCTTGAACTCCTCACCTCAGGTGATCCGCCCACCTCGGCGTCTCAAAGTGCTGGGGTTACAAGCGTGACCCACCATGCCCAGCCCTAAGAATGATTTTTAGATTTGTAAATGTAAAATGTAAAAATCTTTAGCCTCCTGTGATTTTGTCTCTTGACCCGCAAAACCTAAAATACAGAAACCCTTGAACAAAGTCTGTAAAATATATTTTGGGGATAATGGGGAAAATGATCCCATGAACTGGTGTTGGTGACACTGGAGATGTCAGGGATGTAGGCTTAATTAAAGTAGTCCCCTCTTATCAGAGGTTTCACTTTCCTCCATTTCAATTACCCACAATCAACTGTGGTCTACAATGGAAATTGGAATTTTAGGAGTCAACAATTCCCAAGTTCTAAATTGCACACTGTTCTGAGTAGCATGATGAAATCTCATGCTGTCCTGCTCCATCCACCTGGGATGTGAATCATCCCTTTGTCCACCATATCCACGCTGTAAACACTACCCTCCCCTCCCCACCTCTGCCCTCATTACTGCATAGGAAGAAGCATAGTGTATATAGGGTTTGGTACTATCAGTGGTTTCAGGCATCCACTGGGCATCTGGAAACATATCCCCAGAGGATAAGGGGGGTACTATTGTATTTAGAGTTGAAATGTCAACATGATTCTAATTTACTCTAAATACTTCAATAAAGAAGATGAGGCAAATATGGTAAAAAATGATTAAGTCGAGGTGATAGATTTAATTACACCAGTCTCATTACTGTATGTTTGAGATTTTTTAATTAAAAAATACAAAATTAATACTCATCTTCCACTTTTCACCTTCCATATCTAATCCATCACCTAAGTCCTGTCTATCTTACTCTCTAAATCTTTCTCAAATGTGTCCCTTTTTCATTCCTGCTGCCATTTAGCCCAGCACCTCATCAAAGACCACAACCACATAGTGGAGGCTGCAGAGGAAGACTGCTTCAGCCCAAGAGTTCAAGGCTGCAGTCAGCTATGATCACACCACGGCACTCTAGCCTGGATAACAGAGCGAGATTCCATCTCTTTAAAAATAAATATAATTAATTAAAATAAAATTTTGAAAAAAAAATTTAAAGGCTGAGCAAGGTGGTTCATGTCTGTAATCCCAGCACTTTGGTGGGGCAGTGAAGGAGGATAGCTCAAGACCAGGAGTTCAAGATCAGCCTGAGAAACGTAGCCAGATCTTGTATCTACGGAAAAAAAAAAAATTATTTAAATTAGCCAGGCATGATGGTGTGCCTCTGTTGTCCTAGCTACTCAGGAGGCTAAGGCAGAAGGATCGCTTCAGCCCAGGATTTCAAGGTTGCAATGAGCCCTGATCACACCACTACACTCCAGCCTGGGTGACAGAACAAGACCCTGTCTCTAAAAGAGAAGAAGAAAAAAGGCCACACAGTAGTGCAGAGCCACTTTGTATGCGGATAAAACACCCAACATGACGCCTTCTTCCAGCAAACAGTCCCTAAGTGCCTACTATGTGCCAAGCACTGTGCTAATCCCTAGGAGGCTGGTGGTGACGCAGCAGAACTCTGCCCTCCTGGAGTTCCCAAACCTCAGAATCCCCCTTCACTAGCACCACTCACCACACCCATGGGGTTCACAATGATGTCCCTGGGTCATTGAGAAAGGATTACGTTACACCTGGTGTATCCTGTATAGGAAGACAAGGGTTTATGTCACCACACCAGAAAGCTTTCCATGAAAATATTCTTCATTTCTTTTTTAACATTGGCTACTGAAAGTGGTGCCCTCTCACCCGCCTTGAAAGGCCACTCCCAGAAGTCATTCTGCCAAATCTGGGTCCTCAGGACTCCCTCCCCCACTGCACCCTCCCGGCCTCCACATGCCCCATGGGTCTACACAGTGATATACTGGTAAAGCTTTACAAACTGGCTCTCTGGAAAAGAGAGAAAAGCCCCAAGTTGTATGTTTGCCAATTTCTGTGGTGTAAATACTCCCATTTACAGGATGCTACCAATGACATACTGGAACACAAAACTGGGGAGAGATGCACAGTAGCACACACAGTATTTCTGTAACCACCCAGCCACAGTAAATGGAAATAACCTCCAGGGCATTCACTATATGGTAGCAAAATAATGGGGAAGTGATGAGCTTTGAGTATTTGTTATCTTTTTAAAATATAATTTAGGCCAGGCATAGTGGCTCACACCTGAAATCCCACCTCTTTGAGAGATTGAGCCCAGGAGTTCTAAGACCAGCCTGAACAATATAGTGAGACCCCATCTCTATAAAAAATCAAAAACTAGCCAGACATGATGGTGCAAGCCTGCAGTCCCAGCTATTCCAGAGGCTGAGGTGGGAGAATCGCTTGAGCCTGGGAGGTCAAGGCTGCAGTAAACCGTGATTGCACCACTGCACTTAGCCTGAGCGACAGAAAGAGACTGTCTCAGAAAAAAAGAAAAGAAGACAAGAAAAAATTAAAATAGAGTTTATATCATTGAAGCTTATATAATTTAATTTTTAATAATGGCTGAGTTTAACAACTGGCTTGCAAAATTCCTGAGCATTTAATAATCATCTCCCACGAGCGCGTATGAGCCTGCCCCAGCACACTCTGGGTGCCACTCAAAGGAAGCCCTTCTGCTTCCACTGGGGCAAAGGATTTTGAGCTTTTTTTCCTAAGGTTTTCCTCTATCCCTGAGGCTTCTTCTTTCATTGGGAGAAAGCTTGCTTCACCCACCGCCACATGACGTCAAACTTCAAAACGAAGGTGAATGAGCCACACATATTACTGACATCATTCCCCTTTGTCGCGCTCGTGTGAATCAATTCATACCGCAGAAACAGGTGCGGAGGCAAAGCTCACTTCAGCTATGGCTCGGAAATAGTTAAGCGGAATGAAAATCATCCCCCTTCCCCCGAGAAGCCTCATATCCCTGCCGAGCCCTCGTGGAGGAGTGCTGGAGCTTCAGGAATGATGGAATCTAAAACACAGCCTTCTTTACTTAGCAATATTCATCCCTCATTAAGCAAGCCTATATTTAGGATTGCTTATTTCTTCAGGGTGAACATTTTCTCTGCACCTGCTTGGCATGAAAAAAGAGAAATGAGTCATTCGTTTCCAAGAAGGAGCCACTTGGCACCATTTACCATTTCACCACACACACACACACACAAACACACACACACACACACACACACCTTCCAAATCTACAGTTCATCTGACCAAGAAAAGTTATAAAACCAACACGAAAAGACCCAAACCTCAAATCCTTAACAAGTAATGAAAATCCTCGGTGCTCATCAGGGATTCTTCCATTTGCTGACCATTTGCATGTTGTAAAACCCTCTCTCCTTTTCATTATCAACTCAGTTTAACAAATGTTTAAGTAATTACTGTGTGAGGCCCTTGGAGCTGGAAACCCAGTAAAGAGAATCTGTTTAGAAAGACTGAGGTTTATGTAATTCAATTTAGAAAGAATTTCATTCATGTTTTTAATATTTTTCTAACTTTTTTTTTTTTTGAGATGGAGTCTTGCTCTATCACCCAGGCTGGAGTGGAGTGACACAATCTCAGTTCGCTGCAACCTCCACCTCCCAGATTAAAGCGATTCTCCTGCCTCAGCCTCCCGAGTAGCTGGGATTACAGGCGCCTGCCACCACACCCAGCTAATTTTTGTATTTTTAGTAGAGACAGGGTTTTACCATGTTGGTCAGGCTGGTTTCAAACTCCTGACCTCAAGTAATCCACCCACCTCGGCCTCCCAAAGTGCTAGGATTACAGGCATGAGCCACTGCGCCCAGCCAATATTTTTTTAACTTTGGTTCCTGAATGTGGTGAGCTCCTCAGCTATTCTCCCAAGGACTTGGGACCTGAGGATCCCTCTCTTCAAAGAGAATAGGGGAGACAGACATAGAGATGAAGTACTGGTAGCTTAAAAGCATCTGCATTCAAAATCTGTGCAAGTACAGAAGTAGGACAGAGAAGGGAATCATTAACTCTCATAGTCAGGTTCTGGAAGGCCAGGGATGCCTTCCTCAAAAAAAAAAAAAAAAAAAAAAAAAGGTGAACCTGAGATGGGTTTTGAAGGATGCATGGAAGTTTGCCAGATGAACTAGGATTGAAAGGCCCTTCCAAGAGAAAAGAATAAGAAGCACTAGAGAGACTGCTCAGAAGGCCATTGAAAAGAATTTTAGGCCCGGCACAGTGGCTCATGCCTGTAATCCTAGCAGTTTGGGAGGCCGAGGTGGATGGATCACTTGAGGTCAGGAGTTTGAAACCAGCCTGGCCAACATGGTGAAACCCCATCTCTACTAAAAATATAAAAAATTAGCTGGGCATGGTGGCACACGCCTGTAGTCCCAGCTACTCAGGAGGCTGAGGCAGACGACTGGCTTGAACCCGGGAGGTGGAGGTTGCAGTGAGCCGAGATCACGACACTGCACTAAAGCCTGGTGACAGAGCAAGACTCAAAAAAAAAAAAAAAAAAGGGAATTTTATACAAGTGGAGTATCCCACAGTGCTCTAGATCAGGGCTTCTCAACCTCAGCACTACTGACATTTTGTACTGTATAGTTCTTTGTTGTCAGGGCTGTCCTGTGCATTGCAGGATGTCTAGCAGCATCCTTGGCTTCTACCCTTTATATACCAATAGTATCAGCCCCCAGGTTTTATTAACCCCAAATGTCTCCAGACATTGCTGAAGTCCCCTGGGGTACAAAATCACCCCAGCTTGAGAATCACCACTCCAGGCATTATTCTTGCTATAACACTAGGATAGAAATTTAGGCAGAGGGGACACTGTGGGGAAGCAAAATTGATATTCCCCTGTCCTGTGGTCATCATATCTGTGGCTTTCCAAGCATCTCACAGCCTGGGGAGGTTCAGTGACTGCTGCTCTGGGTAATTGAATGGATCAGGGTAATTGGCAGCATCATAAATATCAAGGGCAAATACAAAGGCCACGGGACAGGCCAAGGAACCTGGACTCCAAGGCCGCAGCTCCCTCTCTGCCCACACCATCCATCAGGTGAGGAGCTGCAAAAGGCCCCCATTTCAGAAAGACAGTGATCTGGGGGAGTTGCAGGGAAATTTGGGTGCAGAGCCAGACCGAGGTTAGAGGTGCAGTTCATTTATCCCCAGCAGCTTTTTGCTCTGTGAGTAATGGCAGGAATGGCCCTGGGTAGTGCACAGTCTTCAGAAAGAGCCAAAGGGAGAAACAGCTTGTTATTTCAGTGGCTTAGCTCCATCTCTGGGATGTGGGTGGTAACTAAGGACTCATTCGCATTCCCTATCAGCGTGCAGCTCCTGCTCAGAGTCTGGGAAATACTTGTGGCTCTAGAAAAGAAGTCAGTGGCCCTGTGCTAGAAGTGGAGAGAGGGGACAGAGGCTTCAAGATGAGCCAGCTTGTGCCCCTGGGACAGAATCCTGAACCAAGCTTCGGAGCTGCCGGATTCCTGGTCCCTGTTTCCCGCGTGATTAAATCTGAAATTACTTGACACAGTTTCCAAGTTCCTGGGCCTCTCTAGCTTTGTCTCCCATCTCTACCCTTCACGCCCAAAGGTCTCCCTGCCTACAAAAAGCTACTTACGGTTCCCAGAGTGAGCCCCACAGCTGCACTTTGCTCATGCTGTTCCCTCCATTCAAATGCCCTTCCCACTTGCATCTCCACCTGCCTGGCAAACACTGCATAGCTTGAATACTCGTTCAGAGGCTGAGCCCCTCTTGGCCCCACCCTTCAGGTACAATTGTCCCCTCCCACCACTTCCTGTGCAATCTCTGCCAGCACACCATGTCTCTCCTTGTCTGTCCCTCCAACTGTCCCCTGCTCCTGCTCCTGTATATCTCGTGACCATGTCCTCCTCCTCCTCCTCCTGACTGCAGCACCCAGCACAGTCCCTAATGAAGAGCAGGTGCTCCCATGTTTGCTGAACAAATAAAATCACTCCCCATCCTCTCACCACACATCCCGGAAGGGTAATGCAGGCCTGCTGCGTCCCACCTCTACGGCTGGGTGTATGTGTGTGCCCACAGGTGCACACACCCTTGCACTCACTCCAGGACTCTCTTAACCTTTGACTTTTGCTGCATTCAGCTCTCCTACTCTCTCAGCATGACTTTCCTCTAAGCTAATAGAGGTCACTCTTTCTACTTGAAGTGTGAATGGCTAACAGTGCACATGCTCCTACCCCAGATAACCAAGGTATTGTAGTTGGACCTTGGGCACCTTTGCAAAGAGGAGGTGCCAGTGATGTGTGTGAAGTGTGGCCCTGGACTGGCACCGAGGGACAGCCAGCTGTAACATACTCTTTCCTACCCTGCTACAGGGAGTAAACAGGCTGCTTCCTGCAACAGACAGGGCTGGGACAGATGTTGGTTGCCTTGGGAAGAAAAATGCAGGTGTTTTTTCTGGGCATCTGGAGTGTGTGGGGACTAAGTCAGCAACTGACAAGTAATGAATGGTAAAGCTTCCCCTGGGAGTCCATGGAAGACCAAGTGAGGATGATGCTAAAGGCTTCCAGATCCAAGAAAACATATGGCTTGCCCTCAAGTGACTGGTGAGACTTCAGGATGCCCCAGAAGGATTCAGTGAGAAGTAGGGTTAGGTGAGGGACAATCTGCAGATGTAGCAGTTTATGCTGTTTTATTCTATTTTTTTTTTTCTAATAACCTTCTCTCTCTACCCTCATTACCAGAAGTTATTCATGAGAAATATAGGGCTCCCCAGGAGGGCTGATATCCCTATGAGGAGGTAATGAAAATATAGCAAAATGCCCCACAGTGAGGACCCCAGGACCTAGTGTCAGGGCATCCCTAACAAAGCTACAGCAGGGATTTCAAGGTGGTGCCAGGCCCACCTTTTGCATCCCATGGCTCACACCTCCATGAGATCAGGGACCCATGACAAGGACTCCCTCCTTGCCCAAACTTCAGTCGGCCTCCTCTGGCCCTCTTTTCAAGCAGGCTTTGTCCAAGCCTCATAACCGAATCCGGTTTTGGCGGAGAATCTTGCTGAGCTAGGTTATTGAAACCCTCCCCAACTTGGCCAAATGAGCTCCTCCTCCTCCACCCTTGAGACTTGATCAAAGGTCTTAGTGATCTTCCCTCCACTCCCTCACCCTGCCCATGGCCTACAAATCCCCATTTGTCCCTGCTGTATTTGGAGTTGAGTTCCATCTCCCTCCCATATTATCATAGCCTTGAAGAAAATATTCCTTGCCATTTTAACAAGCCTCAGAATAATTTCTTTTGTATATCCTGTCTGTCTTATGCAGCACTAGCACAGTGCCTGACACAGAGTCAGACATCCTGATACCTACACCGGTTTAATTAATTCACAAATGCTATGTTAGTGTCTAACAATTTTATCTGTAGTTACTTATAGATAGAATTATTTCTGCCTGGATGCCCCAGAAGGATTCAGTGAGAAGTAGGGTTAGGTGAGGGACAATCTTCAGATGCAGCAGTTTATGCTGTTTTTTTCTATTTTTTTAAATAATCAACCTTCTCTCTCTACCCTCATTACCAGAAGTTATTCATGAGAAATATAGGGCTCCCCAGGAGGGCTGATATCCCTCAAAGGTGGTAATGAAAATATAGCAAAATGCCCCACAGTGAGGCAATGAGAAGGGGAGGAAGACGGAAGCTGAGAATAGACTGAAGATGGTGGGCCAGCTGATAATAAAACGTCCTGTGGAAGGAAGTCCCATGGCATGGTCTCTTCTATCAGGGAGACTATTTCACACTTGGTGGCTTCATACATGGTCACATCTGTTCTGCTAAGGAGTACCTAATGCCCAAGGCTTCCTGGTCAGAACCAAGAACAACGCTCTGCTAACCAAAGAAGGGAAAGATATCCCAAACTGAAAAAGGGACCCATCTCTGTGCTTATATTGTGGCTACTCAGAACAACACCTTTTCTGAAATTTTGATCAGAGAACACCATCTTCTAGCACAAACACCATGAAATGCTGGGTAAATATAGTAAGCAGCCTTTTCAATCTTGACAGAGCCCTGAAAGAAGGAAATAGAACTCCCCAGGGGCCAAGAAAATCCTTGAGCTTCTGCTGTGAAACCTGGCCAGGAGGATGGATTCAGGAAGGGGCATGAGCTCGCAACTCCCGGGGGATTGGGGATTGATGCTTACAGGGAGTGGGTCTGATGAAGAACAAAAGTACAAACCAGAAAAGAAAAAATTCTCACCAACTCAGGTGGATGACAAAGAAATTTTAGCTTAGACTTGAAGTGGAAAGTAAATAAATAAAATAGTTATCTGGGAATTCATGAACACAAATCTGACTTCATATAGATTTGGGGCTCAAATTTATCCCACCCAACTTGGTCTGGAACCCCCAGGCTAAAAAAGTCACATAAAATTTGGTTCTCAGCTAAATGATGCCCCAGGGGAATTGGTAAAAGCCAACGCTCTGAAGTTGGATATATTATTGGAAGATCTAATCTTATCAACATATCTACTCTCTCCAAATGAATTCATAGATTCAATAAAGTCTCAGTCAAAATCCTAGCAAGTGTTTTTGTGAAAATTGATGTTTATTCTAAAGTGTATATGGAATGAAAAGAGTCAAAAAATAATCAAAATAGTTTTGAGAAAGAGCAAAGTTGGAGGGCTCACACTACCAGATTATCAAGACCTTCTTAAGAAAGTTGTGACATTTAAGACAGTGTTGTATTGGCGCAAGGATAGACAAACAGACTAATCAGACAAAGGAGAAACCTCCACATACAGACACCTGATTTACAGCAATAATAGTGCTGCAGTGCAAAAATAAACCTTGACCCCTACCTCACACCATACCAAAAAAAGGCAATTCCAAATGAATTGTAGATCTACACGTGAATGGTAAAACAACATTTCTATGAAATAATATAGGAGAAAACCTTTATGACTTTAGGGTAGACAAGGATTTCATAAGGCCTTACATGTGATTGTAATTCTTTTAGAAAATGCAAAAATGTGTGATAAAAAGTTGGGCACAGATTATAGCTCACACTTATAATTCCAGCACTTTGGGAGGCCAAAGTGGGAGGATCACTTGAGGCCAAGAGTTCAAGACAAGTATGAGCAACATAGCAAGACCCTGTCTCTACTAAAAATAAAAATAAAAATTAGCTGGGTATGGTAGCACCCACCTGTAGTCCTGGCTACTCAGGGAGCTGAGGCAGGAGGATCACTTGAGCCCAGGAGTCCAGGGTTGCGGTGAGTTATAATCACACCACTGCACTCCAGCTGGGTGATAGAATGAGGCCCTGCTTCAAATAAATAAAATAAATAATAAAATGTGTGATAAAATAAATATACCCAATTTCCCTACCACTCAGAAATTAAAGAAAATACTTTTGAATGTTTTTGAAAAGCGGTTGCATCTTCCATCTCCCTCACCCAAACTAACAGTGGATTATCCATCATTTTATACTGTTCTCTTGCTTCATGAGTGAGTCTTTTCTCAAAAAAAAAAAAAAGGCCTGTAGGCTTCTAGACAGCAAAAGCTGAATCAGCACTAATACAGCCATAGGGACAAGGCTGTGGGCATCTCCTGGACAGAGCTACAGGCTGATCTTCTCACTTTACAGATGGGAAAGCAGAAGCCCCCAGGGCTACTTGACTTCGCTGGTAGAGGCAGGATGGTATCCAGAACCCTGATCACAGTGCTGTTTCCAACACATGTCCTCTTGTGGGGGATGGCTAGCAATGCTGCCCCTAAAACAGTGTTCTCGGTGCCTGCTGAGGTCACTGGCTCCACTCCTTCTGTCCCCTGGGGCATCTCAATACGTCACCAAGTGGTGGTGATGTCATCCACTGACTGGGTGATGCTCCTACCTCCACCAAGACTCAACCCTCCTGACACTAAGCCCAGTGGCATCAAGCCACACGGTTCCTTGGTGGTGTTTTCCAAAGTTTAAGGACAGCCAACTATTTCTCTTATGTGAGCAGCTTCCCACTGACGGTGAGAACTGAGTGAGAAACAGAGAGCTGCCTGAGTTTTTTCATTTTGTTTACAATTATTTGAAATCCAATGCTACAGGACACTGGGACAAACATAAATTAATTTTCCTTGATTGGAAGCTGATGAATCTCTTGTTGTGTTGAAAAGGACTCTGACAGCTCTGGGCTTCAGTGAAAAGAGAGCTATTGTTTTCTTAATTGGGGACTCATAGAACTTGTAGATGCAGCCAGGGCCAGCCTGAGGGGCAGAGGTGGCCCATCTGAGAGTGGGTTGTGAGATAGACCATTTATAAAACCATGGGCGACGGATCCCAGGAGGCTGCTGAATGGAATTATTCAAGAAGCATCACCATGTGTCCATTTTCTATCTGGTAAAGAGCTTGTTTTTCAGCTTGCATCCCTGTCAGGAGTTCACCCTTCCAGCCCATTGGAAAATATAATCTTCCCCAGTGTCCGCCATGTTGAACCCTGAGCGCACCCAGGAACAGAGGCGGCAGACTCAGGCAGAGATGCAGGGCTGTAGGGGATGAAAAAGAGTGGAAGCCACACCCAGGTAAAGGAACAAGTCCCCTCCTCTGTGAAGCATCCTCTGATCACCCTCAGCTACTGCAGTTCTCCCTCTCCTGGGATCCCACTGCCCGGTGGGGAACCCCAGCATAGCCAGTAGCTCCTTATATGGGAACAGTTGGCTTGAATGTGTCCTACATGACTGAGAGCTGCTTCATCTCTGAACCCAGGGACCCAGTACAGCAGAAAGAAAACATGGGTTTGGAGTAAAACAGCTGGAGGCTTCATACCAGCTCCATCACTTCTGCTCTGCAGTGCCTGGCAAGTTACATCGCCTTGTCACACCTTGGCACCCAGTGGTAGAATGGGTTTCACACTGGCACTGCCTTGTAGGTTGAAGTAAGTTAAAGGCCAAGTGTGGTGGCTCACGCCTGTAATCTCAGCACTTTGGGAGGCTGAGGCAGGAGGATCGCTTGAGCGCAGGAGTTCAAGACCAGCCTGAGCAACACTGGGAGACCCCGTCTCTACAACAACAATGACAACAACAACAAAACACTGTATTTTAAAAGCATCTAGCACAATGTCTGGTCCATAGCAAGCACTTAGTAAATGTTAGCAATTAATAATAGATGTTATTAGGAGTTCATTAATGTTTGTTTTTGTTGCTGCTGCCGCTACCTAACAGAAGCAATTAACAGAGCGTATCTGAAGAAGCAAAACTCCACGGAAATCAATACAGAGCACACTTAAAGAAATATTTGAGCAGCCCCAACACTATCCCAAATGGGGACTTGGTGCAAATTACAAAAAAGGTTCCCACAAGACACTTCCCTACCATCTGCCAAAATTGTAACAGTCACTCTCCTGATCTACAGTGTCTGCAATTTTCAAGCACCCCCTCACCCCACCCCACCAGGTGTGCAATGTGAAGCACAGCCAGCTGTAAATGACAGGAGGAAGTTCACAGTCAGGAAGCAAGAATCAGGGCCTCAGGGAGGGAAGGTGCAAGCCGGGTGGCCTGTAGCAGACCAGAGCGGCTCAGGCCCGCAGGAACACGGCTGGTGAACTGGAACACAGAAACGAGAGGGGAGTCAAGACGGGCCTCTTAGCCCCTGTCTAGGGATCAGTCCACCTCTTTGGAGAAGAGCTTGTATTTTTCAATTTGGGTTGTAACTTTGAGAGAGTAAGAAAAAAAGGCAACATGGGTTGATCAGCCTTGTATTAAGAATTTTCTTACCAAAGTAATTCAGGAATGGAAAATCAAATACTGTGTGTGTTCTCACTTATAAGTGGGAGCTAAGCTATAAGAATACAAAAATACACAGTGATAATGAACTGTGGGGCCTGAGCGGGAGGAGGCTGGGAGGGGGGTGAGGGATAGAAGACTAAATATTGGGTACAGTGTACACTTGCTCGGGTGATGGTTGCGCCAAGATCTCAGAATTTACTACTGAAGAACTCATCCATGTAACCAAAAACCACCTGTACCCCTAAAAGTACTGAAACTAAAAAATAAACAATGAAAAATATTCTTACTGAATAGTGTATGTACTTCTTTCCTTAGAAAAATAGAAGCAGAGAATTTCTAGTTCAGCAAAATGGTGAAGTAAGCTAACACAAAACCCTTCCACTACAAATACATAAAGATTTTAGATAAATCAATAGAAAAAGAAAACTATATTTTAATCAACTTTTTTTAAGTTTTCCCCTAATTAGAAACCCCATTCCTAAATGGTGCTGGAAAGGAAATATACCAAGGAGAGAGAAGTAACCACGCCAGAGGAGCAGGACCAGGAAACCTCTCTCCTGGTCTAATGAACAGAATGGCAAACACCACATGGTCACCAAGCCTTTTCTTTCTGTCTGCTACAGCCACATACCAAGCCCTCATTTTCTTTCTTTCTTTTTTCCAATGCCAAGTATAAACGGAACCCAATTTGCGTGAGCAAATGAGAATGGATTGAAACAGGTCATCTGTAAATTTCCCAAGCTGGTCCAGCAGTCATTCTGCAAACTTCCAACCTCCCCACCCTCTCAATGGATTGTGGCTTTAATGAACATTATTTCTGCCACTAGAGAGCCACATACAAAGTGGAGTTTAAAGGTCTTCCCGCCCCAAAACATCTCTACCACTAGATAATAGCAGTCTGAAATTTCTCCACCAAAGACTCATTGTTTGGGGTTAAGCATTTAAAAGGCAAAGGTTGAATGGAGGCAGGGGAGAGGCAGACCTGACCTTCCTGTGGGTTCTAGAAGAGCAGAAAGAGGAAGTTGCTGAAGGTGGCAGAAGGGCACAGAAGGCCCATTCTGCAGCTCTGGCCCTTGGCTGGGGCCTGGGGTACAGACACACTTTGGAAGCCCTTGAAACCTGAACTCCAGGGAGAGGGGTGTGAAGTCAAGGCCCAGAGTAAATCAGCAAAAGGAAAATTAAGAGGATCAATAAAAGAGTTTAATGAAACATAAACAGGTTCAGGGAGGGCTTAAATAAATTTCTGGTCCATCCACAGCAGGTTGTTAAGGAGCATCCCTGACTCTTAGAGGTTGATGTTGTGGAAAACAACCGTGTTCTCCTCCCAGGCATCCCTGTGGATGGTGCCTGAAGCTGAATTCCTGGCTGCAGAACCCAGGGCTGACCTGCAAAGGGGCAGGGGGTTTCTCTTGTCAATTTTTAATTGTGGGTCCAGAATGGGAGCCAGGAGGCTGACCCAAAAATCTTGGCACGCAGCACTTGTGATGGCTGGAGGAAACTGAGGATGCTGAAATGGGAGTGGCAGAGCCAGAAAGTCCATCTGAGCATGCCTGCGATTTGCAAGCCAGCTGCAGCCCCAGAGGCAGAGGGCACAGAGCACAGGGCACAGGGCACAGGGCAGATGGGCAGACACCAGCACCACTAGGACCTCACCCCTGCCCCCATGAATTTCCACTGCTCCCCACTCAGCTGCCCCTCCATAAGGACCCAGGAACATGGGGTCACAGCCATGTCACATGGGAGCCCCAGCAATCCAGGAAGGCTGACTCAGGCCCTCTCTCTGCCCCCAACACCATCTTTGCCCTGATGCAGGTGCTCCATGCCAGTGCAGAGAAGGGGTGCCTACAAGAAAGTCCACCCTGGAGAGAAGGGCTAACCCCTCTGCTACTCTCTTCCTCAAGCTACTGGACATTTGCCCTCCCAACCCCAATGGCACCAGGATTCCCAGGACTCTGCTGAAGGGGCAAGCCCAGACCCCCCACTCTGACTGCTGCTCACCTGCCTCCCTGGAACTCTTCTCCAGGGGGAAGGAAAGGGCTCCTGCCTGGCTAAAGCGCTTCTTCCATCAAATGTTTCACATTCCCTACAGCAGCAAACAAACCTCAATGAAAGACCTCATCTCTTCACCAAGGAGGAAGTCCTGTGATCTGAGGCCCCAGCATTGGGCTCTAAATATGGAGCCACAAAAAAGAAACTACTAAACACAGCCCTGTTACATTTCCCATAGTAAACTGTGCAGACCACCAAGGACAGCTCCATTGGTCTGTGTCTGTGTTTGTACCAGTACCATGCTGTTTTGGTTACTGTAGCCTTGTAGTATAGTTTGAAGTCAGATAATGTGATGTCTCCAGCTTTGTTCTTTTTGCTTAGGATTGCTTTGGCTATTCAAGCTCTTTTTGAGTTTCTAGTTTTTTCTAATTCTGTGAAAAATGACATTGGTAGTTTGATAGGAATAGCCTTGAGGGAAGAGGCAACACAGTAGAGAAAATGGCATTGAATCTGTAGATTGCTTTTCAGGCTTTTAATCTCTTCTCTCTACCAGCAGGATTCAAGCTGGGTTTCTATCCCCCCCTCACTTGAACATCCTAGCCTCTGCCACAGACACCTAGCACCCTTTCCTCATTTCTTAGTTCAAGTTCAAAATGAGAGAAAGAATCCGATTGCTCTAGCTCAGCAGGTTGTGCCAGGCGACAATCTGGGGCCACTCCTGGACCAGTCAGTTGTAGCAGAAGGGTCACATGACAAAACGCTTGACTCACCCACAGCCATCCGGGCTGGTGGCTCCCTGCACCTGGGGCGGGAGTGCCAGCTGGGTGATGATGGGCCTTCCCCCACGCAGGCAGAAGTGTCCTTAGGTTTAAGCAAGATGGGGAGTGTGTGGCTGCATGCCTGGGGTATGGCAGGTGCCAAATTCCTGCCGGCTCCCCATCCCCATCCCCTCCACTCCTTTCAAGGAGGGACAACCATACTAGTGGTTCCTGCCCTCCCTGGATGGCATCCCTAAGACACCATCACTACCTGCCTTCCCAACCAGGGCCTCCTCAGAGCACGCTATTTAAGGGCATGGAACTAGGGCAGGGGTAGTGGTAGTGGCAAAGCCAGCCAAGTGACAGATGCCTCCTCTCACCCACCCAGAAGGGATGGATGGAGGGAGCTTCCAGAGAAGAAAAAGGGAGCAGCAGGAGAATGCACTGCCAACACCACAGGCTTTGTGCTTCCCTGCCCCACCTGCCACAGAGGGCCAAGGGTGGCCTAATCATTCCTTTTTCTATTCTGCCCAAAACCTCTCTCTCAGAATGCTTTTGAGCAATCCCCAATTATCCCTTCTCCCTGATGGTGGCCAGGCTTTGACAGGGGCCAAGGGAGAGCCATCAAATGACAAAAGGCAGGAAGAACAGAGGCAACAAGAAAGCAGGGAGGGCGGGAGTGGCAGCAGGACAATTTTTCTGTCTTCTTTTCCCCAAACTTAAGAGCCTGGTTTTCTCTGGATGCTTAGACATATGCATTTGAGCATGAGCAGCAAGATCCATTTCACTACTAATGAAAGCAATATTGGGTGGAGCTTCTGGGGCTGAATGCTGACTTCCGGTCAGGCTCAGTACCAGTGCAGACTCCTCCAGCAAGTTCCATGACCTTAAAGAGCCTCAGTATCCTCCTCTGTAAAATGGGGATGACAGTAGAACCTAGCTCATAGAGGCAATGCGTGCTGTCAGTAAAGAGATCTATGTACACGACTTAGCACAGAAACTGGCATTTACTAACTGGCCAGTAAGTGATGCTCTTTATCCCCTTTGACGGAGACAGGCAAAGAGCCCATCACCTTCCCTGTCGAGGAGTCTGCCCAGGGACTGTACAGCTCGGTGGTGTTACAGGAACAGAGCTGCCTGGCTTGAGAAGCTTTATGTGAAGTTGGACTGTTTTCTCATCATTTTGGTTAACATTCCAGGCATCCTCAAAAAGTAAGAAAAGGATTGCTTTATAGGACGGATCTGCCCTTTTTTTCCCCCTTCTTTTGCCCCCAGGAAACATCTGGTCTTTGAAAGCCAGGCTTTGTGCAGTTCTCCAATTCATTTCCTGCTTTACCTGGTTCTGGAAAATAGGCTCACCGAATATCTAACAATTTTCATTTTTCTCTATTGCTTGGCCTCTTCCTTCTCTGTATTTCATATTCCTCTCCTCCTTTCGTGTCTAGCTGAAGACTTGAATCTTATTAATGTGGCTGGCCCTTCACCTTCTCCACGGAGCCCCTGGCTATTGGAATATCATAACCTGAGTGTCACTCATACCTGCATCAGACGTCACTTGCACCAAGCGCCGAGAGGAATCAGAAGCAGCCCAGACTTGCGACATAACCAATGACAGTAAACGTGCAACAGGTGGTGCAAAGTGATGAGGACCAGTCTTGGGGAGGAGGAGGAGGCCACAGCCCACTCTGGGCTCCAACAAGTTCCACCATCCCCTGACCTTTGTCTAAACCTAAACTCTCTCCTTTAGCATCCCCTTGCTTGGGGAAAGGAAATGTTCCCTCTTCCGCAGGGCAGATACACTACCCAGTGGGACAGAAGGACAGCAGTCTACCATAGGCAGCATTTTCAGACCATTGCCCATGCCCTTGGCCAGCTCTCTTTAGCCAGAGAGCATTCTCCACCACCCCAGAGCTACTTCAGTTTCTGGAAAGGAAGCCCTCCAGCTAACAGGTCTCGCTCCACAAGATGTATATACATTTAAAAAAAACAAAGCTCTGGCCAGGTGCGTCAGCTAACACCTGTAATCTCAGCACTTTGGGTGATCACGAGGTCAGGAGGTGGAGACCAGCCTGGCCAACATAGTGAAACCCCATCTCTACTAAAAATACAAAAAATCAGCCAGGTGTGGTGGTGTGTGCCTGTAATCCCAGCTACTCAGGAGGCTGAGGCAGGAGAATTGGGTGAACCCGGGAGGCAGAGGTTGCAGTGAGCCGAGATCACACCATTGCACTCCAGCCTGGGCAACAGTGCAAGACTCTATCTCAAAAAAAAAAAAAAAAAAAAAAAAAGAGAACAAAGCTCTGCATCATGCCCAGCAGTGATGGCCTTTCCATCCTCTGCAAGGCCTCGCTCAGGAGAGAGGAAGGAAGGAAGAGAAAAAAGGAGAACTGGAGAGAGGCCCCGGAAGCCACAAGGCTCACACAGGTGCAATTCTCCATAAGTCCTTGTATTAGTTCGTTTTTACACTGCTGATAAAGACATACTCAAAACTGGGAACAAAAATAAGTTTAATTGGACTTACAGTTCTACATGACTGGGAAGGCCTCAGAATCATGGCGGGAGGCAAAAGGCACTTCTTACATGGCGGCAACAAGAGAAAAATGAGGAGGAAGCAAAAGTAGAAACCCCGGATAAACCCATCAGATCTCATGAGACTTATTCACTATCACAAGAATGGCATGGGAAAGACCAGCCCCCATGATTCAATTACCTCCCACTGGGTCCCTCCCACAACACATGGGAATTCTGGGAGATACAATTCAAGTTGAGATTTGGGTGAGGACGTAGCCAAGCCATATCATTCCACCCCGGCCCCTCTAAATCTTATGTTCTCACATTTCAAAACCAATCGTGCCTTCCCAAAAGTCCCCCAAAGTCTTAACTCATTTCAGCGTTAACCCAAAAGTGCATGGTCCAAAGTCTCATCTGAGACAGGGCAAGTCTCTTCCACCTATGAGCCTGTAAAATCAAAAGCAAGCTAGTTACTTCTTAGAAACAATGGGGGTACAGGTACTGGGTAAATACAGCTGTTCCAAGTGAGAGAAATTGACCAAAACAAAGGGGTTACAGGCCCCATGCAATTCCAAAACCCAGCAGGTGCAGTCAGATTTTAAAGCTCCAAAATGATCTCCTTTGACTCCAGGTCTCACATCCAGGTCACGCTTATGCAAAAGGTGGGCTCCCATAGTCTTGGACAGCTCAACCCCTGCGGCTTAGCAGGGTATATCCCCCCTCCCGGCTGCTTTCACAGGCTGGCATTGAGTGTCTGCGGCTTTTCCAGGCACACGGTGCAAGCTGTCGGTGGATCAACCATTCTGGGATCTGGAGGATGGTGGCCGTCTTCTCACAGCTCCACCAGGCAGTGCCCCAGTAGGGACTCTGTCTGGGGCCTCTGACCCCACATTTCCCTTCCCCATTGCCCTAGCAGAGGTTCTCCATGAAGGCCCTGCTCCTGCAGCAAACTTTTGCCTGGGCATCCAGGCATTTCCATACATCTGCTGAAATCTAGGTGGAGGTTCCCAAACCTCAATTCTTGACTTCTGTGCACCCACAGGCTCAATACCAAGTGGAAGCTGCCAAGGTTTGGGGCTTGCACCCTCTGAAACCATGGGCCGAGCTGTACCTTGGCCCCTTTTAGCAATAGCTGGAGCAGCTGGGATGCAGGGCACCAAGTCCCTCCACTGCACACAGCATGGGGACCCTGGGCCCAGCACATGAAACCATGTTTTCTTCCTAGGCTTCCGGGTCTGTGACGGCAGGGGCTGCCCTGGAGACATTTTCCCCATTGTCTTAGGGATTAACATACAGCTCCTTGTTACTTATGCAAATTTCTGTAGCCAGCTTGAATTTCTCCTCAAAAAATGGGTTTTTCTTTTCTACTGCATCATCAGGCTGCAAATTTTCTGAACATTTGTGCTCTGTTTCCCTTTTAAAACAGAATGCTTTTAACAGCACCCAATTCACATCTCGAATGCTTTGCTGCTTAGAAATTTCTTCTGTCAGATACCTTAAATCATCTCTCTCAAGTTCTTTGAACAAATCTCTAGGGCAGGGTCAAAATGCTGCCATTCTCTTTGCTAAAACATAACAAGAGTCACCTTTGCTCCGGTTCCCAAAAAGTTCCTCATCTACATTTGAGACCACCTCAGCCTGGATTTCATTGTCCATATCATTATCAGTATCTTTGTCAAAGCCATTCAACAAGTCTCTAGGAAGCTTCAAACTTTCTCACATTTTCCTGTCTTCTTCTGAGCCCTCTAAACTGTTCCAACCTCTGCCTGTTACCCCATTCCAAAGTGACTTTCACATTTTCAGGTATCTTTTCAGCAACGCCCCACTCAACTGGTACCAATTTATTGTATTAGTCCATTTTCATGCTGCTGATAAAGACATACCCAAGACTGGGAAGAAAAAGATGTTTAATTGGATTTACAGTTCCACATGGCTGGGGAGGCCTCAGAATCATGGCGAGAGGCGAAAGGCACTTCTTACATGGCGGCAACAAGAGAAAAATGAGGAAGAAGCAAAAGCAGAAACCCCTGATAAACCCATCAGATCTCATGAGACTTATTCACTGTCACAAGAATGGCATGGGAAAGACCAGCTCCCATGATTCAATTACTTCCCCCTCTGGGTCCCTCCCACAACACATGAGAATTCTGGGAGATACAATTCAAGCTGAGATTTGGGTGGGGACACGGCCAAACCATATCAGCCCTGGTGGTCAGGAGGGAATAAAGGCAATGGCCTGAGTTTCTCCTCACAACACCAGCCCTCCCTGTAACTTTCTGAAACTCCTTTGTCCCATCCAGACAAAGGAGTTTTGTTTGCTGTTTGGTTTATTCGTTAGGTACTTACGAAGTGCCAATGCTATGACAGTTACATCAGTGCTGACCCCACCACTGTCACCTTCATGCCCAGGGGCTGTGGAGTCCAGTACACCAGAGGGTCCCCAGCCCTGACTCTTGTGGGGAATTACCCTGGAATGACCAGACTCTGCCTGGTGGCAGAAGGCCCCTCGAGAAGATGGGAGAGGAGCCCTGGGGCTGTGTGAGGGCTGCACATGGCTGGACAGATGGGATGTAGGATGCAGCAGACAGGCCAAGGCCATGGTCCCAAGGCCAGACCCACAAAGGGTGTAAGGGTAGCCCTAACAAAGATGCCTCCAAGGCTTGGGACTTTGCAAGGTCTTTCTTAGGAGATGCAGAATGAAAACTTAAGCCACCACCATCTAGCCTACACCCACAGTGCCTGAATAAGACCCTTCTGGATGGAGCTGGGGGCAGAGCAAGCAAGCTGCCCTAAAGGTCTCTCATTGCTGTGGGAGCCCGCCCATCCTCTGACACACGAGCAAAACCATTTTGTTTCTTCGCTCGGCATTGTTCTGTTTGTTGGCTTGCTTTCATTCTGCTTCCTTTCCTGTTTTTGGCATCCTCATTAACATCATGTTCTAGTAAGGATTATGTGCTTCAGAAGCTCAGGAAAAGGCAGGAAGCTCAAGCAGGCTCTGGCTTTGGCGGCGTCCCTGAAAGCAGTGGTGGCCTCGAAGCCAGGTGGAATCATTCGTGTCTAGTGCCATCTTTTGGCTATTTTCGAGAACTTCAACTAACAGAGCTAAAGTAATGCCTGCTGGCCTTCAGCGCTACAAAGCCTCTTTCTTTGCTTCTAGTTTAGGGGAAAGGCCAGTCTAATTCGGTCAAAAATCTAAGCTGGAGATCACTCACGAGTGAAAAGATACTTTTAAACTTTCAATAGCCAGGAGGCAGGGCCAGAGCCTGGCCTATTCTTCTTGAAAACTTTGGAAAGTTTCTTGATGGGTAAGATTCAGCAAGTAGGTCAGTCCTTGTGCTACCCTAGTACCCGGATAAACTCAGCTGTACACGGGAAAATAACTCCCTGGTTCCCCCACTAAAGAAGAGTGTAATGCTCTATCTTTCCAGGCCAGTCCCCTCCGAGGCCCCTCACTCTCTAGCCCTTCACACAAACTCACCATCCGGCACTCCCTGCCTTGGGCTGTTGGGGAGGAAATCAGAATCTCGAGGCTAACAGATCCTGCTGTGGCTGCAAGCATCCCTAAGTGTATGTATTGTCTCTGGGCATTTTAGTGGCCAGATGGAGTTTCTCCAGAAAAGGCCCCATCTCCCATGAGAACCATGAATTCAGACAGCCGGACCCAACAACGCCAGTCTTAGGAATACACTCTCCAGAGGAATACACACGTGCAAAATGGTACTGGTATAACTTGTAATATTATAACACATGGTATTCATAGCAGTGTTGTTTTTAATAGCAAAATATTGATGATATTCTAAATGTCTCTCAACAAGAGGATATTAAATACATTGTGGTACAATGAAACAACAGAATACTAGGTAGCCATAAAAAAGAACAATATGGGAAGATCTCCAAGATATATTATTATATGAAAAAAGTGCACATAGTATGCTAGCATACATAAGCATATTTATTCCATATATGTGCAGATAGATGTATAGCATATGCACATATAAAATGCTTATATAGGTGATCAAATATTTCCAGGACAGTACACAAGAAACTGGCATTATTGGAGCCCTTTGGAGGGAATCAGATGGCTGTGGATGGGGATGAGAGGGAGACTTTTGTATCTTTCCATTTTAAACCAATTTATTTTAAATCAGTGTATTTACTTTTTCAAAAGTATGTAAAGAAAAAAATGACCTCTGTCACCTAGAAGCTGGTCAAGTGCCTGGAATAGAAGCATCCCATGGTGGACCACAGCAGAAAATGAATAAGATACATTTTGTAGACAGATTAGCATTTCATACACTTCTCTGTATTTGCTTCTTATGTTATCCCAAGACTTCTAACAAAGTACTGTTTGAATATTCCAGGTTTGCCTCTCCATGCCGAAGGATTTAGCTCTCACAATAACAAAAATGCTAAAATGCAGGCCCTGCCTTGAAGGAGTTCCCAGTTTCCTGAGCTCAGCAGACACCTAGAATACCTTGCAATAAAAAAAATAGTTTGGATAATCTATTGCTATGCAACAAAGGCCCACAAAACTTAGTGGCTTAAAACAACAATTTATTATTATCCCCTTCAGCACTGTGGGTTAACCGGGATCAGCTGGGAGGCTTCTATTTAGAGTCTTTCATGTGGTTGCAGTCCAAAGGTGGCTGAAATCGGAGTCATCTGAAGGCTCAACTTGGCTGTACATCAAAGATGATTTCTTTGCTCACATGTCTGTCTCCACAGCTGCTGCTGGCCCTGTGCCTCTGTCCAGGTAGCCTCTCCACATGGCTGGTTTGGTTTCCACACGGCATGTCTGTCATCAATGGTAGATGGCTTCTCCCAAAAGCTGCAACCTCAGAAGCCGTGCACTCTCTTCTGTTGCATTCTATGGATCAAAATCAAGTCAGAGATCTAGCCTGGATTCAAGGGAAAAGGACTATACAAGGGAAGAAATACTGGGAGGCATGGTCATCTTTGGAGAATGGCTACCACAAGCTAGGATAAAGACAAGCCCAGGTGCAAAGGCAGCCCAGAACTTGACCCTGACTCACTGTCCATCTCAGCACTTGTTCTAAACTGGAGCCTTCTTATGCTTTTGAAAAAAATGCATCTTGGGAAGTTATTATTAATGTCTTCAAATTTCAAGCCTGAAAAAAATGAGGAAACCCGGCCAGGCGCGGTGCTCACGCCTGTAATCCCAGCACTTTGGGAGGCTGAGGCAGGTGGATCGTCTGAGGTCAGGAGTTCGAGACCAGCCTGGCCAACATGGTGAAACCCCATCTCTACTAAAAATACAAAAAATTAGCTGGGCGTGGTGATGGGCGCCTGTAATCCCAGCTACTCAGGAGGCTGAGGCAGGAGAATCTCTTGAACCCAAGAGGCAGAGATTGCAGTGAGCTGAGATCGCACCATTGCACTCCAGCCTGGGCAAAAAGAGCCAAACTCTGTCTCAAAAATAAATACATAATGAGGAAACCAATCAGGAAGATTGTAAACCTTGTTTCTTTGTTTTGCTGTATTAGGCCCCAGCCCACAAAAAGCCACATCTCAGAACTAGCTTTGTACAGCTTCTTCAACTGATGAGCTTCTGAAATACAACGGCGGAATCCAAGAAGCCCCATGGATGCCATATGGGGGAACCTCTGGATATCAAGGCCACACCTTCTTCACTCCACAAAGATACACACACACATGCACAGCCCCTATGCAACAGGACTTTCTCAACCTCTTCTCCATCCTGCTCCCATTGAAACTCGACTCTGCTGGGTTCTTGCTCTACCAAAAAGAAAAAAAAATGGACCCAAATAATCAACAAGAAAGTCATAAGAAACCTTTAAAATACCAGTGAGACTCATTCTTGGTTTCCATCTAGATATAAAGAGAATGGAATATAAATAGAATATCTTATAGAACTAATAAAAATAACATCCTTTGAACACAATTTAATGGTATAAAGAGGCGATCACAATATACCATTAACTGCAAAAAAAAGACACAAAACTGTTCACAGTATGTATACATGCAGAAAAAAAAGATTAGTAGAAAATACACGGGAAATATTAACAGCGATTCTCTCTAGTGGTAAAATTATGCGAGACTTTTACTCTTAATACACTTCTATATTTTGGACAATGAACATAGAGTCCTTTTAGGATCAGATAAAAGTTCCATATACGCATATGTACCTACTTTTGGTCTTTTCTCTCAAAATCTCCATTCCCCATTCTGACATTAGCACTTCCCTCTCAACTTGGGTCTGAACTGTCAGCTTGACCAAGGGCTATTGGGACAGCAAGCAGGGTGTCCCAAAGGCCTCCATCAGCCCTGGCACAGATGACAGTCTCCTAAGTGGAGTCTGCCCTGCCCCTGGATTTTGGCATAAAAGAGCTGGTTAAAAATTTGAGCTATGCTTTTGAATGCATGCTTTTGAAAAAAATGCATCTTGGGAAGTTACTATTAATGTCTTCAAATTTCAAGCCTGAAAAAAATGAGGAAACCCAGCCGGGCACGGTGGCTCACTCCTATAATCCCAGCACTTTGGGAGGCCGAGGCGGGCTGATTGCTTGAGGCCATGAGTTCCAGACCAGCCGGGCCAACATAGTGAAACCCTATCTCTACTAAAATTACAAAAATTAGCCGGACATTATGGTGCATGCCTGTAATCCCAGCTACTTGGGAGGCTGAGTCAGGAGAATCGCTTGAACGCAGGAGGTGGAGGTTGCAATGAGCCTACATTGTGCCACTGCACTCCAGCTTGGGTGACAGAGTGAGACTCTGTCTCAAAAAAAAAAAAATTGAGCTAGTTGTGAATATGTGTGTGGGGCTGGAGCAAGGAGTTGGCGTGTGAGGAGAGCTGCTAAGGTAGAAGTTTGAAAAGAGGCATTTGACTGCTGAGAACAAAGCCAAAGGAAGAGGAAGACCAGAAGACACCAGCAGAAGCCCCCTTTGGGAAACATTCCAGGTCTCTCCCTACTCCACACTCTCCCGCCCAAAGCTTGTGCAGTGCTGACCTCCTGCGCCTCACAAGTGACATCTTTTATTGTCGTCATCATCATCATTACCACGACCACACCTAGGATATTATGCGTTATATCTCACTTAGTCCTCTTATCCAGTAATATAAGGATTAATAGAGATGAGAAAACTGAGGATGATGAAATTAAGTAACTTGCCTTAGGTCAAACATCATATTAGTCAAATGGACCATCTCTGGAGCCAGAGAGAAAAACGTTTGTTCCAAGTTGTGCCATTTTCTAACTGTGTGACCTTGGGCCTGAGCCTCAGTCTCCTCACAGGTAAAACGAAGACGATAATAGTACCTACCTGGAATCGTTTCCCATAGCTGCTGTAACAAATTACCACAAATGTACCGGCTTAAAGCAACACGCGGCCGGGCGCGGTGGCTCACGCCTGTAATCCCAGCACTTTGGGAGGCCGAGGCGGGCGGATCACGAGGTCAGGAGATCGAGACCATCCTGGCTAAAACGGTGAAACCCCGTCTCTACTAAAAATACAAAAAATTAGCCGGGCGTAGTGGCGGGCGCCTGTAGTCCCAGCTACTTGGGAGGCTGAGGCAGGAGAATGGCGTGAACCCGGGAGGCGGAGCTTGCAGTGAGCCGAGATCCCACCACTGCACTCCAGCCTGGGCGACAGAGCGAGACTCCGTCTCAAAAAAAAAAAAAAAAAAAAAAAAAAAGCAACACGCATTTTATCTTTTACGGTTCTGAAAGCCAGAGGTTTAAATGAAGTGTTACGGAGCTAAAATCAAGGTATCCACAGGGCTGGTTCCTTCCAGATGCCCCAAGGGAAGATTTGCTTCTGCTTTTTGAAGCTGCTCCCAGCCCCTTCCTCCATCTTCAATGCCAGCATCTTCTCTTCTCCCTGACCTCCTCCCTCCCTCTCATAAAGGACCCTCATGATTACATCGAGCCCACTCAAATCCAAAACAATCTTCCCATCTCAAGATTCCTAATTCAGCCGGTTGTTGTGACTCATGCCTGTAATCCCAGCATGTTGGAAGGCCGAGGAGGGAGGATCACTTGAGTCCAGGAGTTCAAGACCAGCCTGGACAATATAGTGAGACTCCTGTCTCTAAAAAACAAAATAATCCTTAATTTGATTACATCTGCAAAGTCCCTTCTGCCAACTAAGCTAACATACTCACAGGTTCCAGGGATTAGGATGTGAACCTCGTTGGGGAGCTATTATTCAGCCTGAGAAGGTTGTTAAAAGTATAAATGAGTTAACATACAGAGAGTGCTAGAGAAAACCATCTGGCACAAAATAAATGCTATTAACCGTGTTAGCTGTTGTGATTAATAAAAGTCACACACACACACTAAGTGGTGTGGCTGAAACTGAACCCCATGCCAGGCAGAAGCCCAGGATGCCATAGAAACCATAAAATCGGAAAAATTGGGGGCGGGGGGAATCCCAGAAGGGGGAAATCTTGTCTGGTTCTACAACAGACCTAGCAGCGTCTGTCTGGATTCCTTAGTGAGGAAGTTCCCAGTATTTACCAAGTTAATTGGCTTTGACCTCAACCAATAAGATAACACAAAATACTGCATATGATCTTTGAGTGACAAAAGAAACGGGATGCCTCAGCTTTGATCAGGGCCCAGTTTCTGAGATGTGAAACGGAAGTCGAGCTGTAAATGTAAATAGAACTACAAGTTGTGTCCTCAAGCTTCAGTAACAAGTCTGGGAGCTTCTCCCACTTTTTGAAAAGGAAAATAGGCTCTCGTTAATTTCATTCCATCACGTGGAATTTCTAATGGCTTTGACATTCTAAAAACAACTAAATTGGAGCCTTAAAACATATATCATTTGGAAGGCAGCCTGGTAAGATGGAAGGAGAGGAGGACTGGGTTGGAAACCACCAGTGCTGGACTCCACACCAGGCTCTGAACCAACACCTGCTGCAACCAAGACTTGGCCCCTCCCCTCTCTGGGCCCCAGTTTCCTTACTAGTAAAATGAAGGGAGTGAAATCCCCCCGTGTTCTGACATCACATCATCTGTTGATTCATTTCTTCTGAAATTTCTTCCCCTTTCCCCTGCTTTCTCTCTCTTTCCACCAGAGTATCAACAGATTCATATTTTTTTCTTCTCTCAAGGGAAATGCCTTAATTTGAAGTCACTCATAATTTCTAATTTGTACAATAAATGTAGCTGGTTGGAGTAGATAGTGGAAGATGCATGGATTCAAGTTCTGGCTCTGTAATTTACTAACTGTGTGATCTTGAGTGAATTACTTAACCTCTCTGTTTCCTCAGATCTACGGATAATTCCTGCTCACAGGAATGTTGTGAGGCTCAAATAAGATGATACATGCAAAGCACTTAGAATAGTCCCTCTCATATGCAAAGTGCTTAGTAAACAGACATTAGCAGGAGGAGGAGTGGCTGCTGTTGTTGTTATTTCTTTTCTTTGTTGGATCTCCTAGATCCTACTAATAGGTGACTTTAATAAAGGCATTTTGAAAAGACCATTCAGAAGAGACAGTTTCCCCTCCTAATGTCCCTCTCCCAGGAAGAAAGGAAGGAAAGAAGAAAGAGAAAGAGGGAAGAAAGAAAGGGAGGCGAGAGGAAGGGGGGAGGAAGGAAAGAGAGAGAAAGAAAATTCAAATGCTGCCATTAAATAGACCAAGATCAGAGGTATTTCATCACAAGAAAAGAAAAACATCATTACAAGCTATAATTTTTGGCTTTCAAGAAATTATATTCATTTGAAAAAGAGCATTGAACTTGTGCCTTCTTAGTAGAAAAATAAACAGCTTTCTGAAGAGTTAGGAGATGATTTTACATAAAAATTGAATTTGTTGAATGCCAGAAAAAGTGATTCGAATATTTGATTTCATCCACCAAATGTGTGAACAACTGGCCTAAAAGATTTTCACTCAACTTGCTGATGGCGAATTTGGCTACAATTGAAACGGGCAGAAAAAAAGCCCAGGCCCCTAACGGCCTCTGGCTGGCAGCCAATCAAAATGATGTCACCCACTCAGTGATGTGCCTCAAACCCCTACCTCCGTCCTGGCTTCCTCTTTCAGCTCCCTACACACACACACACAGGAACTCTCAGATGGCACCTTCCTTCCTCACAGAGAACAATTCTGATCAAATCCACACTGAAGATGTTCTCTCTCCAGAAGTATTTGCATTTCATGGGTTCTTGTTTAATTTTAAAGCTAATACCAGTTTATTTAAAACCGTTTGATAATATGAGAATAAAAAAAAAACTTCATTTTAATCACTTGACTTTCCCAGTCCAATTCCATGAGCCAAAGATAACTGAAGTGAATATTTCAGAACTAGGAAGATACTTCTTTGATTACAGAGAACATCATTTCAACCCAACTCCTCACAGCATACATCCCAGGGAAATTCTAAAGCAGCATTTTCCCAAGTGTGCCCCTAGACAACTGTCTTAGTCCATTTGCATTGCTAGAAAGGGATACCTGAGGCTGGGTAGTTTATAAAGAAAAGAGGTTTAACTGGCTCATGGTTCTGCAGACTGTATCAGAAGCACGATGCCTGTATCTGCTTCTAGTGAACACCTCAGGCTGCTTCCACTCGTGGCAGAAGGGGAAGGGGAGCAGGCATCACATAGCAAGGGAAGAAGGAAGAGAGAGATGGGGAGGAAATCCCAGGTTCTTTTCAACAACCAGTTCTCATGGGAACCAAGAGAGCTGGAACTTACTCGTCACCACAAGGACAGCACCAAGCCCTTTATGAAGGATCCACCTCCATGAACCAAACACCTGGCAATAGGCTCCACCTTTCATGTTGGAGATCAAATTTCAACATGAGATTTGGAGGGCCAACTATCTAACAACTGATGCATGAAAGACTCTACAAATAAAGCGAAAAAGAGGAAGGGGCCCTTGCCTGCTGCCCTTACCTCCTGAAAATGCACAGTGAGCACTGTCCTATCTAAGACTCAGAAGCTGTGCAGTGTATATATAAATATATATATAATATATGTATTCTGTTTAGCCAAACATTACCAAAACATTCAGAAACCTTAGAACCACATGAAACACACTTTAGAAAACACTACTAGTTAAAATTAAACACAGCTAGTTAAAATTAAAAACAAGACTACTTCCTACAACAGTTATTATTACCCTTTTTCTAGATTTTTTTAGCCAATACTATAAATACATGAAATGGAAATAAGAATTGGACATTTTAGAATGGCATAGAGAAGAACGCATTGTTGGGTGATATTTTGTTTATCTATAAATTACAAAGAATAAGCTCTAAAACTATTAAAATTCATAGGAATTCAGCAATGTAGCTAGAATACAAGCTAAATTTTCAGAATAATAGATTTTCCATAACTTAGCAATAACCAATTAGAAAAGTTAAGATATTTAATCCCAATAATTATTTTTAAGAATTATCTAGACAAAGCTTTAATGAAAAAAAGTTAACATTTCCACTAAGAAGATGAGACTGCAATTTATGAGTAATGCTCATGGAGAAGGTAATGCTTAAATAAAGGAATTAAGGATGGTGTGAGTTGCCTGTAATCCCAGCACTTTGGGAGGTCGAGGTGGGTGGATCACTTGAGGTCAGGAGTTCGAGAACAGCCTGACCAACATAGTGAAACCCCATCTCTACTAAATACAAAAAAATTAGCCAGGTATAGTGGTACATGCCTGTAATCCCAGCTACTTGGGAGGCTGAGGCAGGAGAATTGCTTGGACCCAGGAGGCAGAGGTTTCAGTGAGCCGAGATTGTGCCATTGCACTCCAGCCTGCGCAACAAGAGTGAAAACACCGTCTCAAAAAAAAAAAAAAAAAATGGCGTGAGTTTAAGGCAGCAGAAAAAGACATTTTGGAGCAAGTCAGCATTTTACTTGAAAAATGTTCCTCTTCCTTCTGGCCTCTGTGTTCACTTATGAGAAATCCTCCATCATCTCCACCTGCCACCACCTCCCAAAGTGTTGGGATTACAGGCGTGAGCCACCGCACCCGGCCCCTCCATCATCTCTTTAAAGGTAATGCCTTATCTCCCTAGATGCTTTCAAGATTTTTCTTTGTCTTTAGTTTTTGACTGATGATTTCAGTGTGGATTTCTTCGGGCTTATCTTGTCTGGGATTCATCAGCCTCTGTTGGTTTGTGTCTTTTGCCAAGTTTGGTTTGTGTCTTTTGCCAAATTTGGCAAGTTTTCAATCGTCATTTTTCCAAATCTTTTTCAGCCCATACTTCCTTATCTCCTTCTGGAACTCCAATAATACAAATATTCGATCTTTTGTTGTTGTCCCACAGATCCCTGAGGCTCTTGTCATTTTTTTTTCCATCTGTTTCCCCACTGTTCAAATCAGGTAATTTCTTTTGTTCTGTCTTCAAGTTCACCAATTCTTTCATCTTTTTATTCATCCTGCTATTGAGTGCACACAATGAGTTTTTTATTTCAGTTATTGTATTTTTTAGTTCTAAACTTTTCATTTGCTTTTCCTTATACCTTCAGTTGCCTTGCTAAGACTTTATTTTTCGTTTGTTTCAAACATGTTTGTAATTTCTTATTGCAGCATTTTAATGATGACTGCTTTACCATCTAATTTCTGTATCATCTCTGTGTTGACATCTATTGATTGTCTTTTCTCATTCAAACTGAGATTTTCCTGGTTCTTGGCAAAACCACATTCCTTAGAAGGACATTGTGCGTTAAGACTCTAGATCTCACTTAACCTTTTTTCTTTCTTTTCTGTAGGTAGTCACCCTATTTAGAAAGAGCATGAAGGCCAAAGTGAGAGTGGACATTCAGCTCCCGGCTGGGGCCCACTGACACCAGCAGAAGCCAAGCACATACACTCATCACCTCATCGCCACCAGGTTCAGGTGTAATTTCACTGACTCCAGGTGGGGCCCGAAATGCAGCTCCCCACTCAGCCCCACCAACACCATGGGGCCTGGGTGGGCATAGGGAGCAGTTTTTCTTTCTGTGTTTGGCTGGAATTGGGTGGGTATTGTCTTCTTGGATGGCCATTTCTTGGTCCTTTGGCTAGAATAAACAGGCTTTTCTTGGGGCTTTTTCTTTTTTTCTGTGCCTGTTAATGGTTTCAGGTTGACACTTCCCCCAGCTTCCCATCTGGAATATGAGGGAGGCAAAAAGAAAACCCAGAGCAACACAGGAACAGAAAACCAAACACTGCATGTTCTTACTCATAAGTGGGAGTTGAACAATGGAACCCATGGACACAGGGAGGGGAACATCACACACCAGGGCCTGTCGGGGGGTGGGCGGTTAGGGGAGGGATAGCATTAAGAGAAATACCTAATGTAGATGACGGGTTGATGGGTGCAGCAAACCACCATGGCACGTGTATACCTATGTAATAAACCTGCAAGATCTGCACATGTATCCCAGAACTTAAAGTATACTAAAATAATATAAAAAAAGAAAACCCAGAGAATTCACCACCATGTCATTCTTCAAGCCCCAAGGTCCCTAACCAGTCTTCCAGGACAACCTATGGAGGAAGATACTCATGCAGACAGCAGAGCAGCTTGAACACCCTGAGCGGGGAAGCCACCTTGCGACGGGAGAAAGTAGGGGCCTCCCTAAACACAGACACAGGAACAAATTCAAACACTGATGTGTTCCAAGTAGCCTCCTAACAGGGCCTGTGGAGTCACAAGGTGAAGGTCAGCCAGTCTTTCCTGGGTCATGCATACAGACTCTTCGCTGACATTTCATTTTTTTTCTTTATTTAACAGTTTTATTGATATAATTCACATCACATACAATTCTCCCATTGAAAGTGTACAATTCAATGGCTTTTAGCACATTCGCAAAGTTCACCGCAATCAATAATAGAACATGTTTATTAACCCAAAAGAAACCCAGCGCCCCATAGCCATCACCCCCAGTTCCTCTCCATGGCCCTCAACCCCAGGCAACCACTAATCTCTTTTCTATCTCTAAAGAGCCACCCATTCTGGACATTTCATATCAGTGAAATCATATAGTTTGTAGCCTTTTGTGGCTGGGTTCTTTCATTTGACATAATCTTTTCAAGGTTCATCCATGTTGCAGCATTTATCAATTCTTCATTCATTTTTATAGGTGAATAGAATTGATACCCCATATTGTTTACCCATTCATCAATTATAGATGGATGTCTAATTCTATGTCTAATCATTTGAACAACTGCCATACTGTTTTTGCAAAGTAGCTATGCCATTTTACATTCCCATTAGCCGTGTATGACGGCTCCAGTTTCCCCACATTCTTGCCAACACTTATTATCAGTCTTTTTTATTGTAGCCATCCTAGCAGGTGTGAAGTGATATCTCATTGTGGTTTTGATCTGCATTTCCCTGATAGCTAATAATGCAAGCATCTTTTCATGTCCTTATTGGTCACTCTTTGGAGGAATATCTGTTTAGATTTGTTGCCTACTTTTTAATTGGTTACTTGTGTTTTTGTTGTTGCCTTGTAAGAATTTTTTATATCTTCTGGAGACTATATATTATTAGATATGCAATTTGCAGTCTATGGCCATACCATCCTGAATGCACCTGATCTCATCAGATATGTAATTTGCAAATATTTTGTCTCATTCTGCAGGGTGTCTTTTCACTTTCTTTATACTCTACTTTGAAGCACAAAAGTTTTTAATTTTGATGAAGTCCAGTTTACCTACTTTTTTTTATGGATTGTGTTTTTGTTATCATATCAAAGAAATAATTGCCTATCCCAAGGTCATAAAGTTATTCCTAGGCTGGGCACAGTGGCTCACACCTGTAATCCCAACACTTTGGGAGGCCGAAGCAGGTGGATCACCTGAGATCAGGCATTTGAGACAAACCTGGCCAACACGGTGAAACCCCGTCTCTACTAAAAACACAAAAATTAGCCGGGCGTGGTGGCACACACCTATAGTTCCCAGTTACTTGGGAGGCTGAGGCAGGAGAATCACTTGAACCCAGAAGGCAGAGGCTGCAGTGAGCTGAGATCGTGCTTCTTCTATTGAGGCTTCTAAGATGCCCAAAGCCCGTGGCCCCCAGTGTTCTCCTGCAGCAAGTGAAAATGCATGCCATCAATGACCAGACACAAAGGCAGGAGTTTGGATTGATGCATTAATCATTGATTGATTAATGCATTTGATCAATGCATTAAAGTGCATGGACAATGAAAGATGCTCATGCTAAGTGATAGGTGAATAAAAACCAAACTTGTGACAATTCCTGGTACATAGCAAGTGTACAAACAATTTGCTCCTGTAGTTTGACTTCAATCATCTGAAATATACGGGTAGAAGCTGAACTATGTGGAGAGATTAAGCTGTTTTTTCTATTTTGCTATAATTTCTATAGAAACTATACACATATGATCTATATATTCCATGTATACATATATGTATATAAATATTTATGCTCTAATAAGCATGCATTAATTTTATGAACTGCAGCATGGTATATTTACTATACTATATTGAAAAAAGCGTTAACTTCAGAGCATTTGAATGTTTGCTTCACCATTTACTGTGTTTGTGCCTTTGGCCTTCTAAATCTTATTTTCTTCATCTATAAAATGGGCACAATATCTACCCTGCAGACTTCTTCTGAAGATAAGCAAAAATTAAAGCAAAGCACATAACACGGCATCTAACACACAGTAAAAGGACAGCTAATGCTGTTTCTTACAATGAAAGAAAACAAACTTTCCTTTAAATTGATGAATAAGCAAATGCATGATAAATATGTGCATGTTACCTAGCAATAGCTCCCATCATCATCTCCTATTTGTTAACTCAATTAAGGTCTATGTGTTGAGTGCTAACTACACACCAGGCACCATGCCTGACTCATTAGCCCAGACTGGTTGTTGGATGAATGTCTGGACATTCCTGGATGCTGAGAAGAGGACATTCAAGGCCAGGAAGACTCCGATAAGCGGGCACATTGCAACCATGAGCTCTGGGGAAGGGAGAGAGAAAAGTGAAAGCCACCAGCCAAGGAGAGGATACACATGCACCAAAGCCCTGGAACTATCCTGAGGTGAAAATTTGAATTAGGACCTAATCCCAGGCCATCTACCAGACTTTTTCTTCCTGCCTCTGTAGCTGATTCTTGCTCCACTGAACCACAAATACCCAATCCCAAAAGTGTATTAGTCAGGACTGCATTTAGTTGAATGCCTCAAAAAAAAAAAATCTACCTTAACAAGTTAGGAATCATTTGTCTCATGTAACAAGACACCTAGAAGTAGTTGCCTAGGGCTAGTGCTCAAAGATGTTACCAAGGACCCCCTTCCTTCTCTTTTCCTTCCCTGTCAGCCTTAACATTTGGTTGTCAACATGCAGGTCATGGACGGCGGCTGCTGCATTCTCATCCCAGGCTGGAGGATGCAGATGGCAAAGGGCCAGTGGTTGTGCTAGAGAACATGTGTCCCTTTTCCAAGTTCTCCCAGGGTACTACCTGGTGACTTCCACTCCCACTTTATTAGCCAGAATGGTGTCACATGGCCGCCCTCTCCTGCAAGGGAGTCCTGGAAGACGAGCTTTTTTTTTTTTTAAGACAGAGTCTCGCTTTGTCGCTCAGGCTGGAGTGCAGTGGCACAGTCTCTCAGCTCACGGCAACCTCCACCTCCTGGGTTCAAGTGATCCTCCCACCTCAGTCTCCCAAGTAGCTGGGACTACAGGCTCCTGCAACCACGCCTGGCTAATTTTTGCATTTTTAGTAGAGATTGGGTTTCACCATGTTGGCCAGGATGGTCTCGATCTCTTGACCTTGTGAGCTGCCTGCCTTGGCCTCCCAAAGTGCTGGGATTACAGGTGTGAGCCACCACACCTGGCCTTAAGATGAGCATTTTTATTTATTTATTTATTTATTTATTTATTTATTATTTTGAGAAGGAGTCTTGCTCTGTCGCCCTGGCTGGAATGCAGTGGCTCGATCTCAGCTCACTGCAACTTCCGCCTCCCAAGTGATTCTCCTGCCTCAGCCTCCTAAATAGCTGGGATTAAAGGCACGCGCCACCACAGTCAGCTAATTTTTGCATTTTTAGTAGGGACAGGGTTTCATCATGTTGGCCAAGCCGGTCTCGAACTCCTGACCTTGTGATCTGCCTGCCTCGGCCTCCCAAAGTGCTAAGATTACAGGCGTGAGCCATCGTGCCCGGCCAAGATGAGCATTTTTAACTGGGTCATTGCTTCCCAGATGAAATCAGGTGTCCACCAGCTGTGCCTTCCACAGCTAAGCTGGTGAAGAAGTTGCCACTCCAGTGGCAGGCATGAGAAGTCCCCAGGAAGAGTGCTGAGGTATGGGAAAGCTCTGGGGTCATTATTTGGGGAGGAAGCCAACCTTGTGCTCTGGGTGGCAACCGACACCTCTCCATTAGAAGAAGGGGGAAGCTCCCGCTCATAATCAGGAGTTTCCAGAGGCAAAGACAAAAGGAGAAGAGGAGGCCAGCAATAGCCTCTGGGGAACCAGGAAGAAGAAGAGTGAGTGAGGCTGGATGACGATGGACAAAGATCAGCAATCTAAAACTGAAAAAGGAAAAGCCTGCTGGTGGAAGGGCCAAGACGGGACTGTGAAAGAACCAAATACCCAGAGACTCAGTAGTTGCCATGGAGAGTGTGGAGTAAGCCCCTCCTCCTCTCCCACATGGACCTTCTGCAAAGGGCAAGTTGCTCATCGTATGAGCTGAGCTGTGTCCCCCCAAAATTTATGTGTTGAAATCCTAACACCCAGTACCTCAGAATAGGACTATGTTTAGAGACAGTCTTTATAAAGATAACTCAGTTAAAAAGGTCACATAGGCAGGCACTTACCCAACATGACCGGTGTCTTCATAAGAAGAGGAAGCAAGGACACTGACATGCACAGAGGAGAGATCTTGGAAAGACGCGGAGAAGACGGTCATCCACAAGGCAAGGAGGGAGGCAACAGAAGGAATAGCCTTGCCACCACCTTGATCCTAGACACCTGCCTCCAGAACTATGAGAAAGTAAATCTGTTGTTGACGTCACCCATTTGAGCCACTTTGCTGTGGCAGCCCTGGTTAGTGTTTAATCAGGGGAGATGGGTTGGAGCACTCTGAAGCAGCAGTGTGTCTCACATAAGAATCTTTGTGGCTGCACAGAAACTGCTCAGAGTCAAACCCAGCAGCTTGAAGCAGAAGAGTAAGACTCCCTGGGAAGCCACAGAAATGACGAACAGGTGTTGGGCTTTTGAAGACCTGCAGTTAAGGAGGGGCCAAGGGGTCTGAGGGCCCCGGCCATCATCCAATCTTCACAAGCTAAGGACACTGGCTGGAAAGAGAAGAGAGACATGATTTCTTTTTTTTTTTTTGAGACGAAGTCTTGCTCTTGTCCCCCAGGCTGGAGTGCAATGGCGCAAGCTCAGCTCACTGCAACCTCCGCCTCCCAGGTTTAAGTGATTCTCCTGCCTCAGCCTCCCGATTAGCTGGGATTATAGGCACCTGCCACCACGCCCTGCTAATTTTCGTATTTTTTTTTTTTTAGTAGAGATGGGGTTTCACCATGTTGGCCAGGCTGGTCTTGAACTCCTGACCTCAGGTGATCTGCCTGCCTCGGCCTCCCAAAGTGCTGGGATTACAGGCAGGAGCCATCATGCCCGGCCTAGAGAGACATGATTTCTTTCTGAGATCTCTCTTCCCCTGGAACCTGACCTAGGGGAGAGGAAGCCACTCTATGTGGAGGAGTGGCCACAAATTCGCCCTCTCCCAGACACCTCTGTCCCCGAAGAGAATCTTCCAAGGATCTGCTCTTGGCCAACTGCCCTGTGGGAAATGACTCCACGAATTCCCCAGTGTAGCTACTCCCCGTTCTCCTCCCCACTTTATTTAATGTCATGTTTCTCACCGTCCGACGTGCTGCACATTTCACATATTTATTTGTTTACCATTTATCTCCCTCCATTTGAAGCTTCCGGAGGGCATGGATTTTGTGTGTGTTTTTTTCACTACCATATTCCCAGCTCCTAGAACACAGTAGAGGCTCAGCAAATATGTCACGTGAATCAATGACATTAATTGCTAACAGCCTATTATTGAAAACTGATGAAATCTCTACACTCTGTCCCTAAGGTATTTGCCTTTTCATATAGGAATCCAGGAGTTTGGAGTAACTTGAGGACTCAGGTTAATTGAGTTTTTAAATGATGGAATCTCAGACAAATTGGCAGACTCATGTGGAAGATATCTGAAAGCAGACAGAACTTCCTGACCCTCCTCCAGTCACCCCATGGAATTGGCTACTTGCTCCCTAGAGGTAGACGCCATGGGGACACACATGGGAGAGAAGGGAGCTGGGCACGGGGAGAGTGAGGACCCAGGGCCTGGGCTCCCAGGCATGGCCCACTGCGTTGCTCCTTCTGGAGCTCACTAGCCCCATCCTCAGCCCCTGAGTGCACAGAAGCGAGCCTCTGCATTTTGAGTGGCTGAGACGTCATTTTGGGGGAGTTTATGTCATTATTAATATGGAAATATGCAAGGTTCCATGGCAAGCAGCTTGCCCTTTTATTAATAACAGTTATTCACAGTGCAGGAGTCAAAGGCATTTCTGCTTGGGTGCTCATTAAAGCTGGCCCCATAAAGAATGGGAGTAAAGCAGTAAATCAGCCGTGGGTCCAACCATCTTGTGTCACTGGGAGTAGGGGGTCTGTATCACCAGAAAGTGGGGTGAGTATCTCAAATCCTGCTCACCAAGCTGTGTGCTGGACAGCCCACCCCCCCCCCCATCATCACCTGTGTGCAACCTGGTACCCCACCCTGCTCCTAAGGAGGGAGCCCTAGGTCCTGGAGTCACCTGTCATCTTCAGATACTCTCCAGCCATCACAGGTGGCAAAAGCCGGGGAAAATCTAGAGTCAGCCCAGAAACCGTGACTCCAGCCCAGTTCTGCTCTTCCCAAAAGCCCTGCTGAGATCCCAGGAATGCGCAGCTCCTGCGTTTTTCCAGGGGTGGGTAAATGCTGATTCAGTCTACATTTCTTGAGGAAGACTGGAGGGCTGTTTCCGTGACCTGTCTCAGGGCTGAGGAAATAAATAACATAGGTGTGGGATTCATCGTTTACAAAAGTGTGATGTCATTTATTTTCATGATCTTCATCTCACTACAAACTCCATACCTGCCAAGTCCTAACTCTTTGTGTCACGACGTTCATTGTTATTATCACTGCTACTATCACCACTATTATTAGAGGTGACTCCTCTAACTGACAGAAACTTCAGCAGGATTACATAGAGAAGTAACCCCAAAATGCCTATGTTTCCAAATGATAGTTGACCATAACTTTTGGTTAGCTATGGCTGCATAACAAACTACACCATAATTTGGTGGTGTAAAACAATGATTTATTATTTCTTATGATTCTGTGGGTTGACTGGGCTTAGCTTCTTGACACAGCAACTGGACCTCAAAGTGACCCAGGCCAGGAACAGTGGCTCACATCTATAATCCCAGCACTTCAGAAGGCGGGGGCGGGCAGATCTCTTGATCCCAGCAGTTAGAGACCAGCCTGGGCAACATGATGAGATACAAAAGATACAAAAATTAGGTGGGTGTGGTGGCATGTGCCTACAGTCCCAGCTACTCAGGTAGCTGAGGTGGGAGGATTGTTTGAGCCCAGGAGGTCAAGGCTGCAGTGAGCTATGATTTCTGCCACTGCATTCCAGCCCGGGTGGTAGAGTGAAATCATGTCTCAAAACAAATAAAATAAATAAAAATATAATTAAAAAGATGGCCAAAATAGAAGCTGCAAGGCCTCTGAAGGTCTGGGCCAAGAAGTCCACTGTGTCACTCCAAGACTGTGACATCCAGTCAAAAGATGTCACAGAGCCTGCCCAGTCAAGAGGAGAGGAAACAGTCCCCTGACCCCCTGGCCACTGATGGAAGAAACAGAATGTGCATCCAGGGATAGATCACTTGTGCCATCTTTGCAGTCTATCGGCCTCATCTAAATAACCTTCAACAAAGCAGACCCACTTTCTTCATGGGCGCCTGTGTATATACCACCTAGCTTATGTGAGCCTTGATTTTCTGACAAAGTAAATGAAGATGCTGGTGTCTTGTCTGAACAGGATAACCTGTTAAAATTCCTTTCCAGAGCTGTGAGTCTGTGGCTTCTACTATCTCAGAAATGCTTTCAATTACAAACAATACTAATGCATTCTTTGAACTTCAGGACCTAAAAAAGATGAAAATATCTGTCTTCCCTCCACCAGCAGGCCTTAAATCTTAGGCTATGTTTAGTGATCTTTTAATTCCACAGTGGTGTCAGAACCACCAGACTTACCTGAATTTGTTCCTCAAATTTCTTTTGGCATGTATTATTTTTCTATCCTAAAGGAAAGAGAAAAATTTGGGTCAAACGTTAAATATGGACTGGGCGGGGTGGCTCACACCTTTAATCTTGGCACTTTGGAGGCCAAGGCAGGAGAATCGCTTGAGCCCAGGAGTTTGAGACCAGCCTGGGCAACCTCGTGAGACCACCGTCTCAAAAGTAAATAAATAAAAACAATTTTTAAGTTAAGTATAAAAGCCAGGTTCAGTGGCTCATGCCTGTAATCCCAGAACTTTGGGAGACCAAGGCAGGCTGATCACTTGAGGTCAAGAGTTCAAGACCAGCCTGGCCAACATGGTGAAACCCTGTCTCTGCCAAAAAATACCAAACTTAGCCGGGTGTGGTGATGCACACCTGTAGTCCCAGCTACTCAGGATGCTGAGGCACAAGAATCACTTGAACCCAGGAGGCGGAGGTTGCAGTGAGCCAAGATGACGCCACTGCACTCCAGCCTGGGCAACAGAGCAAGACTGTCTCAAAAATAAATAAATAAATAAATAAAGTTAAATATGAAGATCCTTTCCCAGTACTTCTGTGAGAAAACATGAAACTGGCATGCAAGAGGAAAAGTTACATTAAACCTAAGGAAAAGAGATCACCAGAGGATCATTGACCCAAAACATACATGCATCATAGAAGATGGGAGGAGAAAAACTGGCCCACCCAATGACAATGAAAAGGACCTTTGGACTGGCCAAGCGGACAAAAAAAAAAAAACCTTACTTTTCAAAAAAAGAAAATTTAAAAGTATTACGAACACAAATTCTTTTTTTTTTTCTTTTGAGACAGTGTCTTGCTCTGTCACCCAGGCTAGACTGTAGTGGTAGGATCATAGCTCACTGCAGCCTCCAACTCCTGGGCTTAAGTGATCTTCCCGCTTCAACCTCCCGAGTAGCTGGAACTATAGATACACACCACCACACACGGTTAGTTTTTTTGTGTTTTTATTTTTTTATAGAGACAGGTTCTCACTATGTTGCCCAGATTAGTCTCAAATTCCTGGCCTCAAGCCATCCTCTGATCTTGGCCTTCCAAAGAGCTGAGGTTACAGGCGTGAGCCACCGCACCTGGCCATAAATGCAAATTCTTTTATACGAAATTCCAAATACTGATGAAAAAATGTATTGACATAGCCAAGCAAAACTGCCCTGCAAATTTCCATTTCCTCACATAAATCACTCTTCTTATGTTTCTCTGCACCACAGCATGAGGCTTTTCTTTTGCTTTATCTTCACATAAAACGTCATCAAAGCATCTCATAAATTTGATTTGCAAATTCAACGTGTCACACCCATAACCCTGTCCCTCTGCAAAACAGAATCTCGACCAGCTGCTCTGAATACACCTCTAGAACAATGCCTGGAAGAGCTCATCAGCACAGGACATTGTGAAGACAACAAAACAACTTATGAATAACTGAACTCCCACTACAAAATGGGAAGTGCGTGAAACTGAGTATCGATATGTACAAACTAAACGTATAGCAGGATCCTGATATTAATTTTCAGCCCTTCCACCTAAGGAACCAGTAAAAACTCTAAACTGACCATCCCATTCTGTTCTTTTTTCATGTCTTCTATACAGGGCTGTTGCTTCCTTTAAAATCAGGGTCCATATTGTTACTTGCCAGAAATTTACAGGAAATCTCTGCCAACATTGTAATACAAAAATTCACCTGACATACCAAGTACTTTCTGCAATTGTAATGCTAAGGGTTGCTTCCTCCAACACAACCTGCTCTTGGTGTTTACATTTCCCTGGGGATGGCTTCCCACTCTCCGCAGCTTCAGAATCACTGTGTTCCGCCCACATTCGACAGAAGAGAGGGAGATTTTAAGTTTTATCTTTCTTGCTAGCTAGTCAAAGGTGTCTCCATATTAGGGTCCAGGGTGAAGATGCTTTCCTCTCTTGCACTGTCTCTCTCAACGTCTTTTAGCCACTGTCACCATCCCCAAGGTCACCATGATACTTCTATGTGACTGCCCTGACCTACGTCTTGAAAGAAGCTGGTCAACTCAGGACCTCATGGAACATATTTGTAGCTCCTGTCACACGGGCTACATGAGCACAGAAAGTCCAAATCACGAATTTTTTTAGAGCTGGCAGAGACTCTACAAATCAACTCCATCCCCCTCATTGTGGAAATAAGGAAACTGAGATGAGAAGAGGCGGGGAAGGGAGAGGAGGGGAGAGGAAGGAAGGAGAGGGGAGGAAAGGAGAAGACAGGAGAGATTCATTCATGTTTGCACAGTACAGAGAACAGAAGTTGCATCTCCTAACTCTTTAATGTCTCAAATAGGAATCATTCTGGATTCCAGACTCGCCATGGAGATGGGGCTGCCAGTGAGGATCTCTCTCCTCTACTGCTCTCCTGCAGGCCCATGCCTTCCATCTGTTACTGACTACTAAGCCTCCCTTTCCATCCCTTCCCTGGGCTTGGCTTACAGGTGTCCAGTGGAAGTGTCCACAGGCAGGGCCAGCTTCACAGGAAAGAAACCTGGACGGTCCCACAAGACCCCACATATAGAAAGACCCTGTGCTTTACTTAAATTTCTGCTGCCACCGTCTTGAAATTCTTAGTAGTTTTTGAACATACAGGGACCCCCCACATTTTCATTTTGCACTGGGCACTTACAACTACATAGCCAGTCCCATCCACAGTACATACCACATGAATTAGTCACCTTTGACTAGCTAGCAAGAAACACAAAGCTTCAGAATCTCCCTCTCACCCTGAGTGTGGGTGGAACCCAGAGCGATGACAATGCTACAGTGACCTCACCCACATTTCTCTTCCAGGGAGGGTCAAGAGTGTGAGCAAGAAGATCAATAAAAATTATCACTAAGCATCCTCCCTCCCTGGGCTTCGGGTTCCAGAAAACAACCCTTGTCCCCCAGCCCCAACTACCTATCTGTGAATATACAGCAAGTGCCCCCTTGGCCTAATTAACTAACCTCTCTGAGCCCCTGTTCTTTCTTTCCTCCAATTATAAAGGCCATAAATGCTCATTACAGAAAAATTGAAAACTACAGGAAAATAGAAGGAAGAAAAGGTCACCTGCCTTATTTAACACACATATTTTCTCTATAAGGTACATCGCAGCCTTACTATCTGAGCGTCATCACTGTTAACACTTTCGAGTTTTCCTTCTGGCCTTCGTTCCATGCCTACACTTTTTCACATATGTAAGGAAAGACCACCTTCTTCCCAGCAAGAAACAGTATTGGTCATCTTGGGAGCTTCTGCTGCTGGTGGCCTAGAGAGCCAGATGAAGGAGTAGAGAAATGGCAGCTGACTGCAGGATGGTACAAGAAGGGGAGGAGAGGAGAGGTGAGGAGAGAGGAGGGGAAGGGAGGGGAGGGGAGAGGGGAGAGGACGGGAGGGGAGGGGAGGGGAGGCAGCACCGTGGTTCTGCCGAGCATCGCGTGCTCTCTACATAGTGGTGGGGCTGGGGAAAAGAATCCAGACCTGCTGCAACCAGCCCAGCAGGTGACAAGGACCCCCTCCGCCCCAGCAGTGCCCTGCTCCTGTCACAGTTCCTATTGCAACCAGTATGGCAGGGGGTGGAAGTAAACAGGGACAAGAAATCTTCCACAGCTTTGGGGATGAGATCCTCAAGGAGCTGAGTAGACGTGGATTGTGGGTCATTTCTTTCAACCATAGCCCTTGTAGACTAATGGGAAAGAGTGCAGTGGCTAAGACTAGCCTCCCTCCATGACCAGAGGAAGAGACTTCCAAGGAGGTGCTGGTGAGGGGTGGCGAGAAGGGAGGAAGGCACTGCAGGTGTTCATTGCCCCCTACCCACCCTGCAGGCTGATGGCATTTGGGAAACACCTGCAATGTGAAGGAGTTATCACATCGTACACAGAACTGCATATCCTGGTTTTCCACATGACACTATATCATAAGTGATTTTCAATCTTATGATAAAATCTTGATAAATACTTTATTATTTTCCATTATGTAGATATACTGTAATCTATTTGGCACTACAATGAACATCTTTGTAGTTAAAGTTTTTCAGTATTTAGGATTATTCCTTCAGGCTATAATCTCAGGAAATAAGTAATTAGATTCAAATACTGTGCATTTTTCAGATACTCAATACACTGCTTTCCAAATTACACTAATTTACAATCCAACCAGATTAGATGACAGTGCTGCACATGGGAAAACACACATATACATATACACTCAATTCTCATTATTCCTGGTAGTTATGTTCTATAAAGTCATTACAAGCACTGAATTACAAATACTGAACTATGGCTCCTATGGGAAATACAGGGTTAGGTTCCTGCAAGCCTCTGCTCACAAGATTTTCATCAACCAATCAATACATAACCTTTTTTTATGAGTGTTCTCTTTAAAGACACCTCATTTATTACATGTTATTGATTCATTAACATTAAAATTACAGCCAATAGCACTGTAATGCATGACTAAGTGAAGCTTGTCTAATACACATATCTTCTAATACACGTAAGGCACATAACAGCCTTCTTGCACTTAGAAACACTAGACAGCAATTGAGCACTATTCTTGGGGGCCATTTTAACCAGTGAAATCCCCCCCAAAAAAGCATACAAATGTAAAAAGTGTTAGCTACATGTGGTGGCACACACCTGTACTCCCAGCTACTCAGGAGACTGAGGAGGGAGGATCACTTGAGCCCAGGAGTTCAAGGCTGCAGTGAACTATGATCATACATGACACAGCACTCCAGCCTGGGTGACTGTGTGAGACCCCATCTCCAAAAACAAGTTAAGGCTGGACGTGGTGGCTCACGCCTGTAATCCTAACAGTTTGGGGGGCTGAGGCGGGTGGATTACCTGAGGCTAAGAGTTCGAGACCAGCCTGGCCAACATCGTGAAACCCAGTCTCTACTAAAAATACTAAAATTAGGCCGGGCACTGTGGCTCACGCCTGTAATTCCAGCATTTTGGGAGGCCGAGACGGGCAGATCACCTGAGACCGAGAGTTCAAGACCAGCCTGACCAACATGGAGAAACTCCATCTCTACTAAAAATAAAAAAAAATTAGCCAGGTATGGTGGTGCATGCCTGTAATCCCAGCTACTCCGGAGACTGAGGCAGGAGAATCACTTGCATCCAGGCGGCAGAGGTTGCAGTGAGCCGAGATCATGCCATTGCAAGCCAGCCGGGGCAACAAGAGCGAAAATCCGTCTCAGAAAAAAAAAAAAAAAAAAAAAGCAGCTGGGCATGGTGGCGAGCGCCTATAACCCTAGCTACTCGGGAGGCTGAGGCAGGAGAATCACTTGAATCCAGGAGGCAGAGGTTGCAGTGAGCCAAGATCATGCCACTGCACTCCAGCCTGAGCAACAAAGCAAAAACTCTGTCTCAAAAAAAAAAAAAGTTAAATTTAAAATTTTTAAGTGTTAAAAAAGTAGCACTAAATAGACCACAAAATGGACACTTGCTTACAGTGTGGGAGCTGAACCAAGAAGGCAGAGTATCCCCTTGTTCACCTCATCTGGAAATGTGCACATTGGAGAACTCAGTTTTTTACCACTCTGAGCATGTCTGGGAATGACCATGAAGATTACTTTTGGAGTTACTAGTAAATTTTAACAAGTAGGTGAATTCACAAATACAGAATCTGTGAATAATGAGGCTTGACTGTATTTATACGTGTGTGTACCTATGTATGTACGTGTGTGTGTGCATATATATCTATAGATAGAGATAGACAGGCAGATAGATAGATCAATCTTGTCTTAGACTCCAGGAGAGCATGTGAAGTTTTTCTTTTGAAAAAGTAAATCGCTGGGTGCGGTGGCTCATGCCTGTGATCTCAGCACTTTGGGCGGCTGAGGTGGGTGGATCACTTGAGCTCAGAACTTCAAGATCAGCCTGGAAAACATGGCAAAACCTCGTCTCTACTAAAAATACAAAAATTAGCCAGGTGTGGTGGCCTGTACCTGTAATCCTAGCTACTTGAGTGGCAGAGGCAGGAGAATTGCCGAAACCCAGGAGGAGAAGGCTGCAGTGAGCTGAGATCACACCACTGCACTCCAGCCTGGGCGACAGAGTGAGACCCTGTCTCAAAAAAAAAAAAGTATAGCAAGAAGACAAACATATGATAAGACAAGTAGAGTAAAATGTTAATGGTAAAATCTAGATGGTGGGTTTATAGGTGTTCACTATAAAAGCCAATTGTTCCAGAGTTTAAAATTTTTCATAATTAAATGTTTTCTTTAGTCATATCTATAGAATAAATAAGGAAGAATATAGTCAAACTGATGCAAGCACTTATTTCTGGAGAGTAGAATTGTAAGAGATGTTCACCTTCTTTTCTCCTTCTTCTTTTATTTATTTATTTATTTTTTATTTTTATTTTTTTTCAGAGACAGGGTCCCACTATGTTGCCCAGGCTGGTCTCAAACTCCTGGGCTCAAGCGATCCTCCTGCCTCAGCCTCCCAGAGTGCTGGGATTACAGGTGTGAGTCACCACACCCGGCCTGAGGCTTTCTCTTTCTACCTGATACATTTCTAGAGAAAAATAAGATTATTCTTTATCCTTACCATTTCATCTTTTCTCATATTCTTTTTTCAGCCAGAGAGGTTAGCTGATGTGTCGATGTTTCTCCAAGCTTACTTGATAAGGACTCAAAGGCAAGGCTGACTGTGGACGGTAGGAGCTAGAATGGGGTGATGCACCCACAGTGTGGCTGACCCCAGGCTGCTCAGACCTACTACACTCACCGTTTCTTAGCCCATCCCTGCTATTTCCCTTACGCACCCCTGTATTGCTGGTGTCCTACATTGCACCTTACCGCCCTGATCAGACAGCGAATTCCTTGAAAATAGAGACCGCGGCAGCAGCACAGCAAATGGAAGGAGCATCGGCTTTGGACCAGGACTGCTGTGGGCTCAGGTCCCAGTGCAGGGCACGGCTGAGAACCTGTTTCCTTATCTCTAAGATGCTGTACAATTCAAGTCTCAGCTACAGAATGCTTCAACCTGGGAACGTTATCCCAATCCTATCCCAAGAGTGCTGGGAATTTTGTCCCAAGCAAGACTTCAGAAATGAGTCGCACCCAATCCTAAAGAAGGAGGAAAAGAACAAGGGCAAGAATGCAGTGCAGGGAGGGGCTAGAGTTGAAGAGAGACTGCTTGTCTGAGTAGGGCATGTTGGTACTCTCTTAGCTGTGCAGCATCCAAATTTGCTTCCCACCCAGATTGTTGCTGCAGCGTGAGCTTGGCTACAGTTTCCTCTGCCTACCTCTCTTTGCTCTAACCCATTTTCCAGCAAAGATGCCTCTTTGAGATCAAAATGGTGCCCTGGGGTACCTTGGCACACAGTTTGAAACCCATGACTCTAGGGAAATAGAAAAAACAGAGTGGAGGAGGCAAGGATAAAATGTAGGCATCTTTGAAGGTACCTTGTATAAAGTTAGATTAAAAGCAAAAACAAAGCCATTCCTAAAAATCGAACTCAAGCTGAAACTAATGAGCTTCATAGTATATCAAGTTTATGGCATAAAAATTATCTCAGGTGACTATTAATAGTACCTCCCTAAGGACAAATACAAATACATCCTAAGGACAAAAAAGAACCATAAAGAAATCTTAAACCACATTCAGTAGACTTAATGTTAACAACATCATTGGAATCAGTATTTTGGGTTTTTTTAATTTTTATTTTATTTTATTTTTGTAGAGATGGGATCTCCCCATGATGTCCAGGCTGGTCTCAAGCTCCTGGACTCAGGCAATTCTCCCGTCTCAGCCTCCCAAAGTGCCAAGATCACAGGCGTGAGCCACTGAGCCCAGCCTGAAATGAGTATTTTGAAATTACTGCAGAGCAAGAGATATGGATATAAATATAGAAAATGAGAGAAGGCATGTAAGAAATTATGGTAATATCATCAAGCACAAAAATGTTTAGGGTAGAAAAAAGAGAGTCAAACATAAAATTCACATAAAATGCAAAAAAGTTAAAATGCTATCATCTGTAAATTGGATTGGAAATATCAGAATAAATTCATGAATTATTTTTCTATTTTAAAAAGTATGGGGCCGGGCATGGTGGCTCACGCCTGCAATCCCAGCACTTTGGGAGACCAAGGCGGGCAGATCACCTGAGGTCAGGAGTTTGAGACCAGCCTGGCCAACATTGGTGAAACCCCACTTCTACTAAAAATACAAAAATTAGCCTGATGTGGTGTCGGGCACCTGTAATCCCAGCTACTCGGGAGGCTGAGGCAGGAGAATCACTTGAACCCGGGAGGTAGAGGTTGCAGTGAGCCAAGATCGTGCCATTGCACTCCAGCCTGGGTGACTAGAGTGAGACTCTGTCTCAAAAAATAAAAAAATAATGAAAAAATAAAAAGTATGGGCTGGGTGCAGTGATTCATGCCTGTAATCTCAACATTTTGGGAGGCCAAGGAAGGAGGATCACTTGAGTTTGAGACCAGAATAGGCAACATAGTGAAATTTTATCTCCACAAAAAATGTTTTAAAAAATTAGTCAGGCGAGGCAGCACATGCTTGTAGTCCCAGTTATTCAGGGGACTGAGGCAGGAGGATCGCTTGAGCCCGAGTTAGAGGTTGCAGTGAGCTATGATCCTGCCACTGCACTCCAGCCTGGGTAACAGAGCACGATCCTGTCTGAAAAATAAATAAACAAATAAATAAATTGTCAAAGCAGTGACCACTGAAAAGGCCAGCAGCAGTGATAACCCAGTAGCAACTAGTAACCCCTTGTGCCCATAATGTGGTCTCTAAATACCGTTTTCCCCTAAAGGGAACCAAGACACCTTTGAGACATGGCCACTCCAGTTCTGCAGTGGAAAATGAATACTGAGTCTAGAGTATCTTGTGTCTAAAAGTAAGAAAACTATCAGACACTCCCAAGTTATGTCAAAATGTTACAGAAATTGTTGCGTTTTATTTAAGTTCACAAACAGACAAAACTCATGCATCATGAGAGAAGTCAGCATAGGGGTTACTTTTAGGATGAGCAGAGCAGTGGCTAGGAATAGACAAGAAGCTTCTAGGGTGCTGGTATCTTATCTGGAGGCAGTTACACAGGCACATATATTATTTTTTCTATGATTTCTTTTTTATGTTTATCATTTTATTTGTCATTTTTATCTTTTTTATATTTATCATCTTAAGCATTTCTAAGTGTACAGTTCAGTAGTGTTAAGTATATTCCCATTGCTGTTCAACCAATTTACAGAATTCTTTTCATCTTGCAAAACAAGCTCCACACCCGTTAAACAGTAACTCCTCATTCTTCTCCTTCCCCAGTCCTCAGCAACCACTATTCTACTACAAATTTGACTACTCTAGGTGCCTTTTATAAGTGGAATCATGAACAGTATTTGTCCTTTTGAGTCTGGTTGATTTCAAGCATAATGTCCTCCAGGTTCATCCATGTTGCAGCATGTGTCAGAATTTCTTCCTTTTTAAGGCTGAATAATAACCCACTGTGTGTATACACCACATTTTGTTTATTCATTCATCCATCAATGGACGCTTGGGTTGCTTCCACTTTTTGGCTATTGTGAATGATGCTGCTATGAGCATGGGTGTTCAAATATCTCTCAAGACCCTACTTTCAATTATTTTAGACATATGCAGTGATGTGGAATTACTAGATCATATGGTAATCTATTTTTAATTTTTTGAGTATTTAAATTGTACCTAGCTATATACTTGAGATCTGTGTACTTTTACAGGCATATGTTACTAATTGATCAGTAAGAATCAAAACATAAGCACTTTAGAAAACATTTTGACAGTATCTTACAAAGTTAACTATATGCTTATCATGAGTCAGCAATCTCATTCGTGGTTATTTACCCAAGAGAAATAAAAACACATCCACACAAACACCTGTACGGGAATGTTTATAGCAGCTCTATTCATGATATCAAAAAGCTGGAGACAACCCAAATATCCATCTGCTAGTGAGTGGATGAATGAACTGTGGTACATCCATACACATGAATCTGCTCAGCAACAGAAAAGGAACAAACTCCATTTCCTGCAGTGGAGAAAAAGAAAAGGAATAAACTACCACTATACACAAACATCGATGAATTTCAAAAGCAGGCTGGGCGCAGAGGCTCACACCTGTAATCCCAGCACTTTGGGAGGCTGAAGTGGGAGGATCACTTGACGCCAGGAGTTTGAGACCTACCTGGGCAACACAGCAAGACCTCATCTCTACCAAAAAAGTAAATAAATAAAGAATATGAAAGCATTATGCTAGGTGAAAGAAACCAGACAAAAGTCTACATACTAGTCCATTTATATGAAATTCTAGAGAAGGCAAAATTGTAGTGATAAGGCAGATAAATAGTTGCCAGGAGCCTGGATTCAGGGAGGGCATGAAGGAACTTTTAGAGTTGGTAGAAATGTTCTATGTCTTGATAGTGGTGGCAGTTACCTGATTATATTTAAAACTCACCAAAATTGTATGCTTAAAATTGGTGAATTTTATTTTATTTAAATGATGCCTCGATAAGGATTCCTTAGAGAACTAAAAGTAGATCTACCATTTGATCCAGCAATCCCCCTACTAGGTATCTACCCAGAGGAAAAGAAGTCATTATATGAAAAAGATACTTGCACACGCATGTTTATAGCAGCACAATTTGCAATTGCAAAAATATGGAACCAGCCCAAATGCCCATCAATCAATGAGTGGATAAAGAAATTGTGGTATATATATATATACCATGGAATACTACTCAGCCATAAAAAGGAATGAAATAATGGCATTTGCAGCAACCTGGATAGAATTGGAGACTATTATTATAAGTGAAGTAACTCAGGAATGGAAAACCAACATAGTTTGTTCCCTCATATGTGGGAGCTAAGCTATGAGGATGCAGAGGCATAAGAATGATACATCGGACTTTGGGAACTCGGGAGAAAGATCGGGGGCTGGTGAGGGATAAAAGACTACAAATTGGCCACAGTGCACGCTCCTCAGGTCGTGGGTACACCAAAATCTTAGAAATCACCACTAAAGAACTTATTCAGGTAACCAAATAATACCTATTCCCCAAAAACCTATTGAAATTTTAAAAAATAATAGAATAAAATAAAATTTATATATATAACAAGAGGAAAAAGATTATACCTCAATAAGGCTGCTTTTTTACGTGTGAGAAGGAAAAGGAAACCCTCACTGGTCACTTTTGGGGGTTGCTAGGGCACCAATTCATCATTCTGGAAACTGATAATTAAAAGGAAAGAATCAAGTAATTATCTGCCTTTCCTGTACAGACTATATTTCAGGGTGCAGCCTCTACTGTGGTTCTTTTCAGATGCTACTAAACATTCAGACTCGCAAGCTGACCGTGAGCCACACCGGAAATGAGAGCCTCTGGGAAGGCCATAGGGCAGGAACCACAGCTGGCCCACCGGCAGCACCAGGCACTCCCCTTCCTTGGCTATAAGGACGCAAAGGCATAAGAATGATACATTGGACTTTGCCATGAAGCAGCCCTAAGGCCACCCCAGGAGCTGTCCTCTCCCCAGGGAGACCCAACATGGCGCAGGAACAGGAACCGTGCTAGGGTAGAAGCCTGGTGCCCACAGGAACCAATGTCTCTTGAAACAAGTCCACAGATAGGAGTTTCCAGAGCCCCTCGAGAATCCCTGCACTCAAGGAAGCTATGGCAGATGGCATTTTCCAAAGAGGGACACGATACTCTTGCCCCATATGTGATTTCAGAAACTTGCCACATAAAGAGGTGAATCAAATTTTTATAATAAACATTACTACTGATGTAATTGTTTTAAGCAATGATAAATTTTAAATAATGAAGTGGATGCAAAGAAAATATAATAAAAGTGAAATTCATCTTATATTTCTAAATTTAAAAGATGCAAATTACAAGCAGAATGTAGACTATAATTCTAGTTTTTGGAAAATTTAGAACCACAAAAATATTAGTAGTAAATTTTCTTTTTTTGAGAGCAAGAGATGATCTCACTGTCACCCAGGCTGGAGCGCAGTACACCATCATAGCTCTCTGCAGCCTCGACCTCTCGATCTCAAGCAATCCCAACTCAGCTTCTTGAGTAGCTGGATCTACAGGTGCACGCCACCATGCTTAGCTAATTTTTTAACTTTTTGTAGTGACAGCATCTTGCTATGTTGTCCGGGCTGGTCTCAGCTGCTGGGTTCAAGTAATCCTTCCACATCAGCCTAGCAAAGTGCTGGGATTACAGGCGTAAGCCACCACACCCAGGTTATAGTGAGTATTTTGAGATATTGGTATTAAGGAAAGAATAAACAATAAAATAGTAAAAAGATACATTGGTAAAAGTAAACAAATTTTCTAACTCATAATAAGCTATGCTAGTGGCAGCGTGGTGAGACAGCCACTTTTTTTTCTTTTTTTAAATTATACTTTAAGTTCTAGAGTACATGTGCACAAAGTGCAGGTTTGTTATATATGTATACACGTGCCGTGTTGGTGTGCTGCACCCATTAACTCGTCATCTACGTTAGGTATATCTCCTAATGCTATCCTTCCCCCCTCCCCCACACCACGACAGGCCCCAGTGTGTGATGTTCCCCACCCTGTGTCCAAGTGTTCTCATTGTTCAATTCCCACTTATGAGTGAGAACATGTGGTGTTTGGTTTTCGAGACAGCCACTTTTACATATAGCTGGTGGTAGCATAAACTGGGATGGCTTTTCTGGAAAGCAATTTGAAATTATGTATCTAGTCTTTAAAATATTTATATCCTTTGTTAGGGACAGAATCATGACCCTCTAACATTTCTATGTTGAAGCCCTAACCACCAATGTGACTGTATTTGGAGATTGGGCCTATGAGGAGGTTATGACAGTTAAATGAGGTCATAAGTGTGGGGTCTCAATCGGATAGAGATGGTGCCCTTATAGAAGAGGAAGAGATATCAGAGCCCTATCTGTGTCATGTGAAGACACAGTGAGAAGGCAGCCATCTGCAAGCCAGGGAGTGAGCCCTTACCGGAAACCAAATCAGTCAGAACCTTGATCTTGGACTTTCCAGCCTCCAAAACTGTGAGAAATAAATTTCTATTGTTTAAGTCACCTAGTCTATGGTATTTTGTTATGGCACCCCAAGCTGACTAAGACACCCTTAATTCAAATATATGAGTTCGGCCAGCCACAGTGGCTCACACCTGTAATCCCAGCACTTTGGGAAGCTGACGTGGGTGGATCACCTGAGGTCAGGAGTTCAAGACCAGCCTGGCCAATGTAGCAAAACCCTGTCTCCATTAAAAATACAAAAATTAGCCAAGCATGTTGGTGCATCCCTGTAATCCCAGCTACTTGGGAGGCTGAGGCAGGAGAATCACTTGAACCTGGGAGGCAGAGGTTGCAGTGAGCCAAGATCATGCCACTGTACTCCAGCCTGGGTGACAGAGCCAGACTCCATCTCAAAAAAAAAAAAAAAAAAAAGGAAATATATGAGTTCTAGAAATCTTCAAAAGGAAATAACCTCAGAAATGCAATCAATGACTGCATACCAAGATGTTTATCACACTATTATTTGTCATAATGAAAAACTAGAAATTTTGTATCGAATATCAATATTACTCTTTATAGTGAAATAGAAAAAAAAATGGAAGACTGTAAACCAAAATTTTAATAGTAGTTTCCTCTGGGTGGTACAAGTAAGTATTTTTTTAAATTTCTCATGGGTTCCTTTTTTTTTTCAACTTACTAATGAACTTCCATAGCCTTTAAAATTTGTAGGGAGAAAGGATTTTTGTAAAAACACTAGAGATAAGCCAACCACCTCCTCCCACCCCATCCCCCAGGGAACACATACCATCCATTCCCCAGCACCTGACCTACGGACTCATAGTAGAGCATGCCAATAACGATGGAAGAGCAGCTGCACCTGGTTCATGCAGTAAACATCTGTTAGCTTATCGGAATGCATTCCTCTTACTGGTTTTGCTTCGGGGCCTCCTCTCACATTGGATAGTCAATGGGTGGTGGTGTGGTTGTCAATGAACGTGCATTATTATCGGTCAGAACCCCAAAAGGAAATCAGTGGCACATTCAAACTGGGTAATTTGAGGAGAGTTTAATAAAAGGATAATCTATAAAGGGATGGATAGTGTTTGAAGAAAACATGAGGGCTAATGTCGTGCCCCTTACCTAATAATAGGGCAGTGCTGTTGTCACCCTGGCTGAGAGAAGGGTGTGGTTATAAGAAGCTGAACAGAGGAAGAGAACTGTGAGGACAAAGTCCCCAGGCAGGAGCTATGATCCTGGGTTAACAGACAAAGTCATCCCAGTCTTACTTTCCTCCCTTCTCATTGGCCAGATACATCCAGAAGCTGGAAACTAGTTCAGCCCTTTGATGTCATCCTCTAAGGAGACAGAGCAGAATGGAGAAAACAGGTAAGTAAACCTGAAGGCTATGTCTAGCACAGCCCCTGGGGCTCAGGAACCACAATTCACAGCAAAGCTGAGAATTCAACGTCTCTTCCTGGAGTTCAGCTTCCGAGCTCTTGGTACAGGCATACTTCATTTTATGGCGCTTTGTAGATATTGAGTTTTGCTTTGCTTTGTTCTTTAGCGACAGGGTCTCACTCTTTCTCCTAAGCTGGAGTGCAGTGGCACAGTCAGAGCTCACTATAACCTCAAATTCCTGGGCTCAAACGATCCTCCAGCCTCAGTCTCCCAAGGAGCTAGTGTTAGGTTTTGCAGGGAAGGTAAGGGACACCCACACAGAGAGGGCAGCTCGACAGCAAATGCAGGCTTATGTCCAGCATAAAACCTACAGAAGTGGGGAACCATCCTAATGCCAGTGCCCACAACTGCTTATATGCTGGGGGTACTTATAGCTATGGGCGGGAGGGGTCTGAGCAGCGTGGCTTGCTGCCTGGCAGGATATTGAAAAGATGTTCCCGTGATGAGGTGGTTCTGGCCCTTGTTCCGGTGGGCTGTCATCGTGATGTTCCTTGGATCTTTGCCCACCAAGATATGATAGGGATGTTTCTTTAATACGGCCTTTGTCCGCCTTGTGGTCAGGTGGTTAGGCAGAATGTTTCTCATGGCCCAAACCCCTGTAAAATGTTTTGCTTTAACCAAAGTCTGTAAAATAGCAGGGAGCTTACAAAATGGTGAAATTTGGACTAACAGCTAGGACTATAAATGTGTGCCACCATGCCCAGCTAATTTTTTCATTTTTTTGTAAAGACAGGGTCTTGCTATGTTGCCCAGGCTGGTCTCAAAGTTCTGGTCTCCGGCAATCCTCCCACCTCAGCCTCCCAAGTGCTGGGATTACAGGTGTGAGCCATTGCACCCAGCCCTAAACATACCTTTTATATGCACTGGGAAACCAAGAAATTCATGTGACTCATTGTATTCTGATATTTGCTTTATTGTAGTTGTCTGGAACTGAGCCCAAAATTATCTCAGAGGTATGCCTATATAAACATGGGGCTTAGAGAAATGCTTCTCTAGCCAGTTTTTCCCCCACTAGAGAAAGGAGATTAAAACATTCTAAGGATAGAAAAAGAGTTGGAAGACTATTCAGAGTGAGAAATTCATGAGAATCTCGGCTCCTAACCAGTCCCCGAAGGTGATCTCCAAGATAAGAGGATGACAGAACCCCTCAACACATTCCGATCTGACAGAGGAGAGGGGACTTTCACCCCGCCCCTTGTCGAGACTCCCAGGAGGTGACAGCCTTGCAGTACTTTCTTGTACTGTTAAGGCATGGAACAGTTCTATAGAATGGCAACCAACATGCTGGGGCAACCCCACAAGACTCCCTTGGCCCCATGTAATGTGTAAGCCAAATTTCCCCACGTCTCCCAGTGGGGTGTAAAAGTCAACCAGTGGAGAAGAGCTGGTCCTGCAGTCAAGAGAAGGGAAAGCCGCAGCAAAGACAAACATGGGCCATATGGTCCGAGGCCCAGGAAAGGCGGGCTTCATGATGGATGCCAAAGTAGAATGAGGGAAACACACATTTGCACCTCCGAAGCTGTCAGCCTAAGGCAGAGTATGACTGCAGACCAGCCACACACACGTGCACACACAATCACACACACACACACTCTCTCTCCCTCTCCCTCTCTCTCTCACACACACATACTCTCTCACACACACACACACTCCCTCTCTCCCTCTCTCTCTCACACACACACACACATACTCTCTCTCACACACACACACACATACTCTCTCTCTCTCACACACACACACACTCTCTCTCTCTCTCACACACACACACACACACACACTGCCATGGCACGGAACTGAGATCCATCAAAGGGATGTGGTCAGAAGGAAAAAAAATCCCAAACTGAATTCTCATCCAAAATCACTGAGGACACCAATACGTCACTGAGGAAAAATACACTGGAATTGTTTATACTATAAGAGAGAAGACATGTTCAAGACAGAAATTAGGTCTGTTATAGAGAAATTTACTTTTTTGCATACCTAAGTTCATGGCCCATAAAAATCATACCTACGACACATTGTCTTAAAAGTGCAGTCTGATTCGCCATAGCCAAAACCAAAAGGCAGAGCAACCCAAGTACCCACTGGCAGGTCATAGACAAACAATATGTGGTCTACACACACAATGAAATGTTACTCAGCTCTGAAGAGGAAGAACATTCTGACACGTGTTACAATATGGCTAAGCCTGGAAGCCATTATGCTAATGAAATAAGCCAGTCCAGTCACAAAAGGATAAATACTGTGTGGTTCTACTGACATGTAGTAGCCAGAATTGTCTAATTCATAGAGATGGAAAGTACAATGAAGGTTGCTAGAGCTAGGAAGAGGGGTAAAAGGGAGTTATTATTTAATGGGTACAGAATTTCAGTTGCAAGGGCAGGCACAGTGGCTCACGCCTGTAATCCCAGCACTTTGGGAAGCCAAGGTGGGTGAATCACCTGAGGTCAGGAGTTCAAGACCAGCCTGGCCAACATGGCAAAACCCCGTCTCTACTAAAAATACAAAAAATTAGCCAGGCTTGGTGGTGGGCACCTGTAGTCCCAGCTACTCGGGAGGCTGAGGCAGGAGAATGGCGTGACCCCGGGAGGCGGAGCTTGCAGTGAGCCGAGATCGCGCCGCTGCACTCCGGCCTGGGTGACAAAGCGAGACTCTGTCTCAAAAAAGAAAAAAAAATTAACTTTTTAAAAGTGTTTTCCACAGCAGCAGCAGATCAGTTTTGAACCCTTGACACTGTCAAGTGGTGACCAGAATTCAAGGCTAAAGAACAAGCCAACAAGCATGTAAGTAGGTGATAGCAGAGAGAGAGGATGGGCTGGCTGAGGAAGAAAAGCAGTGCAACCCCTGGGAACACCTCCTCCTCCAACTGTCTGAGACACAAGCCATCAACCCCAGGAGTCACACAGAATGAGTCACAGAATGGGTCACACGACAGCTTCAAAAGTCAGGTGATGTGATGAATGTAAAAATGCTTTAACAAAGAAGAAAATGGCATACAACATCATCTAGTTTCATAGGAATATCCAACAGTGATATGTTTTTTTCAATAATGTCAGCTGTTAAATCAAGTTTACCTAAAGCTGCCTCCTTACATTTGTAAGTTCAGCCTAAAGGTTTCTCTGTACATCGTGAACTATAACAAGTGGAGGTGTAAACAGACCATAGCCTACACTTAACGCCAATCACCAAGTTTTGGCCAATCAAATGTAGCCATCCGTTTGAACCATGGTTCAAATAAGGCAAACATCCAGCTGTAACCAACCAGGCTGTTTCTGTACTTCATTTCTGTTTTCTGTCCATCACTTTCCTTTTACTTTTTTTTTTTTTTTTTGAGACGGAGTTTTGCTCTTGTTGCCCAGGCTGGAGTGCAATGGCACGATCTCAGCTCACTGCAACCTCCGCCCTCTGCCTCCCGGGTTCTGGTTTTTTTACTTGTTTGTTTTGTTTTTGAGATGGAGTCTCACTCTGTTGCCCAGGCTGGAGTGCAGTGGTGCAATCTCGGCTCACTGCAACCTCCGCCTCCTGGGTTCAAGCAATTCTCTTGCCTCAGCCTCCCAAGTAGCTGGGATTACAGGCGCCCGCCACCATGCCCAGCTAATTTTTGTATTTTTAGTAGAGACAGGGTTTCACCAGGGTGGCCGGGCTGGTCATAAACTCCTGACCTCAGGCGATCCACCCACCTTGGCCTCCCAAAGTGCTGGGATTACAGGCATGAGCCACCATGCCCAGCCATGTGGGTTTTTTTGTTTTTTTTTTTTTTTTTCCAGGACAAATTCTCACTCTGTCACCCAGGCTGGAGTGCAGTGGCGCCATCTCGGCTCACTGCAACCTCCATCTCCCGGGTTCAAGTGATTCTCCTGCCTCAGCCTCCCAAGTAGCTGGGATTACAGGCGCCTGCCACCTGATTTTTGTATTTTTAGTAGAGACAGGGTTTCACCACATTGGTCAGGCTGATCTCGAACTCCTGACCTCGTGACCTGCCCACCTCAGCCTCCGAAAGTACTGGGATTACAGGCATGAGCCACCACACTCGGCCTAATTGTTTGTGTTTTTAGTAGAGACAGGGTTTCACCATGTTGGCCAGGCTGGTCTCGAACTCCTGACCTCAGGTGATCCACCCGCCTTGGCCTCCCATAGTGCTGGGATTACAGTCACGAGCCACCGCGCCCGGCCCACTTTTCTTTTTCTGTCCATAAATCTTCTACCATGTGGCTACGCTAGAGTCACTGAGCATACTCTGGCTCAGGAGGCTGCCCGATTTGCAAATTGTTTGTTGCTCAATTAAACTCTTTTAAATTTAATTTAGCTGAAGTTTTGATTTTATCACAGCTTTGTACAAAAGGGGCAATGAAAAACGTGCTGCTAAGGGACAGAGGCAGCTTGACTGCAGAACCTGCGCATCCACGGAGCTTGCAGAGAACTGCAGACCAACCGAACCCTCTGCACTTTTGCGAAGGAGTTCAGCAAAGAGAAGGGACCATTCACATGAGCCATTAGCTAAACAATATCAAATCAAAAGGTCATAGTAGAATTCACAGGTATCTCAGAAAGTCTTTTAAAAGTCAGTAGTATATTTAGGATAAATCACAATGCAAAAAAATATATACACATCTTTATAATTTTTTGGCAATTTCCCTTTTTTTTTTTTTTTTTTTTGAAACAGCGTTCTCACTGTGTCACCCAGGCACTGCAGCCTCGACTTCCTGGGCTCAAGTGATCCTCCCGCCTTACCGCCTTAGTCCCCCTAGCAGCTGAGACTACGGGTGTGTACCACCATGCCCGGCTAATTTTTGTATTTTCAGTAGAGACGAGGTTTCACCATGTTGGCCAGGCTGGTCTCAAAGTCCTGAGTTCAAGCAATCCACCTGCCTCAGCCTCCCAAAGTGCTGAGATTACAGGCATAAGCCACCATGCCCAGCCAATTTCCCAATGTTCTATGATGATTTCTTATTTCTAATAAAAGTAGCACGAGTCAAAAAGGAGGAAAACATACAAAATGTCTCATGAAGCAATGATACAGACATTTAAATATTCCCTGCAACTCCCACCATACCTCTGACAGAACACCAGGCAGTATCAACTATATTCCCTCCCCTCCTTCCAATGTGTATTTTTTAAATGAAGATTAAAGCCAAGGTTCTCCTTCTCCTTCTGGAGTCAGCTCACAAATGCTTGTGCCAACCCCACTTCCTTTTTCCTCAGTTAAGGTAGTTGGGGAAATATTCCTCTTTCTGTTTTCAGTTTAAGGAAAGGTTACAGCTGCTTGGTGATACAGGCAGGCCACAGCCCAAGAACCTGGGCACCCATTTCACCAGTTTTATAAAACAATATAAAGTCATGTCCTTGTTCTTTGAGGGGGTGGGACAGGACATAAGACAGGCTCCCCAAGTCCCCCGGGCAGGACTCCTGTCGTTAACCCACTCATGCCCACCTCCGGGGCTGATCCCAGGAAGACTGACGGCCAAACTCTCCCGGGAACAGCTGAAGAAAGCGAAACTGGGTCCATCCCTGCTGATCCTTTGTTCTTTGCCTTGGAGATCTGAGAGTTAAGAAATAAAGTCCAAACAGTAACACTGACTGATTTTGAGTCTTTGCTGTGGCGGGGCGCGGTGGCTCATGCCTGTCATCCCAGCACTTTGGGAGGCTGACGCTGGTGGATCACCTGAGGTCAGGAGTTCGAGACCAGCCTGGCCAACATGGTGAAATGCCATCTCTACTAAAAATACAAAAATTAGCCGGGCATGGTGGCGGGCACCTGTAATCTCAACTACTCAGGAGGCTGAAGCAGGAGAATCACTTGAACCTGGGAGGCGGAGGTTGCAGTGAGCCGAGATCACACCACTGCACTCCAGCCTGGGCAACAGAGCGAGACTCCGTCTCAAAAAAAAAAAAAAATGAGTCTTTGTTGTATTGGTGCTGGTTCTAATAGTGTATCAAAGTAGAAGGGCCCAGTCCATCAACTGTGCTTTCAAAACAACCCTTTAAATGATTACAACAATCTTGCCGTCTTCCCCCAGAAAGTAAAAGCAAACATCCTGCCCTTTGTACTTCCCAACTGTGAAAAATTATCTGGCTTAACTTCCATTGTCAGGGTGAGCAAAGGGTTCCTCAAAGGAAGCTCTGACAGCAGGGACGTGGCAGAGGAAGCTGAAGGGGGATCTTTCTGACTTCTGAACTGGTCTTGCTGGCAGGTCCAGCTGGTGGGTCCAGACAGTGAGGCCAGCATTCTATCATGAAAAAACACAGCTGCAACGGATGAACGCACAACCCTAGCCAGAGCAGATGGCTGTGGGTAAATGTTAATTAGTATTAAATAACACCAGATGAGCTTGAGTAACTGATGTAAGGGTCAGGCTAAATAGGTTACTTCCTTTGTCATTTTTTTTCTGACAAGCCCAGCTTTCTTCTATGAGGATTCTACATATTTTCATAGATTTATTTTCCTTCAGCCAAAAACCTTAAAGTCTTCATAGTAAGTAAAGGATTTCTAGTGCAGTAGGAGAGAAAGCACAGTGCATCTGTCACATAACGGCCCCAGCTCCTGCTTGGGCAGACCTGGACACAGGCCTCTTGCTCCTCCCATCTTCTTGATGTCTTCAATCATGTCCCTGGGCTCCCTCTTCATCACAGTCACAGTTCCAAGATCCACTCTATATCTAAAGGACTCCCTCACCTCCAGCCTCAGGCACCCAAAATTCTAGTCCAAAAAGTACAGCCAGCCGTGCAACATCTAGCACAGTAAACTCAACACTTGCAAAATTGAACTTCTCATCTTCTCCTCTTCCCCCAGAAACTAGCTCCACTTTTCCCATGGATATTCTTTCAGAAGCTCAGGCAGCTTTTCACTTCTCTCAGCTACCCCAACTTCTCTGTCTACCCCAACCTCTCTGTCTACCCCAACTCCATCAGTCAGCAAGTTTGGCCAGTTCTCGCTCTGCAGTGCACTCCATCTGCCCTTACCCAGTCATGCCTATCACCAGCTACCCAATCTGACCCTTACCTCAAAGACAGCAAGAGCTTGCTCCCAGGTGTCCCTGCCTGTGGTCTCTCCCCATTGGTAACGTGATAGATGCAGGATTCAAAACTAAGACTGACTCTAAAGCTGCTCCCTCCTCGCCTCAAAAAAACCCTTCAGTCCTCCAATGCCTATCATTCGAAGTCCAAACTCCCTAACCCCCCAATTCAAGCTTTCCTAAATCTAACAATCCAACCTTGCCAGAGTTCCTCCTCCACTCACATGGGTGACATCCCTAACCCCATTAAATGTGATATGTTTCCACATTGGTGTCAATTATTCTGCCCAACCAAAATGACCTTCTCCTAGTTCCATGCTTGTCTAAATCTCACCTCTTTCGGTGGTGGCTCACGCCTGTTATCCCAGCACTTTGGGAGGCCAAGGCGAGTGGATGACCTGAGGTCAGGAGTTCGAGACCAGCCTGGGCAACATGGTGAAACTCCATCTCTACTAAAAATACAAAAATTGGCTGGGTGTGGCGACGCACACCTGTAGTCCCAGCTACTCAGGAGGCTGAGGCAGGAGAATTGCTTGAACCCAGGAGGTGGAGGTTGCAGTGAGCCAAGATTTTGCCACTGCACTCCAGCCTGGGCAACAGAGTAAGACTGTCTCAAAAAGAAAAAAAAAGGTGGGGGAGGGGGGAGGGATAGCATTAGGAGATATACCTAATGTAAATGACGAGTTAATGGGTGCAGCACACCAACATGGCACATGTATACATATGTAACAAACCTGCACGTTGTGCACATGTACCCTAGAACTTAAAGTATAATAAAAATATATATATATATAGAAAGAAAAAAAAAACTCACTTCTTTTCATGACCTAGTTCAAGCTACAGCTCCCAAACTATAGCAATTATTCAAAAGTTATTTAGAAACTAAGTACTGTGACTATGACATCTTTTCTGTTATTGTCTTGAATTTAAACTCCTAGTAGGGAACCCTCATATATTGCTGGTGGGAATTTAAAATAGTGCAGCCACTTTGGAAACAGATTGGCAGTTTCTTTAAAAACTAAACATAAACTTACCATTTTTACCACAGATTCCTAGGTACCTATCCAAAAGAAATAGAAACTTACGTTCACACAGACTTGCATGCTAATGTTCAGAGCAGCATTATTCATAGTAGCCAAAAAAATGGAACTTAAATGTGTCATCATGTGATGAATGTATAGATAAAATGTGGAATATCTGGCCAGACTCATGCCTGTAATCTCAGCACTTTGGGAGGCCGAGGCAGGCGGATCACCTGAGGTCAGGAGTTCAAGACCAGCCTGGCCAACATGGCAAAACCCGCCTGGCCAAGATGGCAAAACCCTGTCTCTACTAAAAACACAAAAATTAGCTGGGCGTGGTGGCACACACCTGCAATCCCAGCCATTCGGGAGGTTGATGCAGGAGAATCACTTGAACCCGGGAGGCAGAGATTGCAGAGAGCAGAGATCACGCCACTGCACTCCAGCCTGGGTGACAAAGCAAGACTGCGTCTCAAAAAAAAAAAAAATGTGGAATATCCAAACAATGGAATACTACTTAGCAATAAAAAGGAACAAACTAACGTATGTTATGAACCTTTAAAACATTATGCTAAGCGAAAAGACATAAGAGATCATATACTGTAGGAGTCTATTTCTATGAAATATCCAGAAAAGGCAAATTTATAGAGATGAAAATTAGATTAGTGTCGCCTAGGGCTGGCAGTAGGAGCAGGGATATTTTGGGGAGATTAAAAAAAAGTTCTAAAACTGATTTATGGTGATGCTTCCACCACATGGTAAATTAAATCACTGAATCATACACTTGATATGGGTCAATTTTACATGTGAATGTATTTCAATAAAGCTGTTAAAAATAGATCATAGTAGGCACTCAAATATTAGTTGAATATTTAACCTCTTACCTGTTTAATCTCTTTTCTCACCACCTCCTCCCCTGCAACTAGAACTAAACATCTTGAGGGTGAGGACCAAGTCTATTTATTTTCATGCTTATTTTTATGACAAACCACACTTAGCCCAAAGTTAAACACACACTTTGTGCTCTTAACTATTTGCGGATTTGATGTTTGTCTTGTCAGGCTATGAAGGGATGCCATGCAAGAGCATCCAGGAAGAAATGGTCTGTTGCAATGTCGAGGCAAAATAACTGGGTTCTGAACAGCAGCGCTTTCATTTCATAACTATGAACTCACAGCAAGTTAATTGCCCTCTCTAAGCCAAGTCTAAAATAGGGAAAATAGTAGTAGCTACCTCACATAGTTGTCTTATATAAGGACAAAATGAGATAATTAAACAAAATGTTTAGCCCAGCCCATGGAACACATAGAGCTCGCTGAATGTTGGCTTAAAATGTAACACAAATCCAACACAAATGCACACATACCAGAGAACTCTGTCAAACAGGAGAGTGGTCCTGGGGCACCTTCTCTCCCTCCCAAGCCAATTGGTGTTCATGTGTATATGGAAGTATTACAACTATATATTTAACAAATTGAACTAAACATACCCCCAAACTTCAGTATTTTGTCTATCCATTCCTGACTCTCATCCTACAAGATAGGATTTCACTTCCGACCCCCTTGTGGTTTAGCAGGGCCACGTGTCTACCTTTAAACAATGAATTGAAGCCGGGTGTAGTGGCTCACACCTGTAATCCCAACACACTGGGGGGCCAAAGTGGGACGATCACTTGAGCCCAGGAGTTTGAGACCAGCCTGGGCAACATAGTGAAACCCTGTCTCTATAAAAAATTTTAAATATTAGCCAGGCATGGTAGCCTGCACCTGTAGTCCCAGCTATTGATACTAGGCAGGCTGAAGAGGGAGGATCGCTTGAGCCCAGGAGGTGAAGGTTGCAGTGAGCCCAGATTGCACTAATGCACTCCAGCCCTGGTGACAGAGCCAGACTATCTCCAAAAAAAAAAAAAAAAAAAAAAACAATAATTGTCAGAGTGACCAGATCATGTATTTGTGCAAGACACTCCACAGCTCCCTCCCTCTCCCACTAAAACTAGCAATGGTCCAGTTAGTGGCTGCTCTGTCACCCTACATAAAGACAACGTGGAACAGATCCCCAGCTAAGCTGCAATGGAGAGGGAATGTGAGTGAGAAACCTTGTTCTTTGCCTATGAGCTCTGGTGGTGTTCCCACAGGATAACCTAGCGTAACCTGACAGATTAGTCATGGAGCTCCCAGGCTGTAGATTATTTTAAATCCCTCACCCCAAAACTTAAGACCCTTTATTCCCTGGCTTCTGAAACAAGCCACTCTTCCCATTCTGTTAGCCTCTCTGACCATTTCTCCACTTCCTCATGGACTCCATTTCCTCTGCCTACCTTGTTAAGCCATGCTGTTAACCAAGAATTTGTCCCCAGCTTGTGACTCTTCTCATTCTACACGTTCTCCAGGGAGATCTTACCCACTTTTGATTTATCCACCTGCCGCTCCAGTGTCATAAATCCAACACATCCAAAAGCAAATGCATCAGCTGCCCAGCCCCCTCCAGACATGCGATCTTCCTACACTCCTCACCTCAGTGAATGGCACCAAACCTGAGCCAGAAACCTGGCAGCGATGCTAGATTCCTCCCCGTCCCGTCCCATCTCGTCCTACTACCCGCACCCAGCCCACTCAACCAACCCACCAGTCCTGGCAATTTTACCGCCTTTAAATGTTTGTTATTGCTGTTGTTGTTGTCCAGGGGAAGGGACATTGTTTATTTCTGCTTGTTTGATGCTTATTACAGTAGATACTTAAAAAAAAAAAAAAATTATTTCAGGCTCAGGGAAAGTCTTATTTTGGTGTCAGCCCTGACTGTGATGCTCTATCTGAAAAGGAGGACAAACAGTTTAATCCAGACCAAGAAACAAGCAAACTTTAATTTCCGAGTACACAATTATGAAACTATGCCAGTAGCGACCTGCATGTTTGTCTCATCTCTTTAGCCACTTAAGTTCTCAAAACACTGCCAAAGCTTTCCTTCTCTATTAAACTCCCTTAAGCATTACTCATACTATTATTCAAGTTTAAGATGTGGCAAATCTCCCCAAGTGTATATGGCTGGTTCTCTTCTTATAAATGAATCCATAAGACAGTGTCCCCTAATTCATCTCTATTTTCTCTAACCTGCTTGATTTTCTAAAATTGGAAAAAAGTAATTCCGGTATACTAAAACCAGAGCCCAGGTTTCTCAACATCTTCAGTTAAATGACTTTTAATTCCCCAATCAAGGTATAACACACAAATGTTATCTGCGCTTTACAGTATAGAACTCTGAGTGGCTGGTGTCTTTTGGTTAGTGTAACCATTACACAGCAGTATCTGCTTGTCACCCCGGTCTTCTTTAGCCTCAAAAAATATTCAGAATTTGTTATGCACATGGGAGATTTCTTACAGCAGCACACTCACTTACAAAAAGACCAAAAAAATTTTATTGCTTTACAACAAGCCAGCAACAAACACAACTGAATAGTTATAAACATGACACTTCTAAATCCTCAAATGGAATTCCAAGACCAGAGTGTGCTTCTCCACTTTAATAGCATTTGTTAAAACTGAAATCCACAACTTCTGGCAAGTACTTCAATATTCTCAAGCAGAATCAATACTTAAAGAGGTTAAAAGAAAAAACTATTATCAAACGTATTGTCTGTGGGATGATCTAATTTAAAAGCCTTTCATGCTTGATCCTGGCAGTGCTATTACTGCACATTTTAAGTGACCATCATGGGCACTTTTAAGAACCTAACTTCACAAAAAGAGCTGTCACAAGAAAATTGTTCTAAAATCCCAATGCACAGTAACTCATGCCTCATTTCAACTGCTTTCCTCATGATGAAAAAATGTAGTCAGCCTTTAACTTGGCCTGATAAAAGCTGTGAAAGGTATGCCAAATGGCCCCTTGTACAAACAGGAAGCCCAAATTGTTGATCAGGCAAGAAAAGGTGACACTTTTAGATACTTCATATTATTCTGGAAAGCACTTTCCTTTCAGTGGGTGCAAAATAACTACGGATTAAGTCACCATTTTAATCATCTCAATTCAATAGCAAGAGTTTCCTGGCACATACTCTTAGTACTACCTGAAAATTGGGGCGTGTGGGGAAGACCACCAACAGTATTTACATGACTTGCCCCAAACTGTACATTTAAAACATGACTGTTGGGATAGTCACCAACAACCTGAAATTTCTTACTCTAAAACACATTACCAAATCCCACTGATTTATTTTGTGTGTGCTTTCGTGGTTTTTGTTTTTATATAGAGATGGAGTCTCACTTTGTTGCCCAGGCTGGTCTCGAACTCCTGAGCTCAAGCAGTCCCCCTGCCTCGGCCTCCCAGTGTGCTGGGATTACAGGTGTGAGCCACCACGCCCGGCCTGACTTATTTATAATTCACTATTTTATCTTTCTTCCAGACAAAGCAAAGCATTTTTCTCTAACAACATAATAGTCAGGATTTTGCTTATTAACTTACGTGGGTGGCTTTATACTCCCAGAACAAATGATCTAGCTGACTACTAGGAAAAAGGTTTCATAGTTTAGGAATATATCACATCACGTGTTAGTTCCAAATGTACATGAAGACAATTTTTAATTGCTGCAATAGCAGAATATTAAGGCAACATCAGAAAGCAGAGGTGTTTTAAAACACTAAGCCCTACTCCCTGCCTGGTGGAAAACAAAATGATGTTACTAAATCCCTTAATACAAAAACTTTCCAAAATAATCTGTTGAGCTTGACTTCGCAGTTTAATCTTTTACAGTTTGATGGCAGTGAGAGAGAACCTGCAGCTATAATTCCCTTGGCAAAAGAATTCAACATCTGATTTACTCACAATGCTTAAAATAAGGAAGGGAAAATATAAAATAAGTTTTCCTTGCTTGGCAACCATCTTTTTAATTATCTATTTTTATACTGTATCCAGGCTATGCCTGGGTGTGGATGGCTAACTCGCATATAGAAAATATCAAGCATCACATCTGGAAGAATCACAAACGAGACAATGAACTTCTCAATCAGTACATCAACAGTCAAGGTAAGCAAGAAAAGGACTTTACCAAGAAACTAACATTTACACTTTCTGACGGAACTGAAATACACTGAATTACAGGCATATTCACTGAAACAACAAAAAAAATTCTGTCCATGTAAAGGCTATATTTTTTACCCCCAAAAAAGTGTTTCAATTCTGATACTCACACCACAACTGGTTAAGAAAATAAAGCGCAGTGTTTAGCAACTGAGCATCCTAACTACCGTAAGAGGCACTCTGTGCTCACCCCTTCCTGGCAACCGCTGAGGTCAGCAAGGCCAGGAGCAAGGAGAGCCTCCTATTTTTCAACACAAGCTGCTGCCGTCTCCTTATTAAAGCCCCGGATGGAGAGATCATAGACCACTTCCTCTACTTTCTTCACGTCATATTTCAATCCGTCGTAGCGCTTCCTCAGGGAGTCATTTTTCAGGTTGAGAAGGCGAAAACCGGAATCCAGCTCATTGATGAAGGTGGAGATGTGGAGGGGTCGGGAGTAGTCTCCAGCAGTCACGCTGTTGACAGACAGCCTCGACTGTACCAGGAAAGAGAAAACAGGGGCTTGTTACAACATGGCTCCTTCTCAGCGCATCTTCCTCTGAATCACAACCAGAAGAACCGCAAGCCTAGACAGCCACGCTGATCTTCTATCTCAGGGTACACACAAGTACAGACAAGACAGGAGCTTCTCTGAAAAGAATCCCACTGAAAATGAGACCAGTTCTGCCAAGTAAAATTTAACATTACTAACATCTAAAATTTCTCTAATTTCTTAAACTGGCTATTGCATAATAAAGTGTTACATTACACAAGCATCTTTACAGCTCATCTGCTATCATATCGAAGAAAGAAACGACAAAATAATCACAGCAGCTCCACTACCTCTTCCAACCTTGGCCAAATGATCACATTTCTAGAGCCCACCTACTAAGCTGCAACTCCAGTCACCTAGAATCAAGTAAGGCAGACTTGGGATAAGAATCTAAAATTATGTTAGTGTAACCCTGTCTTGAAGGAGAACTAACATTGATTTCAAGACCCAACCCAAGACTCCCCTTCTCGGTGTCAGTATACAACCCCCTACTGCTCCATTTGACTGGCTTTAAAAAATATATTAAAATAATAAAAAAGATTCCCCTTTCTGTAAAATCCTCTCCACTTTTCCAGGCTTACCCCTTTAGTGCACTGTCAACATACGGGTTTTTTGTTTGTTTGTTTGTTTTTAATATAGAGAAGGGGTCTTGCTTTGTTGCTTAGGCTGGTGTGGAACTCCTGGCCTCAAGGGATCCTCCCACCTTGGTCTCCAAAACTGCCAGCATTACAAGCGTAAGCGACTGTGCCCGGCCCCAACATGTATGGTCCTAAAGACACCTTACACTTAACTAATACTAACAAGATGCTTCCTGTTTACTGGTCAGGTGTCTCCAACAAGCCAGACAAGTGGTACAGCCTACAAGTGGACCCCATCATCCATTCTCACCATCTTCCTCAGGTTTTCAATGCACACATACCCACTCCAATAGACTCCATTTCTGCCTCCCTGCAGGCAAGGCACCAGAATGTTAACAGAAGTTGTGTGTACAACTTCAAAGAAATGTCCTTAAAGCGGGAGGGCATACCATTTTCCCTATTTCCTCCTACTGCTGGCTAGAGTGAAGATGTGACTAGAGCAACAGTTCTGGAACATAAGAAAGAAGCTGAAGCTAGAAGAACCTAGGGCCAAAGATCAAGGAATCATCAGACCAGCCCTGGACTGCTTTCCTCTGGAGCAAGGACAAGCAAACTTTTTCTTAACGAGCCAGATAGTAAATATTTTCACCTCTGCAGACTGGCACAGTCTCTATCACAACTACTCAATTTTGCTACTGACAGCTTTTTTTTTCTTTAGACTTTTACAGGGCAATTTCCCTAGATAGTGGTTAAAGGAATAAAGGATAAGAATAACTTAGTTATATAGACAAATGAGTGTCCAAAACAATTACATGGATTAACAGTTACCAGGAATAAATGTTTTGCCACTACCCTAAAAGGAAGAGGTCTTATCATCGGTTAAAAATTCTTAACTCAGTAAGTATGCACTCATCATTTGATCTGGCTTTTCTCTGATGCCTAGTAAATTGTAACACATACAGTGCCAGTCAGTGACTACCTGGTGACCGAGAGATGGCTTAGAAAAGAATTAAGACGTTCTGAATTTTGGTACCCATTTTAAAAACAGACAGTGGGCCAGGCACAGTGGCTCACGCCTATAATCCCAGCACTCTGGGAGGCCAAGGTGGGCGGATCACGAGGTCAGGAGATCGAGACCATCCTGGCTAACACGGTGAAACCCCGTCTCTACTAAAAATACAAAAAAAAATTAGCCGGGTGTGGTGGCGGGCGCCTGTAGTCCCAGCTACTCAGGAGGCTGAGGCAGGAGAATGGCATGAACTCGGGAGGCGGAGCTTGCAGTGAGCCGAGATTGCGCCACTGCACTCCAGCCTAGGCGACAGAGCGGGACTCTGTCTCAAAAAAAAAAAAAAAAAAAAAAACTGACAGTGAAGCAGAAAGATCAAAAAAGCAACCAGCAAGTTACTGAGCTTACCAGTTCACTGGCAAGAATTAGAACTCCTGAGAGATAATCTTCTACATCCAGATGAAATCCTTTCTCCCGATCTGGCTCAACTAAAAAACACATGAAAATAAAGTCATGCTGTGAATGCAAGTTAAGCCTCAGAATATAAAAATATACACATAATTTCTCCCAAAGTAAGTGAAGAAAGGATGAATCTTTTAAAAACTGGCTTTTTAATATATTCACAACCTTGGCAACTAGACCTCACTATGGATTTTTTGAGTTCTTAAGCAAAATTCAATTCAGTCTTCCCTCAAAAATACTATCAAAAACAGTATCTAGTTGTGTCACAGAATATACTTCTTGTTAGAAAGCACATGATAAAGCATTTCAGAAAGGAGTTACGATATTTGCAACTTTCAAATGGCTGACAAAGACACACACAAAATGAGAAGATTAAGCAGATGTAGCAAAATGTTAACAAGTGGTAAATCTAAGTGGCATGTAAACAGGTATTCATTGTACTATTCTTTCAATTTTTCTGTAGGCTTGAAATTTTTAAAAATTCAATTTTAAAAACTAAAGCAAGTGCAAATGTGTTTGCCATTGTTATTTTTAGCTTTTACATTTCCAGGTAGAGTCGGCCCTCTGCGCTAACCAACTATGGATAGAAAATATTTGGGAAAAGGCCAGGCGTGGTGGCTCATGCCTGTAATCCCAGCACTTTGGGAGGCCAAGGCGGGCAAATCACGAGGTCAGGAGTTCAAGACCAGCCTGGCCAACATGGTGAAACCCTGTTTCTACTAAAAAAATACAAAAAATTGGCTGAGTGCGGTCACTCACGCCTGTAATCCCAGCACTTTGGGAGGCTGAGGCAGGCGGATCACCTGAGGTCAGGAGTTCAAGACTAGCCCGACCAACATGGAGAAACCTCATCTCTACTAAAAATACAAAATTAGCCGGGTGTGGTGGTGCATGCCTGTAATTCCAGCTACTCAGGAGGCTGAGGTAGGAGAAATGCTTGAACCCAGGAGGTGGAGGTTGTGGTGAGCTGAGATTGCGTCATTGCACTACAGCCTGGGCAACAAGAGCAAAACTCCATTTCGGAAAAAAAAAAAAAATACAAAAAATTAGCTGGGCATAGTGGCAGGCACCTGTAATCCCAGCTACTCGGGAGGCTGAGGCAGGAGAATCACTTGAACCTGGGAGGTGGAGGTTGCAGTGAGCGGAGATTGCACCACTGCACTCCAGCCTGGGCGACAGAGACTCTGTCTCAAAAAAAAAAAAATATTTACATAGCACTTATACTGTATTAGATATTTTAAGAAATCTAGAGATGATTTAAAGTATGTGGGAGAATGTGTATAGGTTATATGCAAATACTACACCAGTTATATAAGGGACTTGAACATCCTCAGATTTGGGTATTGGAAGAGCTCTGGAAGCATCATCCTCAGATACCAAGCTACAACTATAAGTGGTTTTTAGTTAATTCTTGTTTGTTTTAATAAACAAAGTACAACCACCCTTTCCACCAAAAAGTAAGCAACCATGCCTGATTCTGCAGATCCCACTAATAAAGACACTTACTGCCAAGAATTTCTGTAACTGCTTCTCGAGTCACTAGTGTTTCTGTTTCCAAATACACAACAAATGCTGCCAAGAAGACCAAGCGCTGCAACACAAACCTCCAGTGCTCATGAAATCTGCATGAAAATAAGCACATTTAGCCTCCAAGGTTAGGGACCTTCAGAAAGATGGGTTTAATACAGCCATGTTCAAACGGTTTAGAAATGCGATCATTTTTCAAATAAAATCTTACACAAACCCCCAATATATAAAGAGAAATATGACATTTAGCATTAATTTTACAAGTTCGAATTTATAACAATTAAGTTTAATCAGTGACAAATATGGTCTAATTTTGATGAGTATGAAAATTTACGCCGGGTGCGATGGCTCACGCCTGTAATCCCAGCACTTTGAGAAGCAGAGGCAGGTTGATCAATCTGAGGTAAGGAGTTCAAGACCAGCCTGGCCAACATGGCAAAACCCCCTCTCTACTAAAAATACAAAAATTAGCCAGGCGTGGTGGCAGGCGCCCATAGTCCCAGCTACTCGGGAGGCTGAGGCAGGAGAACTGCTTGAACCTGGGAGGCAGAGGTTGCAGTGCGCAAGATCACACCACTGCACTCCACCCTGAACGACAGAGCGACACTCCGTCTCAAAAAAAAAAAAAAAAAGACAGAAAAAAGAAAACTGAAGATTACAGATGACAAGAGCAATTGTGCCTTCTAAATTTAATCAGTAAGAACAGTGATACTGCTCTGAAAAAAATAAAAATTTGTAACTGATGATTGAAGACAACTGCAGTTATGTATCATCCTCAACGTATTCCTCCATTTTGATTTGAGTGCAGAATACCAAGAAAATTCTGATTCACAAAATTACCATTTGCAATCACTAAACAAATGCACTTAAAATAGAATACTGAGCTAGAAGCCTGAAAAAAGGAAATTTTACAACCTGTGGATATTTATGCAATGCCTCCTGATTCTCAAATGTGGCAATACATTCAAAAAAAAGGTCTCAACATAATGCAGGTCACACAAACCCTTCTGAAGGCCAAATCCAGCCAGAGGGCAGCCTGTGTGTGACCTCCAGAGAAGATGGTCTCTAAAGACCCCACCTGTTCTACTGTCCTACCTCTCTCTGTGCTTCAGCTATTACAACAGCAGTCCCTGACCTTTTCAACACCAGGGACTGGTTTCATGGAAGACAATTTTTCCACAGAAGGGGGGCGGATGGTTTCAGGATGAAACTGTTCCACTTCAGATCATCAGGTATTAGATTCTCATAAGGAGCATGCAACCTAGATCCCTCGCATGCACAGTCCACAATAGGGTTCGCACTACTATGAGAATCGAATGCTGCCACCAATCTGACAGGAGGTGGAGCTCAGGCAGTACTGCAAGTGATGGGAAGCGGCTGTAAATACAGATGAAGCTTCACTCGCTCACCTACCGCTCACCTCCTTCTGTGCATCCCAGTTCCTAACAGGCCACAGACCAGTACCAGTCCATGGCCTGGGGGTTGGGAACCCCTGCCTTACAGCAAGGATCAGCAAATGTTTTCTGTAAAGGGCCAAGTAGTAAATATTTTAGGCTTTGTGGGACGCTTTCACTGTTACATATTCTTATCTGGGATTTTCTTTTTTTTAACAACTCTTGAAAAAACAAAAGCAATTCTTAGCTCCCAGAGGCAGCAGCCACTAGTGGTTTGTCAACCTCTCCCTTAAAAGAATATTCTCATAAGGTTATACTACCCACCCCCTGAAAATACTCATCCTATTTACTGCTGATATATACGTCTTAAAAGAACATCTTTTTCAGTAAGAAAATTAAAATAAGTAGAAACTTTTGATTCAGGTGCAGTTTTTCCCAGTTTAACACCTATGAAACCAGGAGACATTTCACAATCCATGTTTCACAAGTTGTTTTTTTTTTTTAGATGGAGTCTCACTCTGTTGCCCAGGCTGGAGTGCAATGGCACAATCTTGGCTCACTGCAACCTCCGCCTGCCTGGTTCAAGCGATTCTCCTGCCTCAGCCTCTGAAGTGGCTGGGGTTACAGGGATAAGCCACCACACCTGGCTAATTTTCGTATTTTTAGTAGAGACGGGGTTTCGCCATGCTAGCCAGGCTGTCTCAAACTCCTGACCTCAGGTGATCTGCCCACCTAGGCCTCCCAAAGTGCTAGGATTACAGGTGTGAGCCACCACGCCTGGCCCATGTTTCACATTTATGACTGGCAAAATTTTCCTTCCCTACTGGTACATAAAATAATGGTGTATCTTAAAATCAACAGTGTTGATTTTAATAAGAAAACATGGCATAAAATATTAGCTAATTACATCACTTGGCAGTGAAATTCAAGCTTCAAAGTAAAACTCGACTCCATATATATACTGCCACCTAATCTCATTATTTCACTAACTATAGTTCATCCAATTTCACAAGAAACTTGAATATAGCAAAAAGATATTCTCACTTTTGACCCTCATACCACATTTTCTTTTTAATTGCTTTTTCACTGCAAAAGTAATACATGTTCCTTAAGATTTAGACAGTAAAAAGAAGAAAAAAATAAAATCACCAATTTTTGTCATGACCATTATTAGTTCGGTTTTTTCTCTTTTTGTTACTTCTACACAGGATGTTTGCCTAGTTGTAAGCAATCATTTGGTACACATAATTTTTCTCCTTTTTTTTACTTAACATTATAAAATAATGCTATTTTTCTTACAAACCTGTAATACTGTTCAGCAGGAAATTTGGTCTTCAAAGATGTTAGATGTGTTTTTACTGTACCAAAATGTTCTCGAGCTTTCAAACACCTCTTTGGAACTAGTCACAAAAGATAACCAAATGAAAAACTTAACCAAATTTCAAATACAGTTCTTGCTTAATAATCTAAGTAATCTATCTGGAAATTAATCAACAAAAAAACCTCACAACTAACGTACACATCTGTGCTTTTCAACCTGGCTTTCAAAATATCATCCCCAGTTTCCCTACTAATTAGCTATACTGAAAAATAAACAACTTGCTAAAAGGGAATATATTAGGAGACACACTGGTAATTGGTTTGGTTGTCATAAATAACGTCATCCTTAAGGAGATGCACACCAGCTGCTATTCCTGTTCACTCCTCAGAGGATGCCTAAAATTGGATTGCTTCTTCCTCCCATATTTGGCAGAAAAAAGCCTTTACCAAGTATTCACAATCAGGATGACCAACTCCGTATCATTAAGAAAAATCACTTGCCTCTGGCACGTGTAAATGCATTATTATATCATTCTTGTATCTGAAAATATACTTCAGCTCCTTTAGCTGTGCTGGCAATACCTTACAATGAAGGTTCCATGTCTAAACTTGACATATTTTATTTTCATTCAAGAGGCTGATTATAAACACATTAATTTGAGAACATTTTATACTGTTAATCTCATATTAAAAGGTATTCAATCACTGAAAGGCTGGATTCAAATACACACAGGTGCATATACACACATACACACATACACACACACACACACAAAGGGCCAAATAAAAGTCACTAGATAACACAAAAGAGTTACAAACCCTTGGGCCAGGTGCAGTGGCTCACGCCTGTAATCCCAGCACTTTGAGAGGCCCAGCCAGGCGGATCATCTGAGGTCAGGAGTGCAAGACCAGCCTGGCCAACAAAGTGAAACCCCATCTCTAATAAAAATACCAAAAAAAAAAAAAGTAGCTGGGCGTGATGGCGGGCACCTGTAACACCAGCTACTCAGGAGGCTGAGGCAGGAGAATTGCTTGAACCCAGGAGGCGGAGGTTGCAGTGAGCTGAGATGGCACCACTGCACTCCAGCCTGGGCAACAAGAGTGAAACTCCGTCTCAGAAAAAAAAAAAATTAAAAAAATAATAATAAACCCTTTTCCCGCTTACCCTGAGAATACTGTGCTGGCAGAGAGCTGCACTTTTTTTTTCTAAACAGGAAATGGGTTAAGCAATTGTAATTATCATCAGTAGAATGCCCTCGCAATAGAAAACATCTCTGTTTAAACCATACTGTGTGGAAGTGGAAGAAAAATCAACCAAAATTATCAAATCACCTACTTCTTCAATTTTTACTCACCATAAAGCATGATAGCCATTTTTCATTATAAAATGTCTTCTGGATAGAAACTCTCCCTCTAAATAAGAGACTGATAATTGGATACAAAACAAAGAACTTACTGTCCTGAAACCCAGCACCCTGATGGACCCCTTGCAGTAGAGTTAAAATCTCTCGAGCTGTTTGTTCTAAACTCTGTACAACTTTTCTGATTTCCTAGAGAGAATTAAAAATAAAAATCAGATACTCAACAGAATCATTGTCATACACTCACACAAAACACATTAGATAGCTTATGTGATCTATCATAACCAAGTTTGAATCCTGACTTTTCCACTTATTTCCTCTGTAAGACTTCAAAAAGTCACTAAAAAGCCTTAGATTCCTCAGATACCCTTTAAAGAATAATAGCCACCCATTAAACCCAAGTATTCAATTGGGACATTATAATGGATGACGTGTGTGAACGCAACTTGCAAAATGAAGAGTTAAATGCAACACAAGAGTCGGGTATTTCTAATTCTTTTTTCTTTTTTTTTTTTTTTTTGAGACGGAGTCTCGCTCTGTCACCCAGGCTGGAGTGCAGTGGCGCGATCTCAGCTCACCGCAACCTCCGCCTCCCGGGTTCACGCCATTCTCCTGCTTCAGCCTCCCGAGTAGCTGGGATTACAGGTGTGCGCAACCATGCCCAGTTAATGTTCTTTTATATTTTTAGTAGAGACAGGGTTTCCCCATGTTGGCCAGGCTGGTCTCAAACTCCTTACCTCAGGTGATCTGGCCGCCTCGGCCTCCCAAAATGCTGGAATTACAGGCATGAGGCGCCGCTCCCCGCCTCTAATTCATTTTTAAAATATTCACTGAGCATACTTATGTGCGAGGCACTGTGTAAATACCGGGGAACCAAGCACACAATCCCTTCCCTCTGGCGGTTTAACATACAATGAGGGAGAAGATTTTTTTAAAATAATCAATATTACACACATTAAAAAAAGTTAATGTGCTACTAGAAAACATAACAGGAAATAGATCGCTTAGACTGTGACGCCAATGAGATAAATACGAGACAATCAGGAAAAGAACGGGAAAGAAGCAAATTCCAGGAAAAGCAAACAGGCAGGAAGCTATTTGGGGCACTAGAAGAGGTAAAGTGAACATCATACACAAAGACAGAGAGCATAAACGAGATTGAAGAGAAACCATGTGAGCCACAGTAGAGTCTGATTTTTTATCCTGTGTGGCATAGGAAATCACAGGAGAGTTTTAAGCAGATCACATGTGCTTTTAAGACACCAACAAAAATACACGAAACGCTCATTCGCTGAAGACCAGGTGCTAATCGAGCCTTCGATATAAACAAGTGCTGAAAAGAAGGAAAACTGACACAAACGAGGCAAGTGATGCTGAGAAGCTGAGACTCGAACACGGGGAATCAGGACAGAGCAGCAAAATTTTGGGCGGGGGCGGGGAGTGCCTAACCTAAAGCTAGAGGGGAAGCAACCCACCCTCGGAGGCGTCCCCACCGCCCGAGACTGAGCGACAGAGGAGGGCCGGGCGAAGTGGCCCAACTAGGCATGGAAAGGCAAAGGGAATGGGGAAGGGAGGGGGCTCGCCTCTCGGATGTCCTGCTCGGCAGCCAAAAAGCCCTGCAGCTCCACGAAGATCTCGCTCACAGACATGGCGCCGGCTGCACAACAATCAGCCAGTGTAGCAAGGGCGGCCAAGGAAGTGGACGCCGCAGGCAACCAGCGCAATCAATCGCAACGGCCGCCGCTACCGCCGCGTCCCCCCGGTCTTACGCCACGACCGTCGCTAGGGTCCTCCGAGGCTCGCGGCGCGCCGGAGGACGGGCTGTCCGCCGCGCTGCCTGAGGCGCCGTCCGCTGCGTTCGGAACCGAGGCGCGCGTCCAAAGGGCAGAGGAGAGGGAGAGTGGGCGGGGCCTCAGTCTGAGGCCTTCAGACAGGCATCGCCAGAAACAACCTGCGAAGGCGGCCCTCGGAGCACGTGGGCCTGAGGGAGGGCGGGGACGGGCGTGTAGGTGGTGCGGGCAAGTGGGGCTGGTTAGCTTATATGTGTGTATTTATTTCATACACAACAACAGTTGGAGGGAAATATTTGACAACGAAAGAGTATGCACAAAAAACAGGTGCAGAAGAATGTAGAGAGAGTTCAGCCTTCGTGAGAGAGTAGGGGGCCAGTGCATTTCCAAAAAAAAGGAAAATAAAAGTAACGTATGTAGGACTGTGAGTAGGGAATGGATTGGGAGCGAAAATTTTCTGTGTAGATCTTTTAATGTCTTCTCTGTATGGCTGTATTACCTATTTTTAAATTAAACGGCTTTTTTAAGCGTGTGCGGTGGGATGTTTCTCTTTCCACTCACACCTTGTCCTAATTCCCCTTCCATGCCCTATAACGGTTTCCCCTTTCATGCCCTATAACGGTTTCCCCTTTGTTCTTGAAGAGTTATTTCATACACACATACTGTGTGTGTGTTCTTGAACAGTTATTCCATACACAAATACAGTGTGTGTGTGTGTTGCACTCGCCAGATGAATTGGAATGATTCTTATCAACTAAATGATAATTTATTGCTTGCTTTGTTTCTGACATTATTCTAAACTCTTTACATGAAGGATCATATTTAATTCTCATTATATGAGAATAATTTCATGTCCATGAAGAAGACAGTAAGACCACTAGCACCTACATTTTTAAAAAACTATCGGCCGGGCGCAGTGGCTCACACCTGTAATCCCAACACTTTGGGAGGCCAAGGCGGGCAGATCACAAAGTCAGGAGTTCGAGACCAGCCTGACCAACATGGTGAAACTCCGTCTCTACTAAAGATACAAAAACTAGCCGGGCGTGGTGGCGCGCGCCTGTAATCCCGGCAACTCGGGAGACTGAGGCAGAAGAATCGCTTGAACCCGGGAGGCACAGGTTGCAGTTAGCCGAGATCACACCACTGCACTATAGCCTGGGCAACAGACTCCGTCTCAAAAAAAATAAAAAACCCTTTCTTATCTCGTGTTTGTTCTCCCAAAACCCATTCGTCTGTCCTAAAGAATCCTATTTGTTCTCATACAAACTTTCGTCACCTCTCCGTTTTACCTAGAGTTAGGCACACAAGCCACTAACTGGTTTTTTGTTTCTTTCTTTTCTTGTGTGGTTTTCGTTATTGTTGTTTTGTTCTGTTTCATTTTTTGGTCTCATTACGTTGCCCAGTCGGGTCTTGAACTCCTGGGCTCAAGAAATCCTCCTGCCTCAGCCTTTCAAAATGCTGGGATTACAGGTATCAACCACTGCGCCCAGACATAAACCTCTAACCATTTAGTAGGCTAGCTACTTATTTTGCTAGCTCCAGCATCCATGCAAATAAGCCTTTTTTGGGAGTGTCCTATAAAAAGTTTAATTAGACCCTATTAGTCGATGGTGTTGTTGAGTTCTTATATGCCCATGCTGATTTTCTGTTCCGTTAATCTGTCTTTTGTCAGTTTAATTTGCAGGCCCTGGCTGGGCATGGTGGCTCACACCTGTAATCCCACCACTTTAAGAGGCTAACGAGGAGGATCACTTGAGCCCAAGAGTTCGAGACCAGCCTGGGCAACATAGTGAGACCGCCATCTCTACAAAAAATGTTTTGAAAATTGGCTGAACATGGTAGCGCATGCCTGTGGTCCCAGCTACTTCAGAGGCTGAGGTGGGAGGATCACTTGAGCTCAGGATGCCACGGCTGCAGTGAGCCATGATTGTGCCACTGCACTCAAGCCTGGGTGACAGAGTGAGACCCTGCCTCAAATAAATAATTTTTTGGAGGCCCCCATAAACTGAACAAAATATAATAAAGAGAAAGCTTTTCCTTCCCAATACTAGCTTCATAAAGAACTGGAAAGTGTTCCCTTCTGGTCTATTATCTGGAAGAGCTTATGCAGATTGCTGTTTGTTCTTTAAGTAGTTGTAGAATTCTCTGCTGAAACCTTCTCCAACGAAACCTTCTTTGGAGATCTCTTTTGGGGAATTTTTATTGCAAATTCAATTTCCTAATAGTCATAGTGCTACTCAAAGTATCTTTTTCTTTAAGAGATGGGGTCTCGCTCTGTCAGCAGGTGATTCTTCTGCCTCAGCCTACCCAGTAGCTGGGACTATAGGCACATGCCACCACACCTGGCTAATTTTTGTCTTTTTTGGTAGAGATGGGGTCTGGCTATGTTGCCCAGGCTACAAAGTATCTATTTAATATTGGGTGAGCTATGGTAGCTGTGTTTTTTTAAAGGAATTGGTTCATTTAGTCTAAGTCATTTATTTGAATAGAGTTGTTTATAGTATTTCCTTATATTCTTTTGTCATCTTCAGGCTCTCTAGTGCCACCCTGTATTTCATTCCTGATAGAAAGAATTTATCCATTTTCTCTGTTTCTCTTTGTCAATCTTGCTGGAGGTTTATCCACTTTATTGATCTCTTAAAATAACTAGTTCTCTGTTTAATTTTTTTTTTTTTTTGAGATGGAGTCTCTGTCACTTGGGGTGGAGTGCAGTGACGTGATCTCGGCTCACTGCAACCTCCGCCTCCTGGGTTCATATGATTCTCCTGCCTCAGCCTCCCGAGTAACTGGGATTACAGGCGCGCTCCGCTGCACCCAGCTGATTTTTGTATTTTTAGTAGAGATGGGGTTTCACCATGTTGCCCGGGCCGGCCTTGAACTCCTGACCTCAGGTGACCCACCCACCTCAGCCTCCCAAAGTGCTGGGATTACAGGCATAAGCCACCATGCCCGATTCTGTTTCAATTCCATCAATTTCTACTCTTTATTATTTTCTTTTTTTTTTGAGACAGAGTCTCGCTCTGTCGCCCAGGCTGGAGTGCAGTGGCGCAATCTCGGCTCACTGCAAGCTCTGCCTCCCGGGTTCACGCCATTCTCCTGCCTCAGCCTCCTGAGTAGCTGGGACTACAGGCGCTCGCCACTGCACCCAACTAATTTTTTGTATTTTTAGTAGAGACAGGGTTTCACCTTGTTAGCCAGGATGGTCTCGATCTCCTGACCTCGTGATCTGCCCGCCTCGGCCTCCCAACGTGCTGGGATTACAGGTGTGAGCCACCGCACCCGGCCGTCTGCTCTTTATTATTTTCTTCTTTCTGCTCGTTTTGGTTTTATTTTACTCTTCTAGGTTCTTGAGATGGAGCTTAGATTATTAAGATTTTCCCACTTTTCTAATGGATGCATTTTAGTGCTGTTAACTTTCCCTCTGGGCACTGCTCTTAGCTGTGTACCACAAATTTTTGGTATGTTGTAGTTTCATTTTTATTTAGTTCAATGTATTTTTTAAATTTCTCTTGTGACTTCCTAATTGATTATCTAGAAGTATATGGTTTAATTTTCAAGTGTTTAGAGATTTTTCTGTTATTGTGTTATTGATTGCTAGTTTGAATCTATATAGTCAGAGAACGAGCTATGATTCAATTCTCGTAAATGTGTTAAGATTTTGTTTAAATAGTCCGGAATATGGTCTCTCTTAGTATATATTCCACAGGCAATTGAAAGGATCTGTTGTTGGGTGGAGTGGCAATTCGGCCCTTTTAGCTGTTGAGTTCTTCTATGCCCTGCTGATTTGTCTAGTTGTTCTATTAATTTCTTAAGGGATTTTCTACAGAATCAGTCATTTCATCTGTGAACAAATAGTTTTATTTCTTCATCCCAATCTATATACTTCCTATTTCCTTTTCCTGTCCTAATGCATTATATAGGACTTCCAGTAAGATATTGGATAGGAATGGAAAAAGGACATCCTTGCCTTCTTCCCAACCTTAGAGCCAAAGTGTCCAGTTTCTCACCCTTAACTATGATGTTAGCTGTAGGGTGTTGTTGTTGTTGTTATTATTGTTTGTTTGTTTGTTAGTTTTTAGAGGTAGGGTCTTACTTTATCACCCAGGCTGAAGTACAGTGGTATGATCATAGCTCACTGCAGCCTTGAACTCCTGAGCTCAATTGATCCTCCTGCCTCAGCTTCCAGAGTAGTGGGGACTACAGGTATGCACCACCATGCTTTAATAATTTTTTTTTAATTTTTTCGTAGACATGGGGTCTGGTCATGTTGCTCAGGCTAGTCTTGAACTCCTGGCCTCAAGGGATCCTCCTGCCTACGCCTCCCAAAGTGCTGGAATTATAGGCGTGAGCCACTGTGCCTGGCCTTGTTTTGGTTTTGGTTTTTTAAGAGACATGGTCTTGCTCTGTCACCCAGGCTGGAGTGCAATGACATGACCACAGCTCACTGCAGCCTTAACCTACTGGGCTCAAGCAATCTTCCCACCTCAGCCTCCCAAGTAGCTGGGACTATAGGTGTGTGTCATCCAGCCTAGCTAAATTTTTTTTATTTTTGGTAGAGATAGAATCTCACTGTGTTGCTCAGGCTGGTCCTGAACTCCTGGGCTCAAGCAGTTCTCTTGCTTTGGCCTCCCAACGTGGTGGGATTACAGGCATGAGCCACTGCACCTGGCCTTATTCTATCAATTGTCAATAGAGGGGTCTCTAACTATAATTATAGATTTTTTTTTTTTTTTTGAGACGGAGTCTCACTCTGTCACCAGGCTGGAGTGTAGTGGCACAATATCTACTCACTGCAACCTCCGCCTCCTGGGTTCAAGCAATTCTCCTGCCTCAGCCTCCCAAGTAGCTGGGACTACAGGTGCACACCACCACGCCCAGCTAATTTTTGTATTTTTAGTAGAGACGGGGTTTTACCATATTGACCAGACTGGTCTCGATCTCTTGACCTCGTGATCCACCCGCCTCAGTCTCCCAAAGTGTTGGGATTACAGGCATGAGCCACAGCACCAGGCCATAGATTTCTTTATTTCCCCTCTCAGTTCTGTCAGTTTTTGTTTCACAAATTTGCAACTCTGTTGCTTGCTACATACACATTTAGGATTATTATGTCTTCTTAGTGGATAGACTTTTTATGATTATATGTTCCTCTCTGTCACTCATCATTTTTTTCTACTGGTCTATTTTATCTGATATTTTTATAGCCACTCTTGCTTTCCTTTTATTATTTGGATTATATATGTTTTATCATTTTTTAATTTCAACCTGCCTCTATCATTGCCTATATCTTTATATTTGAAGTGAATTTCTTCCAGATAGGATATAGTTGGGTCTTTTTTGGAAAATTAACTCACCAATCTCTGTCCTTCAATTGGTATATTTAAACCATTTATATTTGATGTTATTATTGACCTGTTAGCACTTAAGTCTGCCATTTTGGTTTTTTGCTTTCTGTTTGTTCTCTGTTTTTTATTTCTGTTTTCTTTTTCTGCCTTCCTGTGAACATTTTTAAGAATTCCACTTTGCACTGTTTTTGAAAAGATCTCTTTGCATAGCTTTGTGGTTACTCTAAATGTTGCGTGTGTGTGTTTGTGTGTGTGTGTGTGTGTGTGTGTGTGTGTGTAGACATTTATCACTGTCTACTGGTATTATCATTTTATTAGCTCAAGTGAAATATAGAAACTTCATTTCCCTATATCCCTTTACTCTCCCCCATTAATAATAGTTGAATGTTTCCTCTACATACAGTTATAACCACATCAGACAATATTATAATTTTCGCTTCAACAATCAAACATCGTTTAGAAAACTCAAGAGAAGGAAAGTCTATTGAATTTACCCATATTTTTGCTTACTGTGTTCTTTCTTCCTTCCGAATGTTCCAAGGTTTCCTTCTCTTATTGTTTCTTTCCCATTTAGAGAATTTTTTGCCATTCTTTTAGGGTAGGTCTGCTGCAACAAATTCTAATAGCTTTCCTTTATCTGCAAATGTCTTGATTTCCCCTTCATTGCTAATGTATATTTTCCCTGTGTATAGGATTCTGGGCTGACAGTTCTTCACATTCACCCTTTGAAAAATTTGCCACTTTTCTCTAAACTTCAGGGTTTTTAATGAGAAATCTTCTGTCAATTATTTTTTCCTTACAGGTAAAGTCTTTTTTTTCCTCTGGCTGCTTTTGAGATTTTTTTTTTTTTGTCTTTAGTTTTCAGAAATGTAATTATATTGTGTCTTCACATGGACTTCTTGTGAGTTTATTCTGTTTGGGGTTTGCTTGCTCACCTTCTTAAATCTTAGTGTCTTCCTAAATTTTGGGAGTCTTTGAACATTTTTTCTTTTTATTTTTTTTGAGATGGAGTCTCACTCTATCACCCAGGCTAAATGTAGTGGCACGATCACAGCTCACTTCAACCTCGGCCTCACAGGCTCAAGTGATCCTCCCACCTCAACCTCCCAAGTAGCAGAGACCACAGGCATGCACCACCATGCTTGGCCAATTTTTGTATTTATTCTAGAGGCGGGGTTTCACATGTTGCTCAGGCTGGTCTTGAACCCCTGGGCTCAAGTGATCCACCTGCCTTGGCCTCCCAAAGTGCTGGGATTATAGGCGTGAGCCACGGTGCCCAACCTAAACATTTTTTCTTTGAGTGCTTTTTCAACCTTCCCTTCTCTCTCTTCTTCAGAAACTCTGATGACAATAATATTACATCTTTTGTTATAATCTCAGAGGTCCTTGGTGCTGTGTTCATTTTTTAGCCTATTTTCTCTCTGTTGTTCAGATTTATAATTTTTATTTTTCTGTCTTCCAGTTCATTGATTCTTTCTTCTGTATTCTACATTCTGCCCAAATACTGAGCTTTTATTTTTGTTCACTCTATTTTTCAATTCTAAAATTCCCATTTGGTTTTTCATAGCCTCTATTTTATTGCCAAGACTTTCTGTTTCTTTGTTGAGACTTACTATTTCTTTCATTCAAGTATGTTCAGAATTGCTCGTGGAGGAATTTTAATCATGGTTGCTTGAAAATCTTTAAAAGATAATTCTAACATCTCTGTCATCTTGGTATTGGCATCTTTCTTGGCCCACTCAGACTGCTATAACAAAATGCCAAAAACTGGGTGGCTTATAATAACGGAAACTGATTTCTCACAGTTCTGGAGGCTGGGAAGTCCAAGATCTAGGGGCTAGCAAATTCAGTGTCTGCTAAGGACACACTTCCTGGTTCATAAATGACCATCTTTTCACTGTGTCTTCATATGGCAGAAGGCGCTAGGGGGCTCTCCAGGGCCTCTTTTATAAGGTCACTAATCCATGAGAGCTATCCCCTCATGACCAAATCACCTTCCAAAGGCCCTACCTCCTAATAACATCACTTTGGGGCGGTTAGGATTTCAACGTATGGATTTGGTGGGGGGAAAAAGCAGTATAAACATTCAGACTATACCAGCATCTATTGATTATCTTGTTTCATTCAGTTTGAGATCTTCCTGGTTCTTGGTATGACAAGTGATTTTCTATTGAAACCTGAACATTTTTGTATTATGCTATGAAACTCTGGATCTTATTTAAACCTTCTGTTTTAACTGGCTTCTTCTAATACTTCTCCAGCAAGAGGAGGACACTGCCTTGTGACTTTCTGGTGGAAATATATGGCCAGGTTTCCCATTTGGCCTCTGTTGACACCCAAGCGTAGGGGCTTCTCTTTACTGCTAAATGGGGTTGGAAATCCAGGCTCCACACATGGTCTCCACCAACACCACCATTACCACTGGCATTATCAGCTGGCAGGTTCAAAGCCCCAGCTTCTCTCCTGGCTTTCTCTGACAGCATCATGGCAGGGGTGTTTGGGTGCATCAGCGAGCCTCATGAGGACGGAAGTCTAGGCTCCCCACTGGGACTTTGCTGGCATATGTGAGGTATGGGGCAGCAGTGTTTTCTCTGTGTGTTTGGCTGGAGTAGAGCCATTATTGTCTAAAAGTTTTCTGTATGGCCAGAGGTGACAAAAGAAGAAAAAAAATGAACAGTTGTCTGTCTTGCTAACCTGCTCCTTTCTTGGTCTTTTGGCTAAGGAGAACAGGCTTTTGTTAGGACATCTTTTTTTTAGAGATAGGGTCTCAATCTATCACTCCTGGAGTGCAGTAGTGTGATCACCACTCACTGCAGCCTCGACCTCCTAGGCTCAAGTCATCCTCTCACCTCAGCCTCCCAAGTAGCTGGGACTACCAGCATGCACCACCACATCCTGCTAATTTTTTTTTTTTTTTGAGATGGAGTTTCACTCTTGTCACCCAGGCTAGAGTGCAATGGCACGATCTCAGCTCACTGCAACCTCAGCCTCCCAGATTCAAGCAATGCTCCTGCCTCAGCCTCCCAAGTATCTGGGATTACAGGTGCCTGCCACCACACCTGGCTAATTTTTGTATTTTTAGTAGATACGGAGTTTCACCCTGTTGGCCAGGCTGGTCTTGAACTCCTGACCTCAAGTGATCCGCCTGCTTCGGCCTACCAAAGTGCTGGGATTACAGGCGCCCACCACTGTGCCTGGCCTTATTTTTGTATTTTTAGTAGATACAGGGTTTCACCATATTGGCCAGGCTGGTCTCGAACTCCTGACCTCAGGTGATCCGCCCACCTTGGCCTCCCAAAGTGCTGTGATTACAGGCATGAGCCACCATGCCAGCCACTCATCTCAGGTCTTAAATGTTATAACCTGGGAAAACTTTCACAGACATCCCACACTCATTCCTCCCATTCCTTTTACATCCCACCTTTCAACTTGTCGTTGAAGGCCCTTACTTCAACGTGTAATCATGTTGTTTGTGCTGTGATCATGTGTTGACGGTGCATGTTCAGCCCACCACTCCATTTTGTTCCTCTTCTATGTTTTTCAGGCAGAGGGCTGGACATGCTTGTGGTATTTAGGGAGACAATTATTCCTTATGTTTGGTTATGTATGATAACAATGTGTAACAAACAACCCCCAAATCTCAGTGCTCATGACAAACAGTGATATCCGGCTCACAGGTCTGGGGCTTCCGAATATGGGCGGCTGCACCGTCACATCTCTGAGGGAGCAGTGGCTGCCTGCAAATGTCTCATGGTAGATGGCACCAGTATAAGAGAGTGAGCAAGCACAGAACAGTTAACACCTCACCCAGAACTCACACAATCTCACATCCGCACTCATTCCCGCAGTCAAAACAAATCAGCGGTGTGGGGAGCTCAGCACTGTCTGCAGGAAGGCACCGCAAAGGCAGGGGGCGGGGGAAAAGAAACAATGGATAACAGAAGAAACACAGGGGACTGTCCCACTCAGTGCAGGATGTTCCATATCTCTAACAGACCTATCAGTGGCACCACCAAGTCTGTGTGAAAACCCCAAATGCCTCCAACCTTTCCACACGCTCCTAAGGGGGCTGAGTCACCCCCCACCTCATGGCATTGTGAACCCTTTTCAATACCTGGCAGACAACAGATCTGTGATAAGTGAATCAACTTGGCCAAATTGCCCTCCAGTGTAGTTGTAATGATTCATACAGAGTGTTAATGTGTAGATGTCTTAAACATTAACAATCTCATCAGTGGGTAAAGGAGCCTCACTTAACTTTCCAATGTGTTTGAATGATGTTTCTTACATATATATTGAAATTTGGTGGGGGGTGGGGAGATTCCCCATATTTTCTGAACGTCTTTCCATTAAAGTTTTGACCTTTCTTTTACTCCCAGACTGGTTCTTTAACATAGAGAAGCATGCAAAGGCCAGCTGCAGTGGCTCAGGCCTGTAATCCCAGCACTCTGGGAGGCTGAGGCAGGTGGATCACCTGAGCTCAGGAGTTCAAGACCAGCCTGACCAACATGCTGAAACGCTGTCTCTACTAAAAATACAAAAATTAGCCAGGCATCGCATAGCCAAGACAATCCTAGGCAAGAAGAACAAAGCTGGAGGCATCACACTACCTGACTTCAAACTATACTACAAGGCTACAGTAACCAAAACAGCATGGTATTGGTACCAAAACAGATATATAGACCAATGGAACAGAACGGAGGCCTCAGAAATAACACCACACATCTAAAACCATCTGATCTTTGACAAACCTGACACACACAAGCAATGGGGAAAAGATTCCCTATTTAATAAATGGTGTTGGGAAAACTGGCTAGCCATATACAGAAAACTGAAACTGGACCTCTTCCTTATACAAAAATCAACACAAGATGGATCAAACACTTAAACATAAGACCGAGGACCATGATACCATTCAGGACATAGGCATGGGCAAAGACTTCATGTCTAAAACACCAAAAGCAATGGCAACAAAAGCCAAAATTGACAAATGGGATCTAATTAAACTAAAGAGCTTCTACACAGCAAAAGAAACTATCATCAGAATGAACAGGCAACCTAGAGAATGGGAGAAAATTTTTGCAATCTATCCATCTGACAAAGGGCTAATATCCAGAATCTACAAAGAACTTAAACAAATTTACAAGAAAAAACCCATCAAAAAATGGGCAAAGAATATGAACAGACACTTCTCAAAAGAAGACATTTATGCAGCCAACAGACATATGAAAAAATGCTCAACATCACTGGTCATTAGAGAAATGCAAATCAAAACCACAATGAGATACCGTCTCATGCCAGTTAGAATGGTGATCATTAAAGTCAATAAACAACAGATGCTGGCGAGGTTGTAGAAAAATAGGAATGCTTTTACACTGTGGGTGGGAGTGTAAATTAGTTCAACCATTGTGGAAGACAGTGTGGCGATTCCTCAAGGATCTAGAACTAGAAATACCATTTGACCCAGCAATCCCATTACTGGGCATATACCCAAAGGATTATAAATCATTCTACGATAAAGACACATGCACACATATGTTTACTGTGGCACTATTAACAATAGCAAAGACTTGGAACCAACCCAAATGTCCATTAATGATAGACTGGATTAAGAAAATGTGGCACATATACATCATGGAATACTGTGCAGCCATAAAAAAGGATGAGTTCATGTCCTTTGTAGGGACATGGATGAAGCTGGAAACCATCATTCTCAGCAAACTGTCACAAGATCAGAAAACCAAACACCATGTGTTCTCACTCATAAGTGGGAGTTGAACAATGGGAACACATGGACACAGGGAACACATCACACACCAGGGCCTGTCAGGGGGTGGATGACTAGGGGAGGGATAATATTAGGAGAAATACCTAAGGTAGGTGACAGGTTGATGGCTGCAGCAAACCACCATGGCACATGTATAGCTATGTAACAAAACTGCACATTCTGCACATGTAACCCAGAACTTAAAGTATAATTTTTTAAAAAAGAAAAAAAAAAGAAATAACATGTGATGTGGAAGACATTCACAACTGAATTAAATGTTATGATTTAAAGTTAAAAAAAAGAAAGCTATTTATTTGGTTTAGGTGTGAAGTTAAACTAGGATTCTAGAATTAATTGAGGAGCTTCCCTTTTTTATTTTTCGGGTCTGAAACAGTTCATAGGGTATATAGTATCATTTTTATTCAATAAAAATTTGGTAGAACTTACCCATAAAGCCATCTGGGCCTGTTAACATTTTTAGGGATATGTGCATCCCCTTCATTTTATTCCATGGTTGTTAGTATATTTAAGTAGTCAATCCTATCTTGACTTTATTTTTTCCACTTTTATTATCTTTAAAAATTTGGCTTAAATGTTCACATTTGTTGCCATAAAACAGTATGTAGATTACACATAACAACAACAACAAAAATTAGCCAGGCATGGTGGCACATGCCTGTAATCCCAGCTACTTGGGAGGCTGAGGCAGGAGAATCACTTGAAGCCAGGAGGTGGAGGTTGCAGTGAGCCAAGATCGCACCGCTGCACTCCAGCCTGGGCAACAAGAGTGAAAGTCCGTCTCAAAAAAAGGAAAAAGAAAAAGAAAAAACAAAGGAAAGGAAAAGAAAGGAAAGCAAAGGGAAAAGGAAAGGAGCATGCAAAGGATAGGAAATATAGCCAGGTCCTAGACAATGGTCTGGACAACAAGTTCCACGAGGACCTGGAGCAACTAAAGGAGATTCAGGCCCACAGAGGGCTGTGCCACTTCTGGGGCCTTTGTGTCCAGAGCCAGCACGCCAAGACCACTGGCAGCTGGGGCAATACTGTGGTCTGTCCAGGAAGAAATAAGTCTGTAGGTCTTGTCTGTTTAAAAAAGTTTATAGAACTAAAATATATTAAAAAAAAAAAAAAAAAAAGAACAGTTGTGGCCAGGCGCCATGGCTCATGGCTGTAATCCCAACACTGGGAGGCCAAGGTGGGAAGACTGCTTGAGCCCAGGAGGTGGAGGCTGCAGTGAGCAGTGATCGCCTAGCAACACTCTAGCCTGGGTAAAAGAGTGAGACTCTGTCTCTTAAAATAAATAAACGCATAAAAAATAACCCTTGTCACATAAAAATGATCATCTCATTGTGTCTTATAATATTTTATTTTTAGAATCAGGCAAAGGGATTCTAGGGATGGGCCTGAAAGGGGCAGCTCTGTGCTTGTTTATTACATGGGTACACTGCATACTGGTGGTGACTGGGTTTCCAGTGTACTCATCACCCACACAGTGAACATCGTCCCAGCACGTAATTTTTCAAGCCTTTTGCCTCTCCCACCTCCTCTCTCTTGGAGTCCCCAGTATCTGTCATTTCTATTTTTATGGCCACGTGTACCCACTGTTTAGCTCCCACTTATGAGAATATGACGTATTCAGTTTTCTGTTTCTGGGTTAGCTCACCTAGGATGATGGCCTCCAGTTCCATCCATGTTGCTACAAAGGACATGATTTCATTCTCCTTTATGACTGCAGTGGTTTATAAATTTTAAAATAATTTTGAAATGCAAACATTTTTAATGTTTCATGCAGCAAATGCACATACCATGTGTTTTAACCCAGTTCCTTATCATAGGCTGTTTAGATTGTTTCCAGTTCTTCCTATTATAAATGGCATAGTGATGCTTTGTAAGCCCTTATCAGGATTTAAGATCATTTCTTTTGATAGGTCCTATTTTTAAAGTTCTTGACACATTTTGTCACACCACTACCCAAAGAAGTTGAACTAATTTCCACCCCCTGCCCACCAGAGCCTGGGTGAGCCGCTGTGTCTGCCCCTTTCCCAACATGAATATGAACACAGTAGACATTTGGGCTAATTTAAGGGTGAAATGATGCCTCATTTAATAGCCCAGAAGGCCAGATAATTGGAGCTGCACTTCTGCAAGGTTCCTTGAATGGCAGGAGGGGGTGGAAACAAGACTGGTTGGAAGTTGAGGCCTGCAGTAGGAGAACAGAGAAAAGGGTTGGGGACCAGGGTGATGAGGGAGGGTGATGAGCCCAGCAGGAGACAGGCTTCAGGCTGGGAAGAGGGTGCCACAATGAGGACTGCAAGCCCCACAGGACCCAGGACACTCACATCCCTTACTGAAAGGCAGGAAAGGATCCCGTGATGGGGAGGGGATGGGGTGAGTCAGCACAGGGGCCATCAGAGGGAATCCAGGCCCTCTGGGCACCCCACTCTCCACTCTCCCCCACCCTTTCTCGCAGTCCACCAGCCTCCCATGGGACACTGCCAGACTTGGTGTCTAGTCTTGGGGCCGTACATGTTAAACTTCACACAGGGCAGAGCATGGCAGAAATGATGGCCAATCCCAGCAGAAGAGGAAGGAAATTTCCCTCACCGCTTCAGATCACATGGCCCTGAATTCTCTGCAGACTGGCATTTATGGAGGCCACACTGTTGAGGTGGCACAGACAAGGGTTTCTTCCCACTTCTTCCTACAGAGCTGCCCCTTTCAGGCCCATCCCTAGAATCCCTTTGCTGGACTGAATGTGTCCTCCCAAAATTTCTATGTTGAAGCCCTGATCCCCATTCTGATGGTGGGAAGAGATGGGGCCTGTGGGAGGTGATGAGGTCATGAGGTGGAGCCCCATGATGCGATTAGGGACATTATAAGAAGAGATACCGGGGAGCTTGCTTCTCTCTCAGCCATGTGAGGACACTACTGAAGACACTTCGTACAAACCAGGAAGTGGGTCCTCAACAGACACCAACCTCCCAACACCCTGATCATGGACTTCCAGCCTCCAGAACTGTGAGAAGTAAATGTCTGTTTTTATAAGCCACCTGGTCTATGATATTTTTGTTATAGTAACCCGAACATACTAAGAAATCCTGTGACCAAGTAAGGGACGGCTGGGCCGGATATCGGAGTGGCTCATCAGGCAACCCCACAGGGACCAGGCAGAGTGGTGGGGAGGGAGAGGAACACAGGAGGGGGAAGGGAGACAGGGCTGAGCAGTAGGGGGAACCTCAGCCCCACCCCAGAGAGCCCTCTCCCTCCTGGTCTCTCATGTGCCCTGCCTCACCCTGCTGCCTGCCCAGCCCTGCCACCGGCCCTCCTCAATTTCCGTGCTTGGCCCCCAATAGGTGCTCCAGGCCACAGGTGATAAGGGTGGGGTGGCATGGGGGGTGGAGGAGGCCTGGGTGATTCGTGCGGGAAGAGAAGCAGGTGACACACACTGAGGACTCAATAGTCTGCTCGGGGCTGTATGGAAATGCCCAGAGGCATCTTGATTGTTACAATGAGCAGGGGATGAGGGTACAAAAGTAGTGTGCACAGGACGGTCCAGCTCAGTGAAGAACTGTCCCACCCAAAGTGTCAGTAGCTCCCCATCTACATGCAAAATCAGAAGGAAGAATTAAAAACAAACAAACAAACAAAAACATCAAAAGGAAGAAAGGGAAGGAGGAAGGAAGGGAGAGAGGGAGGGAAGGAGGAGAGGGGGCCTGGCATCCATCTGTGAGCATCCCGGAGGTCCTCCAGGACCTGCCCTAACACGCAACGAGAACCCGACATACCAAGACAGGCCCAGGACCGGTGCTGTCCTCAGACCACGCAGCCTGTACAGCAACTGTGTTTTTCCCTGTGGCTGCCAGGATAACTTACCACAAACGGAAAGGCTTAAAACAACAGAAACATATTCTCTCACAATTGTGGATGCTGGTGGCAGCATCACTCCAACTTCTGCTTTGCCCATCACATGGCATTCTGCATATGTGCACGCCCAAAATGCTCTCTTCTCATAGGACACTAGTCACGGTTTACAGCTAACGCAAACCCAACAGGACCTCATCTTTGTTTTGTTTTGTTTTGAGACAGAATCTTGCTCTGTCGCCAGGCTGGAGTACAATGGCACAATCTCGGCTCACTGCAACCTCTGCCTCCCAGGTTCAAGCGGTTCTCCCACCGCAGCCTCCCGAGTAGCTGGGATTACAGGCACATGCCACCACGCTTGGCTAATTTTTGTATTTTTAGTAGAGACAGAGTTTCACCATGTTGGCCAGGCTAGTCTCGAACTCTTGACCTCAAGTGATCTGCCCGCCTCAGCCTCCAAAAGTGCTGGGATTACAGGCGTGAGCCACCGTGCCCGGTCATGACCTCATCTTAATGTGATTCCATCCTCAAAGACTCTCCAAGTACAGTCTCATTCACATGTACCCATGTACCAGCGATTAGGACTTGAACAAATCTTTTGAGGGTGACAGAATACATTCTGTCCCAGAATTCTGACCCAGTAATCAATGCCACAAATCTCTATTCCTGCTTCGGAGTGTGGTCTATGGAGTATCGGCCTCTTCTGGAAGCTTGTTAGGAACACAGAACCTGGGCCACCTCAGACCTACTGAATCAGCACCTGCCTGGTGCAGGCAATCCACATGCTCATTCAAGTTTGAGAAGCCTTGGATCACTACCCCCCTGGGGGGATGTAAGGCAAGACCAGGAACTCATAGAGGTGGAGGTGACTGGGAATACCTGAAAAAGGATTTCCATAGAGAAGTGCTTGCCGTCATTCCTTCCTGTATCCTCATCTCCCCTAAGTAGCTATGAGACATGTCAAGATTCCACCTTCAGGAAGGAGGGGAGTGTTCACACACACACACACACACACACACGCACACACACACGAGGACACGGATGGTACCTTCAGGGAACCAGTGAACTTATCTACATCCTCTGGAATTTGGGGGATACAGGGATTGTACCTGGTTTATACACCAACATCTGTGATGCCAGCCAGGAGGCCTGCCTGGCAGCAATCCCATGGCAGTGACAGACAAAACATGTGGCCCTTCTTAAAGGATCAGGATGATAAAGTCCACTTGGAAAGGCCCTTCCAGGAGGAGCCTCTGGGCACAGAGCTGACCTCGGCTGGCAGGCAGGTAGAGTCATGAGCAGCCAGGTGAGGGACACCTCAAAAGTGTGCTTGGAGACAAGGTGCCAGCAACCTGGCATTTGCAGCCTCTAAAACTCCCTGGCCACGTGGCACCTGCCAGCAAGGAGCCCCTTTCTGCTTTCTCCTCCCTCTCTTCCCTGTCCTAATCCTGGAAAGCCCAAAAACAGAAACTGGGGTGTACAGAGAAAGTGGAGCCAAGAATAAAGACGATGTGGACTGTGCTCCCCTTTGGGGATTTCTCTGCCAGAGACACTGAGCTGGGGAGAGGAGACATTTGATATTAGATTTTGAACGCGTGGAACATGCTTCTATTGACTGACATCTGAGGAGCAATCACAAGTGCGGAGCTCTCCCCAAGATTTCATCCTGGGGGGAGCAAGAACAAGCCCATGGAAAGGGGCAGCCCTGAAAAAGAATCAAATTGCTCTTGCTCGCTCACTCCCGAAAATCCAGCCTACCCATGAAAACACAATGGGAAGACAGCGCTTAACTGGAAGAACTGACTTTGCTACAGGGTCAGGGATGCCCCCTTGGGGGTGACGGTGGCGCTGAGCCGGAGGGTGCAGGGGTGAAGGAGGCGAAGACTGTGAGCGTGGGAGGCACGTCTGTCAGAGGAAGTGGGCTGGCCTCGCTTGGCACTCCCTCCCAGGGCCTCCACCTCAGGCCCACAGGCCACTCTTCGGGCACACACACCCTGGGCCGCCTTCACGGCTTCCAGAACACGGCCGCAGCTATCCCCTGACACCAGCTGTGCTTGATCTGTCGCTCTCGCCTCACCTCCCTGCTTCCTCGGCAATCCACTCCCCACCCTTCCTCTCCACTCAGTTACTCACTAGTATAATAGTATTTGAAAGGTACAAACAGGCCGGGTGCGGTGGCTCACGCCTGTAATCCCAGCACTTTGGGAGGCCGAGGCGGGTAGATCACTTAAGGTCAGGGGTTCTCGACCAGCCTGGCCAAAATGGCGAAACCTCGTTTCTACTAAAAATACAAAAATTAGCCGGGAGTAGTGGTGTGCACCTGTAGTCCCAGCTAGTCGGGAGGCTGAGGAAGGAGAATTGCTTGAACCCAGGAGGCGGAGGTTGCAGTGAGTGAGCCAAAATCGCGCCACTGCACTCCAGCCTGGACGACAGAACGAGACTCCGTCTCAAAAAAAAAAAAAGAAAAGAAAGATGCAAACAGCCACAGCCTCGCTTTAAACCCGCCCATCCCCTCGCATTTACAAAACCCCAGTTTCATACTTTGACACACAGTCATGGGGCTCCAGCCTGCCGCCTCGCAGCTCTTCCCTCCTGTGCTGGGCTCCAACCCCACTGCCGCGTCCTTCTTTCTAGACCTAGGAACACTGTGCAGGCCTGTCCGGTCCAGCGGACGGCAGGCGCTCGGTTCTCCACACCCCGCTCTTTAGCCTTCAGGCCTCGGTGCTAACGCCACCTCCTAAGGGGGACCCTCCGGCGCCACCCAGTGTGCCTCTCCCCCACAAGCCTCTTTGGTCTCTTAAAGCAGCCATGCTGCCCTCAGGCTGTAAGTTCTCCAAGGGCCGCGGACGGACGGGGCCACACAGGAGAGCTCACACACAAGTGAGTGAAAGAATAACCAAATTAGGGCCGGGCGCGGTGGCTCACGCCTGTTATCCCAGTACTTTGGGAGGCTGAGGCGGGTGGATCACCTGAGGTCAGGAGTTCGAGACCAGCCTGGCCAACATGGTGAAACCCCGTTTCTACTAAACATACAAATTAAGCTGGGAGTGGTAACGTACAAATTAAGCTGGGAGTGGTGGCGGGCGCCTGTAATCAGCTACTCGGAAGACTGAGGCAGGAGAATCGCTTGAACCCGGGAGGCGGAAGTTGGAAGTTGCAGTGAGCCGAGATTGCGCCATTGCACTCCAGCCTGGGCAACCAAAGCGAAACTCTGTCTCAAAAAAAAATAATAATAATAATAAGCAAATTGAGGAATGAGAGCAGCATCTCAAGGACACAGGTACTGTTTTGGAATTTATTTTAGACCTTTTTTGAAAGTAGGCGTGAACGTAATTGTTTCAGGCACTCTTAAGCGAAGCCAGCCGGCGCCCCGACAGCCGAGGGTGCGGGAGCTCCCCACGGCCCAGCCCCAGCCCCAGACCCCGCTGCCGCGCCTCGGCACGCCCCTGCGCCCCGCCTCCGCGCCTCGGCGCTACTCACGCCCCGCCCTCCGCTCCTCGTCACGCCCCATGTCGCGCCTCCGCGCGACTCACGCCTCTCCCAGTCTCTCGGCACGACCTCGTGCCCCGCCCTCGCCCCTGGCGCAATTTATGCCCCGCCCCGCGCCTCGCCACACCCCGTGCCCCGCCCCCGCTTCTCCGGGCAACTCCTGCTCCAACCCCGCGCCCGACTCATGGCCCTCCCCGCCCCTCGCCACGCCTCGCCTCGCCTTAGCGCTTCGCCCCGCCCCTGTCCTGCCTCTACTTCCGCCTCGGGGGAGCTGGGAGCCCGACGTTTCCGGGAGCGCCGCGTGGTTAGCGTCGGCGGCTTTTGGCATGGCGACTTTTTCTGGCCCGGCTGGGCCAATCCTGTCGCTTAATCCGCAGGAAGATGTCGAGTTTCAAAAGGAGGTGGCGCAGGTTCGCAAGCGCATAACCCAGGTGAGCAGGCACCCTGGCCCAGGCTGCGAGCGGGGGCGATGGACCGGGTCTAGAGGGTATCTGGGGTTGCACGGTTTCCGGCCCGGGCGCCCCTTGCCTTCGTGCTCGCCTTCATTACCTCCAGGGTCTCCCAAGTGGATTCGACCGAATCAGGGACCGACCTCTTAAGCTTGCAGGCCACGGTTTCCGAGACGAAAGGGTTTACGCTGTTCGGTAAATGATGGAGGGGTTTGGCCGCTGAGGCCCTGGAGCCTTCATGTGGAGGGTAACGGGGAAGTATTGGGGTGACAGAAGCAGTAGAAAGAACCAGCTGGAGGGAATAGGCTCCTATACCACAGGTTATCTCCGGGTTAGAGCTGTCACGCTTCCGCGTTTCCCCCAAAAATGGGAGCCCCAGACTTAACACATTCGGGAAGTTTGTATGCCGGGTTGGTGATCTGGGAGTTATTAAAATAGAGTATTTGCCAGGTTCCACTTGCTGACTAGGGCCCCTGACATCGCTTATACTTTCTGTGGTTTTTAGCATAAAATACACAGGAAAACTTAGAAGTTCCTGTTACAGAGGTAAGGCTATGATGACTGAGACGTTGAAAGGCTAATCTGTACCGTGAGAGTTAACAAGCGTATCGAAAATTTTTCGATGAAGTGCGAGTAAACAGTAATATGCATACCAAATTGAAGCCTACGTTTATGTAGAGTTCTCTGGGCAGAAGATCTAAAATGGCTTGTTCAAAGATGTCCTTGCTTATCCGTTGATTGACATAGTTATTGAGCTCTAATATTATACTGGGTGCTGGGATGCCAGGCTGGAAAGATAGTTGACTACTGCTTGACCATGGCCTTTGTGGGGAGAGAAACACTAAACAGCCAGTTCTTTAATTACTACTGTGGTAAGTGGAAATGCAGAATAGGTTCTTGGGCCGAGGGCTAGGGGTTTTGTTACAATGTGATTTTCTTATTTATATATTTAATTTACCTGGTCTTTACGTCTTTAGCGAAAAAAACAAGAACAACTTACTCCTGGAGTAGTCTATGTGCGCCACCTACCTAACCTACTTGACGAAACCCAGATCTTTTCATATTTCTCCCAGTTTGGCACTGTGACACGGTTCAGGCTGTCCAGAAGTAAAAGGGTAAGATTTTTGCAGTTGGATTTAATGTTTTGTTTTTCAAATGTGTATTATCCTTGACATTAAAGAGCACGTTCACGCATACATTATTGCTTATCAGATTTCATTCCAAAAAGGAGAGTGGAGGAGGTTTAGAATCTGAAACAGCTACAGGAGCAAAATCAGTATTATTGTAAAAGTTTGTTTTTTACATTTCTCCAAATCCTTACATTAAATTGACAGTCCTGGTAAATGAGCTTTAGTATGAGGCCCAGGTTTATACATTTTCTTGTGTTAGCCTTTGGTACAAGCATCCTTATAATAGCAAAGGTTTATATAGTGAATAGTTAAAGGTGAGGACTCTGGAGTTGGACTGCTGAGGTTTGGGGTCAGGCTCTACACCTTACTAGTTAGAGTGATATGACCTTACCATGTTTCAGTGTTGTGATCTGTTAAATATAAGTAAAACTTCCTGGGAGTATTTAGTCAAAGGTTAAATATAAAGTCTTTAGAGGATTGCTTGGTACACAATAAACACTATATAAGTATAATTACTATTTGTGTCATACCTGCCTTCTAATGAGAAAACGCTTTACATAGCTTGTTTCAATAGTGGAGGAGTGACCCACTTTCTTTTCTTTCCCCGCACATAAACTTTAATTGGTTGTAGCCATAGACACCTATTTGATTTAGCATGTGGGGGATAGGGTGCACATCCATCATCTGTTAGTTGTCGTAAAGATAGATTGTAGGTAGAATTGAGGTCCCTTTTGTACCCTTCCCAGTGCTCTTCAACTTCTTTAATTAGGGAATTAAATTCACAAATTCAGTTTTCTTTTTTTTGAGACTGAGGCTTGCACTGTCGCCCGGGCTGGAGTGCAGTGGTACAATCTCAGCTCACTGCAACCTCCGCTTCCCGGGTTCAAGCAATTCTCCTTGCGTCACCTTCCCAAGTAGCTGGGATTACAGGCGCCTGCCACCATGCCTGGCTAATTTTTTGTGTGTTTTACTAGAGACGGGGTTTCACTATGTTGGCCAGGCTGGTCTCGAACTCCTGACCTTGTGATCCTCCCGCCTCGGCCTCCCAAAGTGCTGAGATTACAGGCGTGAGCCAGTGCGCCCGGCCACAAATTCAGTTTTCATTGCTATATATAAGTTTTTACTATATATATATGTACTAGAATACATATGTGTACATATATAAATGTACATATGGTATTATTTTAAAATTATATTACTCTATCATTCTTCAGCTGAATTTTTGTATTCAATAATCTGAGCTTTATCCATGTAACTCTATTGCCTTTGTTATCATCATTGCTCATTACTTAGGTTACTAAAGTTTATCCACCCTCCTATTGAACATTAGGTTTTGTTTTGGGGGGCGATCTCGGCTCACTGCAACCTCTGCCTCCCAGATTCAAGTGATTCTCTTTCCTCACCCTCCTGAGTGGCTGGGATTACAGGTACCGGCCACTGCACCTGGCTAATTTTTGTATTTTTAGTAGAAACAGTGTTTCTACTAAACACTGTTTTGGCCAGGCTGGTCTCAAACTCCTGACCTCAGATGATCCGCCCACCTCGGCCTCCCAAGGTACTGGGATTACAAGCATGAGCGAGCCACTGTGCCCAGCCCGAACATTAGGTTTTTTAATATTTTTAACTCTTTAGATTAAGCTGCTAGGAACAATCTTTGTACAGGTATAGGCAGAATTTTCTAGAAGAGTATTTTGCAGACTTTGGCTCACAATAAGAGGTAAGTTTTTACCATCACAAAGAAGATGAGGGTTTTAAAAAAAGTTTTACAGCACAAACCAGCACACATACATATGCATGTAAGCATAACTGAAATAAAAGCCAAATGAGACAATATTTAAACTTGTTTTGTGTGATGCGCTGATTTTCTATTTCATTCTATTCATTTTTTTTTTGTTTTGTTTTGGTTTTGTTTTGTTTGCGACGGAGTCTCACTCTGTCGCCCGGGCTGGAGTGCAGTGGCACAGTTCCTCAGCTGACTGCGATGTCCGCCTCCCGGATTCAAGTGATTCTCCTGCCCCAGCCTCCCGAGTAGCTGGGATTATAGGTGCCTGCCACCATGCCTGGCTAATTTTTTTTTTTTTTTTAAATGGAGTCTCACTCTGTTGCCCAGGCTGGAGTGCAGTGGCACAGTCTTGGCTCACTGCACCCTCAGCCTCTCGGATTCAAGTGATTCTCCTGCCTCAGCCTCCTGAATAGCTGGGATTATAGGCGTGCACCACCACACCCAGCTAATTTTTGTATTTTTAGTAGAGATGGGGTTTCACCATATTGGTCAGGATGATTTTGAGCTCCCAATCTCAGGTGATCCACCTGCCTCGGCCTCCCAAAGTGTGGGGATTACAGGTGTGAGCCACTGTGCCCGGCCTAATTTTTGTATTTTTAGTAGAGACACGGTTTCACCATTTTGGCCAGGCTGGTCTCGAACTCCTGACCTCAGGTGATCCACCCACCTCGGCCTCCTGGAGTGCTGGGATTACAGGCATGAGCCACCCCTCTTGGCCTAGTTTTTCTTTTTTGAGATGGAGTCTTATTCTGTTGCCCAGGCTGGAGTGCAGTGGCGCGATCTCAGCTCACTACAACCTCTGCCTCTCAGGTTCAAGTGATTCTTCTGGCTCAGCCTCCTGAGTAGCTGGGATTACAGGTACATGTCACCATGCCCAGCTAATTTTTTGTATTTTTAGTAGAGATGGGGTTTCACCATGTTGGCCAGGCTGGTCTCAAACCCCTGACCTTGAGATCCACCCTCCTTGGCCTCCCAAAGTGAATATTTTATATTTTTAGTAGAGATGGGGTTTCACCGTGTTGACCAGGCTGGTCTTGAACTCCTCACCTCAGATGATCCACCCTCGGCCTCCCAAAGTGCTGAGATTGCAGGGGTGAGCCACCGCGCCTGGCCTTCCCCTCTCTTTTGAGTGTTGGGATTATAAATGGATTTTGAGGGATTTAAATTTTTCCCAGAATCCACCTGTTGAAGATAATTAAGCTGAGACTCAGTTGTGGAAGTGTCCAAGTTGCTTGTTACTGACACAACTGGTGCTGGAAATGAGCCTCCTGATTCCCACTGTTAAGCCATGTGACTTTTAAGTTGAAGACTTTTTTAATATCACGGAGTGTTGTTACTGAATAAATTCCAGCCATAGGAATTGTGTATTTATCATATGTAACCAAAATCCCAAGAATACCAGAAAATCAGCTGTGTGTTCAGACTCGTGCATCTTTTCTTTTTCCCATAACAGTCCCCGGAATATGTGAATTGAAGTTAGAATTAAGCGTGTCGTACGTAATATTTGATAAGGGGCTAATATACATTATTTAAAATAATGGCATTTTAGGAATTTGATGACGCATTCAAATTTAATTGTTCTACTTTTTGTGGCGGTTTCTCTGTTGCAGACTGGAAATAGCAAAGGCTATGCATTTGTGGAGTTTGAGTCTGAGGATGTTGCCAAAATAGTTGCTGAAACAATGAACAACTACCTGTTTGGTGAAAGACTCTTGGAGTGTAAGTGCTCCTGTCTTACCGCAGGGTTGCCTGGGTGCCTGCTGTTGGTGGGTGACTGTGGTGGGAAGGGCGGCTTGCCTAGCTGCTTGGACATGCCACTTCATCTCTGGGATGAGTCTTACAGAATGGTGCAAGGATTTCAGTGTATGTTGCAGGCAGATTCTAATTGGAATTTTAAAATCTAGCCTGAGAGCTGTTTTTACCCTAAATGGAACTGGACAAGTTACCTTGGGGACACATGGGAGGAGCAGCTAACCCATCCTTATGGGCTGTGAAAGGCTTCTCTAAGGAAGTATAGTTGACATTGAAACCTGAAGACTAAACAGGAGTGAGCCAGGTGAAGGGGACAGGAGTGAAGACAGACCATTCCTGGCTGAGGGACAGTGAATGCCAAACCAATGATGCCTAACCATTCAGCTGTGAGAGAATGTGAGGAAAAGTAGCAAGAGATGAAGGAGCAAGAAGAGGCTTCAGGTCAGGTTACTGAAGGCCTTCTAAGTCAGCGAGTTCCGAATTTATCCTGAGGGCAGTGGGGATAGCATCAAAGGTCAGGAATCGCGTTGCAAAATCTGTCTAAATGGCAATGGCTGTAGCTCTTCCACACGAGAGAAGCCAGAGGGAGTGGAGGAGTGACGCACCAGATGAGTAATTTATCCTGCAGAAAGAAGCCAGTGAAGCCCCCTACCCTGCAGTCCATAGGGTGCAGAGAGCATCCCTGTCCAGATCCTGCTGCCCTTGGGAGGCAAAGCGAAGTTTCTGGCTTCCCTGTGCCCATGGTGGCATGTGGCCGTCTTAGGTACCCAAGTTCACAGCTGACAAGGCTGCCCAGGTCTTGTCTCTCTATTCACTTCGCATTGCTGTGAGAGAAGCTGGGATTACAGGTGTGAGCCACTGTACCCAGCCATATCATTTTGTTGTGTGAGGAATGGCACTGCGGAGATTCTAAAGTTAACATTAAAATACCTTTATGTTTTTTTCTTTTTGAAAATAGGTCATTTTATGCCACCTGAAAAAGTACATAAAGAACTCTTTAAAGACTGGAATATTCCATTTAAGCAGCCATCATATCCATCAGTGAAACGGTATAATCGGAATCGGACACTAACACAAAAGCTACGGATGGAGGAGCGATTTAAAAAGAAAGAAAGATTACTCAGGAAGAAATTAGCTAAAAAAGGAATTGACTATGATTTTCCTTCTTTGGTAAATATTCGTGAAATCTTTTTTGTGGTTTGTTGTGGGGAGGGGAGGGGGCAGCTTTGTACCTTGTAAAGTACCTAGCCTAGCACTTACCACAATCTTGACTCACTGCAACTTCCACATCCTGGGTTCAAGCAATTCTCCTGCCTCTAGCCTCCCAAGTAGTTGGGATTACAGGTGCACACCACCACGTCTGGCTAATTTTTGTATTTTTAGTAGAGACGGGGTTTCTCCACGTTGGCCAGGCTGGTCTCGAACTCCTGACCTCAGGTGATTCACCCACCTCAGCGTCCCAAAGTGTTGGAATAATAGGCATGAGCCACGTGCCCAGCCAGTTTTTTGACTAAACTTTTTTTTCTTTTTTGAGATGGAGTTTCACCCTTGTTGCCCAGGCTGGAGTGCGATGGTGTGATCTTGGCTCACCGCAACCTCCGCCTCCGGGGTTCAAGCGATTCTTCTGCCTCAGCCTCCCGAGTAGCTGGCATTACAGGCATGCGCCACCACCCCGGCTAATTTTGTATTTTTAGTAGAGACGGGGTTTCTCCTTGTTGGTCAGGCTGGTCTTGAACTCCTGACCTCAGGTGATCCGCCCGCCTCGGCCTCCCAAAGTGCTAGGATTACAGGCGTGAGCCACTGCACCCATCCTTTTTTGTTTTGTTTTGTTTTGTTTTGTTTTTTGAGACAGAGTCTTGCTGTGTTGCCCAGGCAGGCTGGAGTGCAGTGGCACAATCTCAGTTCATTGCAACCTCCACCTCCCAGGTTCAAGCAATTCTCCTGCCTCACCCTCATGAGTAGCTGAGATTACAGGTGCGTGCCACCATACCCGGCTAATTTTTTGTATTTTTAGTAGAAATGGGGTTTCACCATGTTGGTCAGTCTGGTCTCGAACTCTTGACCTCAGGTGATCCATCCACCTCAGCCTCCAAAAGTGCTGGGATTACAGGTGTGAGCCACCATGACTGGCCTGACTAAACTTTTGAAACATTCCATTGTAGGTTCTTCCTAAAACATTATGAGACCAGATTCTGTTATTTCTATTATACAGAAGAGGAAGCTTCTTTTAAGGAGATAATCTGATTTGTTTAACTTACATGTTCTGTTTTAAGTTACTGAAGTAAACCCACTATTTAACTAAAGACTGTAATACTCTTAGATTGCCATTTATTAGCCAGTTGAGGTAGTGTGTGCCTGTAGTCCTTGCTACTCAGGAGGCTGAGGCAACAGGATCTCCTGAGCCTAGGATTTCAAGTTTGCAGTGAACTGTGATTGTACCATTGCACTCCAGCCTCAGCAACAGAGCAAGACCGTATCGCTAAAAAAGAAAAAGATTGTCATTCAGAGGTGACACTGCCAGAATTAAGTCTTTGGTTTACTGTATGCTATAAGTAGATACCAAAACACTGACCCTTTCCTCCATCTGTCACAGTGAGGAGAGCTATGTCTTTTATTATAGATCAAGAATGAAGCTTATTATGGTATGGCTAGTATAGGTAAAGGTCTCATTCTTTTCTTTTTTTTTTTTTTTTTTGAGATGGAGTCTCCCTCTGTTGCCCAGGCTGGAGTGCAGTGGCACTATCTCAGCTCACTGCAACCTCCGCCTCCCAGGTTCAAGCGATTCTCCTGCCTCAGCCCCCACGAGTAGCTGGGACTACAGGCACACACCACCACACCCAGCTAATTTTTTGTATTTTTTTTAGTAGAGATAGGGTTTCATCACCATGTTAGCCAGGCTGGTCTCGAACTCCTGACCTCATGATCCACCCACCTTGGCCTCCCCAAGTGCTGGGATTGTAGGCGTGAGCCACTGCGCCCAGCCAATTTACTAGGTTTTTAACCTTATCCAGAAACTAGATGACCGTGTTACCCTCCTTTGCCTCAATTCTCGGTGGTTAATTTTTTGCCCAAATCCCAAATACTGTCTTTAATAGTATTAGAATATTTCGCCAAGGCCTTAGGCCCTGGTACTCTTGTGAACCATTTGGGAACTGAGACAGTGAAACTTGAAAAGAGGCATGTGAGCACTGCTTTTCCTGTACCCTGTTTGTGACTTAGGAGATGGGGGTGGCCTGCCTTTGCACATTCTTCCTGCTTCCACCCTCCTGAATTCAGGATTCTGTGAATCAGTGAGCTCCAGGTTTTGGCCTTCCCTTCAACCTCTGCAGCTCTGTCAATTCCTCTACTGGGTTTTTCCTAGTTTTGCCCTTTACTTGAGATAATTCACTGTATTTATGAGTTTTGATTTTTTAAAATGAAATGCTCTTGTCATTTAGGGAGGATTTACTGATAATATATATGAGGATCTAATGCTAAGTTTAGAAAGAAAAGATATGAGTGTCAATTTCTAACTTCTTTATTAAAGATTTTACAGAAAACGGAAAGTATTTCAAAAACTAATCGTCAGACGTCTACAAAAGGCCAGGTAAAATTTTTTTTATCATTTTACATGCAAGATATTAGAGAAGGATAAGTAGGAAAACATATTCAAGACTACTGTAGCTGATCAATATTCAAATTGATGTGTTTTAAAATTTATTTTAAGGTTTTACGTAAGAAGAAGAAAAAAGTTTCAGGTACTCTTGACACTCCTGAGAAGACTGTGGATAGCCAGGTAAAATGGTTTTCAATACTCCAGACACCAGATATTATAGAAATAATTTGAAGGAGGAGAAGCAGTTTCTGCTACTCTCATTTTAAGATTTCAAATTAAATATTGTGACATTTGGTAGATCTTTATTGTTGATTTAGCAATTTTCTGCCTAAAACCTTATAATGGAACATGCTATATTTGTTAATTGTGAATTTCTGTACCAAGTTTGATAAGCATCTAAGTTCTTTATTCTTTGCAATAGTATCACCAAAAGATGGTAACAGAGCTAAAATAATGGGGCACAACTTGTAAAAATAGAGGAGAGATGATATTTTTGGGTAAAGTCATAATCATGTTTTACATTTATGTATTATAATCTTTACTTGTTGAATCCAGGGCCCCACACCAGTTTGTACACCAACATTTTTGGAGAGGCGAAAATCTCAAGTGGCTGAACTGAATGATGATGATAAAGATGATGAAATAGTTTTCAAACAGCCCATATCCTGTGTAAAAGAAGAAATACAAGAGACTCAAACACCTACACATTCACGGAAAAAAAGACGAAGAAGCAGCAATCAGTGATTTTCAATGTATTATATTTCTTTTGAAAAATATAATATTTTTATGAGAGTGGACTTTGTATTTCACTAGGTACAATGGAATACAACCTTTGACAAGATTTTCAGAGGAAAAATACACTGTTTGGTCAAGTTAAGGAAAGCAGTGTGTAATTTTGGATTGCCTGCCCTTGGCTGAAATACAGGGGTGCATACCATCTTGCAGTGGCTTGGCTGACATTGCCTCTTTGTCCTGGCCTCTAGTTTTCTTTTGATATTTCATAGCTCTCCTTAGTTTACTCTGCCTGGATAGAAAGTTGACCACTAACTGCAGGTTTAAGTACTAAACTGCAGCCTTTTCTGTCGCCAGCAATTAAAGACCACCAATCTTGTTTGTCCATCTACATGGTTTGTCGGGGACATTTAACTCATGGAGGTGCTTTAGATTTCAACATCAGATGGTTGAAGCTGGAAGTTTAATTATATGTAGAGTGAGAAGGCAGTTCCAGTTTTAGCACAGATTTGTTTATGTGTTCAGATTTTAATAGAGATTCAAAAATGACTCATTTTTACCAATAATGTTAAATTAGTTTTGGTTGTGCTAGCATGAATTAATAACCACCATTTTATACCAGTATCATCAGTGAAGAATTGTATTTCAAGATTCAAACAATAACCAGCAATTAAACTTTTTTCTACAATGTATTTGTTTGCGAGTAGGACTTGGGAGTCATTGGGAAAAAAAAATAATAAATTTTCCCCTTCATTAACGAATTCAGACTCATTAAAAACATTGCCATCAGATGTAGTAGCTTGTGCCTGTAATCCCAGCACTTTGGGAGGCTGAGGCAGGAGGATCACTTAAGGCTAGGAGTTGGAGACCAGCCTGGGCAACATGATGAGAGCCTCTTTCTACAAAAAAATTTTAAAAATGAAGCCAGGCACGGTAGCTTGCTTCTGTAATCCCAGTATTTTGGGAGGCCGAGGCGGGTGGATCATGAGGTCAAGATATCAAGACCATCCTGGCCAACATGGTGAAACCCCATCTCTACTAAAAATACAAAAATTAAATGGGCGTGGTGGCAGGTACCTGTAGTCCCAGCTGCTTGGGAGGCTGAGGCAGGAGAATCGCGTGAACCCGGGAGGCGGAGGTTGCAGTGGGCCAAGATCACGCCACTGCACTCCAGCCTGGTGACAGAGGAGACTCTGTCTCAAAAAAAAAAAAAAAAATGAGGTGGGCATGGTGACACATGCCTATAGTCCCACCTACTTAGGATACTGAGGCAAAAGGATCACTGAACCTAGGAGTTTGAGGCTACAGTGACCTATGGTTGCACCATTGCACTCCAGCCAGAGCGACAAAGCAAGACCCTGTCTCTTAAAAAAAAAAAAGCTGGGTGTGGTGTCTCACGCCTGTAATCCCGGCCTGACCAACATGGAGAAACCCCGTCTCTACTAAAAATACAAAATTAGCCGGCCGTGGTGGCGCATGCCTATAATCCCAGCTACTCAGGAGGTGGAGGCAGGAGAATTAGTTGAACCCAGGAGGTGGAAGTTGCAGTGAGCCAAGATCGCACCATTGCACTCCAGGCTGGGCAACAAGAGCGAAACTCCGTCTCAAAAAACAAACCAAAAAAAATTCATTATCACTCTCTTAAAAAAGATTTTTTTTTAATTCATTGCCACTAAGCATTCTTTCATCTAGCATTTCTTAAGTCTTTAATACGATACAGGGCTAGGTGTTCTGATGCAAAATAGAGTTGGTTTTAAGTACATGCAAAAAGCAGATTAGATCTCTAGAATGGTTCCTGGCACATAGAAGATTTAGTATGTATTTGTTAAATAATGCCCTATTTGAACCATCTCTGAGCTTCGTGGATCTGGACATCTGGTTTCCCCTGGGAAAGCGTCAGACAAGGTTCTCCATGTGAAGACATAAGTCTGTTGTGTTTGATCTTAAGGGGCATGTGCATTCAAACACATACATGTACATGGCAAGATGAACTGAGTATTTCTCCCTTCCTGAACAGCCACCTGCCACCCCCCTTATTTGTTTGTTTAGAGACGGAGTCTCACTCAGTGTTACCCAGGCTAGACTGCAGTTGCACAATCTCTGCTCACTGCAAGCTCTACCTCCCTGGTTCAAGTGATTCTCCTGCCTCGGTCTCCCGAGTACTTGGGATTACAGGCATGCACCACCACGCCCAACTGATTTTTGTATTATTAGAGACAGGATTTCACCATGTTGGCCAGGCTGGTCTCGAACTCCTGACCTCAAGTGATCCACCCGCCTCGGCCTCCCAAAGTGCTGGGATTACAGGCATGAGCCACCACCCCCAGCCAGCTATAGACATTTTTTGTAAAAAAAACTTTTTTTTAATGGAAAAGTATATATCAAAATTAATTCAGTTATCTAATTAGGTTTTTCCCTGTTTCTTTTTTGTTTTTTTCATTGAAACGGGTCTTGCTATGTTGCCCACAGTGTTCTTGAATTCCTGGGGTCAAACGATCCTCTTGCCTCAGCCTCCTAAAGTGCTGGGATTACTAGCATGAGCCACCAGGCCAGCCATTTTTCGCTTTCTTAATTTTTAAAAATTAATGAGGTTTTTGTTGCTATTATATATAATCAGACAAAAAGCTATAAAGGAAAAAAAGAATTAGTCCACAGACAAGTTTTGGTTGGAGTCCGACATTTCACAAGCTGTGTATTGGCCATAAGATGGAGTGTCGAGTGAATAGATGCCACAGAAATGGCCTTTGAATGGCGAATGAATGAAGTTGACACAAGTTCAGAACGGGTTTTTCCATTACTATCGTTTGGAATACAGTGTGGCCAAAGCCAAGGCAACTGGTCACTGTGACTGGAAATTGTAGCCCTGGCTGATTGTGGTATGAGACTGCTAATATGAATTCTAAAATCTCACTTTAATGCAGCAAAGCCTATTTCTTGAAGTGGTTGGGGAGAAAGTACAGCACATGAAAATGATAGAGAATTCACATTTCAGTGTATGTAAATAAAGACTTACTGGAGTGCAGCCACACTTATGTGTATATGCTGTCTGCGGCTACTTTTCTGCTATAGGAACTCAGTTGTAACAGACCATATGTGGTCCTCTGCTTAGCGCTGCTGCTGGATGCACTACAGATTGTGCATTTCATCGTTGGAGTAGTCCCAACTCATAAGAAAGCATCAGAAGAGTTAGATGTTTAAAATGGAGTATCAGCTGGGTGCGGTGGCCCACACCTGTTAATCCCAGTACTTTGGGAGGCCAAGGCAGGCATATCACCTGAGGTCAGGAGTTCGAGACTAGCCTAGCCAACATGGTGAAACCTCATCTCTACTAAAAATACAAGAAACTGGGCTGGGCACAGTGACTCACGCCTGTAATCCTAGCACTTTGGGAGGCTGAGGCAGGCAGATCACGAGGTCAAGAGATCAAGACTATCCTGGCTAACATGGTGAAATCCCCGTCTCTACTAAAAATACAAAAAATTAGCCGGGTGTGGTGGCGGGCGCCTGTAGTCCCAGCTACTCAGGAGGCTGAGGCAGGAGAATTGTTTGAACCCCGGAGGCAGACGTTGCAGTGATCCGAGATCGTGCCACTGCACTCAAGCTTGGGAAACAGAGTGAGACTCCATCTCAAAAAAAATAAACACCAAAAATACAAAAAATTAGCCAGGCTTGGTGGCCGGCACCTGTAATTGCAGCTACTCAGGAGGCTGAGGCAGGAGAATCGCTTGAACCCGGGAGGTGGAGGTTGCAGTGAGCCGAGATCACCACTGCACTGCAGCCTGGGCACCAAGAACAAACTCCATCTCAAAAAAAGAAAAATACAAAAAATTAGCCGGGCGTGGTGGCAGGCGCCTGTAATCCCAGCTACTCGGGAGGCTGAGGCAGAAGAATCACTTGAACCTGGGAGGCAGAGATTGCAGTGAGCTGAGACCGTGCCATTGCACTCCAGCCTGGGCAACGAGCGAAACTCCATCTCAAAAAAATTAAAATAAAATGGAGTGTCAGCACCCAATTTCTTGACAGGAAAATGAGGCTGTAACTAAAGTAAGTTTCCAAGTGGCTTGTTAGCCAAGCAAGGAAAGCCATTTAGCAATGATGAGATAATTGTGTTTGATTCCAACAGCAGAAGAAATGTGGCCAGAGAAAATAAACTTGTTGATGTTGTTGTTGTTGTTGTTGTTAGAGACAGGATCTCACTCTGTGGCCCAGGCTGGAGTGCAGTGGCATGATCATGACTCGCTATAGCCTCTGCCTGCCAGGCTCAAGTGAACCTCCCCGCTCAGTTTCCCAAGTAGCTGGGACCACAGGCACACGCCATGATGCCCAATTAACTATTTTTGGTAGAGACGTCTCACTTTATTGCCTGGGCTGGTCTTGAACTCCTGATCTTAAGCCGTCTTCCCTCCTCATCCCAAAGTGTTGGGATTACAGGCATGAGCCACCAAAATAAACTTAGAACTGTTGGCCTTTTGGTGAAAACAGTTGCTTGAGGAAGCAACATCAATAGTTTAAAAACAAGACAAATGATTTTGAACGTTTTCCTTGGCTCCTGAGGGGCTAACAGGTGTTACCAATACTGCTTAGTTGATCATTCGAAGAGTCATTGCCGAGTTGGAAGTGTTAGGGCGATCAGTTTATTTCAGTTTGCCCAGAACCTTTCTGGCTTGAACACTGAAAGTCTCACTTTCTGGGAACCTCCTCAGTTCCAGGAAAATTGGACCTTAGAAGTCACCCTGGAAGTGACTGAACAATTAGCCTCTGAATAGTCTGTGGAGCAGCTGTAAGCAAAAATGTTTTCAAAGTTGAAAGATTTATTATAACCTGAAGTGGGATTTGCCAAGTTGGGCCACAACTGATAGCGGCAAAAATACGTAGATAGTAGAAAAGGGCTTAGTCGAACAAATTTCCCATTTGTGAAAATACAGGGTATTTGAAGGCTAGTCATTGCATGAATTACCAGCAGGTGCTTTTCAGAAAATACATGAACCTATCGTGTCATTGAAGCAGTAGTCACCAGTGCACTTCATTTGTTCCCATGGACTTGGCCATCATCAGCAGTTCCGTGGATTGACAGAAATAGAAACAGAACATCCTGACTCACCCTGCCTACCACACAGCAGTTTGAAGGCTTAGCAGTGATAAAGATTTACCTAGACTTTCTGAGTTCAGGGCCAAGATTTAAAATTTGTGAGTGAGAACATTCTGTTAACTATTATCATCAAATACTGAACAGGTTCAGAAAGTAGATTTTGCTGCAAACTTGCTGTTTCTTCATGAATTTAAGTCAATGAGTTCAATTTAGAATTAAAAGGCAAAGCCACTTACATTCAAAACTTACAAGGCTGAAAAGTCATTTTGATGACAACATTTGAATCACGAGTAATATCAAGCTATTTTATATACTTCCTGTGCTGTGGAGAGTTAAAAGCCGTGAGATCTGCATTCCCACACAATATTTATAGCAGATGTATTTTCCAACCTCAAACTGTGCTTCCAATAGTGTTTTCAAACTTCAGTAAAAGTGCAAAGGAAATTTCCATATTTCGAAATCTACGTTAACTGAGGGACTATAAAGCTTCCACCCATCTTTCAACAGAAGATGACTAACGGCAGTGTAATAACATGCTAACACATACCACGACAGAAAGGTAATAGAATTCTACAAATGATTTTCAAGTGAGGAATATACTCAATTGAAATCATACTTGGCCAGGGGCGGTGGCTCACGCCTGTAATCCCAGCACTTTGGAAGGCCGAGGGGTGGATCACCTGAGGTCAGGCATTCAAGACCAGCCTGGCCAACATGGTGAACCTTGTCTCTACTAAAAATACAAAAATTAGCTGGGCATGGTGGCAGGCGCCTGTAATCCCAGCTACTAGGGAGGCTGAGGCAGGAGAATCACTTGAACCTGGGAGGCGGAGGTTGCAGTGAGCCGAGATAGAGCCATTACATTACAGCCTGGGTGACAGAGCGAGACTCCGTCTCCATATATATATATATATATATATATATATATATATATATATGGTGAACATCGCAAGCAATGTTGATTGGAAACACTAGCTTCACACCTTCTACAAAAATGAACTCAAAATGTATCACAGACCTAAATGTAAAACATAAAACTAAAAAACTTTTTAGAAGAAAACAGAAAAATCTTCATGACCTGTGTTTAGGCAAAGAGTTAAACATGAAACCAAAAGCATGATCTATAAAAAGGAAAAGTTGATAAATTGGACTTAATCAAAATTTAAAACTTGCTTGGTGAGGAGTCTTTCTGAACCTATTCTGGTTCAGGGCTGCCCAGTTAAAAACAAAAAAAACGCCAGGCGCCCAGTGGCTCACACCTGTAATCCCAGCATTTTGGGAGGCCGAGGTAGGCGGATCACCTGAGGTCGGGAGTTCAAGACCAGCCTGATCAACATGGAGAAACCCTGTCTCTACTAAAAATATAAAATTAGCCAGGTGTGGTGGTACATGCCTGTAATCCCAGCTACTCAGGAGGCTAGGGCAGGAGAATCGCTTGAACCCAGGAGGTGGAGGTTGTGGTGAGCCAAGATCGCACCACTGCACTCCGGCCTAGGCAACAAGAGCGAAACACTGTCTCAAAAAAAACAAACAAACAAAAACAAAAATGTGGCCGGGCATGGTAGCTCACTCCTATAATCCCAGCACTTTGGGAGGCCAACAACACAGGTGGAACACCTGAGGTCAGGAGTTCAAGACCAGCCTGGCCAACATGATGGAACCCCACCTCTACTAAAAATACAAAAATTAGCTGGATGTGGTTGTGCACGCCTGTAATCCCAGCTACTCAGGAGGCTGAGGCAGGAGAATTGCTTGAACCCAGAAGGCAGAGGTTGCTGTGAGCTGAGATCTTGCCACTGCACTTCAGCCTGGGTGACAGAGCAAGACTCTATCTCAGGGCAAAAAAAAAATTCTTGGTGAAAGACACTTAAGAGAATGAAAAGATAAACTAGATTGAGTGAAAATATGTGCAAAAGACTTTTTATCCAAAATAGACCTCTCAGGTGAGCACAGTGGCTCACACCTGTAATCCCAGCACTTTGGGAGGCAGAGGTGGGCAGATCACCTGAGGTCGGGAGTTCGAGACCAGTCTGACCAACATGGAGAAACCACATCTCTACTAAAAGTACAAAGATTAGCTGGCTGTGGTGGTGGGCACCTGTAATCCCAGCTACTCAGGAGGCTGAGGCAGGAGAATCGCTGGAACCCGGGAGGCAGAGGTTGCAGTGAGCCAAGATCATGCCACCACACTCCAGCCTGGGCAACTGGAGTGAAATTCTGTGTCAAAAAAAAAAAAAAAAATCAGCCAGGCGTGGTGGCACATGCCTGTAATCCCAGCTACTCAGGAGGCTGAGGCAGGAGAATCACTTGAACCTGGGAAGCCAAGGTTGCAGTAAGCTGAGATCATGCCACTGTACTCCAGCCTGGGTGACAGAGCAAGACTGACCCAAAAAAAAGAAAAATCTCTTAAAACAATCAGCCTGAATTGTCATAGAGAAACCTAATTTCTGCCTTTTGACCATAAAATAGGAAGTAATAATGACTTTTCAACGCTTGTACTCCATTTAAGGACTCAGGCGGCCGGGCACAGGGGCTCATACCTGTAATCCCAGCACTTTGGGAGGCTGAGGCAGGCGGATCATGAGGTCAGGAGTTCAAGACCAGCCTGGCCAGCATGGGGGAAACCCCTTGTCTGCTAAAAATACAAAAAAATTAGCCACGCGTGGTGGTGGGTGCCTGTAATCCCATCTACTTGGGAGGCTGAGGCAGGAGAATTGCTTGAACCTGGGAGGCAGAGGTTGCAGTGAGCCAAGATCGCGCCACTGCACTCCAGCCTGGGTGACAGGGCGAAACTCCATCTCAAAAAATAAAAATAAAAAAAGGACTCAGGCATAACATGAAGTATGCAATAATAATTAATGTTTATTACATGTTTGCATATGTAATGTTGCAGATGAGTAAACTGAAGCCCAGGGAGCTTAGGTAGCTTGCCCACAGATTGTCTATGGTGACCCAGTTGAACTGACTCAAGTTCTTAAAGTTTACTTTCAGTGAGATTAGCATAAATGCTAGATTATTCGTGGCCATGGAAAGGAAAAGGGCTGGGGTCAATGCTTCACGCCTGTCATCCCAGCACTTTGGGAGGCTGAGATGAGATGGAAGGATTGCGTGAGCCCAGGAGTTTGAGACACCAGTGAGCACTGGAGGGGACCACTGCACTCCAATCTGGGTAAGAGAGCAAGACCCCCCTCTCTAAAAATAAACAAACAAAAAACAGGGAGAAGTAAAAGACAAGACCTAGTGACTTTCCTTTGTTGTTGTTGTTTTTTTTGAGACAGTCTCGCTGTGATGCCTAGGCTGGAGTGCAGTAGTGTGATCTCAGCTCACTGCAACCCTCACCTCCCTGGTTCAAGCGATTCTCCTGCCTCAGCCTCCCGAGTCGCTGGGATTACAGGCGCCTGCCCCCACACTTGGCTAACTTTTGTATTTTTAATAGAGACAGGGCTTCACCATGTTAGCCAGGATGGTTTCAAACTCCTGACCTCGAGTGATCCACCCACCTCAGCCTCCCAAAGTGCTGGGATTACAGGCGTGAGCCACCGCGCCTGGCTGACTTTCCTTTTTTGCTGTTTTGTTTTTCTTCTCCAAGTTATTGGTAGAGGGACCTAGTGACTTTATGAATTGGGAGCAGAAATGGGGCACTGGGACACACATGGAATGAAGAAGGCTAACAAGATTTCTATTCTTAAATGCTCAGCCTTGAAATAACTCAGAGCAATATAACGCTAGGTGGCAATAGATCCCAGGCACTTGAAATTTACAGTCAGCCTGGCACGGTGGCATGAACCTGAGGTCCCAGCTTCTGAGAAGGTTGAAGCAGGCAGAGAAAATCTACAGTTAACTCATTGCACTTAAAGAGATTGGCAAAAATCCAAAATTATTAAAGGGGTTTATACCCTAGTGTTAACTTTTTTTTTTTTGAGATGGAGTCTTGCTCTGTTGCCCAGGCTGGAGTGCAGTAGCGCAATCTCGGCTCACTGCAACCTCCATCTCCTGGGCTCAAGTAACTCTCCTACCTCAGCCTCCCGAGTAGCTGGGATTACAGGTGCCTGCCACCACGCCCAGCCAATTTTTGCCTTTTTAGTAGAGATGGGGCTTCACCACATTGGCCAGGCTGGTCTTGAACTCCTGACCTCAGGTGATCCACCCGCCTCGGCCTCCCAAAGTACTGTGATTACAGGCATGAGCCACTGTGCACGGCTGGAGTCTCACTCTTTTACCCAGGCTGGAGTGCACTGGTGCGATCTCGGTTCACTGCAGCTTCCGCCTCCCAGGTTCAAGCGATTCTCCTGCCTCAGCCTCCTGAATAGCTGAGATTACAAGCACCCGACACGACACCTGGCTAATTTTGTATTTTTAGTACAGACGGGGTTTCACCATGTTGGCCAGGCTGGTCTTGAACTCGTGACCTCAGGTGATCCACCTGCCTCGGCCTCCCAGAGTGCTGGGATTACAGGTGTGAGCCACTGCGCCCGGCCTCAGCCCACCAATGTCTACACTACTACAGGACAGAAACTACCACTATCAAATGCCCCTTAAGCAATTTGGTGCTTAGGAAACATCTTTCCAATAATTGACAATTGGTGAAAATATATTTACCAAATGGGTTTGGGTCACCAGCAATACAACATTCCAATGACATGAACCATGAAAATATTTACCTTATGAATTTGTGTATAAAGATGAAGAAATATAACTTCGATTAATTTTACAATATTTATGGGCAAATTATTTATTTATTTATTTATTTTATATAGAGATGGAGTCTCACTATATTGCCCAGGCTGGTCTCCAATTCCTGGCCTCAAGCAGTCCTCCCACCTTGACCTCCCAAAATGCTGGGATTATAGGCGTGAGCCGCTGTGCATGGCCAAAGCAGTTTTGGTTTGGTTTGGTTTGTATTGGTTTTTAGAGACAGGATCTCACTGTGTCGCCCTGGCTAGAGTGCAGTAGCATGATAATAGCTCACTGCAGCCTCGAACTCCTGGCCTAAGGTGATCCTCCCACCTTGGCCTCCTGAGTAGCTGAAACTATGGGAACTTGCATGAGGCCCGGCTAATTTTTTTTTTTTTCTTGAGACGGAGTTTTGCTCTTGTCACCCAGGGTGGAGTGCAATGGCATGGTCTCAGCTCACTGCAACCTCGGCCTCCCTGGTTCAAGTGATTCTCCTGCCTCAGCCTCCCAAGTAGATGGGATTACAGGCATCTGTAGCCACCACGCCCGGCTATTTTTTTGTATTTTTAGTAGAAATGGGGTTTCACCATGTTGACCAGGCTGGTCTCAAACTCCTGACTGACCTCAGGTGATCTGCCCACCTCCCAAAGTACTGGGATTATGGGCGTGAGCCACCGAGCCCAACCTTTTTTTTTTTTTTAGAAATGGGTCCTCAGTATGTTGCCCAGGCTGGTCTGGAATTCCTGGCCTCAAGTGATCCTCCTGCCTCAGTGTCCCAAATTGCTAGGATTACAGGCATGAGCCACTGCCCCTGGCCAGCAAATAATTATATATAATTATATACAGTGCATATAATGTTCTTAGGTATGTATTAAAATGATGGCTCTATGTAAAAAGAAAGTTTCGGCTGGGCGCAGTGGCTCACTCCTGTAATCCCAACACTTGGGAGGCCGAGGTGGATGGATCACTTGAGGTCAGGAGTTTAAGACCATCCTGGCCAACATGGTGAAACCCCGTCTCTACTAAAAATACAAAATTAGCTGGGTGTCCTGTCAGGTGCCTGTAATCCCAGCTGGGAGGCTGAGGCAAGAGAATCACTTGAACCTGGGAGCTGGAGATTGCAGTGAGCTGAGATTGCACCATTGCACTCCAACCTGTCAACAGAGTGAGACTCCGTCTCAAAAATAAATAAATAAATACATAAATACATAAATAAATAAATAAATAAATAAATAATTTTACACAAGAGAACTTTGCTTTAGTACCACAATCACTGTAAACACAATCTGTAGCCCTTGGTGTTCGGAGTATATTTCCTGTTTTCCAGTCACTGGGCTATTTTGGTTTTATTTCTTATTCATGAGGCCTGAACTATAAACACGAAGTAAACACTGGACTTAGAATTTGGAGCATTTTTCTACTTCAGCTAGTAAACCTCAACATTTTGGAAATATTTTTCAAGTTATATGTAGATGATCTATTTCTGTCCTTTTTCTCTCCAAAACAAATAAAGACAAAATAATAAAACAATTTGGCTAGTTAGGGTTTACCTGAGGTCAGGAGTTAATGTCCCGTCCCATTGATCCAATTAGAGAATGTTTCACATACCTGTCTACAAATTTATCCTGTTGCAGTAACCAATCTGTTTTATAATTAAGTAGCTTACCAATTATTGCAGTGGCCTGCTCTGCTTCAATTTCTATTAACAAAAAGAAAATGAACTTGTAGCAGTATCTCAGACATTACTTTTCTTTGCTGATAGGAGCCAATTTTGGAATCTCCCCTGTTATAAATAAATGCTGTCAACCCTACAAGGTCCAGGAAAAGAAATTCAGACATTTGATACTTGCCAAACGTAGTTTCCACAGCAAATGTGCCATAAGTAATGCTGTTGTTCTCTGTAGCTTCATTCACAGGTTCTATGATTTGGCTATTCAAAAGAGGAGTTTGCTGGTTTGGGGGAAAGTAGGACTCTTGCAAGAGGAACCTGGGGAAATATCCTAATTATCTGTCCCCAAAGAGAAAATGTTGAGATGTTTTTTGGCAGTGATGCAGGATACTCATTGGCAGCTTTTTTATTCTGAAGGACTGTGTTAATTTTTCTTCTATTTCTCCTTTAACACTTGGCTAGATGATAAATATTGTGGCTTTTCTCTAATTAACTTTTTTTTTTTTTTTTTTAGACCAAGTTTTGCTCCTGTCGCCTGGTCTGGAGTGCAATGGTGCGATCTCGGCTCACTGCAACTTCCGCCTCCCTTGTTCAAGCAATTCTCCTGCCTCAGCCTCCCGAGTAGCTGAGATTACAGGCATGAGCCACCACAGGTGGCTAACTCTGTATTTTTAGTAGAGACGGGGTTTTTCCATGTTGTTCACGCTAGTCTCGAACTCCCGACCTCAGGTGATTTGCCCGCCTTGGCCTCTCAAAGTGTTGGGATTACAGGCATGAGCCACCGTGCCCGGACTTCTAATCAACTTTATAAAAAACAAAAACCGCTGCCAAGACATGCCTGGTATAATTTTAAAAACTGCACCCAGTAGTTTAGTAAATGCAAACCGTATAACTTCCCTACCTTGCAAATTTGTACTTAGCCAGCTATCTGATTTGATGTTAATGTAGAACCAGCCATAAAAAGGCATGTTATTCAGTCGGCTCCTTATTCTCCTGTGACTTTTTTTTTCCATTTAATTTATTATCTGAATAGGTAATACATGCAAATGGTATGAAAATTCACATGGCTTGAGAAGGTATCTCTGTCCCAGGCATTGCTCCTCTGCCCCAGTCCCCTGACCAGCTTGCTACTCAAGTGGACATGCCACCATCCTCCCCAGCTTCCCAGGCGGTATCCCCAGTGATGGGGACAAGGCTGGCACATCACATTTGTTTAATGAATGAATGCATTCAAAACATTCGTGAGTGCCCACCATGTGTCAAGCACTGGGGATCAGCAGTGAATAAAACAAAAATTCCTGACCCCACGAGGCTTATATTCAGCATTGCGAGACAAGCAATTACCAGATAAAGAAGTAAAGAAGGTCGGGTGCAGTGGCTCACACTTGTAATCCCAGCATTTTGGGAGGTCGAGGCGGGCAGATCACCGGATATCGGGAGTTCGAGACCAGCCTAGCCAACATGGTGAAACCCTGTCTGTACTAAAAATACAAAAAAATTAGCCAGGCATGGTGGTGGGAGCCTGTAATCCCATCTACTTGGGAGGCTGAGGCAGGAGAATTGCTTGAGCCCGGGAGGCGGAGGTTGTAGTGAGCAGAGATCATGCCATTGCACTCCAGTGTGGTTGACAGAGGGAGACTCCATCTAAAAAAAAAAAAAAAAAGAAGTAAAGAAATACATTATGTGGCACAAATGGTAAGTACTGTGGAGAAAAATAAAACAAGAAATGGGCTTAGGGACTTCTAGAGGTGGAAGTGGGACTGCCATTTTCAGTGGGTGATCAGGAAGGCCTCATACTGAACATGACATTTGAGTGATCTTTTTGAGGAATTCGGGGAGCCATGCAGAGATCTTGGAGGAAAAGCTTTTAAGGCAGAGGGAACAGCAAGTGCAAAGGCCCAGAGGCCAACCAGGCTGGGTTATTTTATTATTTTTACTTTTTTAGAGGTGGGGCTCACTCTGTCATCCAGGTGGGAGTGCAGTGGCATGATTATAGCTCACCGCAGCCTCGAATTCCTGGGCTCAAGCATTCCTCCTGCCTTGGCCTCTTGAGTAGCTGAGACTACAGGCGTGGTTATTTTAGAAACAGCAAGGGCACCAGTGTAGCTGGAACAGAGTTGCCAAGGGAGAAGTAGAGAAGGACAGTAAACAGATGCGTCAGGACCATGGAGGCCACTGTAAACCATTGGCTTTGACTCTGAGTGAGTCAGGAGCATCAGTGGGTTTACGGTTTAAGGGATCAATGCTCAATACTGCAGCACTGAGAATAGACTGTAAGGACACACAGGAGGTTGATGCTATTGCAGTAATCCAGATGGGCGTCAGTGGCGGGTTGGACCTGGTGATAGCAAGGAAAGTGAAAAGTGCTCACATTCTGGATAAATGTTGAAAGTAGGCTGGGCCTGGTGGCTCACCCCTGTAATCCCAGCATTTTGGGAGGTGGAGGTGGATGGATCACTTGTGCCCAGGAGTCTGAGACCAGCCTGGGCTACACAGAGAGACCCCATCTTTACAAAAAATAAAAAATTAGCTGGGCATGGTGGCACGTGCCTGTAGTCCCAGCTACTTGGGAGGGTAAGGCAGGAGGATAACTTGAGTCAAAGCTGCAGTGAGCTGAGATCATGCCACTGCACTCCAGCCTGGGTGACAGAGAGAGACTCCTCTGTCTCAAAAAAAGAAAAAAAAAAGGTGGCTGACAGGTGTAGCTGATGATTTTGATATGAATGTAAGAGGGAAAAAGAGGAGTCGGGTTTGACACCGAGGACTTTGACCTGAGCAACTGGAAGAAGGGAGGTGCCTTGGCTGAGATGAGGAAGGCTGTGGGAAGATGTTTGAAGGAAGAGTGGAGATCAGAAGTTATGCTTTAAAAATGGTAAATTTGATGCTCTTGATAGTTATGGGGTGAGACAGAGTGTGCAGCTGGAGAGAAGCCTGTGGTTCACAGGAGAGTTCTGAGCTGGAGACATCAGTTCAGGAGACAGCCATGAGACCCAGTGAGATCATAAAGGAGCAAGGGCCCTGGAGCCCTCTCATGTCTAGAGGCCAGGACAATGGGCAGGAACCAGCAGACGACACCGAAAAGCAGAAATAGCAAGGTGAGGAAAAAGCCAGTGCGCTGTGTCCCGGAAGTCGGGGGAGAAAGTGATCAGCTGGGCCCCATGTTGCTAGACATGTTAAGATGCAGTCCGAAAATGGACAATTGGATTGAGCAATCTGGCAATGACCTCGCAATAGGAGAGCTAAGCAAGTTTCCAGCCTTGAAATTGTATAATCCTTTTAGTTTTTTGGGTTTTATTTTTATTTTTGGAGGCTGAGTCTTGCTGTATTGCCCAGGCTGGAATGAAGTGGCGTGATCTCGACTCACTGCAACCGCTGCCTCCCAGGTTCAACCAATTCTCCTGCCTCAGCCTCCTGAGTAGTGGGGATTACAGGCACTCACCACGCCCAGCTAATTTTTGTATTTTTAGTAGAGACAGGGGTTTCACCATGTTGACCAGGCTGGTCTCGAACTCCTGACCTCAATCCACCCTCCTCAGCCCCCCAGAGTGTTGGGATTACAGGCGTGAGCCACCGAGCCCGGCCTATCCTTTCAGTTTATGCAAGCTATTATATTTCAAATTAAACAATGAAGGAAGAGTCAAACAATGCTAAAGCAGTCCCCTCATCAGAGGTAACATGGCACCTCCCACATCGAAGAGCAAGGGTAGGAAGCATGGAGCCCCCCAGCTGTTTTTGAAACTGTGACTGCCCTCATCATTTTTGGGACATTACTTCTACCTGAGGCCTCTTGATTGGAGTCAAAATTGAAATCCAAGTCAGCCTGGTTCCAAGGGCTATGTCCCTTTCTCCTTATGACATTTTTATTTCTTTTTAGAGCAAAATGTTTTCACCAGCTTCTGGAAGTTACAAATCCATTTTCTTCATCTTTTGCTCTGCTTTAGAAAAATGTGAAACTGAATGGCCGGGCGCGGTGGCTCACTCCTGTAATCCCAGCACTTTGGGAGGCCAAGGCGGGCAGATCACGAGATCGGGAGATGGAGACCATCCTGGGTAACGTGGTGAAACCCCATGTCTACTAAAAACACAAAAAGATTAGCCGGGCATGGTGGCGGGCGCCTGTAGTCTCAGCTACTCGGGAGGCTGAGGCAGGAGAATGGTGTGAACCTGTGAGGCAGAGGTTGCAGTGAGCCGAGATCACACCACTGCACGCCAGCCTGGGTGACAGAGTGAGACTCTTTTGTCTCAAAAAACAAAAAGAAGGAAAGAAAAATGTGAAACTGTACTGTAGGGTAGTTTTCTTTTTCCAAACATTTTTTTGTGCTGCTTACTGGTCTGAAAAATATTCTTCTAATCAATAATAATATATTTGAGACATTCATGGACAGGTTAAGAATGAGAGGATCCCTTTGGAAGGAACAAGGCAACAAAGACCCCAGTTCATAGAAGATCATACTTTTGTTAGGCAGTTTGCCTCAAACTTCTCCTGTGATGCTTAGCATCCAAACTGGTGTAAGGTAAATGATTCCTCCTAGTTGAGTCCTTGTCCTGTCCTTAACCATGCATCCCAGATCAGTCCTGTCCATGGTTCTTATTCTTTTTACTCTCACTTAGTGGGATTGGGAGCAAGGAATGCAGATTTTTTTTTTTTTTAACTCTGTTGCCCAGGCTGGAGTGCAGTGGCATGATCTTGACTCACTGCAACTTCTGCCTCCCTGGCTCAAGTGATTCTCTCTCGTGCCTCAGCCTCCTGAGTAGCTGGGATTACAGGCATGCACCACCACGCCCAGCTAACTTTTGTATTTTTAGTAGAGACGGGGTTTCACCATGTTGGCCAGGCTGGTCTCAAACTCCTGACCTCAGGTGATCCACCTGCCTCGGCCTCCCAAAGTGCTGAGATTACAAGCGTGAGCCACTGAACCCGGCTGGGGGGCAGATTTTACATCTACCTCTACAGGCCATGGATTTGGCCACAGAAATTCACCTGTGGCATATCAGAGTATAATTGGCAGAGTGTTTTCTTTCTTTCTTAATGGTACATAAATTGTGGAGTGTCTTACATCCACAGGCATCTTGGATTTGATGAATTATGATGCTGGCCACATGCAAGCTATCCATGGCCCTATCTAGGCTGCTGTAGGTGCCACACAGTTGCTATGCTCACCTGTATCTCTTTTAGTCCCCAGTATGTCATGTTTTTCTTTCAGTATTAGCTACTTATTTTCTTACTTCCCCCATTCATTCCATGAAAATCTTTCTCCATAACTCATTTTCCTTTTTTGGAAATGGCATTCTGTAAACCAGAGGCATTGCCTTTTATTTCTTCTCTTACTGGATTAATTTTTTTGCCTCCCAGGAAATGAAATTAACTACATTCCATAAAGCCCCGGCCGCAGTGGTGGGGAAGGCAGGAGACACAAGGCAGAAGTCAGGGATGGAGATTGTCTTCCGGGCATGTGGGAACTTGCTGGGGTGCCATGGTGTAGCCCCCTTCCCTCTCTGAGCCTAGGCACTTGTATCAGGGAAAGAAGTCACTGAATTCGCCAGTCAAGGTCCCTCCTGCCCTAAATTCTAGAGTTCATTTGAGCCCCACAAATCCTCACTGGAAAAGAAGTTCTGATGCAACCCCCAGCCTGCCCTGGTGAGGGACAGCTCCAAGACTATGCTGACCAGAGCAATCAGTGCCTCCTCTCTGGCAGAGTAAATAGCCACAGTCAACGCACCTCCCACAACCACGCTCCTCCACCACCTTGACTGATCTGTCCTACCTGTCACAGATCTGTGTCTAACATCAGAGAGCATTTCCGAGGTACAAAAACTGGGAACACAGGAAGGTGGGCACAAACTCGAAGACCCAGAGGGACAGATCCCACTGTAATTGTTTACTGTCTGTCTCCCTCAGACTGTGTCCCGTTCAACCTTGTGCCCACCCCCACCTGCTCCCCCACACTTGGCAATCAACTGCACAGAACAGGTACCCAGGAAGTGCCAAGGGAGTGAATAGTTCAGATGTGGGCGTGAGAGAAGTGCCCAATGAGTTCATTCATTGGAAAGAAGGAAATTATCTGATGCCACTGTGGGGGTTAGGGAAGACCTAAGATTCAGCACACCATGCTAGGAAATGCCTAAGAAACACAGGAGGACTGTGGCAGACGTCTGCTGTTTCTGGTTCCCAGCCTCGTTGGCCTTGAACGTTCGCCTCCCAATTTTCTTTGAATTCACCACCTCTCCCCACTCTAGTCAACCCATGCGAGTCTCCCTTTCAAATCAACCTATGTGAGTGACCCCAGCAAGAGGTCCTGCCAGTGCAACAAGGCCCAGGCCGCAGGGACAGACATGTTATAAAGTTTGGGCAAATGAGAGTCCTCCCTAGGACTCTTGCTAGAACTATTGGGATAGGCACACTTCCCACAGTGTCTCCAAACTCGGAGGAGCAGCTGGCGGCCCTTTCATCACCACAGGGAGCCCTAGCCCAAGAATAAAGCCAGCCCCAAAAAAAGCCAAACCAAGAGATGGAAGGAGATGGTTTCTTGAGGCCCTTGTCTGAGTCCCTCAATCTAGCCATGCATGACATTCCTTAGACTTTTCAGTAAGGTGTGCTAATCATTTTCTTTTTCACCCCAAAACCAGTTTGAGTTAGATTTCTGTCACAGGCAAGCAAAAACTTCCCAATACAGGCAACAGATTTTTCTTTTATTATTATTAATTGGCTGATTTGCTGGGCATAGTGGCACACACCTGTAGTCCCAACTATCTGGGATGTGGGAGTACTGCTTGAGTCCAGGAGTTTGAGACCAGTCTGGGCAATATAGCGAGACTCTGTCTTAAAAAAAAAAAAAAAAAAGAAAGGAGGCTGGGCATGGTGGCTCACTCCTGTAATCCCAGCACTTTGGGAGGCTGAGGTGGGTGGATTACCTGAGGTCGGGAGTTCAAGACTAGCCTGACCAACATGGCGAAACCCTGTCTCTACTAAAAATACAAAATTAGCTCGGCGTGGTGGTGCATGCCTGTAATCCCAGCTACTCAGGAGGCTGAGGCAGGAGAATTGTTTGAATCTGGGAGGCACAGGTTGCAGTGAGCCGAGGTCGTGCCATTACACTCCAGCCTGGGCAACAAGAGCAAAACACTATCTCAAAAAAAAAACAACAAAAAAAAACCTGGTGTGATTCCGTCCTGCGCGGCTATTCTCCCTGTTTAGGGGCTGGTACAAAGGATGAATTGCACATTGTTGAAGTAGAGGCAATGAATTACAAAGGCAGTCCAATTAAAGTAACACTGGCAACTTTGAAAATGTCTGTACAGCCAAAGGATTCCCTTGGAGGCTTTGAAATCACACCACCAGTGGTCTTACGGTTGAAGTGTGGTTCAGGGCCAGTGCATATTAGTGGACAGCACTTAGTAGCTGTGGAGGAAGATGCAGAGTCAGAAGATGAAGAGGAGGAGGATGTGAAACTCTTAAGTGTATCTGGAAAGCGGTCGGCCCGTGGAGGTGGTAGCAAGATTCCACAGAAAAAAGTAAAAGTTGCTGCTGATGAAGATGAAGATGATGATGATGAGGATTTTGATGATGGGGAAGCTGAAGAAAAAGCGCCGGTGAAGAAATCCATACGAGATACTCCAGCCAAAAATGCACAAAAGTCAAATCAGAATGGAAAAGACTCAAAACCGTCAACACCAAGATCAAAAGGACAAGACTCCTTCAAAAAAACAGGAAAAAACTTCTAAAACACCGAAAGGACCTAGTTCCATAGAAGACATTAAAGCGAAAATGCAAGCAAGTATAGAAAAAGCGCATTGAACAGTCCTGGGCACTGCTGGTAAATTAAGCCCAAAGATGGGGAGAAAGGAAAAGGAGAGACAAATATAGTCCATACTGAGTGTCATCAACAATCCAGACTGAAGTCTTCTATTTTAATTTCAATCCCCTTTTCTGATTTGCCACCCATGCCTCTTCAGGCTGGAAATAATCTCACGCTTGGTTCCCTAAAGCACTTTCTTCCGGCTGCTGTGATTCAGTGAACCTTGCCCTTTCCTTTCTATTACTTGTGCATTTGCCTCACCTCTGACAATGTTTTAAGTCGCCTTTGTATCTCCTTAGCTGCTTAATAAATATTTGAATGAATCAAAAAAAAAAAAAGGAAAGAAAACAGAAAAAAAAAGATAAACTGGCAGATTTGAAACAATTGTAGGTTTAAGAGGAAAAACTTATAACAAATAGCTGGGAATGATACCATCAGAGATGAGCTCAAGAGCAGTGGTGGGAAGAGGCCTGCTGCCAGCGCCACCCCTGCTCCCGCCCTGCTGGTGTGGTCAGAGCAAGGTGCTGCAATGGACTCAAGAACATTCCTATCATCCTGATGAAGTCATAAAATAGAAACCTCACTCTTTTGTCTTCCTGTTAGCAGGTGTTTGGAAGCCTTCAAACAGTTTCCAAAAGTCTCAGCAAGCTGAGAGCAGGGGCTCTCAGAAGCCCACGGGGGATGTTTGGCACCTGTTTTGCTGGTAAAACGCGAGGAAGTCCATATGTACTCTTGCCACCCCCAGTGTGACCAGACGGAAGTTTCTCCCCTCTTTACGTTGTAAATGTCTTGCATAATTTAGCCTCTCTTTTCCTGGTTAAACGTTACCCACAGCTGCCTGCTAAATGGAAAAATGACCAACACATCACCAGGCAGGTATGTGTCCATGAAGAATTTCCCACGAACCAGCAGGGATGTTGACCTCTCATTTTAACAACCTGGGGTTGTGAGACCATAAAAATCACTTGTGCGGGGGGTATAGGGTTGCAATTAATTGTTCCTCACAGATGCTACTGTGTCAGGAAGTGAGGGCTTTCTCTGATGATATAATGACCTTCATTCAGCCACCAGATCCTTTAAGCAGGTAACACTAGCCCAGTGGCAGAGTTTTTATTGTTTCCTTTCAAAAGCCATGTTTTCGGAGATTAAAAATTTGTTCTGCTTGCATTGAAGTAGGCCTTAAAAACAAAACAAACTTTTTGTTTGTTTTTGAGACGAAGTCTCGCTCTGTCGCCAGGCTGGAGTGCAATGGTGTGATCTCAGCTCACTGCAACCTCTGCCTCCCCAGTTTGAGCAATTCTGCCTCAGCCTCCCGAATAGCTGGGACTACAGGCATATGCCACCATGCCCGGCTAACTTTTGTACTTTTAGTAGAGACGGGGTTTCACCACATTGGCCAGGCTGGTCTCAAACTCCTGACCTAGGTGATCTGCCCGCCTTGGCCTCTCAAAGCACTGGGATTACAGGTGTGAGCCCACCATGACCAGATGTTGAATGAATTTTGACAAATACATACACCTGTGCAACCAGCCCCACAATCAAAATGCAGAATAATTCCATCACTCCAAAGTTCCCTCATGCTCCTTTGCGGCCAATCTCCTCCCACAACCCCTGGTTCCAGGCTACCACTGATCTCATTTCTGACCCTATAGTTTGTCTTTTCTATGATTTCTTTTTTTTTTTTTTTTTTTTGAGACGGAGTCTCACTCTGCCACCCAGACTGGAGTGCAGTGGCACAATCTCAGCTCACTGCAACTTCCCCCTTCCAGGGTTCAAGTGATTCTCCTGCCTCAGCCTCCCAAGGAGCTGGGACTACAGGCGCCTGCCATCACGCCTGGCTAAACTTTTCTATAATTTCATATGAATGGAATCATACAGCATAGACTCATTTTTCTCTGTTTCACAGACCATCATCCATGCATCAGTAGTTCTTTTTATTGCTAGGTGAATGAAGCACAGTTTGTCCATTCACCAGCTGATAGACATTTTAATTGCTTCCAGTTTTATGCTATCATTAATAAAGCACTTATAAATATTCATATACAAGGCTTTGAATGAACATATGTTTTTATTTCTCTTGGATAAATACGTACAAGTTGGATCTCTGGGTTATATGATAAATTTATTCTAACTTTATAGGAACCTGCCAAACTATTTCCAACAGCAATGTATGGGAGTCCCAGTCGCTCTACATCCTTGCCAATATTTTGTATAGTCAGAATTTTCAATTTTAGCCACTCTAGTGGGTGTTTAGTGATACCTCATTGTGGTTTTAATTTTGGCCTCTCATTTGACAGAGAATCATAGGCAGAAGAGTCAAAGCTTGGACTTCGCACCCATGGTCTTTTGAAGGCCACAGGCAGGGAAGGCAACGCCCATGCACCCAAGTCAAAACATGTGGAGAAAATCTTACCCTGTGGAGGAAAAACCCACTTGTGGATTTGTTTCAAAACTTAGTTTAGATCTTTTGAGTTTTCACATTCGTGTGAGATGTGCCTCCCTCAAACCTTGTTACTACCTTGGCACATTACATATCTGATGTGAAAATTAAATAAAAAAGAAAAGAAAAAAAAAGTTTATGAGGGAAACTCATTACCCACCTGTATCGTAATGGAGATGAATCTCCTAGAGCGATCTAAACATGCGGCTTTTCTGGTTTTGAAAGGGGAAGAGCTGGCTTGGAGCGCCACACACTGGGCCACGATCTTGACCTCAATCTCGTCAATCCTCCTGGGCATTTCTTCAGGACCGTGGTCAAAGAACAGATAAACGAACAGTGTGTCAGGCACCGTTCCACACATTGGTGACCTGGGCCCTGTCCTTATGGAGCTTACTATCCCATGAGGAAGGCAGATGCCAAACAAGTGATTATAAGTTGTGTGCTATGGAAAGCAGGCGCACTAAGCCAGGAGCACATGATAAGGGGACTTAACCCAACCCCAGCGGCAGGAAAGGGCCCAAGCCTTCCAGGAAGGGAAAGAACGCACACAAAGCTCTGGGGAGGAACTGGCAGTGTGACTTAGAGGAAACCAGGGAAGTCCAATATGGTCACGGCCTAAGAAAGAGCCTGACAAGAACACAGAGGCCCAGGCTCATGGCAGCAGGATAGGGCCTGGGCCTTTGTTTTTTCCCAAGTTCCCAAGCTGTCCTGATGGCAACCAAAGTTTAAGAACCACAGCCTCAGAACAATCCTCCAGGCTACCTCTCCTGCACCAAACACAGCCCCTGTTGGATGGAAGTTGATTCCTCCAGAGGGCCGTCTTAAGCCTCCACGCTGTGCAATTCTCTATCACTTCTTTAGTCTTTTTTCAGATGGTGGGTTTTTCACTATTATATGGCTTTATTTACTTTATTTATTTATTTATTTATTTTTGAGTTGGAGTCTCGCTCTGTCACTCAGGCTAGAGTGCAATGGCGTGATCTCTGCTCACTGCAACCTCCGCCTCCCGGGTTCAAGCAATTCCGGCCACAGCTTTCCGAGTAGCTGGGATTACAGGCGCCTGACACCATGCCCGTAAAATTTCTGTACTTTTAGTAGAGACAGGGTTTTGTCATGTTGGCCAGGCGGGTCTTGAACTCCTGACCTCAAGTGCCTGCCTTGGCCTCCCAAAGTGCTGAGATTACAGGAGTGAGCCACCATGCCCAGCCTATTTATTTATTTATTTATTTATTTATTTATTTATTTATTTTGAGATGGAGTCTCGAACTGTTGCCCAGGCTGGAGTGCAGTGGTGCCATCTCAGCTCACTGCAAGCTCTGCCTCCCAGGTTCACGCCATTCTCCTGCCTCAGCCTCCCGAGTAGCTGGGACTACAGGCGCCCGCCACCATGCCAGGCTAAATTTTTTTTTGTATTTTTAGTAGAGACAGGGTTTCACCATGTTAGCCAGGATGATCTCGATCTCCTGACCTTGTGATCTGCCCACCTCGGCCTCCAAAGTGCTGGGATTACAGGCGTGAGCCACTGAGCCTCGGCCTATTTATTTTTTAAATCAACTTTATTTAAGTATAATTTACAAACAGTAAAGTTTACCAATTTTAAATAAAATATTCAATGGGTTTCAACAAACCCATACAGTTGTAAAACCACCATTACTCCAACCATCACTCTTGCCCCTTTGCAGTCAAGCCCCTTCCCCCATTCCCAGCTGCAGGTAGCCACTGATCGGCTTTCTGAAACAACGGTTCTGCCTTTCTGTTCTTTCTTGTAAATACAGTATGTGGTGTTCTGTGTCTAGTTTCTGTCATTTAGTGTAATGCTTTAGAGATTCATCTATGTCACCTGTATCAGTAATTCATTTTTTTTAAATTTCTAAGCAGTGTCCCACTGTATCGATTACTACAATTTGTTCACCAATTGGTGGGCATTTGGATTGTTTCCAGTGGTTGGCTATTAGAAATGAAACTTTTGTGAAAGACAAGTACAGGTTTTTTTGTGAACGCTTCCATTTCTTTTTTTTTTTTTTTTTTTTTTTGAGACGGAGTCTTGCTCTGTCGCCCAGGCTGGACTGCGGACTGCAGTGGCGCAATCTCGGCTCACTGCAAGCTCCGCTTCCCGGGTTCACGCCATTCTCCTGCCTCAGCCTCCCGAGTAGCTGGGACTACAGGCGCCCGCCACCGCGCCCGGCTAATTTTTTGTATTTTTAGTAGAGACGGGGTTTCACCTTGTTAGCCAGGATGGTCTCGATCTCCTGACCTCATGATCCACCCGCCTCGGCCTCCCAAAGTGCTGGGATTACAGGCGTGAGCCACCGCGCCCGGCCGAACGCTTCCATTTCTTGTGAGTAGATAACTCAGGAGTGAAATGCTAGGTCATAGGTATGTTTACTTTTTTTTTTTTTAAAGACGGAGTTTCGTTCTTGTTGCCCAGGCTGGAGTGCAATGGTGCCATCTCGGCTCACCGTAGCCTCCACCTCCTGGGTTCAAGCGATTCTCCTGCCTCAGCCTCCCGAGTAGCTGGGATTACAGGCATGTGCCACCACGCCCGGCTAATTTTGTATTTTTAGTAGAGACGGGGTTTCTCCATGTTGGTCAGGCTGGTCTTGAACTCCAGACCTCAGGTGATCCGCCTGCCTCAGCCTCCCAAAGTGCTGGGATTATAGGCATGAGCCACCGTGCCCGGCTGGTATGTTTATAAGAATCTGCCAGAAGCCAGGCTTGGTGGCACGTGCCCATAGCCCTAGCTATTCAAGAGGCTGAATTAAAACCCAATTGTGTTTGAATAAAAGCACTATCAGGCCGGGTGCGGTGGCTCACACCTGTAATCCCAACACTTTGGAAGGCCGAGGCAGGCAGATCACTTGAGGTCAGGAGTTCGATACTACCCTAGCCAACATGGAGAAACCCTGTTTCTACTAAAAATACAAAAATCAGCCGAGCATGGTGGCACATGCCTGTGGTTCCAGCTACTCCGGAGGCTGAGGCAGGAGAATCGCTTGAACTTGGGAGGAGGAGGTTGCAGTGAGCCAAGATTGCGCCACTGCACTCCAGCCTGGGCAACAGAGCGAGACTCAGTCTTAAAAAAAAAAAAAAAAAAAAAAAAAGCACTCTCACTGCAGAAAGGAAAATAGGTTGAAAGGGACCAAAGGCCAGTTAAGCATCTTTTACAGTAATTTAGGTTGGAGGCTTTGAGAGGGAGTTAGAAAATCTCTGGTCAACATTTATATCAGTAGACAAAGGGGCTGCAGGAATAGGGATAGGAAAGAATAATTTACCTTTGCATGTGCTGAGTGCACAGACGAACTGTGAACTTGACCCGTGTTGGGCTGTGAGTGAGTCACAGAGCCTGGCAAAGATCTGCTCCTGACTGTGCTTGGGGACTGGGGATCCCACCAATGGGAACAGGTGGGAACAAAGACAAGAGATACTTCTGTAACCACCCAAGAGGTTCACCTTGCCCACTGCCTAGACAGAGCCGATTCATCAAGACAGGGGAATTGCAATAGAGAAAGAGTAATTTACGCAGAGCTGGCTGTGCGGGAGACTGGAGCTTTATTATTACTCAAGTCAGTCTCTCCAAGCATTCGGGGAGTGGAGCTTTTTTTTTTTTTTTGAGATGGAGTCTCGCTCTGTCGCCCAGGCTGGAGTGCAGAGGCGCAATCTCGGCTCACTGCAAGCTCCGCCTCCCGGGTTCACGCCATTCTCCTGCCTCAGCCTCCCAAGTAGCTGGGACTACAGGCGCCTGCCACCACGCCAGACTAATTTTTTGTATTTTTAGTAGAGACGGGGTTTCACCGTGTTAGCCAGGATGGTCTCGATCTCCTGACCTCGTGATCCACCCGCCTCAGCCTCCCAAAGTGCTGGGATTACAGGTGTGAGCCACCGTGCCCAGCATTGGCCATGCAGAGCTTTTAAAGATAATTTGGTGGGTGAGGGGAAGCCAGTGAGCCAAGAGTGCTGATTGGGCAGGTCAGAGATGAAATCATAGGGAGTGGAAGCTGTCTTCTTGTGCTGAGTCAGTTCATGGATGGGGACCACAAGATCAGATGAGCCAGTTTATTGATCTGGGTGGTGCCAGCTGATCCATCAAGTGCAGGGTCTGAAGAATATCTCAGGCACTGATCTTAGGAGCAGGGTAGGGAGGGTCAGAATCTTGTAGCCTCCAGCTGCATGACTCCTAAACCACAATTTCTAATCTTGTAGCTAGTGTTAGTACTACAAAGGCAATCTAGTCCTCAGGCAAGAAGGAGGTCAGCTTGGGAAAGGGCTGTTACCATCTTTGTTTAAACTATAAACTAAGTTTCTCCCAAAGTTAGTTTAGCCTATGCCCAGGAAAGAACAAGGATAGCTTAGAAGTTAGAAGGAAGATGGAGTCGGTGAAGTTAGATCTCTTTCACTGTCTCAGTCATAATTTTGCAAAGGCAGTTTCAGTTCTTATCTCCTTGGCTGAGACCAGGAAATATATTATCACAGGAATGGAGTTGTAAGTAGTGGCTGGTTGTCTTTTGAAATAACACCATGTCACAACAGCATTCAATTATTATTAATTTACAAAGCAGCTAATCTTGATGGGCACTGTCAGATATGGGTATGGATATGGGTGAGACACTTACCCTTCCTTCAAGTTGCTCATAGTTTAGTAAGTGAGCAAACTAACTGTGCTGACTTTGGTTTTTTTGTTTGTTTGTTTGTTTGTTTGTTTGTTTTGAGACAGAGTCTTGCTCTTGTCTCTTGTCGCCCAGGCTGGAGAGCAATGGCACAATCTTGGCTCTCTGCAACCTCCACCTCCCAGGTTCAAGTGATTCTCCTGCCTCAGCCTCTCGAGTAGCTGGGATTACAGGCACCTGCCACCACGCCTGGCTAATTTTTGTATTTTTTTTAGTAGAGACAGGGTTTCGCCATGTTGGCCAGGCTAGTCTTGAACTCCTGACCTCATGATCCGCCAGCCTTGGCCTCCCAAAGTGCTGGGATTACAGGCGTGAGCCACCGTGCCCAGCCCTGACTGTGGTTTCTAACACTGTCTCTACAGGAAGCCGTCTCTCTAACAGTCTCTCAGATCTTAACCTATTTATTTGTATCCCCTTACTGAGTGGGCCCAATACCTGTGAAGGGCAGCTGTGTAACAGCATCACCACAACTCTGTTGTACGAGTTGAAGTTCATTGCATTAACTTTGAAGGATTAATTAATATAGTGTCTCTCTTCCAGGATTCCTATAGGACATGCTTCTAAGGGCTCAGGCCAGGAGTGGGCTCCATCCTCAGCTTTTTTTCAGAAGCTACAGAAGCAACTGTTTTCACCCCCATACTCAGAGCGAGTGAAATGGGGGTTGCCGGAAGAAAGTGCTTCACGACGACAGAGTGGTTATCAAAATATGCCAATCAGCCACACAGCTCCCAGCTCACCAGATTTGTCAAAGGGCCAATCAGCTCTAAGGGTTTCTGTGGAGAAAAATGCTCATTTATTGGGAGACAGAAAGGAGAGCTTTGGCTGAAACCACTTTGCCTTCACCAGCAACTTTTTAATCCCTTTGTCTGGTGCATGAAATCAGTTCCCAGAACACAGAGGTTATTAATAACTGTGGGACCTTTTCCCAGTCTCCAGATCAATTGGCAGAAGCCTCTGGTTATTTCCTTCTGGATGCTTCTATTATTTGGAGCTGAGAAGTGACCTCCTCCTCAAAACCTGTACAGATTTTCACCTGGCTTGGGAATTACACAGTCACCCACCAGCCCCCAGCCTTGCCTCCTCTCCACTCTTCCCTGGCTGGGCTGGCTCGGTGCAAGGCTGGTGTCTTTGCTTCCACCGAGAGACTACGTGCTGTCCAGTGGAGTCCAGCACGCACCTCTCTTCCCACTGGTTCCTCACTGCCAGGTGAGGTCCAGGGCGTTGATCCGGATCCATGGAGCCAGGCTGATGTACAATGAGTCACTCTGAGCTGGCTCCTCTCCTCATGCTTGGCAGAGGTCCTAGCATCAGCTGCTGGGCAGGTGCTGAGCAAGGCCGAGGTCTTAACTTGGCGACACTGGGGTGGACATTTCTCCAGGAGGAGCTGCTGTGATCGGCAGGACTCAGTAGAGAGAGTGTCTTACATGTAGGGCTTCCCCCTTCTCTCCCTCTTGCTTCCTTCCTGCGGGGGCCAAGCCATGCCTGTGGCTTTACCAGGATCTCAGTGCAGGAAATGTTGCAGCTCCTCTGACTCTCACCTCCTCTCTCAGCTCCAGGTCGCCCCTTGCTTGCTGGCCGCATCACAAGGAATGGCCCTCAGCACCCGAACCCAGACAGGCACAGTGGGCTGGACAAATCTGGGTCATACTGGCTAAACACCGTTAGCTTCCCTGTGAAATGAAAGCAAGAGCCTTCACCTTGCAAGGCTGAGGGAGGTGGGGGCAAAGCACCTCCCATGCGGGCACAGTGGGCCTCTACTGAGGGTTTGATCATTAGGAGCGTTGTCACCTCTGAGAGCTGACCTCATCTCTCCCCACAAACCCGCTCACCCGGTCTGCTTCCTGTCTGGGTGGATGGCATCATCACTCTTAGTCACTCAGACTGAACGAAGCAGCTCTCTTCTGGCTCATCTTGCACTGGCCTATTTGTATGTGTGTGTGTGGGGTAAATATACCTAAAATGCATATTTTTTTGAGACAGGGTCTCACTCTGTTGCCAAGGCTGGAGTACAGTGGAACCATCTCTGCTCACTGCAGCCTCCACCTCCAGGATTCAAACCGTCCTCCCACCTCAGCCTCTGAAGTAGCTGGGACTACAGGTGCATACCACCACGCCCAGCTAATTTTTGTATTTTTTTTGTAGAGACAAGGTTTCACCATGTTACCCAGGTTGGTGGGGTTTGTTTGTTTGTTTGTTTTGAGACAGAGTCTCGCTCTTTCTCCCAGGCTAGAGTGAAATGGCATGATTTTGGCTCACTACAATCTCCGCCTCCTGGGTTCAAGCGAGTCTCCTGCCTCAGCCTGCTGAGTAGCTGGAATTATAGGCGCCCACCACCATGCCCGGCCAATTTTTGTATTTTTAGTAGAGACGGGGTTTCACCATGCTGGCCAGCATGGTCTCGAACTCCTGACCTCAGGTGATCCACCTGCCTCGGCCTCCCAAAGTGCTGGGATTACAGGCATGAGTCACTGTGCCTGGACCCAGGCTGGTTTTGAACTTCTAAGCTCAAGCTACCCACCTGCCTCAGCCTCCCACAGTGCAGGGATTATAGGCATGAGCCACCGCACCTAGCCTAAAATGTAGCATCTTAACCATTTTTAAGTGTGCAGTTGAGTGGCATTAAGTACCTTCGCACTGTTGTGCAACCATCACCACCACCCATCCACAGAACTTTTTCACACTCTCCAACTGAAACTCTGCGCCCATTAAACACTCACTTCCCGTTCCCCTCTCCTCTCAGGTCCTGGCAACCACCATCTTACTTTCTATCACTACAAATTTGACTACTCTAGGGACCTCATGTAAGTGGAATCATACAGGATGTGTCCTTTTGTGTCTGGCTTATCTCACTTATCACAATGTTCATAACGTTCATCCGTGTAGTAGCACGTGTCAGAATCTCCTTGCTTTTTCAGGCTGAATAATATTCCATTGTATGTATATACCACATTTTGTTTATCCACTCACTGGTCTATTTTTTTTTTTTTTCAGACGGAGTCTTGCTTTGTCTCCCAGGCTGCAGTGCAGTGGCACAATCTCGGCTCACTGCAACCTCCGCCTCCCGGGTTCAAGAATTCTCCTGCCTTAGCCTCCTGAGTAGCTGAGATTACAGGTGTGTGCTACCATGCCCGACTAATTTTTGTATTTTTAGTAGAGACGGGGTTTCATCATGTTGGCTAGGCTGGTCTCGAACTCCTGACCTCAGGTGATCCATCCACCTTGGCCTCCCAAAGTGCTGGGATTACAGGCGTGAGCCACCGAGCCTAGCCTCGTTGGTCTATTTTTTTGTTTCGAAACGGAGTTTTGCTCTTGTTGCCCAGGCTGGAGTGCAATGGCATGATCTCGGCTCACTGCAACCTCCGCCTGCCGGGTTCAAGCAATTCTCGTGCCTCAGCCTCCCGAGTAGCTGAAGTACAGGCATGCACCACTACACCCAGCTAATTTTGCATTTTTTGTAGAGACAGGGTTTCTCCATGTTGGTCAGGCTGGTCTCGAACTCCCGACCTCAGGTGATCCACCCGCCTCAGCCTCCCAAAGTGCTGGGATTATGATCTATTTTTTAAAAGGACTTTTGGATAGGAAATTAACACACAGAGCTTTAAAACCCACCCACTACAGAACAGGATAGGGTGCCTCTTGTTTCCTGGTGGCCCGAAGGCAGGGCCTCCTTTGGGCCTTTCTCCCCTGCCCTCTCCCTGTCCACAGTCTTCTGTCTTTCCCTCAGCAGTGTCCTTCCTGTTGGTCTTCCTCTCTGTTCCCGCTGCCCAGCTCTGGTTTCTGCTCTAATACCTCCTCATCCTCAGGTGTTCCCACCCAGACTCTGCCTCCTAGAAGCTGGACTACAAGTGCTGCCAGGGAAGCTGCCTAAGGTTCAGCCCCTGCCCTACCAGCCCTTAGCCTCTGAGGCTGCCCTCCAGCTTGTCCCAGCTGACCATGACTGACGTGTGTCCCCCTGCACCGGATGGACTTCCTTGCCAAACTGCTTGGAGAGCCCTTCTTTCTCCCAAGAGTCAGCAGGAGTTCTCCTTCCTTAGAAAGGTCCCTGAACTCTTCCTGCCAGCCCTACCTGAATTTCTTTCTCTCCTTTGTGCTCCTACAACAGTGACCCTATTCTGACTCGTGCTCTGTAGCCACTTGGCTACTTTCCAGTCTCTTCTAAGATAAGCAAACTCCTGGAAGGAAAAAACAAGGCCCATTTACCTTTGAGTGTCCCCAGGGCTAGCCAGTGCCCTGCCTAGAGGAAGCCACAGTCAGCAAGTGTGGAATCTGGAAAGCTCTCGGAGGAATCTTTGCCAGGCCCAGGTGCAGAGACTGGACTGGGGGTTGTTATTTAGCTTATCGGAGCCTCCATTTCCTCAGACTGGGAAAATGGTTTTTCCTCACAGGCTGGCAGAGAGAATGCAACCAGTGTAAATTAAAGACAGTATTTGATAAATGTGGGTCCCCCTAGGTGGGAGCAGGACTGTTTGTTAGGTGTCAAGGGTCTGTGAAACAATCCCCTCCCTAGGGCAAGTGGCTGGTGCAGTGCTCGTCCAGAATCATTGAAGGCAGGGAAGCCTGGCTTGGGAGAGAGAGGTCCATCCTCCAGCAGGAAAGGAGAGGGGCGTGCGTGCTTCCGTGGTGTCCCGTCCACAGATGCTCAAGGCCCCTGTGCATTTGGGCTTAGGAACAGGGTCACATGCAGAGGTCTGCACTGAAGGTGCAGTCAGCCAAGTTTCATCCTTGCTTCCCAGCCCCAGCTGTTCCTCTTCCCTCTGTCCCAGCCATTTCCTTGGGCTCTTCCTATGGGCTGAGGGCAGGGGGCAGCAGCAGCAGCCACACCAAGGGAGGCTTGACACTGAACACGGGGTGCGTGTGCATTTAGCCCTTGAGTGCCAGTACCATAATGTGGTCTTGGCCCTGGGGGCACAGATTCAATGTCTCAATGTGGAAAGGTTCTTCTGATGTGCCCTCTCAACAGGGCAACCAGAGAGGCCTCAGTTCCAACTGGAAGGCCATTCCTTTACCCTTTCACCCACTCATTAACAAATGTTTATTAAGCATCATTAACAAATGTTTATTAAGCATCTAGATGGGTCAGGCCCTGTTCTATGGGGCACAGCCTGCTTCTAAACAGACTAACAAGCAGTCCTGCTGTTAGCCCCATCCTGCCCTCCCCTGTGCCTGTTCCTTCCCACTGGACTCCTCGACTTCCAGGCCCTGCAGCAGCCATAAGGAACAGCTTTCTCTTCCCTGCCACTCCCCCACCACAGACAGAGTCTTGCTCTATTGCCCAGGCTGGAGTGCAGTGGTACAATCTCGGCTCACTACATCCTCCACCTCCTGGCTTCAAGCAATTCTCCTGCCTTAGCCTCCCAAGTAGCTGGGATTACAGGTGCACGCCACAACACCCAGCTAATTTTTGTATTTTTAGTAGAGATGGGGTTTCACCATGTTGGCTGGGCTGGTCTCGAACTCCTGACCTTGTGATCCACCTGCCTCAGTCTCCCAAAGTGCTGGGATTACAGGCGTGAGCCACAGCGCCTGGCCAGCGGCAGCTTTCTCTGTGTAGTGCTAGTTCTCTGTGCCTTACTTTTTGGCTTCCTCTACTTTGTGGACATCTCCAAGCTATTGTCATCTTCTTTCTCCTATTTCTTTGTCTTTTGGATTTATGCCTGCTTTAATACTTTTGTTAACATTAGTGATGTTTCAAGTAGGAAGAAGAAATAAATTCTGATGTTTCATCTGCCATATTTAACTAGAATTTCCTTCCAATTGAGTTTTCACTTAAAGTATTTTTACAATGATTTATGGAGTCTGGATGTTTTCAATTTGAAAATGGTAGTTGTTTATTTTAGAAATTTACAAATAATATACCAGTATAAAGAAGAATATAAAGATGACTCATCATCTCAGAAATTCAGAAATAACCCCTCTTAACATTTATATATATATATATACACACACACACACACACACATATATATATATATACCCATATAGATACACATTAGTTAAAGGGAATTAAATAACCTCTTTCTGTTTGCTTAAGTTTGATGCTGACTTTTGGATGCTGCCAGCTTTGTAGAAGCCTTTTGCTGTGGGAGGCACTTGCCAAGCCTTGCTGCGACAGAGGAGTATCCTTTGTCATGCTGACATTGGTGCCTCTCACCTTCCCTCAGGCCTGCCTCTCTCCCCTAGTGAGCCTCGGCCTAGACTGCCCACTTCCACTGGAGATGTTCATCATCAAGTCATTTACAGATCAAAACCACAGTTCTTACCTGCAGTGCCGGAAGGAGGGTAAGAAACAGAATCTGGGTGTGCCCTCCCCAGCTCTGTCATCCCTAGGAATATTCTCCCAGGTTGTGACAGAGCCCGGAAAAAAGCCATTTGCGATGACCTCACTGTACCCGACTTCTACCAGAGTCCCTGGCCTTTTTCTGGCCCTTGGTGATCCCTGATGGGGAATTGTCAGTGGGGGAAAGGTGATTTGTTTCATTTAATCTGCCAAATGCAAATGACCAACATTTTGGGTCTTAGCCAATTTTGAGGTTTTGGATTCAGAATATGTTCTGTTGGGGCTCGGGACACACCATCCCAAAATATGACACCACCTCAGAAAATCTTCCACCCCAATAAATTGCAGATATTTTCAAAAAATAATTACAAGAGACAGAGACTTATATTGCCAGTGGGCATGTATACTAGCAAATGCTTTTGGGAAGTAATTTTTTAAATCTTTTTTTTTTTTTTTTAAATAACAGAGGCAGGTTCTTGCTATGTTGCCCAGGCAGCTCTCAAACTGCTGGACTCCCAAAGTGCTGGGATTATAGTCATGAGTCACCGTGCCCTGCTGGAAAGTCATTTTTAAAGTGTCAAGAACCTTAAAAATGTTTGTACTTTTTGATCTTTGTTCTGGGACTCTAGCCTAAGGAAATAATTCTAAGTACAATAAAAGCTTTCTGTACCAAAATACCAATTGCAATATTATTAATAATGTAAAAAATGATACTAAAACACTCAACTATAGGAGAATAGTACTGTGAAATAGTACTGTAATCATGAAAAACTCATTATAATAAAGCCAAATGATTATTGTTGAAATAAATGAAAACAACTAAACTCAGTATTTAATATAGAGTTCGATGATGGCTGTGTTAAAACTAGAGTAATGTATGGCTGGGCGTGGTGGCTCATGCCTGTAATCCCAGCACTTTGGGAGGCCAAGGCTGGAGGATCACCTGAGGTTGGAAGTTCGAGACCAGCCTGACCAACATGGAGAAACCCTGTCTCTATTAAAAATACAAAAAATTAGCCAGGCGTGGTGGCGCATACCTGTAATCCCAGCTACTCGGGAGGCTGAGGCAGGAGAATCACTTGAACCTGGGAGGTGGAGGTTGCAGTGGCCTGAGATCATGCCATTGCACTCCACACTCCAGCCTGGGCAACAAGAGTGAAACTCCATCTCAAAAACAAAAAAAAAAAACAAAAAAAAAAAAACAAGAGTAATGTATACAGTGAGACATTTTAATACTAGTTATCTTTGGATAATGAGACAGAGAAAATTTTATTTTTTTCTACTTTGTTTGTTTGGTTGAGACGGAGTTTCACTCTTGTTGCCCAGGCTGGAGTGCAATCGTGGCTTACCACAACCTCCGCCTCCCAGGTTCAAGCGATTCTCCTGCCTCAGCCTCCCTAGTAGCTGGGATTACAGGTGCCCGCCATCACACCCAGCTAATTTTTTGTATTTTTAGTAGAGATGGGGTTTCACTATGTTGGCCAGGCTGGTCTCGAACTCCTGACCTCAGGCAATCCACCCGCCTCAGCCCTGCAAAGTGCTGGGATTACAGGCATGAGCCACCGTACCTGACTACTTTCTTTTTAATAACACAAATTTTGTTCATAAATAAGACTTCGGCTGGGCAGAGTGACTCACGTCTGTAATCCCAGCACTTTGGGAGGCCGAGGCAGGCGGATCACCTGAGGTCAGGAGTTTGAAACCAGCCTGGCCAACATAGTGGAACAGCCTGACCAGCATCGTGAAACCCCATCTCTACTAAAAATACAAAAATTCACCAGTCGTGGTGGCAGGTACCTTTAGTCCCAGCTACTCGGGAGGCTGAGGCAGGAGAATCGCTTGAACCCAGGAGGCAAAGGTTGCAGTGAGCCGAGATTGCGCCACCGCACTCCAGCCTGGGTGACAGAATGAGATTCCATCTCTAAATAAATAAATAAATAAATAAATAAATAAATAAATCAGACTTCATAAAATTAAATGCAGGGTTGGTTCCTGTTTTAAAAGGGGAATAGTAGGCTGGGAGCCGTGGCTCACGCCAGCACTTTGGGAGGCTGAGGCTGAGGCAGGCAGATCACCTGAGGTCAGGAGTTTGAGACCAGCCTGGCCAACATGGTGAAACCCCGTCTCTGCTAAAAATACAAAAATTAGCCAGGCGTGGTGGTGCGCACCTGTAATCCCACTACTCAGGAGGCTGAGGCAGGAGAATCGCTTAAACCCAGGAGGCAGAGGTTGCAGTGAGCTGAGATTGTACCACTGCACTCCAGCCTGGGCAAAGAGCGAGACTCCGTCTCAAAAAATAAAAAAATTAGCCTAGAATAGTGGCGTGTGCCTGTAATCCCAGCTACCCGGGAGGTTGAGGCAGGAGAATCGCTTGAACCCAGGAGGCAGTGGTTGCAGTGAGCTGAGATTGTGCCACTGCACTCCAGCCTGGGTGACAGAGCAAGACTCCGTCTCAAAAAACAAAAAGAGAATAGTAGAAGGCAACATGCCATTTTATTTAAAATTGCAAATTAGGTTTTTTAGATGGATGACAGTTGAGATCATTAAATCCCATTTCTGCCTCTCAGATTTCCACAAAATAGTATATTAAATACTCAGTCCTAAGAAATGGCAGAGTTTCCAAATTGCCTCTCAACACCAGAGGGAATGGCCCAGGTTCTTCCCTTACGATAAAGGTACATCATTTGATAAACAAAGGAGTGTAGCATTAAGACTCTTACAAGGTTGTATTGCAGAAGTTACTTCCGTGTCTTCACTCACAATGTGTATTCCCACCTTTATTTCCCATTCAGTAACACTGCCAGTTTCATCATCTCTCCTTTCAACTTCATTGAAAAGAGGATGCTGACTGGAATTTGGCTTAATAGTATCCACCACAGCCAGGTGCCTACAGTCCCCGCTACACAGGAGGGTGAGGAGAGAGATTTCCTTGAACCCAGGAGTTCGAGACCAGCCTGAACAAAACAGGGAGACTCCACCTTTGCAGACAACACACAACAGAGGCATTTCAGATGGGACAGTAGAGTTTCCTGAGATACACTTGATTTTTAGTTTTAAGCAGAGGAATTTTCCTGGAGAGTTTCAGTTACAATACCATACTCATGAGGATGGTAAAAAAAAAACCTCATAGTAAACATTCAGCAAAACATAGGTTATAGGGCAGTCATCTCCTTTAACACTTTATTGGGGTTTGTATATGAATTCTGAAATATTGTAGGCCTAATCCTGGTACAGAACCAAAACTGGGTGCGTTGTACTTGAACAGCTGACAAGTCCCCAGTACGGGTCCGTATAAAGTAATGGAGAAGAAACAGCCCTCTTAATCCCAGAAAAGTCTTTATTTGCCCTGATTGAAAACCAAATCTCATTCAAGAAACTTTTTCTACTGTTCTATAGTTTACAAATAATCTTATTACTTTTATAATTGGAAAAACAACAATAAACCCACTGTTCAAGGGAAACAGCCAGTTGTACTTTCCATTAGTCAGTGCTACTGTTTGGAACACAGATTTTTCCTAGAAATGGAATTAATATGAGCTTATCTTCTGCAATCATTTATTTGATTTAAGAGGAAACTGAGGTTTGAAGAAAGGCAATGTCTCCAAACCAATCCTGCCTCCTGGCCCTCTGGCCCTCACTCCACACTGTCTTGGAGCATGACTGTGGCACAGTGTGGCACCTACCAGGCACTTCATAGCATCTCAGTGAGTTACAGAGGATTGGGCTCAAGGAAGCTGATCCTGGGAGTGATGGGTATCCTACATTCTTGTGGAGAGGAGGGAGCTGGAGTTGGGAATATGCTGTGTGATGTGGTTCAGATGTGTGTCCCCTCCAAATCTCATGTTGAAATGTGATTCCCTCCCATGGGGCATATACTCAAAGGAATATAAATCATTCTACTATAAAGACACATGGCTAGGCATTGTGGCTCACACCTGTAATCCCAGCACTTTGGGAGGCTGAGGCAGGCAGATCATGAGGCTGGGAGTTTGAGACCAGCCTGGACAACATGGCAAAACCCCTTCTCTACTAAAAATACAAAAAATTAGCCGAGTATGGTGGCGTGCGCTTGTAATCCCAGCTACTCGGGAGGCTGAGGCAGGAGAATTGCTTGAACCTGGGAGGCGGAGTTTGCAGTGAGCTGAGATCTTGCCACTGCACTCCAGCCTGGGCGACAGAGCGAGACTCTGACTCAAAAAAAAAGACAAATGCACATGTATGTTTATTGCAGCAGTATTTACAATAGCAAAGACTTGGAACCAACTCAAATGTCCATCAATAATAGACTGAATAAAGAAAATGTGGCAAATATACAACATGGAATACTATGCAGCCATAAAAAAGAATGAGTTCATGTCCTTTGCAGGGATATGGATGAAACTGGAAGCCATTATCCTCAGCAAACTAACACAGGAACAGAAAACCAAACACCACATGTTCTCACTCATAAGTGGGAGTTGAACAATGAGAACACATGGACACAGGGACAGGAATGTCACGCACCAGGGTCTATGGGGGAGGAGTAAGGGGAGGGAGAGCTTTAGGGCAAATACCTAATGCATGTGGGGCTTAAAACCTAGATGACAGGTTGATAGGTGCAGCAGACCACCATGGCACATGTATACCTATGTAACAAACCTGCATGTTCTGCACATGTATCCCAGAACTTAAAGTACAAAATTAAAAAACAAAGAAAAAGAAATGCGATTCCCAGTGTTGGAGGTGGGGCCTGGTGGGAGGTGTCTGGGTCTTGGGGGCGGATCCCTCATGAATGGCTTGGTGTCCTCCCCGTGGTGATGAGTGAGTACTTACTCTGTTAGTTCACATGAGAGCTGGCTGTTTAAGGAAGGCTGGCTCCTCCTCCCTCCTTTGCTCTCTCTTGCACTCTCTCTCTCCCTGTCTCTGTCTCTCTGTCCCACTCTTACCATGTGACACACCTGCTCCTCCTTCACCTTCCGCCATGATTGAAAGCTCCCTGAGCCTTCACCAGGAGCAGATGCCAGCGCCATGCTTCCTGGCGCCTACTAAACTGTGAGCCAAATTAAACCTCTTTTCTGTATAAATTACCCAGCCTCAGGTATTTCTTTATAGCAACGCAAAAATAGACTAACACAGAAATGGGGCATCACCTGAACTACAAGGCCCTCTGAGCTGGCTATTGCTTCCTCCTCAGCAACAAGTCAGGCCACAAGGTTCCTAGTAACTGCCTGTAACCCGGCCTTTTTCCTCACCCTGGCCTTCCTTCTATCAAGGTACCTGCATTAACCGGGCTTCCTGCTTGGAATGACATCTCCACCCACAGAGCTCTGCCTCCAGTTAATTCATGCTCAGCCTCAGGCCTCAACTCCATATCCCTTCCTTGAGGAAGTCTCCCCTGACCCCTATACCAGGTTAGACCTTTTTTTTTTTTTTGCTTTTCCTTCATTGACAGTTCACCACTATAATTAAGTAACCATCTCCCTATTGTGCGTTAATGTCTGTTTCTTCCTCCAGACCACAGGAACCTTATGGGATTGTTTACCCGGTATCCCTGGCAACAAGCTGATCCTGGCAGATAGGGAGCGTGCAAAGCACATTAGATGAATAAATAAATGAAAATTATTGATTCTTCCAGCTCCACCAGGGGGCAGGGGCTGTAGCCTTCTTTCCCTGTCTGCTCCCTGGATCTGCTCCCATGGTGCTGGAGAAAGCAAGTGTAGCATTGCTTGTTTATTTATGCTTCCATTTGTTCAATAGATATCTACTGAGAGCCCGCTATGTGCCATTTTGGAGTCAGTGGTGAACATAGCATCAAAATCCTGCCCTCACAAGATTACTTTATTTTTTTTGAGATGGAGTCTCACTCTGTCGCCCAGGCTGGAGTGCAGTGGTGCGATCTCAGCTCACTGCAACCTCTGTCTCCCGGGTTCTAGCAATTCTCCTGCATCAGTCTCCTGAGTAGCTGTGACTACAGGCTTGTGCCACCATGCCAGACTAATTTTTTTGTATTTTTAGTGGAGATAGGGTTTCACCACATTGGTCAGGCTGGTATTGAATTCCTGACCTCAAATGATCCACGTGCCTCAGCCTCCCAAAGTACTGGGATTACAGGTGTTAGCCACCATGACCGCCACAAGATTACATTCTATACTGAAGGAGACAGACACTAAGCAAATAAACAGGAAACTATGCTGTATGCTGGTGCTAGGGCCAGAACAATTTATGAGAGAAGTGGAGGTGGGGGAGCCATACTAAATAAAATGGTTGGAAAAGGCCTTCTTGATAAAATATAATTGAGGAAAGACAAAGGATATAGCAATATGATGAAAGGGCATGTCAGATAAAATTCAGATGTCCAGATAATTTTGAATTTTATTTTATTTTATTTATTATTATTTATTTATTTTTTGAGACTGAGTCTCACTCTGTCACCCAGGCTGGAGTACAGTGGCATGATCTTGGCTCACTGCAACCTCTGCCTCCCGGGTTCAAGCGATTCTCCTGCCTCAGCCTCCTGAGTAGCTGGGACCACAGGCATGCGCCACCACACTGGGCTAATTTTTGTATTTTTTTAGTAGAGAAGGGGTTTCACCATGTTGGTCAGGCTGGTCTTGAACTCCAGACCTCAGGTGATCTGCCTGCCTCGCTCGGCGTCCCAAAGTGCTAGGGATTACAGGCATAAGCTACCATGTCCAGCCAAAATTTTTTCAAATTCTAATGTTTTTAATTCACAAATTGCAATTCATATTGCCACGGAGGAAACAAAATTGTAACTAATGAAGAATTCTAAGAGCTGTTTTTTGTTGTTGTTTTTTTTTGAGATGGAGTCTCAGTCACCCAGTCTGGAGTGCAGTGGTGCGATCTCGGCTCACTGCAACCTCCACCTCCTGGGTTCAAACAATTCTCCTGTCTCAGCCTCCCGAGTAGCTGGGATTACAGGCACCCATCATGATGCCCGGCTAATTTTTGTATTTTTGTAGAGACACGGTTTCAACATGTTGGCCAGGCTGGTCTTGAACTCCTGACCTTAGGTGATCTGCCCGCCTCGGCCTCTCAATGTGCTGGGATTACAGGCATGAGCCACTGTGCCAGGCCAAGAGCTGTTAAAAGTAGTACCTGATCTTTGGCTTTTGGGGTACCAGGAATTACTTTTTACTATGAGAGAGAACTTGACTTTTGCGTGTGCAGTGGCTGACGAGTCACTGGCAAAACCTGGAAAGTGGCTGACAGGGTTGTAGTGAATGATTATTATTGCAATGGGCTATTTGTTCTTTACGCACTTAGATTAAAAGGCAGGTTTGAACACCTGGAGGTTGTGGGAACATTCACTACCAATGGTTAAGACTCTGATGGAAGATGAGCTGATCACAGAGTGGGCTGATTTGCATTGGGTTGCCCACTAGCCTCAGGGGAATGTCTTTACAGAAAGGTGTGCTGTGGAAGCACTGTGTGGCCTGGTCTCATGGGGTTCCTGTCTTTGGGAACCCAAGATTAAATGTAAATGTGGGATACTGGCAGGCACAAGTGGAAGCCAGCACAACTAATGATGCAGAATTTTTTGTTCCTTGGTTCAGCTAAATCCAGAAAAATTAGGCACGCAGAAACATTGAAAGGTGAGGATGGTGCCAGGTGCGGTGGCTCACACTTGTAATCTCAGCATTTTGGGAGGCTGAGGTGGGCAGATACTTGAGGTCAGGAGTTTAAGACCAGCCTGGGCAAATTAGTGAAACCCCATCTCTACTAAAAATACAAAAAATTAGCCAGGCATGGTGGTACATGCCTGTAGTCCCAGCTACTCAGGAGGCTGAGGCAGGAGAATCACTTGAACCTGGGAGGCAGAGTTTTGCAGTGAGCCAAGAGCATGCCATTGCACTCCTGCATGGGCAACAGAGCAGGACTCAGTCTCAAAAAAAAGAAAAGAAAGGTGAGGAGGGCGGAATTTATTAAGCAAAAGGAGGGTCCTATATGCAGGTATCCACCTCACAAATTGAATACAAGGCCATCACATGCAAGTTGAAAAGGCGTGGCTCCTCTCCAGCATTAGGCATGAATTCCTGGTGGCTCCACCCCATTCTTCCAGTGTGCATGCTGGCCCTTAGTCTTAAGGAAGGAGACCACTACTACTCCTGCTGCCCTCCTCCCCCCACCTTGCCTAGTTCACAAGACAGGAGGAGATAAAAAGCAAAAAGTTGGAAAAAAACAAAAGTAAGATAAATAGCCAGACAACCTTGGCACCACCACCTGGCCCTAGGAGTTAAAAAAAGTAATAATAGTAACATCAACCCCTGACCTAAACTACCTGTGTTATCTGTAAATTCCAGACACTGTATGAAAAAAGCGCTGTAAAACTTTTTGTTCTGTTAGCTGATGCATGTAGCCTCCAGTCACATTTCCCACGCTTGCTCGATTTATCACGACCCTTTCACATGGACCCCTTAAAGTTGTAAGCCTTTAAAAAGGCCAAGAATTTCTTTTTCGGAGAGCTCGGCTCTTAAGACATGAGTCTGCTGATGCTCCCGGCCGAATAAAAACCTCTTCCTTCTTTAATTCGGTGTCTGAGGAGTTTCGTCTGTGGCTCGTCCTGCTACATTTCTTGGTTCCCTGACCGGGAAATGAGGTGATTAACTGACGGTCGAGGTAGCCCCTTAGGCAGCTTATGCATGCTCTGTAGAGCATCCCTGTGGGGGACTCCGGCTTGAGCAATGCGGATCCTGAGAGTGCTCCCGGGTAGGCATTTGCCCCAGTGGAACGCCTTGCCAGAGCAGCGCGTGGCAGGCCCCGGTGGAGGATCAACGCAGTGGCTGAACACCGGGAAGGAACAGGCACTTGGAGTCCGGACATCTGAAACTTGGTAAGACTGGTCTTTGGAACTTGCCCACTCCGTTTGAGTGGAAGCGTGGCCTGATCACCCACAGCGTGTCTGTACTGGCACTTTGGTTTTTGTTTTTGACTTGACTTGAATTGCTTGATACTTTGGTTTTAACCTTGATTTTGACTTGACTTGAATTGCTTGATAAACAGGCATGCCTTTATTGGTACTTTGGTTTTGGTTCTGATTTTGACTTGGCATAAATTGCTTGACGAACAGGTGTGCCTTTAACAACACTTTGGTTTTAGTTTTGATTTTGATTTAGTGTGAATTAGACGAGTGAGTGACCTTTTACCCTTTCCTTCTTGTAGTGTGAATTTTTTTTGTTTCAAGAGAAAAATAGGTCAGACACAAAGTAAGCCCACTCCGCTAGGAACTATGTTAAAAAATTTCAAAAAGAAAAATAAAAGGAAAGTCATCAAAGCATCAAAACTTACTCTATTAAAATGCATGTTACAGAACCTTAGGAAAGGTTCTGTGGGAGATTATAGAGTTAAGTTAACCCCCTAGAGGTTAAGAACTCTGTGTGAATTAGAATTGCCCTCTTTTGGTGTTAGATGGCCCACCGAAGGAACTATAGACAGGGAACTATTGGCCATGTATTTAAGGTGGTGACAGGGGTCAGAGGGCAGCCAGTGTACCTAGATCAAATTCCTTTATATTGACTCATGGTTAAATATAATATAGGCAAAACCAGCATAAATTTAGCCCTGTTGAACAGCTTATTGCAAAAAAGCCAAAAGTAAAAGAGCAGCTTCGCCGGCAGACAGAGTTAAAAAGGGAGTCCCAGAAACAGCAAGAGAAGCCAGTTTTGCGGGAGCCGCCAGAGATAACAGAAATTCTTTCTCCATATATCCCAGCCTACCCCGCTTTACTGAGGCCAACAACCCCCTCAGAAATGAGATTCAGGAGCTAACACGCTCCAGGTTTTACCTTGAAGGGGAGGATCGGAGCTTCGAGAGACCAAGGAAGGAAATCAAGATAGTCAAGTGGGCCATCTCAGATCTGAGAGGCTATGCAAATGCCTCTCAGGGAGACACGAGGACCTGTCTATTATAATGACCAGGCCCACATCCGGGGGGTTGGGGGGGACAACAGACTTTCATCTATCAGCCCTTTTCAACCATTGATCTACTAAACTGGAAACACCCTGAACCCACCACCTTGCTCCCGGCAGCTAAAGCCCTGTCGAGCATAACTGTGTAGAGGTGTTGGACTCAAATTTACTCTAGCAGACCTAACCTCCAGGACCAGCCTTGGGCATCAATAGACTGGGAGCTATACGTGGACGGGAACAGCTTCATCAACCCCCAAGGAGAGAGAGGTGCAGAATATGCGGTGGTAACCCTGGACACTGTTGTTAAGCTGAGCTCATTGCTTTAATTCGGGCCTTAGAACTCAGTGAAGGTAAGACTTGTAAACATTTACACTGACTCTGGGTATGCCTGTTTAACCCTCCAAGTGCATAAAAAATTGTATAAAGAAAAGAGCCTGTTAAACTCTAGAAAAAAGGGAAAAAAAGACCCAGAGAATGCAATTCAGCTTCAGCATTTGCAGAGGTACTGAGAAGCACTTCTGCAGAGTCTAAAAGTTGGTAGAAAAAAGCAAGTAATATAAAAAAGATTTCAGAAATCCTTCAAGGAGCTGACAAGAGCCTAAGTCAGTTTTATAAGAGACTCTATAAAGCATTCTGGCTTTATACCCCACTTAACCCTGAGGCTGCTGAAAATCAGTATGCACTGAATATTTTATTTGTAAAGCAAGCCCAGGGTAACATCAAGCAGAAGCTGCAGGCATGAATACCACCTAGTCTATAAAAGTGGCCACCAAGGTGTATGTTAACTGTGACCAAGGAACAAAACTGGGAAAGAGCAAAGGAAAAAGAAACACTAAGAGTAAGTGTGAAAAAGAGAATCAGAAGAAAACAGGAGAGACAGACAGCAGTGCGCGGGGGCAAGGCCCGTGCCGTTGCCCAGCCCCGCCAGCTGGCCGTAGGAGCAGGAGAACTCAGAAAAAAAAAAAAAAAAAAAAAAAAGTAAATTAAAGACTTAAGAAAAAAAAGCCAATCTGTTAGCAACAGCTCTCATAAAAAGAAAAATTAGCACCGTGAGAGGACATGGATGTGGATGTAGATGTGAAAGAAGTCAAGTTAGGCAAGGATTCAAGAGCCGGATGAGGCTAGAGATTAATGTGCGAGATGCAAAAAGAAAGGACACTAGAAAGGTAAATGTTCAGAAGGCAATAAAGGAAATGGCCACTCTGCATTGATTTATTTCTCTTACTGTGCATGTGTTAAGGGATGGAATTTTCCACTGTGGGCATGTTTAGGCAAGCTCCCTATATATAATGACATAGATGGCATTTGCCTGTCTCCTGCCTCTATCACTAGGGGAAGTTAGCTAGTTGTGCTGGCTTCTACTCGTGTCTGCTTTCCACATATTAAAAAAAATTTTTTTTAAGGTCGGGTGTGGTGGCTCATGCCTGTAATCCCAGCACTTTGGGAGGCCGAGGTGAGAGGATTGCCTGAGCTCAGGAGTTCGAGACCAGGCTGGGCAACATGATGAAAACCTGTCTCTACAAAAAAATACGAAAATTAGCTGGGCAGGGTGGTGCACGCCTGTAGTCCCAGCTACTCATGAAGCTGAGGTGGGAGGATTGGCTGAGAGGTTGAGGGAGTGGAGATAGCACCAATGCACTCCAGCCCAGGCAACAGAGAGAGACCCCATTTCAAAAAAAAAAATTTTTTTTAATAAGATGGGGTTTTACTATTTTGCCCATGCTGGTCTCAAACTCCTGGGCTCACGCGATCCTCCTGTCTCGGCCTCCTGTTAAATATAGTGAACCCTAAGTTTCTCTTCAAAGAATCAGTATGTCAGTATGTCCAGCTCTCTTATTCTTTGATTCTTCATTTTAAAGTTTAACTTCCTAGTTCTCTTCAACTCCTTGCCTCTAGTTTCAGTAAACAACTTTCCCGCCAGTCCAAATCAGTAGTTCACAGCTGTTCCCTTGGTGGTCACCTGCTCTGACCTAAGTCACCTTTAGTTACCTGTTCCTAACTGCCCTTCCCACCAAACTACTCACCTCACCACTCCAGCTCATACTCCTGCTCTTTTTAACATAGCCAATCAGAATTAGCTTAGACTGTGCGGTCCAATCCTAGCCATTAGGGCAACAACACAGCAGTAGGGGCTACTAGCGTCAGGAATAAGAACTCCTGCCCCTCCCCTGTCCTGGTATGATCTCACCATTGTTCCATCTGTGAGGAGCACCCTTTCTGCAGAAAGTAAAAATTGCCTTGCTGAGAAAATTAAATGTATGTTTGAGTGCTATTTCTTTGCAGCACCAGGGAACAAGCATTTTGCATTTCTAACAGTTTGGTGGCCCATGCAGGGACCCACTCTCCTCTGGGCGGTCTCCAGTCCTCTCTTGTAAGGAGGTGCCCCGCCGCCTCATTTCGGCAGCCTCAGGGGTGAGGAACCGAGACCTACCTGGTGTGATGAATAAACCCAGACTCTCAGCAATGTGGAAAGAAACTGGCCGGTGACCTGGGGTAAAGGATCCTTACATACCACGTGGACCAGACAACATCACGCACAAGCCAAAGAAGGAAACAGCGGAGGAGCTGGTAAAGTATTCCTTTGGTGGTAGGGACTAAGGAAAGAAAAACTGCAGGGGCAGTGAAACATTCCTTGGTTGGGACATACCAAGGAAAAAGAAGCCGTAGGGGTGGTAAAGCATTCCTTAGCCGGGACTAAGGAAAGAAAAACCACAGGGGGCAGTGAAGTATTCCTTGGTCGGGGTATCTTGGGGATTAAAAAGAGGCAAGATATTTCCGGTAAGGGAAATCGAGCCTCGCCCCAAAAGGTGAGACATTTCCAGTGAGGGAAATTGAGCCTCACCCCAAAAGGTGAGACATTTCCAGTAGGGGAAATTGAGCCTCACCCTAAAAGGCAAGACATTTCCAGTGAGGGAAATTGAGCCTCACCCCAAAAGGTGAGACATTGCCAGTAAGGGAAATTGAGCCTCCCTCCAAAAGGTGAGATATTTCTGGTAAGGGAAATTGAGCCTCACCCCAAAAATGGGAAATACCCCAAGTAAGGTACAGGATAAAAGAAATAAAGCTAGCAACAATAATATTCCCCCAATAATCCCCCAGGACTAATGTTAAAATATTAGAAGGATAAAAAAAAAAAAACTTAAGAGAGTCAGAGAGAGAAAGAGACAGAGAGTCAGAGAGAGAGAGAGAGAGAGAGAGAGAGCTAGAAGTAGTAAAGAGAAAGCAATGTACCCTATTCCTTTAAAAGCCAGGGTAAATGTAAAACCTATAATTGAAAGTCTTCTCCGTGACCCTATAAAACTCCAATACTGCCTGTAAAGAAGCCAGACGGGTCACACCAGTTAGTGCAAGACCTTAGAGCTATTAATCAAGTCCAAACTACCCACCCTGTTGTTATGGTAATAGATTTAAAAGATGCCTTCTGGGTTTGTCCGTTCACGGAAGACAGCCAGGACCTATTTGCCTTTGAGTGAGAAGACCCTCACTCTGATTGAAAATAGCAATACAGATAGACAGTCTTACCTCAAGGGTTTACGAAGTCTTCAAATTTATTTAGTCAAATATTAGAACAAGTCATTTAATTAGCAAAGGTAAATGGCAAATTGAGCTTGAATGGACTGAAAGTATCATATCCTTGCCTCTGCCGGAGACCAAACAAGAACTTAGAAAACTTTAAGATAAGTCAGATACTGTCATCTATGGATAGCCTCTTATGCCCTAAAAACAAAACCCTTATACAAAAAGCTCACGCAAGATGGGCAAAACCCCCTCCTCATTTGGCAATTACCAGAAATCCAACAGGTGGAAAGGTTAAAACATCTATTAGTAACTGCCCCTGTCCTAGATTTACCCTCAAGTAGCTATTCCATCTTGTTGTCAGTGTAAACAAGGGCATATCCCAAAAGCACGGAGGCCACTGACAACCAGTAGCCTTCCTATCAAAAATCCTTAACCCAGTAACCCGGGGATGGCCCAAATGCATTCAATCTGTAGCAGCAACTGCTTTGCTAACTGAAGAAAGTACAAAAATAACTTTTAGAGGAAACCTCATTGTGAGCACACCTCACCAGGTCAGAACTATCCTAAGTCAAAAAAGCAAAAAGGCAGCTTACTGACTTAAGAATATTAACATATGAGGCCATTCTGTTAGAAAAATATGATTTAACATTAACCACTGATAATTCCCTTAACCCTGCAGGTTTCCTAACAGGGGATCTAAATCTTAATTAACTACCATACAAAGGTCCGACCAGACCTAGGAGGAACTCCCTTCAGGACAGGATGATGGATGGTTTCTCCTGGCTGATTGAGGGAAAAAGACACAACGAGTATTCAGTAATTGATAGGGAAACTCTCGTAGAAATAGAGTTAGGAAAATTGCCTAATAATCAGTCTGCTCAAACGTGTGAGCTCTGCACTCAGCCAAGCCTTAAAGTACTTACAGAACCAGGAAGGAACCATCTATACTAATTCCAAGTTGATTTGGACTAAAGAGGTCTTAGTAATAGCAAAGGATAATTAAAAATCCCAAACTTACATGGTTTTCAACAAAAGTAAAGTTTGCTAAAAGTTAACAGTGTAACATGTATTATCCTAACTTCAAATCTTGTGGCCTTAGGGAAGTGGAGACTGCAGCGAGCCAAAATTGCACCATTGCACCCCAGTCCAGGTAACAGAATGACACCTTGTCTAAAAAAAAACAAACAAAAAACCCACAAAACTCTTAAGATGGGGAAGACATTGGTTTAAAGTTTACATAACAATCCCTGCCTTTGTTTAAGATACTTTTCCTGGCAATCTCACTTCGACTGAATCTTTACCCATATCCTTCTTCATCTCAGCAGAGAATGGTGCTTAGATCTAAGTGCTGTGCCTTTGGGATGTAAATTTTCACTTAAGAGTCATGTCTTTGGAAGTGCAAATTAAGGGTTATGTTGCTAACAGTTGTTTAGGGCTCCATAGTCTAAAGAGGGGAGAGAAACTATTTAAAAACTGGCAAATGGTTTCTGGGTGCGGTGGCTCACGCCTGTAATCCCAGCACTTTGGGAGGCCAAGGTGGGCGGATCATGAGGTTAGGAGTTTGAGACCACCCTGGCCAACATGGCAAAACCCCATCTCTACTAAAAATACAAAAATTAGCCAGGCACAGTGGCAGGCGCCTGTAATCCCAGCTACTCGGGAGGCTGAGGCAGGAGAATCGCTTGAACCCAGGAAGTGGGTGTTGCAGTGAGCTTAGATCACACCACTGCACTCTAGCCTGGGCAACAGAGCAAGACTCCATCTCAAAAAAAAAAAAAAAGAAAAAGAAAACCAAAACCAAAACCAAAACAAAAAAACCCCCTGACAAATGAAGAAGTTTATCAAGCTACAGACTCTGCTTTTGTTTGTATGTCTGTATGTATATATGTTCATATATGCCATGTGGATGTGATATTTCATTACCAAAATACACGAAAACTCTAATTAATTGGGTTAAAGAAAAAGTAAGCACTTAAATTATATATTTTATGAGAAAAATATAAGCTAACTCAAATGCCTTTTAGTTCAAATGATTTGTGTAAATTGTTGGTAAATAAGACTAGTTTAATACTGTTGATTTACTGAAAACAACCGTGTCCTCTGATTAACAAAATACCCGTGTATTTAACTTTAGAGTTCTGGCTAAAGTGTTAAGTTCCTAACATTTGTGGAATGTAAACATGATTACAAAGAAAAAACTGAAGATGATGGTGTAAGCACCCAATGGGTTCACCTTGCCCACTGCCTAGACAGAGCTGATTTCTCAAGACAGGGGAATTGCAATAGAGAAGGAGTAATTCACACAGAGCCAGCTGTGCAGAAACCAGAGTTTTATTACTCAAATCAGTCTCCCCGAGCATTTTGGGAGCAGAATTTTTAAGGACAACCTAGTGGGTGGGGAGAACCCAGTGAGCCAGGAGTGCTGATTGGTCAGGTCAGAGATGAAATCATAGGGAGTTGAAGCTGTCTTCTTGCAGTGAGTCAGTTCATGGGCAGGGGCTACAAGATCAGATGAGCCAGTTTATCAATCTGGGTGGAGCCAGCTGATCCATCAAGTGCAGGGTCTGCAAAATATCTCAAGCACTGATCTTGAGAGAAATTTAGGGAGGGTCATAATCTTTTAGCCTCCAGCTGCATGACTCCTAAATCATAATTTCTAATCTTGTGTCAAATGTTAGTCCTACAAAGACAATCTAGTCCCTAGGCAAGATGGAATGAACAAAGACAGCTTATATGCTAGAGGCAAGATGGTCAGTTAAGTTAGATTTCTTTCACTGTCTCAGTTATAATTTTGCGAAGGCAGTTTCTTTTTTTCTTTTCTTTTCTTTTTTTTTTTTTTTTGAGATGGAGTCTTGCTCTTGTTGCCCAGGCTGGAGTGCAATGATGTGATCTCAGCTCACTGCAACCTCCACCTCCTGGGTTCAAGTGGTTCTCCTGCCTCAGCCTCCCAAGTAGCTGGGATTACAGGCACCCACCACCACACCTGGCTAATTTTTTATATTTTTAGTAGAGAAAGAGTTTTACCATGTTGGCCAGGCTGGTCTCTAACTCCTGACCTCAGGTAATGCACCTGCCTGGGCCTCCTAAAGAGCTGGGATTACAGGCGTGAGCCACTGCTCAGCCCTGCAAAGACAGTTTCAGTAGCTAACTTTGTTTAATGAGCTACTCAAGCATACTTCCTAAGAATAAATAAAACTTTATTTACTTTTTTATGTTTTTTATTATTTACCATAAGGTTTACTTGCAAAAGAGAATAAATAAAAGTTTATAAATGAGCTTTACATTGTTTAAAAAATCTTTTTCAATAACTTAGAGTCATGTTATGTCAACCTGGGTAATAGCTAATCATAAAATGTCTGAGTCATCTATATGATACAGAAAAGCTAAATATTTAGTTCTGTTAAGAAACAAAAAATTGTGGAAACATCTTTCTAAACATTAGAAAATAGTTTTCATCACAAAAACTGACATAAACCATCTCAAATTACTTGCTTCCAAGGTTTTTCTTTTTTGTTTGTTTGTTTGCTGTTGTTTTTCTTTTACAAGCCCAGAACTAACATCATAACTTCCTAGGATTTCCACTGGAAATCAGGGTTAGGCTGGTTCCTTATTTTTGCAATTGCAAATTGTATTGCTATGCACATATGTGTGTAAGTCTGTTTCATACAATGACTTCTTTTCCTTTGGGTAGATACCCATTAGTGGGACTGCTGCATCAAATGGTAATTCTACTTTTAGTTCTCAAAGGATTCTCCATACTGTTTTCCATAGTGTTTGTACTACATTCCCACCAGCAGTGTGAAAGTGTTCCTTTTTCACCACATCCACATCAACATCTATTATATTTTGATATTTAAATTATGGCCATTCTTGCAGGAGTAAGGTGGTATTGCATTGTGGTTTTGATTTGCATTTCCCTGATAATTAGTGATGTTGAGCATTTTTTTCATGTTTGTTGGACATTTGTATATCTTCTTTTGAGAATTGTGTATTCATGTCCTTAGCCCACTTTTTGATGGGATTTTTTTTTTTTGCTGATTTGTTTGAGTTCCTGGTAGATTCTGGGTATTAGTCCTTTGTTGGATGAATAGTCTGTGAAAATTTTCTCCCACTCTGGGGGTTCTCTGTTTACTCTGCTGATTATTTTTATTTTATTTTATTTTTATGTTTATTTTTTTTGAGACAGAGTCTTGCACTCTCGCTCAGGCTGGAGTGCAGTGGCGTGATCTCAGCTCACTGCAAGCTCTGCCTCCAGGGTTCATGCCATTCTCCTGCCTCAGCCTCCCGAGTAGCTGGGACTACAGGCGCCTGCCACCACACCCGGCTAATTTTTTGTATTTTTTAGTAGAGATGGGGTTTCACCATGTTAGCCAGGATGGTCTCAATCTCCTGACCTTGTGATCCACCCACCTTGGCCTCCCAAAGTGCTGGGATTACAGGCATGAGCCACCATGCCTGGCCTTATTTTATTTTATTTTATTTTATTTTTGAGACAGGGTCTCGCTCTGTCGCCCAGGCTGGAGTGCAGTGATGCGATCTCGGCTAACTGCAACCTCTGTCTCCCAGGTTCAAGTGATTCTCCTGCCTCAGCGTCTCAAGTAGCTGGGATTACAGGCATGCACCACCATGCTCAGATAATTTTTGTATTTTTAGTAGAGATGGGGTTTCGCCATGTTGGCCAGGCTGGTCTCGAACTCCTAACCTTAGGTGATCCACCCACCTTGGCCTCCCAAAGTGCTGAGATTATAGGCGTGAGCCACCATGCCCAGCCAAGTCTGCTGATTTTTTTTTCTCTCTGCGGAAGCTTTTTAGTTTAATTCGGTCTCATCTATTTATTTTTGTTTTTGTTGTATTTGCTTTTGGGTTCTTAGTCATTAACTCTACCTTAGCCAATGTCTAGAAGAGTTTTTCCAATATTATATTCTAGAATTTTTATGGTTTCAGGTCTTAGATTCAAGTCTTTGATCCATTTTGAGTTGATTTTTGTATAGGGTGAGACATGAGGATTAAGTTTCATTCTTCTACATGTGACTTGCCAACAATCCCAGCACCATTTGACCATTTGTGGTTAGGGTGCAGCCTTTGTTGAACAGGGTGTCCTTCTCCACTTTATGTTTTTGTTTGCTTTGTCGAAGATCAGTTGGCTTTAAATATTTGGCTTTATTTCTGGGTACTCTATTCTGTTGCATTGATGTACACGCCTATTTTTATACCAGTACCATGCTGTTTTGGTAACTATAGCCTTGTAGTATAGTTTGAAGTCAGGTAATGTGATGCCTCCAGATTTGTTCTTCTCACTTAGTCTCGCTTTGGCTATGTGGGCTCTTTTTTGGTTCCATATTAATTTTAGGATTTTATTTTTATAGTTCTGTGAAAAATAATGATGGTATTTTGACAGGAATTGCACTGAATTTGTAGATTGCTTTTGACTGTATGGTCATTTTCACAATATTGATTCTACCCATCCATGAGCATGAGATGTGTTCCCATTTGTTTGTGTCATCTATGACTTATTTCAGCAGTATTTTGTAGTTTTCCTTGTAGAGATCTTTCACATTCTTGGTTAGGTATATTTCTACGTATTTTATATTATTTTTTACAGCTGTTGTTAAAAGGGTTGAGTTCTTGATTTGATTCTCAGGTTGGTCACTGCTGGTGTATAGCAGTGCTACTTATTTGTGTACATTGATTTTATATCCTGAAACTTTACTGAATTCATTTATCAGGTTTAGGAGCTTTTTGGATGAATCTTTAGGGTTTTCTAGATATACAATCATATCATCGGCAAACAGCAATGGTTTGACTTCCTCTTTACCAATTTGGATGCCCTTTATTTCTTTCTCTTGTCTGATTGCTCTGGCTAGGATTTCCAGTACTATATTGAATAGCAGTGATAAAAATGGGCATCCTTGTCTTGTTCCAGTTCTCAGGGGGAATGCTTTCAACCTTTCCCTGTTCAGTATAATGTTGCCTGAGGGTTTGTCATAGATGGTTATTACCTTGAGGTATGTCCCTTCTATGCTGATTTTGCTTAGGGTTTTAATCATAAAGGGATGCTGGATTTTGTCAAATGCTTTTTCAGCATCTATTGAGATGATCATATGATTTTTGCTTTTAATTCTGTTTATGTGATGTATCACATTTATTGACTTGCATATGTTAAACCATCCCTGCATCCCTAGTATAAAACCCACTTTATCATGATGTGCTATCTTTTCGATATGCTGTTGGTTTTGGTTAGCCAGTATTTTGTTGAGGATTTTCCCATCTATGTTCATCAGGGATATTGGTCTGCATTTTTGTTGTTGTTGTTATGTCTTTTCCTGGTTTGGGTATTAGAGTGATACTGGCTTCATAGAGTTTTTTTTTTTTTTTTTTTTGACGAAGTTTTGCTCGTGTTGCCCAAGCTGGAGTGCAGTGGTGCAATCTTGGCTTACTGCAATCTCTGCCTCCCAGGTTCAAGCAATTCTCCTGCTTCAGCCTCATGAGTAGCTGGGATTACAGGTGCCTGCCACTACGCCCAGCTAATTTTTGAATTTTTAGTAGAGATGGGGTTTCACCACGTTGGCCAGGCTGGTCTTGAACTCCTGACCTCAAGTGATCTGCCTGCTTCAGCCTCCCAAAGTGCTGGGATTATAGGTATGAGCCATTGCACCCGGCTTTCATAGAATTATTTAAGGAGGATTTCCAGTTTATCTTTTGGAATAATTTCATTACGATCAGTACCAATTCTTCTTCAAATGCCTGATAGAATTCATCTGTGAATCCATCTAGTCCTGGACCTTTTTTTTGCTGTTGGCATTTTTTTTTTCATTACTGTTTCAATCTCACTACTTGTTATTGGTCTATTCAGAGTTGCTATTTCTTCCTGATTTAATCTAGGAGGCTTGTATATATCCAGAAATTTATCCATCTCCTCTAGGTTTTCTAGTTTGTGTGTGTAAAGGTGTTCACAGTAGTCTTAAATCATTTTTTATTTCTGTGCTATCAGTAGTAATATCTCCCGTTTCATTTCTAAGTGAAGTTATTTGGATCTTCTCCCTTCTTTTTTTGGTTTATCTCACTAACAGTCTATCATTTTTTTTGAAAGAACTAGCTTTTTGTTTCATTTATATTTTATACATTTTTGTATTGCAATTTCATTTAGTTCTGCTCTGATCCTTGTAATTTTTTTTCCCTCTGCTGGGTTTGGGTTTGGTTTGCTCTTATTTCTCTAGTTACTTGACGTGTGACCTTAGATTGGCTATTTGTGCTTTTTCAGACTTTTTGATATAGGCATTTAATGCTATGAACTTTCCTCTTAGAACCACTTTTGCTATATGCCAGATGTTTTGATAAGTTCTGTCACTATTATCATTCAGTTCAAATAATTCTTTAATTTCCATCTTGATTTCATTGCTGACCCAAAGATCATTCATGAGCAGTTTATTAAGTTTCCCTGTATTTGTATAGTTTTGAGGGTTCTTTTTGGAGTTAATTTCCAGTTTTTTTCCAGTATGGTCTGAAAGAGTACTTGATATTACTTCAGTTTTCTTAAATTTACTGAGACATGTTTTGTGGCCCACCATGTTTTATCTTGGAGAATGTTCCATGTGTTGCTAAAAAGAATGTATACTCTGTAGTTGTTAGGTAGAAGTTCTGTAAATATCTGTTGAGACCATTTGTTCTATGGTATAGTTTAAATTCTTTTCCTTCCTTCCTTCCTTCCTTCCTTCCTTCCTTCCCTCCTTCCTTTTGTGACACAGAGTCTCACTCTGTCACCCAGGCTGGAGTGCAGTGGCATGATCTTGGCTCACTGCAACCTCCACCTCTGGGGTCCAAGCGATTTTCCTGCCTCAGCCTCCTGATTAGCTGGGATTACAGGTATGTGCCACCACACCCAGCAAATTTTTGTATTTTTAGTAGGGACGGGGTTTCACCACGTTGGCTAGGCTGGTCTCAAACTCCTGACCTCAGGTGATCTGCCCACTTTGGCTTCCCAAAGTGCTGAGATTACAGGTGTGAGCCACCATGTCCAGCTCCATTGTTTCTTTGTTTACTTTTTGGCTTGATGACTTGTCTAGTGCTGTCACTGGAGTATTGAAGTCCCCAACTACTATTCTTTTATTTTTTTGAAATGGAGTCTCGCTCTGTCTCCCATGTTGGAGGGCAGTGGCACAATCTCAGCTCACTGCAACCTCTGCCTCCTGGGTTCAAGCGATTCTCCTACCTCAGCCTCCTGAGTAGCTGGGAATACAGGCATGTGCTACCACACCCAGCTACTTTTTGTATTTTTAGTAGAGACAGGGTTTTGCCATGTTGGTCAGGCTGGTCTCAAACTCCTGACCTCAGGTGATCCACCTGCTTTGGCCTCCCAAAGTGCTGGGATTACAGTTGTGAGCCATTGCACCCGGCTGTCCCTGACTATTATTGTGTTGCCATCTATCTCATTTCTTAGGTCTAGTAATAATTGTTTTATAAATTTGGGACCTCCAGTGTTAGGTGCATATATATTTAGGATTGTGATATTTTCTTGTTGAAATGATCCTTTTATTATTATATAATGTCCCTCTTTGTCTTTTTTAACTTGTTGCTTTAAAGTCTGTTTTGTCTGATATAAGAATAGCTACTCTTCCTCACTTTTGGTTTCCATTTGCAAGGAATATCTTTTCCCACTCCTTTACATTAAGTTTATGTGAATCCTTATGCATTAGGCCAGTCTCTTGAAGACAGAAGATATGTGGTTGGTAGATTTTTATCCATTCTGCCATTCTGCAATTTTTTTTTTTTTTTTTTTTTTTTGAGACGGAGTCTCGCTCTGTCGCCCAGGCTGGAGTGCAGAGGCACGATCTCGGCTCACTGCAAGCTCCGCCTCCTGGGTTCACACCATTCTCCTTCCTCAGCCTCCTGGTTAGCTGGGACTACAGGTGCCTGCTGCCATGCCTGGCCTATTTTTTTGTATTTTTAGTAGAGACGGGGTTTCACTGTGTTAGCCAGGATGGTCTTGATCTCCTGACCTCGTGATCTGCCTGCCTTAGCCTCCCAAAGTGCTGGGATTACAGGTGTGAGCCACCACACCCAGCCCATTCTGCATCTTTTAAGAGGAGCATTTAGGCCATTTATATTCATTTTATTATTGAGATGTGAGGTACTATTTTATTCTTCATGCTAGTTGTTGCCTGAATACCTTGTTTGTTTTTCATTGTTTTATAGGCCCTGTGAAATGTATGCTTTAAGGAGTTTCTATTTTGGTATATTTTGAAGTTTTGTTTCAAGATTTAGAAATCCTTTTAGCATTTCTTGTAGTGCTGGCTTAGTAGTGACAAATTCTCTCAGCATTTGTTTGTCTGAAAAATAATTTCTCTCTTTTTCATATATGAAGGTTAGTTTTGCTGGATACAGAATTCTTGTCTAGCAATTATTTTGTCTGAAGATGCTAAAGATAGGACCTCAATCACTTCTGGCTTGTAGAGTTTCTGCTGAGAAATCTGCTGTTAATCTGATAGGTTTTCCTTTATAGGTTGTCTGAGGCTTTTGCCTTGCAGCTCTCAAGATTCTTTCCTTTGTTTTGGCTTTAGATAACCTGATGACTGTGTGCCTAGGTGATCTTTTTGCAATGATTTTCCCAGGTGTTCTTTGAGCTTCTTCTATTTGGATGTTTAGATCTCTAGCAAGGCCAGAGAAGTTTTCCTTGATTATTCCCTCAAATAAGTTTTCCAAACTTTTAGATTTCTCTTCTTCCTCAGGAATACCAATTATTTTTAGTTTTGTCTATTTAACATAATCCCCAATTTCTTGGTGGCTTTCTTCATTTTGTAAAATTCCTTTTTCTTTGTCTTTGTCTGATTGGGTTAATTCAAAAGCCTTGTCAAGCTCTGAAGTTTTTTCTTCTACTTGTTCTAGTCTATTGTTGACACTTTCCAGTGCATTTTGTATGTCTCTAAGTGTGTCTTTCATTTCCAGAAGTTGTGATTGTTTCTTTTTTTCTTTTTTTTGAGACAAGAGTTTCACTTTTGTTGCCCAGGCTGGAGTGCAATGGCATGATCTTGGCTCACCACAACCTCTGCCTCCTGGGTTCAAGCGATTCTCCTGCCTCAGCCTCCCAAGTAGCTGGGATTACAGGCATGCACCACCACGCCCAGCTAATTTTGTATTTTTAGTAGAGACAGCATTTCTCCATTTTGGTCAGGCTGGTCACGAACTCCTGACCTCAGGTGATCTGCCCGCCTTGGCCTCCCAAAATGCTGGGATTACAGGCATGAGCCACCACGCCCGGCCCAATTGTTTTTTCTTTATGATATCTATACCTCTGGGGAATTTTTCATCCATGTCCTGTATTTTTTTTTAACTTTTTGTTTTGTTTTGAGAGAGGGTCTTGCTTGTCACCCAGGTTGGTGGGCAGTTGCATGATCTTGGCTCACTGCAACCTCTACCTCCTATGTTCAAGTGATCCTTCCACCTCAGCATCCTGAGTAGCTGGGACCAAAGGGATGTACCACCAAGCCAGGCTAATTTTTGTTTTTGTTTTAGTACAGACAGGGTTTTGCCATGTTGGCCAGGCTGGTCTCAAACTCCTGGCCTCAAGTGACCTGCCTTGGCTTCCCGAAGTGCTCGGATTACAAGCGTGAGCCACCGCACCTGGCTTGATTTTTACATTTCTTTAAGTTGGTTTTCACCTTTCTCTAGTATCTCCTTCAGTAGCTTAATAATCAACCTTCTGACTTCTTTATGTGGCAATTCAGAGATTCCTTCTGGGTTTGGATCCATTGCTAGGAAGCTAGTGTGGTCTTTTGTGGGTGTTATAGAACCTTGTTTTGTCATATTACCTGAATTATGTTTTTGATTTCTTCTTATTGGGTAGACTATTTTAGTGGAAAAATCTGGAACTCAAGGGCTGCTGTTCAGATTCTTTTGTCTCACAGGGTGATCCCGTGATGTGGTGCACTCCCCCTTTCCTTAGGGATGGGGCTTTCTGAGAGCCAGACTGTGGTGATTGTTATTGCTTTTCTGGGTCTAGGCATCCAGTGGGGCTTCCAAGCTCCAGGATCATGCTGGGGAGTGTCTGCAAAGAGTGTTGTGATGTAATCCATCTTCAGGTCTCCCAGCTATGGATACCAGCACCTCCTCTGGGGGAGGTGGCAGGGTAGTGACATAGACTCTATGAGAAGCCTTGGTTGTAGATGTTTAGTGTGCTGGCTTTCTCAAATGCTGGTTATGATAGCAGTGATGTTGCCACATGGACAGGACCTCTGTTTAGCCAGGATGTTGCAGATAGTGGAGTTAGCTGTTTTTTCCTTCCTTGGAGCAGTGTTATTTTGTCATGAGTTGCTGTCATATCTTGAGTTGGTTGGCCTCCAGCCAGGAGGTGGTATGTTCAGGAGAGCACCAGCTGTGATAGTAGAAGGGGGATATAAGCTTGCCCTAAGTTGGTCAGGATAAGTGTTCAGGTTTCTCATGTGATAAGTAGGGCCATAAAGCTCCCAAGAGTTTGTCTTTTGTGACTGGGCACTGGGATGGGTAGGGAAATACCATCAGGTTGGGGCAGGATTAGGCAGGTCTGAGCTCAGACTCTTTTTGCCACAGCCACTGTGGGGGATAGGGGGCTGATTCTCAGGCAAATGGGGTTATGTTCCAGTGTGGATTATGGCGCCTCTGTCACCAGGGAAGTGGGGGAAAGTAAGTAGCCACAGGGCTCACCCAGCTACCACACAGTTGGCAAGGCCAGTTTCACTCCCACTGTGCCCCGCTAACAGCACAGTTTATCTCCAGGCAGCTGGTGTGCAGGACTCAGACCTAGCCCCAGGGTATAAGTTTCCCCACTAAGAAAGCAAGCATGGCTTTCAGGCCTTGCCCCTCCCTGTCTGCCCACACTGTCAGCTGTGGCTCCTATGCTCCTTTCTGCAGCAGTTCACTTTCACCCCCGATTTCTGCTCGACAGAGTTTGCGCCCAGTCAAAATTATTACACAGTTCAGTTGGAAGCTTATTTCACCCTGCGACCCTGCCCAAATTCTGCCAACTGTCTTCCTCAATGGCCTCGGTGAGATACAGTCAGGGATGGCTTCCCTGGCCCAAGCTGGAGAATGGGAGCGCCTACAAGGCTCTTCCTGCTACTATTTCTACTTTTATATTTTATACTAAATCCATTTCAGCTCTAGGCAAGGTTAAATCCTTCTTCCATAATCTGGGTTTTGAGGTTCCCCAGTGGAGATGTGTGTTCAGAGGCAGGTTTCCCCCTTCTCACATGTTGGGAACTCATAGTTTTTCACCCATCTCATGGAATTTGCAGCAGTGTGCTGTGAGGCCGAGGTGGGAGGATCACTTGAGCCCAGCAGTTTGAGACCAGCCTGGGCAACATGGCAAGACCCAGTCTTGGTCTGTACAAAAAATTAAATAATAGCTGGGCATGGTGGCATATGTCTGTAATCCTAGCTATCAGGAGGCTGAGGCAGGAGCATCACTTGAGCCCAGGAGTTTGAAGCTGCAGTGAGCTATTGTTGTGTCAGAGTACTCCAGCCTGGGTGACAGAGCAAGACCCTGTTTCTAAATAAATAGACTATTTTTTAAAGCAGTTTTAGTTTCATGTAGATTTCTACATATGGTGTGAGGCAAGGGGTCTAACTTCATTCTTTTGCATGTAGCTATCCAGTTGTCCTAGAGCCATTTGTTGAAAGGATGTTTGTTTCTCACCGAATTGGCACCCTGGTTGAAAATCAATTCAACACAGATGTATGGGTTTATTTATAAACTCTTAATTCTATTCCATTGGTCAATATGTCTATATGTAGGCCAATACCATGCCGTTTTGATTATTTTGGGTTTGTAGTAAGTTTTGATTATTGTAGCTTTGAAATTAGAAAGTGTGAGTCCTCCAGGAACTTTGTTATTTTTTTTTTCCAAAATAGTTTGGCTTTTCTTGGTCTCTTGCATTTCCATATTAATTGTAGGATTAGTTTGTCAATTTGTACAAAGAAGCTGGCTGGGATTTTGTTTGGTCTTCTTTAACTTCTTTCAACAGTTTTCAGTGTACAAGTCTTGTACTTCTTTTGCTAAATCTATTCCTGTTTTATTCTTTTTGCTGTTATTGTAAGAAGAATTTTCTTTCTTTCTTTCTCTCTCTCTCTCTCTTTCTGTCATGGAGTCTCGCTCTGTTGCCCAGGCTGAAGTGTGTGGTGTGATCTCAGCTCACTGCAACCTCCACCTGCCAGGTTCAAGGGATTCTCATGCCTCAGTCCCCCAAGTAGCTGGGACCACAGGCATGTGCCACCACACCCTGCTAATTTTTGTATTTTAGTAGAGACAAGGTTTCACCATGTTGGCCAGGCTGGTCTCGAACTCCTGGCCGCAAGTTATCTGCCCATCTCAGTTTCCCAAAGTGCTAGGATTACAAGCATGAGCCAGCACGTCCAGCCATTGTAAGGAGAATTGTGTTCTTAACTCCACTTTCAGAGAAAGTGACTTTTTACTTCACTGGAAGCAACTGGAGTCCTCTGCTGGTTGCTGTTGTTCTACTTAATAACACTGAAGGACCACAAGAGGCCCTTTGTGGTCAGGTATCCAAGGCCTGGATGTCTCTCAGGAGACACACATGTGAGTTCTTAGAGGGCCCACAGGTCTCCACAGAGCACAGTTCCTTGATGTGGGACACTGATCTCCAGTTCCAGGATTCCCATTTCCCCACTCAGCTACTGCAACAATGACTGACCCCATAGTCTCCGATATAGTTTTCATGTCCCCCTAAACCTCATGTTAAAATGTGGTCCCCCATGTTAGAGGTGGGGCCTAATGGAAGGTGTTTTGCTCAGTCATGGGGCAGGTGCCTCATGAATGGCTTGGTGCTGTCCTTGTGGTACTGAGTTCTCACTCTATTAGTTCCCAGGAAAGCTGGTCACTAAAAACAGCCTGGAACCTCCTCCCACTTCTTGCCACCCCTCTCACCATATGATCTCTGAATCTGCCAGTTCCCCTTACCCTTCTGCCACTGGTGGAAACAGCCAGAAGCCCTTGCCAGAAGCAGATGCTGGCATCATGCTTTTTTTTTTTTTTTTCCCTGAGATTCTGTCACCCAGGCTGGAGTGCAGTGGCATGATTTTGGTTCAGCAAATTCCACCTCCCAGGTTCAAGCAGTTCTCTTGCCACAGCCTCCTGAGTAGCTGGGACTACAGGCGCACCACCATGCCCGGCTAATTTTTGTATTTTTAGTAGAGACAGGGTTTCACCATGTTGGTCAGGCTGGATCATGCTTCTTATAAGGCCTGCAGAACTGTGAGCCAAATAATCCTCTTTTCTTTATAAATTACACAGCCTCAAGTATTCCTTTATAGCAACACAAAAGGGCTAAGATAACATCCTTCTGGGTTTCCTTCCCCACAGTATTCATACCTCTTGGATGGTATTCAAGAAGGATAGTGCAAATCCATCTAGCTCCCATTGCATCCACTTGACAAATAGGGGCTTTCCAGATATTGAGACTTACCATAAAGATATAGTAGTTAATATGGTATAATAAGGCACAGGAATAATAACCTGACTGATAGAGAGTCCAGGATATATGATGAAAGTGCCATTACCCAACTGTGGGGAAGAAATGTAATATTCAATTAATGGTTTCTAAACAATTGCTTGTCGATGTAGAAAAAAATAAAACTAGCTCCTGACCTCACACTACACACAAGTTAATTCCTGGCACATAAAAGACTTGAAGATTGTAAAAAAATAAAACTTTAAAAAAACTAAAGAAAAATATTGGGGAATATCTTATGACCTTAGAGTGAAAAAATGATGTTTTAAAGAAATAATAAGTATAAATAAAAAATAAAAGATTGATAAATATGTTCATGAAAATATATCATTATAAAAGTGAAAAGTCAAGCTCCAGATTAGGAGAAGATATTGGCAATGCATATAATAAGGATTTACATAATGACTATAGAACATTTTTCAGAATGAACAATAAAAAGTTCAGCAGCTCATCTGAAAAGTGAGCTAGGGAGAAGAGGAGATCCAAATTGTCTGTGAACACATGGAAAGGTACTCAGCCCCACAAGGAATCAGAGAAATTAAAACCAGAAGGCAACAGTATTTTACACTCTTCAGATTCACAAAAAATTAAAACTCTAAAAATACACAGTCCTTGTGTTAGTCTCATAACCTGCTATTTTGAGATCTTCTTGCTAAATTCAAGATTTGCACACACACACTGAGACCTTGTAAATGTTACTAGACAAACTCTTTCACACATGCACCAGTTTTATAAACATGTTTACAGTAGCAACATTAAAATAAAACAGCAAATGAAACAAAGCAAATCAAAAAACTGGAAACTCACTAGATGTCAATCAATAGGAGATTAGCTAAATGTTGAAACATTCATACAATGGAACACCATAAAGCAGTTAAAATGAATTAGCTGGCCTGGTGCAGTGGCTGGGGCCTGTAGTCCCCAGCTACTCAGGAGCCTGAGGCAAGAGGTCACTTGTGTCCAGGAGTTCAAGGCCACATTGTGCTATGATTGTGCCTGTGAACTGCCACTGCATTCCAGCCTGGGTAACATAGCGGGACCTCATCTCCAAAAAATAAAATAAATTAGTTAGAGAAATCCTATTTATCAATAGGATAAATCTCAAAAATGTAGTATTAAGCAAAAAAAAAAATGCAAGTTGTAGACACATATATACAATATGATAGCATTTATGTAGCTTAAAATATGAAAATAATGCTAAACATCACTTAGGGATACATTTACCTATAGGAAAACCACATGAATAGGTATGGAAATATAAGCACCAAATTCAGTGGGGAGGGAAGAAAATGGGGTCTGGTGGGGCTACACAAGGAGTTCATTGTAGTCACTATTCTTTTTTGTGTGCCTATTAAAAGCAAACAAAAACAGAATAACTCCCAGTGTTGTGAGATAGCTCCAAATTCAATTTTCTCTAAACTCTTGTATTCAGTTCTAATTTCAGCCTACTGCTTCCACAGCATGTCTGCTTTCAGCCTGGTGACACAATCGTTTTTAACTTTAACCAGATGACTAAGACTCTTCTTTGTCTTACGGAAGCCAAATACTTCCAGTCAGCAAGTCTACACAGGTATTTCTTGTGACTTTATAATAAATGTTTTCTATTCTAAATATTCCAACCTGTTTGCCTAATTTTCTGTGAAAGGGGTGTTCATACAGAAAACCAAACACCGCATGTTCTCACTCAAAAGTGGGAGGTGAACAATGAGAACACATGGACGCAGAGAGGGGAACATCACACACGGGGGCCTGTCAAGGGATGGGGGGCAACAGGAGGGAGAGCATTAGGACAAATACCTAATGAATGTGGGGCTTAAAACAGGATGGCAGATTGATGGGTGCAGCAAGCCACCATGGCACATGTATACCTATGTAACAAACCTGCATGTTCTGCACATGTATCCCAGATCTTAAAATATAATAAATAAATAAATAAATAAATAACATAAATTTAAAAAGCGGTGTTCATAAGCTCAATATAAAATACCTTTTGGAACATGGGTTCAATGTGAGTTGTCAGATTTGTCGGCCAGCTCTAAGACTACTGAAATGCAGTCAGGATGATCTAGTTCTAGCTCTGAATCTGTCACTAACTACGAGTGTGAGACCTTAGGCAAACTCCTTAACTTCTCTGGCCTTCAGTTTTTCACCGTAAAATAAGGGCAGTGGATTAAATGATCTCTGTTACCTTCTAGATCTAACTTTTCATGATTCTAAGGCAGAATGTGAGGCTCTGCCAAGAAATTCCTTGGCTCTGAAGTTTCTCTCTCGTAACAGTTCCACTAAGCTGGTTGGCTCAGTACTGGTCATCCCCAGGCAACTTTTAGGGATGCTGTTTTCCATGTGCCTAAGTTGAAGATGTGGAGTCCAATTACCCCATCTGCCATTAGACAAATGTCCTGGCGGCTCATCTAGGTATACACTAGTTATAGATTAGCATTGTCTTTGTAACTTACACAGGCAGTTACCTGATAAATCCCTTGAAGTGGGTGATAGTCTCTTTACAATAACATTTTTCTACTTTTCCCCTGTTTTGCACTAATAGTAATCTAATTTGTTTTCTGAGGTATGGTACAAATACTTTTTGTTTATATTGCAATATTATGTTATCAATGGACAAAGAGGGCCCATTGATAAGAAAGGTATGATTTTGCTTTTTGAATTTATATAAATGTAAAATACTAAGTTCAGCGGGAGTAAGAAGTGTCAGCTTCTAGTCAAATCTGTTCATTTCAAGAGGTGGCAACTAACTACCTGTTGCAGTCAGGAATTACAGGTTAAAAGCAACCAACGTTAGTTTAATTCATGTGGTGTTTGAATACGAAATAAAGGAGATGGGCAAGTGGGGAAGTTTAAATATTATGTAGTTAATAGCAGGAAGGATACCTAATCCCCGATGACTCAGAATGCCAATGCAGTGTGGGGGTAATGTAGAGAAATACAGTTCATGAGCGAGGGCAGAGCTGGGGAAGTTAGGTAACTATATTATGAACCAGCAAAGGCAAATTTTGGAAAGTGATAGAATCAAATACATTTGAGGATTAGTTTAGTGACTGTGAACAGACTAATGAGAAACTATGCTCAATATTGTATATACTCTATTTGAAAATTAGAGGAAGCAATAGGAAAACTAGAAAACTTGGCATGAATATAAGTAGATTATCTGAAGAGATGAAAAAAGACTCAAGTTACTGCAAACAGCAAAAGACAAGAGAATTTCACCCGCAATAGGAAACTCTAAATAAATAATACTAGCTTGGAAATATGGCAAATACAAATCTTGAAATACTTTTAAAATGTGTTGATTTTTTTTAAGACAAAGGGTCTCACTATGTTGCCCAGACTGGATTCAAACTGCTAGGCTCAAGCAATCCTCCTGACTCAGTCTTCCGAGAAGTTAGGACCACAGGCACACACTGCCTTCCTGGCAAAATTTGTTGATTTTTTAATGCATCATCTAACTTTTTAAACTGCAGGCTGACAGAGTGACAGACTCCACCTTCGTTTCAAGTACTGCATGATATAACTAACGTGGTAAAAACAAAAATAGAAGAAACACAGTCATGAAATTGCTGTAGTAGCAGTCCAAGATTCCCATGCAGGACAATCAGGCAGTATGCCAAGATCTGCAACAAACAGCAGGAATTATCTTATGCCCAATATAAGTGAACAAATACTGACCAGAATCTGTTGTTTTTACTAAAGCAGAAATAGTAGGGCAGTTTCATTTACACATTGTTTTTTTGAGACAGTCTTGCTCTGTCACCAGTCTGAAGTGCAGTGGCGTGATCTTGGCTCACTGCAACCTCCACCTCCTGGGTTCAAGGGATTGTCCTGCCTCAGCCTCCTGAGTAGCTGGGACTACAGGCGCCCGCCACCATGCCAGCTAATTTTTGTATTTTTAGTAGAGACAGGGTTTCACCATGTTGGCCCGGCTGGTCTCTAACTCCTGACCAAAGGAGATCCACCCATCTCAGCCTCCCGAAGTGCTGGGATTACAGGCGTGAGCCACCACACCCGGCCTCATTTACACATTCTCATCTAGCTAATAAACTCTTTCCTCACTTTGCTGTATGAAAGTGACCTTGAAGTGTGTGTGCAGGTGATGGTCTACAAGTCAAAATATGCCCATTTTTGGAGATATTATCTGTGAAGCTCCATATACCCTTGTTAAAATGGAAAGATTAAGGGGTGCTTGAAACCGTAAGAGTAAATAAACCCTGTCCAAATGAGAACTAGTCTAAATCATTACTGTAGTTCTAAGAGTTTGAAATAGGTCATAATTGTGAGTTGCAATGTTTTGTTTATTTGGTTTAGCTCAAGAATGTTGCCTTCATTCCTCCCCAGCTCTCTTTGACTCACCCACACCTGTTAGGCGCTCCCTTTTATGTTCCTACAGCAGCCTGCACACATCTCCATCACTGTAGTAACTGTATAGTTTAGTAATAGTTGATTTTTTCCTATGAAAAAATGAAACTTCCTTGAGTGTAAAAATTGTGTTTTTTCAGGTATGCATACCCAGAATCAGGTTAATTTTTGGTGAAAGAGAGGTTAACAGACAGCATATAAATGAAAGAAAATTGCCCCTCATTTGGTTTTGAATGCCTCCAAATGGTTCTCTGCATTTGGATGGGTTGATTGAGCCACTGGCACAAGAGTCCATTTGCAAATTGGCATGGACCAGTGTTGCTTGAGAAATCTCCCTGAGGGCAATTCAAAAGAAAATCTCCAAACTAAAACTCTATGTCAGGTTACTTTTTGCTATTTGCCCTTGGTCCTCACTAGGTGTAAGAAGAGTCTTCAAAATGCCTGAGCAGGTACACATTATAACACACTGGGCAACAGTTAATGTTCAAATGGCTATTCAATAATTTGTTTTACATAAACACTGTCCATAGAACTGCCTGTATTTGTCATGCTTCTCACAACAAGAACGCTTTCAAACTGCCTTCCTTACTGAGAAGTGGATTTTATAATATCAATTTTACTAGTCGTGATAACACTGGAAACTAGAACTATCCCCTCCACTAAAGATAAGTAACCTTGGAGCTTGCGACCAGGCTACGTTACTCGTCTGGATCACACAGTGAGTTGACAGCTGTGAGGGCACCCCTTACTCTACCATTCTTCAGTAACTGCTACTACAGTGTTTAAAGACGAGCATAGCAGCAGCATAACACCTTTGCACATGGGGAAACCCATAACAGTGAACCAAACATCTGTATTTTCTCCTACAGTGGGTGGTACTTACCAGGTAAGTCGAGTAATCAGAGTAATTGCTCTCCAGGGAGTGGTTATGAACATGATTTAGCAAACTTGTTTTTAATCTTCTGTTTTCATCATTTACAAAAGACACACCCTGCCTTTGCCCATGTTTCTGTCACACCACTTCTCTAGCAGACACTACCTGTTCCCCAAGTAGCGCAAATCCAGATTCCATATGAGTTATGACACAGATGTTGATAGCATGTATGTGCTACTGTTCTTTCCGAATCTTAATTTCTGTAGGCACAAAATATTTTTTCACTTAACATCTAATCTAGATGATTAAGAAGATTAAGTAAAGCTGACTATCTAATTAGATACATGTAAGTCTTTATTACTAAAGTATTTAGGTTAACTTAGAATGGAAGATGCTGCCAAACTGAATTATAGGAAGAGAAAGAAATCTACTGACCTAAAGTTTAGTGATTCCTCTTTGCTGGGGCATGCAATCAAAAATATGCTATCAAATGCCTTAAGAATAACTTTTAAAATATTATAAAAATATGCCTTAGTTGGGCGTGGTGGTGCACGCCTGTAATCCCAGCTAATTGGGAGGCTGAGACAGGAGAACTGCTTGAAACTGAGAAGTGGAGGTTGCCAAGATCACGCCATTGCACTCCAACCCGGGCAACAAGAAAGAGAGACTCCATTTCAAAAAAAAAAAAAAAAAAGTGCCAGCCAAGTGGCTCACATCTGTAATCTCAGCACTCTGGGAGGCTGAGGTGAGAGGATCCCTTGATCCCAGGAGTTCAAGACCAGCCTGGGCAACATAGCGAGACCTTGTCTCTACTAAAAATAAAAAAAATTTTTTAAAAAATATATATACATATGTGTGTGTGTGTGTATATATATATATATAGAGAGAGAGAGAGAGAGAGAGTGTGTGTGTGTGTGTGTGTGTGTGTGTGTGACAGAGGGTCTCACTCTGTCATCTAGGCAGGAGTGCAGTGGCGGGATCTTGGCTTACTGCAACCTCTGCCTCCCGGGTTCAAGTTATTCTCCTGCCTCAGCCTCCCAAGTAGCTGGGATTACAGGCGCCCATCACCACACCTGGCTAATCCACCTGCCTTGGCCTCCCAAAGTGCTGGGATTACAGGTGTGAGCCACCGTGCCTGGCCAAAAAAATATATGTTTGTAGAATAAAATAAAGAATACAAATGTAAATTTTAAAATGACCAATAATCTTACCACCTAGAAATAATAAATTGCTAATATTTTGGTGTCTTTGCTTCCAGAAAGTTCTTTATGCTCAAGCTGAATTTGCTATACGAACTGACACCTGGGGCAGGCCTATGCCAGTTAGTTGCTGAGTAAAGCATAATCAGAATGCAGATAAAAACAAGTAGCGCTAAAGATATTAACAAAAATAGGGTGGGGGAGGGGGGAGGGATAGCATTAGGAGATATACCTAATGTTAAATAACGAGTTAATGGGTGCAGCACACCAACATGGCACATGTATACATATGTAACAAACCTGCACATTGTGCACATGTATCCTAAAACTTAAAAGTATAAAAAAAAAGATATTAACAAAAATAGCATCCTCAAAACTGTGAGAAAAATCAAGAATAGGCATAAAATCATAAAGCTTACAGGCCTTTAGAGCTACTCATGCAATCTTTTACCCTATGGACAGGACACTGAGAGTGCATGTTGATTAGCTGCAGAGCCAGAACTAGAATCCAGAAAACAACGCTTTTGGCCTTGGCTTCCTGCTCTCCTGATACTTTTCACTTTTTTTGTTTGTTTGTTTTGAGACAGGGTCTCACTATGTCATCCAGGCTAGAGTGGAGTGGCACACTCATGGCTCACTGCAGCCTTGACCTCCTGGGCTCAAGCGATCCTCCCAGCTCAGCCCCACCAAGTAGCTGGGACTACAGGCATGCACCATTGTGCCCGGCTAAATTTTGTATTTTTTGTAGAGATGGGGTCTTGCCATGTGGGCCAGGCTGGTCGTGAACTCCTGGACTCAAGCAATCTGCCCGCCTCGGTCTCCCAAAGTGCTGGGGTTACAGAAGTGAGCCACCATACCTTGCCTCATAATACTTTTAATGGACTCTGTTATATACTTTACTGGATTTAATGACTGATAAATGTTGGCTTTGAAATAAACATTTTTGGTATGAAATGGGAATAATAACACAAGGTCAGCAGTTCCTTTTTAACTCACCCAAATCATCTTTGGGAAAGATTAAGTCCTCTACTTGTTTAGTCAGAGAATGTTAGAATAGCCAAAAGTCCTAGACATTGTATTAGTTTATTCCCCCATTCTACAGATAAGAAAACAGGTGCCAAAGAGGATGCTCAGCTAGTTGGTGGCAGAGTTGGGAGTAGATCCCATCTCCTGACTCCGAGGTTATTTATTTATTTATTTTTGAGATGGAGTCTCGCTCTGTTGCCCAGGCTGGTGTGCAGTGGCACGATACCTCCACCTCCCGGATCCACGCAATTCTCCTGTCTCAGCCTCCTGAGTAGCTGGGACTACAGGCACAAGCCACCATGCCTGTCTAATTTTTGTATTTTTAGTAGAGACAGGATTTCACCATATTGGTAATGCTGGTCTCAAACTCCTGACCTCAGGTGATCCGCCTGCCTGGGCCTCCCAAAGTGCTGGGATTACAGGCCTGAGCCACTGCGCCCAGCCCTGATGCCAAGGTTCTAAGAATAGTATAGAATGTAGTACTCATAATCATCAAAAGTCACCTCCCAAAAGTTCTTATAGTCTGGACTGATTGATGCCCATACTCTGCCTTCTATTGAACTATTTCAATTGTAATAATGAACCTAGGCAGTGGTCATCAATGACTGCCAACTTCACGAAAAGAGATAAAATTGGAAACTATGTGCCTGATAATCGATGTATAAATAGTTTTGCTGCTTTCGGATCTGAGCTCGGAGGAGGCCAAGGTGCAACTTTCTTTGGTAGTCCCGAATCCGGGTTCATCTGACACCAGCCGCCTCCACCATGCTGCCAAAGTTCAACCCCAAAGAGATCAAAGTCGTATACCTGAGGTGCACTGGGGGTGAAGTTGGTGCCACGTCTGCGCTGGCCCCCAGATTGGCCCCCTGGGTCTGTCTCCAAAAAAGGTTGGTGACGACATTGCCAAGACAACGGGTGACTGGAAGGGCCTGAGGATTACAGTGAAAACTGACCATTCAGAACAGACAGGCCCAGATTGAGGTGGTGCCTTCTGCCTCTGCCCTGATCATCAAAGCCCTCGAGGAACCATCAAGACAGAAATAAACAGAAAAACATTAAACACAGTGGGAATATCACTTTTGATGAGATCATCAACATTGCTCAACAGATGTGGCACCAATCTGGAGAGATCCAGAGAACTCTCTGGAAACATTAAAGAGATCCTGGGGACTGCCCAGTCTTTGGGTTGTAATGTTGACAGCCACCACCCTCATGAAATCATAGATGACATCAACAGTGGTGCTGTGGAATGCCCAGCTAGTTAAGAAGCACAAAGGAAAATATTTCAGTAAAGGATCATTTGACAACTGGTGGAAAAAAAAGAAATAGTTTGCCATAAAAAAATCAAACCTAAATCATAATAAAGAACTACCTATCAACTAGCTAGGGGATAGAAGAACATGTTAATGACTTCCAAGAATACAATCAGAAAAATATAGAATGTGAGAAATATACAAGTAATTTCATTTCTTCAATAAATATATATCAAGAAAAAATGAGATGGAAGGAAATCTATATATTACAAGAGACCACAGAGACAAATAAATCGAATATTGTGTATCAGAATTATTTGGCCTGATTTGAACACACTGGAAAAAAACAGTATTATGAGACAGGTACATTAATACTGACCTTACAGAAATAAAGAGAATCAAAAAAGAATACTATGAATAGCTAAATGCCAACAAAATAGATAACTTACATAAAATGGACAAATTCCTAGAATGACATAAACTACTGAAACTGACTTGAGAAGGAATAGAAAGTCTGAATAGACTTATAATAAAGAGATTGAATTAATAAGAAGAAAGAAAGAAAGAAAAACTACCCACAAAAAAAAGCCTAGGCCCAAATGGCTTCACTGGTAAATTCTACCAAACATTTAAAAAATAATCAACGATGGCCAGGTGTGGTGGCTCACGCCTATAATCCCAGCACTTTGGGAGGCTGAGGCAGGTGGATTATGAGGTCAGGAGCTCGAGACCATTCCCTGCCCAACATGGTGAAACCCTGTCTCTACTAAAAATACAAAAAACAAAAATTAGCTGGGCTTGGTGGCAGGTGCCTGTAATCCCAGCTACTCAGGAGGCTGAGGCAGGAGAATCACTTGAACCCAGGAGGCAGAGGCTGCAGTGAGCCAAGATCGCAACACTGCACTCCAGCCTGGGTGACAGAGCAAGAGTCTGTCTCAAAAACAAACAAACAAACAAACAAACACAGAACGCAGGCTGGGCATGGTGGCTCACACCTGTAATCCCAGCACTTTGGGAGGCCGAGGTGGGTGGATCACTTGAGGCCAGGAGTTTGAGACCAGCCTGGCCAACATAACGAAACCCTGTTTCCACTTAAAATAAAAAAAAAATAGCTAGGCATGGTAGCTCACATCTGTAATCCCAGCACTTTGGGGAGGCCAAGGTAGGTGGATCACGAGGTCAGGAGTTCGAGACCAGCCTGTCCAACACGGTGAAACCCCGTCTCTACTAAAAATACAAAAATTAGCCAGGCGTGGCGACACGCACCTGTAATCCCAGCTACTCAGGAGGCTGAGGCAGGAGAATTGCTTGAACCTGGGAGGTGAAGGTTGCAGTGAGCCAAGATCACGCCATTGCACTCCAGCCTAGGAGCCTGAGCAATAGAGTGGGACTCCATCTCAATAAATAAATAAATAAATACATAAAATACAAAAATTAGCTGGGCCTGGTGGCGCACACCTATAGTCCCAGCTACCCGGCAGGCTGAGGCACGAGAATCGCTTGAACTCAGAGGTGGTTGCAGTGAGCCAAGATGGTGCCACTGCACTCTAGCCTGGGTGACAGAGTGAGACTCTGTCTCAAAAAAGAAAAGTAATAATAATGAATGCAAAACTTCACAAATTCTTGAAAAAATAGATGAGGAGGGAACATTTCCCAACTCATTTTATATGGCCAGTATTATCTTGATACCAAAATCAGACATCACAAGAAAATTAGAGACAAATATCTCTTATTTACTTATTTATTTTTTGAGACAGGGTCTCATTCTGTTGCCCAGGCTGGAATGCAGTGGTGCAATTTTGGCACACTGCAGCCTTGACCTCCAGGGCTCAAGTGACCCTTCCGCCTCAGCCTCCCAAGTAGCTGGAACTACAGGCATATATCATCATGCCCAGCTAATGTCTGTATTTTTTGTAGAGACAGGGTTTCAATGTGTTGCCTGGGCTTGTCTTCAACTCCTGAGCTCAAGCAATCCTCCCGTCTTGGCCTTCCAAAGTGTTGGGATTACAGGCATTCATCACCATGCCCTGCCTCAATAGCTCTTATTAACAAAGATGCAAAAGTCTTCAACAAAATACTATCAAATCAATTTCAGTGACATATAAAAAGGATTATACATCATAATCAAGTGAGATTTGCTCTGGGAATTCATAAAAGCAATGTAATGGCCCATATTAACAAAGAATAAAAAACACATGATCTACTGGGTGCAGTGGCTCACACCTGTAATCCCAACACTTTGGGAGGCCAAGGTGAGAGGATCACTTGAGCCCAGTAGTTTGAGACCAGCCTGAGTGACATGGCTAAATCCCGTCTCTACAAAAAAATTAAAAAAATTAGCTAGGCATGGTGGCACATGTCTGTAGTCCTAGCTACTTAGAAGGCTGAGGTGGGAGGATCGCTTGAGCCCAGGAGGTGGAGGCTGCAGTGAGCCAATATTGTGCCAGCCTGCACACACACCAGCCTGGGCAACAGAGCGAGACCTGTCTCAAAAAAAAAAAAAAAAAAAAAGCAAATTGGCCAGGCATGGTGGCTCAGGCCTGTAATCTCAGCACTCTGGGAGGCCAGGGCAGGGGTTCACTTGAGCTGACTTCGAGACGAGTCTGGGCAACATGGTGAAAGCCTGTCTCTACAGAAAACACAAAAATTAGCTAGGCATGGTGGTGCGCGTTTGTTGTCCCAGCTACTCAGGAGGCTGCGATGGGAGGTTGAAGCTGTGGTGAGCTGTAATTGTGCTACTGCATGCTAGCCTGGGTGACAGAGTGAGACCCTGTCTCTCTCTCTCTCACACACACACACACACACACACACACACACACACACAGCAAATCAAAATCAGTCACCCCATTATCAACATCCCTCACCGGAGTGGTTACAATTGATGAACCTACACTGACACATCATTATCACCCTAAGTGCATAGTAATGTTTCTTTTTGGGGTGCTGAAAATGTCCTAAAACAAATTGTAATGGTGGTTGCACAACTTTTGTTTTTTTTTTTGAGACAGGGTCTCACTTTGTTGCCCAGGCTGGAGTGCAGTGGCGCTCACTGCAATGTCTGCCTCCTGGGCTCAAGTAATCCTCCCACCTCAGCCTCCCAGGTAGCTGGGACTACATGCGCACACCACCACGCCTAGCTAATTTTTGTAGAGAAGTGGTTTTGCATGTTGCCCAGGCTGAGCTCGAACTCCTTGGCTCAAATGATCCTCGTCTTGGCTTCCCAATGTGCTGGAATTACAGGCATGTGCTGCCGCGCCCACCCTGCACAACTCTTTGAATGCACTAAAGTTGTTGAATTGTATACTTTAAATGAGTGAATAGTATGGTATATGAATTATATCTCAATAAAGCTGGTAGCAAAAAATTTTATAAGACAGTTGGGTTAATTTGAATAACAGGGTAGTTGATACAAAGGAACAATAGCGGTCTGAAGTTATATTTATTAAAAAAAGAATTCTTTTAGAAATACTAAAAAATTTGTGAAGTAATTTTAAAACCACTGTCTTGACCCCTTGCAGTTATCACTTTTCTACCCGCTATCCTTACAACCAACTCCATACCCAAATTATCTATTCTCCCTCTCTCCAATTCCGTTCCCACTATTCTAAATCCATTCCAATCAGGCTTTTATCCTTACTACTCCACTATCATAAGCAGTGGCCAGTTAGAACCCAGCAATTGACATGGTTGTTCTTCCTTGAGCCATCCTCCCCACCCAGTTCAACTGGGATTCTTTTCCTGGTTTCCTCCTGTTTCAGTGCCTAAGATACCTTTCTCAAACATCTGTCTACACTTTATATGTAGATTATTTCATGGCTTCAAATACTCTCTACATGCTCTCTCCCAAATTTACATCTCCAGTCTGGACATTTCTAAATTCCAGACTCCTACATATCTAACTCTCTTCTTAATATTTTCATGTGGCATTCTAACAGGCATCTCAAATTTAAGCTCCAAAACAGAATTTTTGTTTGTCTTTTTGAGACGGGGTCTCATTCTGTCACCCAGGCTGGAGTGCAGTGGTGCCATTTTGGCTCACTGCAACCTCCACCTCCAGGGCTCAAGTGATCCTCCCAAGCAGCTGAGACTATGGGCATCTGCCACCATACCTGGCTAATTTTTGTAGAGATGGGGTTTTACCATGTTACCCAGGCTGGTTTTGAACTCCTGAGCTCAAGCGATCTGCCTGCCTTGGCCTCCCAAAGTACTGGGATTACAGGTGTGAGCCACCCTGCCTGGCCCAAAATGGAATTTATCTCTTCCCATCCCCAACCTGCTCCTCCATCTTTCCCAGTTCAGTAAATGACAACACCATTCTTCAAAATGCTCAGGCCAAAAATCGTAGTCACCTTGGACTCCCTTCATTTTCTCATATCCTATATAAATTGTCATCAAATCCTGTGTGCCACCCTGAATATATCCAGATACCTCATCCCTCCACTGCTTGCACCTTTTCTATGCCACTTATCTCTCACCTGGAGTATTACAATAGCTTCCTAAGTGGTCCCCCTTGCTCCTCAATAATCTAGTGTCAAACTAGAAGTCAATGTGATTCTTTAAATATATAAGTAGAATTTCACTATTTTTCTACTCAACGATGGCTTCCCATCTCCCTCAGAAAAAGCCAAAGTCCTTACAATGGCCTGTAAGTCCATGCCCAATTTGAATTCCTCTTACCTCTCTGACTTCATTTCCTACTTTTACCCTCCTGTACTCTGCTTCTATCACTCTGGACTGCTTTCTGTTCTCAGAATGTAGTAGGCATCTTTCTGCCTTAATGATTTCTGCACTTGTTATTCCACCCAGAATGTTCCCTGTCCACCCAAGGCACATTTCTTGTTCCTTTGCCTCCTTTAGATCTTTGTACAGTTTGCCTTCTCAGTGGGGCTCCTCTGCCTCTGGTATAAACAAAAACCTCCCTCCCTACTCTCGGCTCACCCTATTCCCCTCTCACTGCTTCACTTTTTCTTGCCAACACTTATCCTACCTGTCTTAGTATATATTTTACTTATTAATATTTTTAGTCTCTGCTATGAGGACAGGGATTTTTCCCTGCTTTGCTAAGTGTTTGGCACAGTATCGGCACACAATATTTTTGAGTGTATGAATGCTATTTATAATGCACTATATTCTCTGCCTCTTTGTTTAACTATCACTAGCTGCATGGGAGTCTGGATATGCATCCCTGAGGAAGATCAGACTGACTGAATAGAAGAATTGTCCACTCACTCTGACTACTGTTATCTATCTCTCTAAGGGAGATGAAAGCATAGCAGCAATTCTGGAGGCTCAGGTTCCAGTCAAAGCTTTGAGACCAATTAGGCATGTGGCATTGGGAAGATAATTTTTCCTCTCTGGCCCTCAATTTCCTCATCTGCCAAAAGGAGATCATTTCCTTAAAAGACCTCACAATATTTTTGAGAATATAAAATCAAAGATGAAATGTTGAGTAGGGAAGGGTATGTCTTATTAATTTCTCTACTACATACAAAGATATATTTACCTGGCATTTTATATTTGTTAAAGGTAATAAACAAACCTAAAAGCAAACCCCAGGGTTCTTTTACGAACCTTGAAAAATGTACTTCTGTTGTGTTGTGCCCTTATACATACCACTAATGTGACAGCAAAGACTCTTGATGTCAGCCTATTCTTTCTCCTGAGAAAAGTCACTCTTACATGTCATTTTTTTCTTTCAGTATCCTCATCCAAACCAATGAATACTCAGTGCTTACTGGAGCCTGGCTCCAATGGCAGTTTTCTTTCCTAATCTCTTGTGCGTACATGTGGTTGGTGAGCCTTTTCTCAGCCCATCTGCAACTCAGAACCTTGATTTTCTTGCCTGTAAATTGGGGTGCACAACAACTGGCTCACATTTATATTAATGGATTCGCGGACCCATCAATAATTTACATAAAGCAGTAGTACAATGCCTGGCACATCTAGAGGCCTCCATAAATGCTTTATAGAAATGGAGTATGTATTCAGCTTCCACTGCCAGAGTTGCTTTCTGAAACAGATCTTTCTAGCTGGGCGTGGTGGCTCCTGCCTGTAATCCCAGCACTTTGGGAGGCTGGATCACGAGGTCAAGAGATCGAGACCATCCTGGCCAACATGGTGAAACCCCGCCTCTACTAAAAATACAACGATTAGCTGGGCGTGGTGGCATGTGCCTGTAGTCCCAGCTACTCAGGAGGCTGAGGAAAGAGAATCGCTTCAACCAGGGAGGCAGAGGTTGCAGTGAGCCGAGATCGCACCACTGCACGCCAGCCTGGGCAACAGAGTGAGACTCTGTCTCGGAAAAAAACCAAACAAACCCAAAACAGTTCTTTCATCATGTTACTATGCCTAGTCACGGACCTTAAACAATATAAAGTATGAATTTCTATACTTGGTTTCAAAATCTCCCACATTCTATTAATACTAATTTTTGAGACGGAGTCTCGCTGTCGCCCAGCTTGAGTGCGGCGGCGCAATTTCCGTTCACCACAACCTCCACTTCCTGGGTTCAAGCATTTCTCCTGCCTCAGTCTCCTGAGTGGCTGGGATTACAGGTGTGTGCCACCGTACCCGGCTAATTTTTGTATTTTTAGTAGAGACAGGGTTTTACCATATTGGCCAGGCTGGTCTCGAACTTTTGACCTCAAGTGATCCACCCACCTCGGCCTCCCAAAGTGTTGGGATTATAGGCGTGAGCCACTGCGTCTGTCCCCACAAGCTATTAAAATTAGGGTTTTTCTTTTTTTGTTTAAGACTAGCCAAGTGCAGTGGTTGAGAAGTGGAGCACAAGGAGAACAAGGAGTTTGGTCTGTAACTGGCAGTGAACAATCAAGATAACTTACTATCTCTGTATTACCCTAAAAGGATCTTGAAGAGTTATCTGTACACTCATGTTTGAAGCAGTATTATTCACAATAACCAAAAGGTGGAAATAACACAAGTGGTATATACACACAATGGAATATTATTTAGTCTTAAAAGGGAAGGAAATTCTGACACATGCTACAAGATGGATAAACCACAAGGAGATTATGCTATGTGAAATATGCCAGTCACAAAAATACAAATACTGTATGATACCACTTACACGGGGTACACAGTCAAATTCACAGAGACAGAACTAGAATGGAGGTTACCAAGGCTAGCTGGAAAATGGCGAATGAGAAATTGTTTAATGGGTTCGGGGTTTGTTTTGCAAGATGAAAAGAATTCTGGAGACTGGCCGCACGAGGTAAATATACTTAATACTAACGAATTATTCACTCAAAAATGGTTAAGATAATAAATTTTGTTGTGTAGATAAAAAAATTTAAAAATCGATTCCATCTTTCTCATCAAATCTTACTTTTTACTCTTTGTTTCTTTTTTTCCCATTTCAGTTAGATTGCTCTCTTCATTGTACTTCCAGTATGCCTCTTGAGCCTTTGCACCATGGTGTTTCTTCTCTGGAATGGTCTTTCATTATCACCCATCCATTTTCAAAAGGTTGCATGTGCTTTCGTTCCAAAGACATTAGTTTATAGATCCAACCAGGAGTCGCATCCTCCATGTCATCCCTACTCTTTCAAATCACATACCTCTACCTTTTCTGCACTACACAGAAGGGCCTACACACGGCTTTCATACTTTAGCTTAGCCTCTCCGACCATACCTCCTAAGACCCTGAGGATCAGGGGGCATTATCTCATAGTTCTCCCGCACTTCTCTCCCATCCCAACACATACACTAGCAAGGAGCTCCGCACACAAGCTCCTCCAGTAAAAACAACGCACTGGGCAGTGCATCTCAACACATCAAATTACCGGCGTGCATAGGAGCCTGATGCGGCAAATCTGTGGGTCCTTCGGGATCCTTGAAGGCAGCCCTATAATTTGCATTTTTCTACGCTCCAAAACACTTTCCGGGCCAGATGCGGTGGCTCACTCCTGCTGTCCCAGCACTTTCGAAGACCCAAGACGGCGGATCACTTGAGGTCAGGAGTTTGAGACAAGGCTGGGAAACATGGTGAAACCCATCTCTACAAAAAAATACAAAAAGTAGTTGGGGGGGGGTGGTGCACGCCTGTAATTCCAGCTACTCGGGAGGCTAAGGCAGGAGGATCACCTGAGCCTGGGAAGTCGAGGCTGCAGTGAGCCGTGATCGCGCCACTGCACTCCATCCGGCCTGGGCGACGGCGGTGAGACCCTGTCTCAAAAAAATAAAAGCCACCACTTTCCCACTTATTATCCCAGGGAAACGCACGCGACGGAGGAGCGAAGGAGCGTTTATTTGTGGAGGCGCTCAAGTAAGAAACCCTGCTCGCTGGCCGACTCAAGGGTCTCCAAAGCCTTCTCTGGGCTGTCTCCCCTCCCCAAAAGGCAAAGAACCGTTAACAAGTTTACTTCCGGCACAAGCGTCCGCGCCTGCTCGGAAAAGGGAGCGTGGACACACAGCTCTGTTACGGGAAGTCGCAGGGCACAATTTCCTTCATTGCAGTCGCCCTCTGGGCGGACGCCCTAACCCAGAAGTGAAAGACCGTTTCCTTCGAGTATCAGACCCCCGACCAAAGGAAGTTCCACTTGGACGACTTTTACCCAGGGTTTCCCGATTCCTCTTTAGCTCTTCCTATCACGCTCCCTGCTTGCTGGTGCATTGTTGCTGTGGCCACTTAGTTCCGACCTTCCTTGTCTAACTCGAGTTTTGTCGCAACTTTCCAAGGGGCCTAACCACAACCTTTTCCGTAAAAAAAAACAAAAACAAAACCTTTACCCTACGGGTCCCCATCAGGGTCAACTAACGTTCTCCGTGAGGGGCAAAGCTCCCGGGGACTTTACGCCAGCGAAGCCTAACACGGCCAGGCCAGCGCCTGCGCGGGGCGTTACCATAGAGAGGCAGCCGCCTCTCTGGTCTCGGTTTACGCTCTCTATGGTGTACCCGGGTTGGTGGCGGTAAGAAGAAAAAGGGTGACCGCACTGCGCAGGCGCCCTCGGCGTCTCTCTCGCTCTCTCGGTCTTTTTTTTTTTTTTCTTTTTTTTTTTTTTTAATCCCCGCACCAAGCGCTTAACCTCATTGGGGTGGAGGAGAAGGCGGCGGCTCTCTGGTCCGCAGCGGCAACAGTAACGAAAAACAGGGCTGTAAGTACCCGGTCAGGGGGCGGAGGGTCAGACCCGAGCCCTCTCGCGGCCCTGGCCCCTCCCGCGCAGTGGCGGGCGCCGGGTCTGGGTGGGGGCGATGTCCAGCGCTGTCATCGGCTCTTGGGTGCACTTTGGGGGGATGGGGCGGCCCTGAGGTGGGAGCCTGGCGAGGAGCGGGATGCGAGGGTTGTTTATCCAACCAGTAGGTCGCTGAGCCCAGGCTGCTTTGCAGAGGGAGGGGATCGGCCCTGGGGTCAGTCGGGCTTTGTGTGCCCCTCTCTGTTTCCCTTTTCCAGACCCCACCCGGGCCCCCTTCCTAACCCGAGTCTCCCCTGCCGGGTGGGAGAAGCCAGCGAGCCCGGGGCGCGTTTGAAAGGAAGGGAGGGGGCGAGGGAGAGAAACCCACAACAACTAGTCATTGGCGAGTGATGGGTGTGAAGAAAGATCCAGAGAGAAGGGGTGCCGGGAGGCGGGCGGCCCGGGCTCCCGTCCTGGGCTCCCAACCGGGCCAGACAAAAGCTGCGCGAGCGGCGCCGAGCGGAGCGGCCGGCTTGATGGGATGCACAAGGTCCCCTTGGTTCCCGGGGCCTTCGAAGAGCTTCTTTCTGAAGCTGGGAAAGCGAACAAGTGCTGAGTTAAGCCTGTGCAGACTTCTCAACTTGCCTTTGTTGTTCTTTGGTATTGGCAGAGACGCTCTGACGAAGATGAGTGTGTGATCTTGCACGTTAGCCTGGCTAGGTACAATGGAGCTAATCGAATTTTGCTTTCCGTTTTCCGAGCTGCTGGGATGAGTATGGGGCTTTCCAGAGTTTAAATTATTACATAATATTTTTAAAATAGTTGTTTGCTTCTAAAATTAAAAAAAATTAATGTGGAGTCTGAAAGCACGCTGTGGTGAGTTTGCAGCTGAGTTTGCAGCTGGGTGAGTTTCTGTGTAGTGGGGTGCGTTCATTAAATACTGACCATTCGTAGAACCTGTGAGCTCTTTAAACATGATACTTTCATTTGTAGATGTGGCAATGAGAGCTTCAGATTCTCTAGTCCTTTGGGAGACCGTGATGCAGAAGAGTCAGAAGCGAGAAATAGTTTCATGCCGCCATGTACCTTGGACCCTATTTGGGTGCCACAGTCCGTTTTCAATTCTGGCATTAGAAATTGTTTTTATTACTACGATTATTTACGACGGTAACTGACCTCTCGATATGAGGGATCCTGGATATTGGCTCCGTTTGCTCATCAAGGGATTGGGAGAATAGCAACATTGATGTTGCGACCATATAGATAAAAAGTAGCACAGTGCCTCAGAGTATTGAATATTATTTATTTTTTACATTTGTTAAGAAATTTAAATTTTGATGATCTGGTTATCTTGTTAAATTGTGTAATACACCTTTTTAGCAGTTGTTACTGAAATCTCAGTTTCTATAATTCATTGTTTATTATGGGCTACCTTGTAACACCATTTTAGACTTCTAAAGTTTTAGTTTTTATGAAGGAGTTTTCAGCCATAGCTTTTAATTCTCCCAGGTAAGGTTAACCAAAGTCAGGACTCCTTAGAGGAGACTTTGTTGGTGGTGGAGGTGTCAAATATTGTATCTCTGTGTTACAACTGAATTGGCAAATACAGAAAAGGCTTTTGCTAAGTTTTCACCATAAATTTGTGTTAGAACGGAAAACCCAGATCTCCTAGTATGTCAGGCTTTTGAATTAACCCACAGATTCCACTTTATTTATGTAAAAGAGGTAAACTTTTTTTTTAATTGATAGCAAGTAAAACTCTGAAGCCTGGTGTATTATGCTTAAGTAACTAGTGGGATAGAATCTCTTTAAGTGTAGTTCAGATGATGGGAACTTGCTTTTTATAGAGCAAGATTTCAGACCCTTAAAATAGTTTGACAGGGATGTTGAGAAATGATTGGCCAGAAGAACATGAAGTTTGTCATTTAAGTGTGTTATATTTTGTTTACTGGTTTTATTTATTATTTATTTTTATTTTTATTTTTGAAACAGAGTTTCACTCTTGTCGCCCAGGCTGAAGTGCAATGGTGCAATCTCAGCTCACTGCAACCTCCACCTCCTGGGTTCAAGTGATTCTCCTGCCTCAGCCGCCTGAGTAGCTGGGATTACAGGCACCCACAACCATGCCCAGCTAATTTTTGTATTTTTAGTAGAGACAGGGTTTCACTATGTTGGCCAGGCTGGTCTTGAACTCCTGACCTCCTGTGATCAGCCTGCCTTGGCCTTCCGAAGTGCTGGGATTACAGGCGTGAGCAATCGCGCTCGGCCCATGTTTACTGGTTTTAGATTTAGATTTTTTTTTTTTTTTTTTTTTGAGATGGAGTCTCGCTATGTTACCCAGGCTGGAATGCAGTGGCGCGATCTGGGCTCACTGCAAGCTCCGCCTCCCAGGTTCATGCCATTCTCCTCCCTCAGCCTCCCGAGTAGCTGGGACTACAGGTGCCCGCCACCATGCCCGGCTAATTTTTTTGCGTTTTCTTAGTAGAGACGGGGTTTCACCGTGTTAGCCAGGATGGCCTTGATATCCTGACCTCATGATCCGCCTGCCTCAGCCTCCCAAAGTGCTGGGATTACAGGCGTGAGCCACCACGCCTGGCCTAGATTTAGATTTTTTGCTTCCGTCTTGTTTATTTTCTTAAGTAGCTTAGTGTCTTGATTTATAAGTTGAATGAGATGGCTTCTTGGGCCTGAGACTTAAATTTACTGTTTGAGACCCATCTATTCTTAATAATCTTCTACTTAATAATTTTTAGATTTTTATTTTGTAGTACTGTTGGTAAATATAAACATTTAAGTGATTACAAATGTTAGATTCAACTGAGTTACTGAAACTGTCATTTTTGGTAACTAAATCTAGCTGTCAAATAGTGGAAATAGTAGACAGAAGTAAAACTTAAATGTTTAAAAACAGAACATTTTACAGATTTCCTAGAAAACAAGAGAAGAGGCTGGGTGCAGTGGCTTACATCTGTAATGCTAGCATTTTGGGAGGCCAAGGTGGGCGGGTTGCATGGAGTTTGAGACCAACCTGGGCAACATGGTGAAACCCTGTGTCTCTACAGAAAATTCAAAAATTAGCTGGGGATAGTGGTGTGCACCTGTAGTCCCAACTACTTGGGGGGATGAGGTGGGAGGATCTCCTGAGTCTGGGAGGCTGAGGCTACAGTGAGCCGAAATCGTGCCACTGCATTATAGCTTGGATGACAGAGTGATACCTTGTCTAAAAACAAAAACAAAACAAGGGAAGGATCTGTTAGTCTTAAAAACAAAAACTAAGCGAAGTAGAAATCATCGCTGATACAGTTTTTGGTTTGTAAGATGTAATCTTAAAAAATGAACTAACTTTTTTACCCATTGCCAGCGGGGCATCATCAACAAAGTACGGGTATATGTGTTTGACTAAATGACCTCTAAAATGCTGGCATTTACTGCTTGTTTCTAGCTTGTTCTTCACCTCCCCAGGGCTTTTCTGCCGGCTTTATGCCCAGACCATTACTGCCACACAATGATTTTCCTCCCCAAATTCTTATGACAGTCCTCATCCCACCTCCCCTCATAGATCCTAAAGATCTAGCTCAGGTGTGCTCAAATGGTGACATTTCTTCCATAACACCTTTGTTAACTTCTGTCTTGTTTCCTGCCTGGAAGTTTCCTCACTCCTTGCTGCTTCCTGTTGTATATATCACCTTCCTGCTTACTTAGATTCACTCTTGTGCATTTACTCTTCTCTAGATCCTTGATGGCACAGGGAGTTTGTAGAACACATTGTGTGTCCTCTGTTGCTTACTAAGTGACTAAGTGACTTGTATAACTAATGGAAACTGTAGAATGTATGAAAGAATAAACAAATGTATCCTAATGTAGACTAATATAATTTGAGCTTTGGAGGAGTTGTTAGAGGCCCAGTAGTCCAGCATCCTTCCTTATGTTTGCTACATTCTGATCATCAGTGTCACACTGCAGGCATCTGTCCCTGGACAGGTCTTGGTTGCCAGAAATGTTTTTAGATTACTACTACAGTCTGCTCCCTCCCTTTCACGTATTGACCTTAGTTATACTTCCTGAAGGAACCTGAATTAAGTCTGTTTCTTCTTCACATAATAGCACTTCATATTTCCCATGACAGATATCACACTTCTAGAATTATTGATTAATTTACTTATTAAACTCTCTCTTGAATTGAGCATCAGGTACCAAGAGGGTACAGTTGAAGAGACATCCATGGCCCCTGCACTTCAGGGGCTTGCAGTCTAGTTAGGGAGACAATAACATGAATCGATGGCTGATTATAGTGAAGGTATGCAAACAGCCCTAAATGGTTAGTCCTTTCCTGGTTTGATATGGCTCACCATGCTTTCTTTAGGCAACTCTTGTTTTTTTTTTTTTTGTTTTTTTTTTGAGACAGTTTTGCTCTGTTGATCAAGCTGGAGTGCAGTGGCATGGTCATGGCTCACTGCAACCTTGACCTTCTGGACTTAATCAATCCTCCTGCTTCAGCCTTTTGAGTAGCTGGGACTACAGGCATGCACCACCACACCTGGCTAATTTTCTAAATTTTGTTTTAGAAGTGTTTTGTAGAGATAGGGCCTCACCATGTTGCCCATGCTGGTCTCGAACTGCTGGGCTCAAGTGATCCTCCTGCCTTGGCCTACCAAAGTGCTAGGAAGCCTGGCCCAACTATTCCCCTACACCGGCCCCCAAGACGGAGTCTTGCTCTGTCACCAAGGCTGGAGTGCAGTGGCGTGATGTCAGCTCACTGCAGCCTCCATCTCCCAGGTTCAAGCAATTCTCCTGCCTCAGCCTCCTGAGTAGCTTGGGACTACAGGCGTGGTGGCACATGCCTGGCTAATTTTTGTTATATTTCTAGTAGAGACGGGGTTTTACCATGTTGGGCCAGGCTGATCTCAAACTCCTGACCTCAGGTGATCTGCCTGCCTCTGCCTCCCAAAGTGCTGGGATTGCAGGTGTGACCCACTGCCCCCGGCCATTGTTTTTTTTTTTTTTTAATGTCCTTTAAATGCAGTGTCTGAAACAAAACAGAAGATATGACCTGACCAGAATATACAGCTGTTTTCTTAGGTTAGGAAACTGAACCAATGATTTTCAAATTTCCTTGTGCATTCTGGCTCTGCCACTTACAAGTGCTGTGATTTTAGGCCAGTTAAATAATCTCAATATTTTAGTGTCTTCATCTGTAAAATGAGGGTGAGGGGAGGGCAGTGTTAATTGTAGCACCTACCTATAGGTTGTTGTCAGGATTAAATGAGATAATACGTGTAAAGTGTTGAGGATAGTGACTGGTATGTGTTAAGTCGGTAATACATGGTAGGAGTTAATAACCATGTAGTAGTAGTTGCAGTAATCAAGTCACTGGAATCTCTTTGGGACCTTGTTAAAATACAAGCAGCCTGGCCTTATTTTATTATCTTCCACCCAGGGAATTTGTAGGGGACCTGGGTAGCCACAGTTTTAACAGCCTTTAGATGATTCTTAGATGAGCCAGAGGTGGAGAACTCTGCACTTTACATTCGTGATATCATTAGCTTTTACAAATTAAAATTTTAAAATTCCCCAAGTAATAGATGAATAGATGTTCCTAAAAGATTCAAACAATGCAGATATAGGTAAAGGCATGGCTCCCAATTTCAGACTCCTGGAGAAACACCCACTTACCAGTTTGGAATGTATCCTTCCACACACTGTTACCCTTTTTTTGTAGATTTATAAATAAATGTCTTCATAATAATAATGGCCAGATTTAAAAGATAAAAATGATTTTTAATGCACTTTTACAGTCATAATCTTTGTTCCCTTCCAAGTCTTATGAGATGGGTAGGGGAGATAGCATCACGATCCTATCAATTTGCAGATGAGAAATCAAGGTCTGCAAATGAAATTCACCCTGATTGATCTAGATTGAGAACTGGGCCTTCTGTCTCTCAGCTTAATGTCCTTTTCACGTGAACCATGCTGTTTCCTAGCTACATCATCTTGGCTTATATTGAAGTTGTGGCTTTTGAAGTCTTCTAGTCTTTTTGCCATGCCAATAGCTGTCAAATCAGATTTCCTCCTTTCCTTTAGTGCGTATATACTTGCTTTTAGAAAAATACTACTTTTAGAGTATTTAAAGAAAAGAATAGAAAAAAAGTAAATTCAAGGTTTTATATTTTTGTGTATCTGTTAAGATTGATCTTTTGGGGAAAGAAATCTAGAACTGGCCTTGTGGCCATCTGATAGCATGGTGCGTTTAGGTGAGCCTGTCTTCATTCAGGATAGCTGAGGTCAGTGTAGGACTTTCCCTCACTACTGTCCAATTAACTCTCCAGGCAGAATCAGTTAAATATATTTATAGTCTTACTGCAATAATGTAGCAATAATATGGAAAGTTGAGAGACCAGTGGAGGAAAACCACATCAAACCATTTCAACATGAGCTATTACTTCCCGATATATCACTCTTTGAGACTGTCCATGTGTCCATTCTTTTTGTAAGTAATTTTAGGTCTTGCATGTTTTATGGATGGTTTTCTTATAATTACATAGTATATGTAATTTTAAGTTTTAATAGCTTTGTCATTTTGCTTAATATGGCAAATTTTGGTAAACTGTTTGAGATTTTTTTTGGGACAGGGTCTCACTCTGACGCCCAGGCTGGAGTGAAGTGGCGCAATCTCAGCTTACTGCAACCTCCGCCTCCCGGATTCAAGCGATTCTTCTGCCTCAGCCTCCCATGTAGCTGAGATTACAGGTGTGCGCCACCACGCCCGGCTCATTCTTGTATTTTTAGTAGTTACAGAGTTTCACCATGTTGGCCAGGCTGGTCTCGAACTCCTGACCTCAAGTGATCCACCTGCCTCAGCCTCCCAAATGCTGGGATTACAGGTGTGAACCACTGCACCTGGCCTGAGAGTTTTGACAGGAAGATTTTCTTTTTTCTTTTTTTTTTTTTTTTTAGCAAAAAGATACCTGCTCTGTCACCCAGGGTGGAGTGTGGTGGTATGATCATGGCTTACTGCAGCCTTGACCTTCCACCTCAGCCTCCTGAGTAGCTGGGATTAGCCAGGTGTGCGCCACCACCCTTGCTAATTTTTGTATTTTTTGTAGAGACAGGGTCCCACTATGTTGCCCAGGCTGGTCTCAAACTCCTGGACTCAAGCAATCCTCCTGCCTCACCCTCCCAAAGTGCTGGGATTATAGGCGTGAGCCACTGTGTCTGAGTAGTTATCTTTTTTTTTTTATTATATGTAATCCAATAGTGATTATCTTTTTTGTATAGTTTCTTTTGTGTTATTCCCTTAGGATAAATTCAAATAAGTGGGATTATTGAATTTAAGGGTATGAGCTTTTTTTGGTTTGTTTTTAAAGAGGCAGGGTCTTACTATGTTGCCTAGGCTACTCGAACTCCTGGGCTCAGTGATCCTCCCACCTCAGCCTCCTGAGTAGCTGGGACTGTAGGTGCACACCAGCACATCCAGCCTCATATTTATGACTTTTAATATGTATTGCCACTAGCTAACCAAAAATTCGTACCATTTAGTAATTTTCCCAGCAATCTAAGAATGTGTTAGTTTCACAAAAATGTTACCAACTTCTGGTGAATATAATTTAAGTATATTTTTTGCTATTATATGAGGTGTAGCTGGTACATTATTTTTATTTTTCATTACTTTTTGTGTTTATTTTAAAAAAGAATAAGCAATCATGAGGGCCTTCAGTATGATGAAACTGTATGAAACTCACATTGGGTATTACATGCAGGTGGTCTCTGTTACTTCCTTGGTTTCCAATCCTGTCTGGCATGACCAAAACTATTCCATTTCTAGATGGGCATAGAGGAAAATGCAGCCTTTGCTTTGTGGGACAGATTGTTGTAGTTGTCCACATCAGAATGTGATCTTTTTACATTTTTGTGGCCTACCTTCTAGTGTTTCTTTAAACAGTTGTGTGCTAGGCTCCTGTGTAAAATATTTAGTAATCAGAATATCTGTGGGTGTGGGCGATACCTGTTTTTTTTTTTTTTTTAACAGGTTCCCCAAGTGCTTCTGGGGCTACACAAGTTTGAGAGCAGCCTCTGGGGACTACCTTTTAGCGAATTTTCTTCATAGACTGTGTCTTTCCTGTGGGTAGAGGCAGACTCTGTTACGAACAGTAGCCCGGACATGCTAACAGAGGCCTGTTGTATAGAGAAAATGAATTGTGTAGCAGTGCCTTCCTAAATGAAGAGTAGCTGGGTTCGTTCTTGGAACAATAAGCCAGTCTTTCCTAAGAGACTTGAACTGCATAAAAACAGCTCCTTCTCTGATGTTTTTCTGTGGTGCTGGTGGCTGTTTTATTTAAGTTCTGGTAAGTCATAGTGTTCTCCCAGCCCAGGCCATATCCTGCTCAGCCTTTGGTTAGCTGAAAGGTAGCACATAGACCTATTGTCACACTAGCAATTACCATGAGATAGAACACTCACCATTTGCCAGGCAGTTGGATGGGTGCTAGAGGTATACTTCTGCCAATTCTTACAGTAACATTTAAAGGCAGGTGCTATTGTCATTTTATAATGAGAGAAAGCAGAGACTTGGAGAAGTTGAATAATTTGTTAATTGTCACACACCTGCAGAATAGCAGAATTTGGCTTTTAAAATCTTCAGCATGCTTTTCATTTATCCCATTTTTTTTTTTTCCAGCTCAGGTTGTTCTTCCTTCATGAAGGTCAGTGGGCTGCCTTGGGGAAAGGTATGCTGCCACTATCTGGCAGCATCTGGAAACCACTCACTAGTCAGGAGGGATGTAGAGATGCAGACTTCCCACTAGGGTTTCCACGAGGATTAGATCAGGTGACTGTACAGTCCTTTTTAGATTTGAGCTCCTGATATGAAATCTAACCTTAGACAATCCAGATAACTGAAGACCTGATAAAGTTTTTTTTTCTTTCAAGTGTTTTATTGTAGTAAAATATACATAACATAAAATTGTCCATTTAAACCATTTTTTTGTATTATACTTTAAGTTCTAGGGTACATGTGCACAACGTGCAGGCTCGTTACATAGTTATACATGTGCAATGCTGGCCCGCTGCACCCATCAGCCTGTCATTTACATTAGGTATTTCTCCCAATGCTATTCCTCCCCCGGCCCCCCACCCCATGGCAGACCCTAGTGTGTGACGTTCCCCACCCTGTGTCCAAGTGTTCTCATTGTTCAGTTCCTATCTGTGAGTGAGAACATGTGGTGTTTGGTTTTTTGTCCTTGCGATAGTTTGCTCAGAATGATGGTTTCCAGCTTCATCCGTGTCCCTACAAAGGACATGAACTCATCCTTTTTTATGGCTGCATAGTATTCCATGGTATATATGTGCCACATTTTCTTAATCCAGTCTATCATTGTTGGACATTTGGGTTGGTTCCAAGTCTTTGTTGTTGTGAATTGTGCCCCAGTAAACATACGTGTGCATGTGTCTTTATAGTAGCGTGATTTATAATCCTTTTTTTTTTTTTTTTTTTGAGATGGAGTTTCCCTCTTGTTGCCCAGGCTGAAGTGCCATGGTGCAATCTTGGCTTACTGCAACCTCTGCCTCCTGCGTTCAAGTGACTCTTCTGCCTCAGCCTCCGGAGTAGCTGAGATTACAGGCATGCGCCACCATGCCTGGCTAATTTTGTATTTTTAGTAGAGACAGGGTTTCTCCATGTTGGCCGGGCTGGTCTTGAACTCCCAACCTCAGGTGATCTGCCTGCCTTGTTCCCCTCCCAGAGTGCTGGGATTACAGGTGTGAGCCACTGTGCCTGGCCTAAACCATTATTAAGTATGCAATTAAGTGGCATTAATTACATTAATGCTATTGTGCCACCATTGCCATAATCTGTTTCCAAATCTTTTCCATCATCCCAAATAGAAACTCTGTAGCCATTAAGCAATAACTCCCCATTCCTCTGTCTCCCAGCACCTGGTAACCTCTGATCTACTTTCTGACTCAATGGATTTGCCTATTCTGGATATTTCATATAAATGGAATCATACAATATTTTCCTTTTGTGACTGGCTTATTTCATTTGCACAGTGTTTTTTTGTTTTTGTTTGTTTGTTTTTTTTTGAGACAGAGTCTCGCTCTGTCGCCCAGGCTGGAGTGCAGTGTCGCAATCTTGGCTCACTGCAAGCTCTGCCTCCCGGGTTCACGCCATTCTCCTGCCTCAGCCTCCCGAGTAGCTGGGACTACAGGCACCCACCACCAAGCCCGGCTAATTTTTTTGTATTTTTAGTAGAGACAGGGTTTCACTGTGTTAACCAGGATGGTCTCAATCTTCTGACCTTGTGATCCGCCTACCTCAGCCTCCCAAAGTGCTGGGATTACAGGCGTGAGCCACCGCACCTGGCCCCATTTGCGCAGTGTACTCCATTGTTGGCTGGGCACAGTGGCTCATGCCTGTAATCCCAGCATTTGGGGAGGCCAAGGCGGGTGGATCACCTGAGGTCAGGAGTTCAAGACCAGCCTGACCAACATGGTGAAACCCTGTCTCTACTAAATATACAAAAAATTAGCTGGGTGTGGTGGTGTGTGCCTGTAATCTCAGCTACTTGGGAGGCTGAGGCAGGAGAATTGCTTGATCCTGGGAGGCGGAGGTTGCAGTGAGCCGAGATCATGCCACTGCACTCCAGCCTCGGCAAAAAGAGCAAAACTCTGTCTCAAAAAAAAAAAAAATAAAAAAGAACACCATTCTTTTTTTATTGCTGAGTAATGTTCTATTGTATGGATATACCACATTTTGTTTATCCATTAATTTGTTGGTGGACGTTGGCTTGTTTCTGCTCTTTGGCTATTGTGAATAATGGTGCAGTGAACACTATTGTACAATATCTGTTTGAATCTCTGTTTTCATTTCTTTTGGGTATATACCTTGGAGTGGAATTGTTGCGTCATTTGGGTGATTCTATGTTGTAACTTTCTGGAACAATTGCTGAACTGTTTTTCACAGTGGCTGTACCATTTTACATTCTGACTAGCAATGTACAAGGGTTCCAGTTTCTCCACATTCTCACCAACACATGTCATTTTCTGTGTTTTTTTTTAATTTTTATTTTTATTATAACCATTCTATAATATAAGTAGTATCTTAATTTGGTTTTGATTTTAATTTTCCTAATGACTAAGTTGTTAGGCATCTTTTCATGTGTTTATCGGTCATTTGTATGTCTTCTTTGGAGAAATGTCTGTTCAAGTCTGTTTCTTATTTTTAAATTGGATTGTTTGCCTTTTTGTTTTTGAGTTTTATGATTGATTTATATCTTTTGGTTACAAGTCCTTTGTCAGATATATGATTTGCAAATATTTTCTCACTCTGGGTAGGTTGTCTTTTTACTTTCTTGATAATGTCCTCTTTTGTTGCTTGTGTTATCTCCTTTTTTGTTTTTTATTCTTTTTAAAGTTATCTCTTACAGGAAGGATTCCTTTTTTCTTAAAAAAGTTTTTCAATTCTTTTTTTTTTTGAGATGGAGTCTCACTCTGTCGCCCAGGCTAGGATGCGGTGGCATAATCTCAGCTCACTGCAACCTCTGCCTCCTGGGTTCAAGCCATTCTCCTGCCTCAGCCTCCTGAGTAACTGAGATTACAGGCATGCACCACCATTCCTGGCTAATTTTTGTATTTTTCATAGAGATGGAGTTTCACCATGTTGGCCAGGCTGGTCTGAAACTCTTCACCTTGGGTGATCCACCTGCCTTGGCTTCCCAAAGTGCTGCCTATAATCATAGGCATGAGCCACCACGCCAGCCTAAATTTTTTTTTAAGCTTTGTGTTTATGTTAGCATATATAAGAATTTGTTGCCAAATTCAAAGTAATGAAGATTTATCCCTATGTTTTCCTCTAAGATTTTATAATTTTAGCTCTTACTTTGAGGTCCTTGATCCACTTTGAGTTAATTTTTGTACATGGTGTGAGGTAGGGGTCTGACTTCTTTTTTTTTCATGTAGATAGCCAGTTGTCCTAGTACCATTTGTTGAAGACCAATATAAATGTTTTAGTTACTTATTTTCTGTATCCCTGAGTGGCATTTATAGTTTGCTTTGGGTTTTTGACTTCATTTTCTATTCTCTCAACCTCTCCTCTTTCCTTATTTTCTTCCCTCAAAACAGGAGATGTGGATGTTTTGTGTGTGTTATTGTGTTGCTGCTTGATATATGAGGCACTTAATAAATATGAATTCCCCTCCTTTCTTTTAACTTTGTGTTGTTATTTAACTTTTAAATAGTTTGTGTCCCAAAAACAGATTGTAAGGACCTTTGGGGTAGGAGAGTATATGTTCTATTTCTTTCTTTCTCAATTTCCTTTTCTCTTGAGGAGTGGACATCACTCTGGTGCCTAGTCTAGTACCATACAGGTGGTATGCTTAACCTATATTGACTGAATTGTGAAGCTGAACATAGATCTATGTGGATATATTTGGGGTAGTTGCAGAAAATCGTTCTTAAAAAATTACTGGTTGATGTATTAAAAAGTTCTTCAAAGTTTTTTACTCAGGTCCTTTTAAGTCATTTTACCAAATGTAGGGATTGACGGTAGTATCTTGATCTTTCCAATGCCTTAGGACTTTTTTGTGTGTGACACATGGTATTTGGGTAAGTTCTAGTTAGGTAGCATAATATGTGGCTCATTTTATGGATGTCTGAAATTTTTTAAAAAATTTATTATTATTATTGTTATTTTTTTGAGAGGGAGTTTTGCTCTTGTTGCCCAGGCTGGAGTGCAGTGGTGTGATCTTGGCTCACTGCAACCTCCGCCTCCTGTGTTCAAGTGATTCTCATGCCTCAGCCTCCTGAGTAGCTGGGATTACAGGCATGAGCCACCTCACCCTGCTAATTTTGTATTTTTTTAGTAGAGATGGGGTTTCAGCATATTGGTCAGTCTGGTGTCGAACTCCTGACCTCAGGTGATCCACCCGCCTCGGCCTCCCAAAGTGTTGGGATTACAGGCATGAGCCACTGCGCCACCCTAAAATTTATTATTATTATTATTATTATTATTATTATTATTATTTTTGAAATGGAGTCTCACTCTGTCACCCAGGTTGGAGTGCAGTGGCGCAGTCTCAGCCCACTGTAATCTCCACCCCATGGGTTCAAGCGAGTCTCCTGCCTCAGCCTCCCGAGTAGCTGGGATTACAGGCGCCTGCACTGTGCCTGGCTAATTTTTGTGTTTTTAGTAGAGACCGGGTTTCTCCATCTTGACCAGGTTCGTCTTGAACTCCTGACCTTGTGATCCACCTGCCTTAGCCTCCCAAAGTGCTGGGATTACAGGCATGAGCCACCATGCCCGGCCTCAAAATTTATTATTTTTTTAGAAACAAGGTCTCATAATAATGCTCAGGCTGATCTCAAACTCCTGGGCTCAAGCAATGTGCCTGCCTGTGCCTCCCAAAGGGTTGGGATAACAGGCGTGAGCCACTGCGCCTGGCCTGAAAATTTGTTAACTAGCTATTTAAGATTCTGGTAACTGAATTTTGAATTGAGAAATATACTCATTTTAGAGGTTATTTTGTATGTCTAGATTTTGCCTTTTCATTTTTGACAAATGCTCTTAGTCTCAAAAATTATTTTGAGTTTGAGCAATGAGTATGTATTACTTTTCTAACAAAAAATTAAAATAAACAGCATTAGAAAATTCTTGTCCAGAAATTCCAGAAGTTAACTAGTGAAGTCTCTGATCTTTCTCTCTGAATCTGTATTAACATATTTCCCTCCATCACACTCTTTAGTGTTTGGTAGTGGCTAATGTTACTTGCCCTAAGAGATCAGACCTCTCTGGGGAGTCCGTTTTGTAATCTATAGTCCAGATGTCAGTGAAGGGAAAGATTCAGCTTGAAGGTTGGCCTTTGCTTTTTGTTTTCCAGTAAATTTTGACTCTTAAGGTATTTCTTAGTATCTTGTTATGTAAACACTTTTATTATCTGAGGTGTTGGTTATTCATCTATTGTCTTTTTTAGAAGACATTTATTATTAATAGTGGAAACAAAGGAAGGAATTATTTTATTCTCTTTAGTTCCAAGCAACATAACAACATCAGAGAGGCCAGAGTAAACACAGTATTTCATATGCTTTCCAGGTAATTGTCAATCAACAGAGTCATTTTCTTTCTTTTCTTTTCTTTTCTTTTCTTTTTTTTTTTTACAGACGCAATCTCGCTTTGTTGCCCGTGTTGGAGTGCAGTGTGGTGTGATCATAGCTCACTGCTGCCTAGAACTCTTGGCTTCAAGTGATCCTCCCTCTTCAGCCTCCTAAAGTGCTGGGATTGGATTATAGGTGTGAGCCACAGTGCCTAGCTCTCTAAGAGACTGATTTAACAAGAGTTTAAACTCCCTTAGTAGGAAGCATGATTTATGCCAGGGAGAGTAGGAAGGAGGGATGCAAACTATCTTTTGCTATCTCCATCCTTCTTTATGGAGAAGTTGGGCTGGTATGTATCTGAATCTATAGCTATTGTTCTACTTTTGTGCATATATTTTGTCTAAAAAGCTTGACAGAAGCAGCATTCTTTTCATTTAATAAATTATCCTCCAGGCATGGGATCCTATTCTGAGGAAGATGGCCCTCTAAAAAATGCTCTCAATATGAGCTGTCTGGGCTTACTGCTGATTGAGCGTACCTGTTGGCAGTGATTGGCGTGCCAGGCAGATTTCCTGTGGTCTGTGACTGCGTTTCTAAAGTAAACATAGTGGGAAAAGCTTGCCATTCTGTCTTTCTTTTCAGAACATGCAGTGGATTTCTGAAGTGGCCAAAGGAGGATTTGTTTGGACAAAGGGACAGTATTTAGTTTAATTGTAGAGTTACTGATTTTATGGAGTCATGAAAGAATGACTAAGCACTGGGAGATTAGAAACATCTCATTGTAATTATCTGGTTACTAGACCTCTTTTGGGGTGGGGTAGGGAGACTGGAGGTGATGCAGAAAGGGTGTACACAAGGCATTAATAAGAAATGGGCCTAAAAACAGAGAGTCTTTAAAGAAACTGCTGACATTAAAATAAAAGTGTTATTCTAGGGTATATCCTAGGTAATTACTAGAGATTGAACAAACTGTGTAACTTGATCAAAATCATCATTCAGCAAACTTTGCTGTTATGTTTAAGGGCAGAGAGAAAGGCTCTCAAGCCTTGTTGCCAAGGAGCTCCATGCCTAAGAAGGAAGGCAGACAAGTAATGGTTATTATTCTGTGTATTAAGCGTGCTACTATGGGAAAACTGAAGAGGGATGGGATCCTAAGCTGGGGTTGGGGAAAGAGATGTGGTCCCTTCCTATTTTGGCCTGAAGGATGTGAGGCTGTGAACCAGGTGCACACTCTCCTGGTGGGTACTCTGGGGTCTGGTTTTTTTTTTTTTTTTGAGACGGAGTCTCGCTCTGTCGCCCAGGCTGGAGTGCAGTGGGGCTCACTACAAGCTCCGCCTCCCAGGTTCACGCCATTCTCCTGCCTCAGCCTACCGAGTAGCGGGGACTACAGGTGCCCACCACCACGCCTGGCTAATTTTTTTTTATTTTTAGTAGAGACGGGGTTTCACTGTGTTAGCCAGGATGGTCTCGATCTCCTGACCTCATGATCCACTCACCTCTGCCTCCGAAAGTGCTGGGATTACAGGTGTGAGCCACCGTGCCTGGCCCTGTTTTGTTGTCTTCCATTTTTGAGAGAGCAGTGTTGGCTGGGGACCTAGCTTGTGACCATGAGACAAGGAGATTGACTTTTGGCTATAGTAATGTCATGTTCTCATTTTGAGAAGTGGCTACAGATAAGAGGCAAGAAAGCACTCTTGCTGAGAGAAAAAGGCTGTTTGAAACTAACATGTTATGGGGAGTCCTAGATGTTGATGAAATCAGGACTCTTGTATTTTCATATCCTTACTTGAATTATAAACTGGTCAGTGATTCAATTTTGGAATTTGCGGGGAGGGGTTAGACATTGTTCTTTTAGGAAACTTGTTGCTATTTTGTTTGCTTCTGAATAGTGATGGTATTATTAATATTTTGAATTGCAGTTACAAGTTTATTATGTGCATTATTGAACATAGAAGTTTTAAGAAGGTATCTGGGGGATATACTTGTATCTCTTTTTATTATGAGTGAATGTAAGTATATTATAGTTATATGAGAATTCGCTTCATCTTGCTTAAATTGTGTAGAGTGAGAAATAGGACTATTAGTTAAATGCATGAAATTTTTCTATTATAAACTTTTTTTTGAACAGGTAATATATACACATGAATTAAAAATTTAAGTTTCTCTCCTAGCTTGTCTGCCATCCACCCAATTTCTTTCCCTGGAGTCACCAATGTTATTAATTATATTCATGAAAAAAAGCCTATATATATATATATATATATGCACACACATACATATATATACACACACACACACACACACACCTCCCTCTGTTTTTGTACAGTTCGTGGCTGATTATAGACTACTTTTGCATTTTGCTTTTTTTTTTTTCTGAGATGGAGTTTCACTCTTGCTGCCCAGGCTAGAGTGCAATGGCGCAATCTTGGCTCACCGCAACCTCCACCTCCCAGGTTCAAGTGATTCTCCTGTCTCAGTCTCCCTAGTAGCTAGGATTACAGGCATGTGCCACCATGCCTGGCTAATTTTGTATTTTTAGTAGAGACGAGGTTTCTGCATGCTGGTCAGGCTAGTCTTGAATTCCTGACCTCAGGTGATCTGCCAACCTCGGCCTCTCAAAGTGTTGGGTTTACAGGCATGAGCCACCGCGTCCAGCGCATTTTACTTTTTTTAAACTTCATGTATCTTGGAAATCATTCTATGTGAGTACATTGAAGACTTCCTCCTTTTTTTTTTTAAATGAGTTGTATGACTAAATAGTATGCTGTTGCATGGCATATCATGATTTCCTGAGTCCTCTATTGATGAACATTTAGTTTTATCTAATCTTTTGCTTTTATAAACAATGCTGCAAAGAATAATTCTATAATATATTATTTTTGCACATATATGAATAAATTCCCAGAAGTTGACATTTTGGGTTAAAAGTTACGTGCCTTAACATTGCTATAAATAGATATTCCCAGATTATTCACGTTGGAGGTTTTGATGAAATCCAGCCTGCAATACAAGATACATTTTTGTTTGTTTTTTGAGACAAAGCTCTGTCGCCCAGGCTAGAGTACAGTGGCACAATCTCAGCTCACTGCAACCTCTGCCTCCCAGGCTCCAACCATCCTCCCATCTCAGCCTTCCAGGTAGCTGGGACTACAGGTGCATACTACCATGCCTGGCTGATTTTTGTATTTATTTTATTTATTTATTTTATTTTATTTTATTTGTTTTGAGATGGGGTCTTGCTCTGTTGCCTGGGCTGGAGTGCAGTGGCGTGATCTCGGCTCACTACAGCCTCCGCCTCCTGGGTTCAAGCAGTTCTCCCACCTCAGCCTCCCGAGTAGCTGGGATTACATGGGCACGCCACCACGCCCAGCTAATTTTTGCATTTTTACTAGAGACGGGGTTTCACCATGTTGACCAGGCTGGTCTCGAACTGTTGACCTCAGGTGACCCACCCACCTCAGCCTCTCAAAGTGCTGGGATTACAGGTGTGACCCACTGCGCCTGGCCCGATTTTTGTATTTTTTGTAGAGATGGGGTCTCACTATGTTGCCCAGGCTGTTCTCAAACTCATGAGCTCAAGCGATCCTCCCACCTTGGCCTCCCAAAGTGCTGGGATTACAGGTGTGAGCCACTGTGCCTGGCCTGCAATATGTATTTTAAAAATATGTTTAAAAAATGTAATTTCAGGCCGGGCTTGGTGGCTTACGCCTGTAATCCCAGCACTTTGGGAGGTCGAGGTGGGCAGATCACGAGGTCAAGAGATCGAGACCATCCTGGTCAACATGGTGAAACCTCGTCTTTACTAAAAATACAAAAATTAGCTGGGCCTGGTGGTGTGTGCCTGTAGTCCCAGCTATTCGGGAGGCTGAGGCAGGAGAATTGCTTGAATCTAGGAGGCGGAAGTTGCAGTGAGCCAAGATCGTACCAGTGCACTCCAGCATGGTGACAGAGCGAGACTCCATTTCAAAAAAAAAAAAAAAAAAAGTAATTTTAAAATGGCGTAGAAACATGTCATGTGTCATTTTTTGAATTAAAATATGACTATAGTTCAGTGATCAAAAGCAAATTGAGCACTTTTCTTCTCATTTCTTTTTTTTTTTTTTTTTTTTTTTTGAGCTGGAGTCTCGCTTTGTCACCCAGGCTGGAGCGTAATGGCGCAATCTCGGCTCACTGCAACCTCCACCTCCCGGGTTCATGCCATTCTCCTGCCTCAGTCTCCCGAGTAGCTGGGACTATGGGCGCCTGCCACCACACCCGGCTAATTTTTTGTATTTTTAGTAGAGATGGGGTTTCACCATGTTAGCCAGGATGGTCTTGATCTCCTGACCTTGTGATCCACCCACCTCGGCCTCCCAAAGTGCTGGGATTACAGGCGTGAGCCACTGCGCCCGGCCTCTTTTTTTTTTTTTTTGAGACGTAGTTTCGCTCTTGTTGTCCAGGCTGGAGTGCAATGGCTAGATCTTGGCTCACTGCAACCTCTGCTGGGTTCAAGCGATTCTCCTGCCTCAGCCTTTTGAGTAGCTGGGATTACAGGCATCCACCACCATGCCCGGCTAATTTTTTTATTTTCAGTAGAGACAGAGTTTTGCCATGTTGGCCAGGCTGGTCTCAAACTCCTGACCTCAGGCAATCCACCCACCTTGGCCTCCCAAAGTGCTGGGATTATAGGCGTGAGCCACCATGCCCGGCCTCTTCTCATTTCTTGTTTGCTTTTCTCTTTTGACTTGGCAAGAATTTTGTGACTGGACGAGGCAGGAATAAGTTTTGTTTCCTTGTAGATGTTACCAATACTGCCTTCTAGAGATGGGTACTAGATACAGAAGATTTACTGAATAATTGCTTCTGCGTGTGTGTGTGTGTGTGTGTGTGTGTGTGTGTGTGTGTGTGTGTTTCTTTCCAATATGGTGATCTACCAAACTTTCTGTAGTTTTCAATACTTGTAGTAATGGATGATGATTGTGATATCAGGATTACAATTTGATTTAACTTTAAAAACAACTTTCTGGAATTTATTGGATAGAGTATGATTTAACTAGAAAGAATAGGAATAGAGGCTGGGCGTGGTGGCTCACGCCTGTAATCCCAGCAGTTTGGGAGGCGGAGGCGGGTGGATCGCTTGAGGTCAGGAGTTTGAGACCAGCCTGGCCAACATGGTGAAATCCTGTCTCTACTAAAAATGTAAAGTTAGCTGGGCATGGTAGTGCACACCTGTAATCCCAGCTACTCAGGAGGCTGAGGCAGGAGAATAGCTTGAACCTGGGAGGCGAAGGTTGCAGTGAGCGAAGATTGCATCACTGCAGTCCAGCCTGGGTGACAGAGCAAGACTCCATCTCAATAAAAAAAGGGAAAACATAGTATTAACATTTTAGTGTGTTCCCTTCCATACGTTTTCTATGCAAGATGCATATAAAAAAAAGTTTTTATTTTATAAACAAAAATGGCATCATTTTTGTTTTCTAGTTTGCTTTTTTATTTTTTTTGAGATGGAGTTTCGCTCTTGTCGCCCAGGCTAGAGTGCAGTGGTGTGATCTTGGCTCACTGCAACCTCTGTCTCCCAGGTTCAAGTGATTCTCCTGCCTCAGTCTCTCAAGTACGTGGGATTACAGGTGCCTGCCACCATGCCCAGCTAATTTTTGTATTTTTAGTAGACATGGGGTTTCACCATGTTGGCCAGGCTGGTCTCAAATTCCTGACCTCAGGTGATCCACTGGCTTCGGCCTCCCAAAGTGCTGGGATTACCGGCGTGAGCCACCGCTCCCGGCCTAGTTTGCTTTTCTAATTGTTTTCTAGTTTGCTTTTTTCACTAAAATGATTGCAGATACCTTTAAAGTCCAATAAGAACAGATTTATTTATTTATTTTTTATTTTTTATATATTTTTTTGAGATGGAGTCTCGCTTTATCACCCAGGCTGGAGTGCAGTGGTGCGATCTCAGATCACTGCAAGCTCCGCCTCCCGGATTCATGCCATTCTCCCACCTCAGCCTCCCAAGTAGCTGGGACTGCAGGTGCCTGCCACCATGCCAGGCTAATTTTTTGTATTTTTAGTAGAGACGGGGTTTCACCGTGTTAGCCAGGATGGTCTTGATCTCCTGACCTCATGATCTGCCCGTCTTGGCCTCCCAAAGTGCTGGGATTACAGGCTGAGACACCGCGCCCGGCAAGAACAGATTTTTTATCATCATTGTTGGTAACTGCATAGTATGCTGTTGTACGGATGTACTGTAATTTATTTCCCACTTCCCTGTTCGTTAACATTTAGGATTATTTCATTAAAAAAGGATGACCAAAACAAAGAAAGAGAAAAAAGAATTAAAAAAAAAGGATGACCAGCTGCAGTGAACAACTTGATATGTTCAGTTTGGTATACTTTTTTTTTTTTTTTTGAGATGGAGTCTCGCTCTGTCAGGAGCCATGGTGCCCACCCCATTTTAGCATACTTGATAAATTTTTCCTTAGATGCATTCTTAGATTTTGAACTGGTTGGGTGAAGAGATGTTGCCAAATTGTCCTATGTATTACTACTTTTTATTCTCATCAGCAGTGCATTAAAGTGTTTATTTGATTATATTCAATTACATTCTTTTTTTTTTTTTTTTGAGACAGAGTCTTGTTCTGTCACCCAGGCTGGAGTGCAGTGGGGTGATCTTGACTGTGCAACCTCTGCTTCCCAAATTCAAGCGATTCTTGTGCCTCAGCATCAGGAGTAGCTGGGGTTACAGGCGTGCACCACCATGCCTGGCTAATTTTTGTATTTTTAGTAGAGATGGGGTTTCACCATGTTGGCAAGGCTGGTCTCGAATTCCTAGCCTCAAGTGATCCACGCACCTCAGGCTCCCAAAGTGCTGGGATTACAGGTGTAAGCCATCGTGCCTGGCCTCAATTACATTCTTAAGTGACCGTTTTTGAAAATGTAGGACTAGAGTGATGGTTAGGTTTTTTGATATTTTAAGGAAAACCATGTTAATGTTGAATAGGAATAAGTTTATGTTGGAAAAATATTGAAGCAATCATAACTCGTTTTGGAAACCGAGCTGCTGTATGTAGTACAACCCAGTTTATACTAACATTGTTAAGGCACAGCTCTCTTTTTGCGCTTTTCTTTTGGAATTTTTTTTGTAAATCCATAAAACATAACTATAAAAATTTCATTTTAGTAAAAGCAGTGTCCTAATATAGCTTATCTGAGAAATATAGCAAATTTTTGTTAGGTATAAACTTAGTAAAGTACAGACTTAAAGTGTATGAGCTTGAAATATGATTGAATAGTGGTGGACAGGGTATGAAATTTCACAGTATTTCATAGTATTTGAAATTGTATGCAGTGTATAAAATTCCTTATTTGATAGTATATGAAATTGTCTTTTCAGTAGCCTTTGTCATTGCTCAGGTGATGTTCCACATTATTTTTCGCTGACAAGTCACTTAAGTTGCATTGAAAGGGTTTGAAGTAACATAATAAGATCTAAATTGTCAATGAATAAATGAATCTCTAAAGCCCTCATTTCAGTTCTCTTTCTTTAGCAAGCACAGGGTTCCTTATCTTTGAAGGCTGTCCATGACTCTGCACGTTTTCCTCGTCCGTCAGATTCATACTGAGGAGTATGAATCTTGCCTAAGCAAGGTAAACATGCTTGGATGGTGAGGGACAATAAGCAAAGCCTGCATTCTCATGCTCAGGTACACCTAAGGTGTAGCTTTACCTAGTGGTGCCCTTATATTTGTTTCACTGTTGTAGCCTTTCTTTTTTCCATGTTTCCTAAGGAATTGGAAAAGTAGAGCCTTGCAGGAAAGCGTCTTGATATACTTGGTGGAATAGATTATTTACTTGTCTTTCTCTCTGCAGTGAACATGGAGCTTGTTGAGGGCAGTGCCTGGCAGATTGCCTGGTACATTAAGTACTCAGTGAACTTAGGAAACTGGAACCAAGAGCCTTTCCATTTCATGTGTCTTTCCACTTTTTTCTTCTTTTGTTTTCTTTAACTTCCTATTGTGAAATAATTATAGATTCACAAGAAGTTGCAAAAAATGTACAGGGAGTTCTTGTTTACCCTTCACCCAGTTTCCCCCAATGGTTACGCATATTTTGTTGTTTCTCCTCTTTTCCTGCTGTGCTGTGTCTTCTTTTCCCTACGTTATCCTAGTTTTCTCCTCTTTTTCCTATTTTTGATCATGCTTTTGGCTTGCCATTGGCATCTATGGGATGTACTGAACTCTCTGAACTAAATGTTGCTGAATTACTCTCCTAAGGCTGCTTGTGGGAATGCATGTGATGGTTCTTTCTCTTCATTTATTCTTTGTGGATCACTTGCTTAGTATGAGGTGCTGTGCCAGGTACTAGTTGTTCCTCTATATTCAAGCTTTTCAGCTCTTATTTTGAGAACATTATGGTGGATATATCTTTCCTTTGTAGGTCTTTTTCCTAAATGATACGTGTGTCTAAAGTACTCAGAGATGTGTATCTATTGTTGGTGAGAAGAAGGAGCTGCATTTTGGTGAAAATAGCCCTGGATTTTGAATTAGAAAGTGAAGTTCAAATCTTGGTTCTGGCCAGGTGCGGTGGCTCACATCTGTAATCCCAGTGTTTTGGGATGCCAAAGTGCGAGAATCACTTGAGGCCAGGAGTTCAAGACCAGCATGGGCAACATAGCAAGACCCCATCTCTCTAAAACAAAACAAAACAAAAAAAAAGGAATCAAAATTCTGGTTCTGTTTCATACTTGCTATGTGACCCCAGAAGTCACTTTGCTTCTGAATCTCTTCTTGTCTGTAAAATAGGCATTATAATTACAATCTGACAGAGGTTTTGTAGGGAATAGAGAAAGTAGCATTTGTATGATAACTTAATACATTGGAAGGTACTGCTTCAAATATGAAGTAGCTATACTTATTTTATTGATGAAATGAAAGCCAAATTTAAAACTATTGGTGTATTAATTCTTTATAGCTTGACTTCTTTATTCAGTAACACAGAAAGACTTCTCTTGTTTTTTTAAATCCTCATCCTTCTTACACCTTCTGTCTTCACATTAAATACCCAGGACTTAATAGAGTTTTCTTTTTTTTCAACTGGGTATAACCTAGCTCCCTTGGGAAATTTGGGATGGCCATGTCAGCTGTCATACTGTATCAAATGACATATCAGATGTCCTCTTCTCTCTTTTTTTTTTTTTTGAGATGGAGTCTCGCTCTGCCTCCAGGCTGGAATGCAGTGGTGCCATCTCAGCTCACTGCAGCCTCTGCCTCCTGTGTTCAAAGTGATTCTCTTGCCTCAGCCTCCCGAGTAGCTGGGATTACAGGTGCGTGCCACCATGCCCAGCTAATTTTTGTATTTTTAGTAGAGACGAGGTTTCACCATGTTGGCCAGGATGGTCTCCATCGTCTTGATCTCTTGACCTTGTGATGTGCCTGCCTCGGCCTCCCAAAGTGCTGGGATTACAGATGTGAGCCACTGTGCCCAGCCTGTTCTCTTCTCTTCTTACTCACCTAAGTCTGGGGATTTTTCTGTTTCAGGAACCTCTTAGAAAATTTCTCAAGCAGGCTGGGCGCGGTGGCTCATGCTTGTAATGCCAGCACTTTGGGAGGCCAAGGCGGGCAGATCACCTGAGGTCAGGAGTTCAAGACCAGCCTGGCCAATATGGTGAAACCCGTCTCTTCTAAAAATACAAAAATTAACTGGGACTGGTGGCGGGTGCCTGTAATCCCAGCTACTTGGGAGGCTGAGGCAGGAGAATCGCTTGAACCTGGGAAGTAGAGGTTGCATTGAGCCGAGATTGTGCCACTGCACTCCAGCCTGGATAACAGAGCGAGACTCCGTCTCAAAAAAAAAAAAAAAAAAAAAAAAATGAAAGAAAGAAAATCTCTCAAGCTAGCATATATGCTCCTTTGTGCTTAGCTTTTTAGTGGATTTCACCGTTAGAAACCAACTCTTCATGTGTTACTAGAAACATTTTTATTTTTGAAGGGAGACTTGCTTTTCATTTGTACATGCACATGGAATACTTAGTATAGAAAGTGGGGCATAAAATGAATATTTTAAAATTGAAATAATTGACAATTTTTTTTCTTAAACCTTGTCTAGATGCAGGCAAACTTTTAAATCATTAAGGGACAGACATTTATAGAACACCCCTTCCAATAATAGCAGGATACACATTGTTCTGAAGTGCATATGGAACATTTCAGGATAGACCATATGTTATGCCATAAAACAAGCCTCAATTAATTTAACGGATGGAAATCATACTATGTTCTCTGACCATAATGGAATGAAATTAGATATCAATAACAGAAGGAAATTTGGGGAATTCAGAATATGTGAAAATTAAACTACACACACTGAAATCACCAATGATTCAAAGAGAAAGCCACAGGAAAATTGGAAAATACTCTGAGATAAAGGCAAAATATATCATATCATGATGATGATGGTTGCAAACAATGTGAATGTACTTTATACCACTGAATTAATTGTACGTTTTAAAATAGTTAAAATGGCAAATCTTATGTATGTTTTACCAAAATTGAAAAAAACAAAACAAAACAGAAAAACCCTGGGCTGGGCGCACTGGCTCATGCCTGTAATCCCAGCAGTTTGGGAGGCCAAGGCAGGTGGATCACCTGAGATCAGGAGTTCAAGACCAGCCTGGCCAACATGGCGAAACCCCATTCTACTAAAAATACAAAAAATTAGCCGGGCATGGTGGTGGGTACCTGTAATCCCAGCTACTTGGGAGGCTGAGGCAGGAGAATAGCTTGGACCCAGGAGGTGGAGGTTGCAGTGAGCCCAGATCACGCAAATGTGCACTGTACTCCAGCCTGGGTGGCAGAGTGAGAATCCATCTCAAAAAACAAGAAGAAGAAGAAAAAAACCCCTGCCACTCATTTTTCAACAATGAATGTTTATTGAGGGCCTACTATGCTTCATGCGAAAAACAAAGAATATATCATAAGCTAGGGGATACAGCAAAAGCAGTTCCCAGAAGGAAATTTATAGCTATAAATGCTTGTATTAAAAAAAGAAGAAAGATGTCAAATCCATAACCTAATCTTCCACCTTAAGAAACTAATGAAAGAAGAATACACTAAATCCAAAGTGAGCAGAAGGAATATAATAAATAAAATCTAGAATGGAAATAAATGAAATAGAGGGAAAAAAAGTAGGGAAAATCAAACCAAAAATAGGTTCTGTGCAAAGATCAACAAAATGCACAAACCTTGAGCTAGATTAATAAATTAATAAAATGAGGAATGAAAGAAGGGACATCACTACTGACCTTACATGGAAATTAAAAAAGATTATAAGGAAATACTAGGAACCATTTTATGCCAACAAGTTAGATAACACATGTGAAATATATGCATTCTTTGAAAGACACTACTGAAATTAACTCAAAAAGAAATAGAAGGTCTCTTTTGTTTGTTTCAGATGGAGTCTTGCTCTGTTGCTCAGGGTGGAGTGCAGTGATGTGATGTTGGCTCACTGCAGCGTTTGCCTCCTGGGTTCAAGTGATTCTCCTGCCTCAACCTCCCAAAGAAATAGAAAATCTAAATAGACCAATAAAGTAAAGAGATTGAATTAGCAATAAAAAAGCCCCTCCCAAAAAAGCTTAGGTCCAGATGACTTTGCATTTTGTGATTCTACCAAATATTTAAAGAAGAATCAACATAAATTCTCCACACACTCTTTCAAAATAAAGAAGAGGTATTACTTTCCAGTTTATCCTATGAGGACATTATTAGGCTGATACCAAAACCAGGCAAAAATGTCACAAGACAAGAAAACTACAGAACAGTATTCTTTATGGATATAGGTGTAAAATACCTCAACAAAATACTTGCAAACTGAACATAGCAACATATCGGAAGAATTCTGTACTGTGACCGAGTGGGAATTATCCCAGGAATGCAAAGTTGGCTTAATGTCTGTAAATTAACGTAACATGCCATGTAATAGAATAAAAGACAAGACCAACATGATCATCTCAATAGTGGCAGGAAAAACATTTGATTAAATCCAACATTGTTTCATGATAAAAAACATTCAACAAATTAGAAATGGAAGGGAACTTCCTCAGTGTGATAAAGGCCATCTTTGAAAACCTACAGCTAATATCATACTTAATGATGAAAGACAGAATGCTGTCCTAAGATTAGGAACAAGACATATAGTCTTTAATTTTTTAAAATTTATATATATATAGATATTGTTTATATAGACGGAGTTTTACTATGTTGCCCAGGCTGGTCTCGAACTCCTGAGCTTACGTGATCCACCCACCTTGGCCTCCCAAAGTGCTGGGATTATAGGTGTGAGCCACTGCGCTTGACCAAAACATGTATAGTCTCTTTGACACTTAGCTTTAACATTGTATTGGAGGTTCTAGCCGGGACAATTAGGGAAGAAAAAGAAAGAAAAGGCGTTCATATTGGAAAGGAAGTAAGATAATCTCTATTTGCAGATGGTATGATCTTGTATATAAAACATCCTAAGGAATGCACTATAAAACTGTTATGAGCTCCTCAAAGTTGCAGAATACGGGATCAATATACAGAAATTAATTTTATTGTTACACATTTACAATGAATAATTCAAAAGTGAAACCAAGGGAACAATTCCATTCACAGTAGCGTCAAAAAGAATAAAACATTTGGGAATAAAGTTAACAAAAGAAATGCAGAACTTAGATTCTTTTTTTTTTTTTTGAGACAGGGTCTCACTCGTCGCCCACGCTGGAGTGCAGTGGCATAGTATCAGCTCACTGCAACCTCTACCTCCTGGGCTCAAGTGATCCTTCCACCTTAGCCTCCTGAGTAGTTGGTACCACAGGTGTATACCACCACGCCTGGCTAATTTTTGTTTTTTTTAGAGACTAGGTTTCTCCATGTTGCCCAGGTTGGTCTCAAACTCCTGAATTCAAGTGATCCACCTGCCTCGACCTCCCAAAGTGCTGGGATTACAGGCGTGAGCCACTGTGCCTGGCCGGAACTTACATTCTGAACTATAAAACATCATTGAAAGATCTAAATAAATGGAAAGATACTCTATGTTCAGGGATTGGAAGACTTAATATTGTTATGATGGTAATATTCCCCATATAGATTTAGCACAATCCCTATTAAAATTCCAGGCCAGGTGTGGTGGCTCATGCCTATAATCCCAGCACTTTGGGAGGCTGAGGCAGGTGTGAGGTCAAGAGTTTGAGACCAGCCTGAACAACAACATGCTGAAACCCCATCTCTACTAAAAATACAAAAATTAGCTGAGCGTGGTGGTGCACGCCTGTAATCCCAGCTGGTTGGGAGGCTGAGGCAGGAGGATTGCTTGAACCTGGGAGGCAAAGTTTGCAGTAAGCCGAGATCACGCCACTGCTCTCCAGCCTGGGTGACAGAGTGAGACTCCGTCTCATAAACAAACAAACAAACAACAAAAAAACCCAGTTGCCTAGTTTGCAGAAATTGACAAGCTGATCTTAAAACTCATGTAGAAATGCAAGGGACCCAGAATTGCCAAAACAATCTTGAAAAAAAGTTGGAGGACTTTCATAACTTACTACAAAGTTACAATAATTGAGACAATCTGATACTGGCATAAAGATAGACATATAGATCAATGGCATAGAATGAGAATCCAGAACTAAACCCTTCTGTTTATGGTCAATTGATTTTCAACAAAGTGCAAGGACAATTAGGTGGAGAAAGAATAATCTTTTTCAACAAATGATGGTGGTACAGGTCCACACAACAAAAAAAGGAATTTGGACCCTTACCTCACTTATATATATATAAATTCAGAATTCATCATAGACCTAAATGTAAGATCTGAAACAATAAAACTCAGGCTGAGCCTAGTGGGTCATACCTGTAATCCCAGCACTTTGGAGGCCAAGGTGGGAGGATCGCTTGAGCCCAGGAATTCAAGATCAGCCTGGGCAACATAGTGAGATGCCATCTCTATTAAAAAAGAAAAAAACAACTCTTAGAAGAAAACATGGTTGTAAATCTTCATGCCCTTGTATTACAGAATGGTTTCTTTTTTCTTCTTTTTTTTTTGATACAGGTTCTCACTCTGTCGCTGAGGCTGGGGTACAGTAGGGGGATCGCAGCTCACTGCAGCCTTGACTTCCTGCTGGGCTCAACAATCCTCCTACTTTAGCCTCCCGAGTGGCTGGGACTACAAGCATGTACCAATTAATTTTTGAATTTTTTATAGAGATAGGGTTTGCCACATTGCCCAGGCTGGTCTCAAACTCGTGAGCTCAAGCAGTCTGCCCGTCTCGGCCTCCCAAAGCTGCCGGGATTACAGGTGTGAGCCACCGTGCGTGGCTTCTTCAGTATGACACCTAAAACATAGGCACTGAAAGAAAAACAGGTAAATTGATATTAATTGAAACAGAAAACCTTTTTTTCAAATGGCACCATCAAGAAAATGAAGACATCCCAGAATGAGAAAAAATATTTGTCATATATCTGATAAAGGACTTTTATCCAAAATATATTTTAGAAATTCTTAAAATCAACAGTAAAAAGACACATAACCCAGTTAACAAATGAGCAAAGGATTTGATCAGATACTTCTTCAAAGATGCTGTCCAAATGGCCAGTACATCCATGAAAAGAAGTCAAGGCCGGGCGTGGTGGCTCATGCCTGTAATCCCAGCACTTTGGGAGGCCAAGGTGGGTGGATCACTAAGTCAATAGATCGAGACCATCCTGGCCAATATGGTGAAACCCCGTCTCTACTAAAAATACAAAATTTAGCTGGGCGTGGTGACGCGTACCTGTAGTCCCAGCTACTTGGAATGCTAAGGTGGGAGAATTGCTTGAACCCCGGAGGCAGAGGTTGCAGTGAGCCAAGATTGCGCCACTGCACTCCAGCCTGGCAACAGAACGAGACTTCATCTCAAAAAAAAAGAAGCTTAGTATCCTTAGTCCTTAGATGAAAATCACAACCACAATTAGATGCCACTTTGATTATAGATAATTTCTGATCCCTAATCAGACATGTGCCACTGGCCCTGCTAATTCTGGGTAATTTCTTTTTTTTTTTTTTGAGACAGAATCTCGCTCTGTTGCCCAGGCTGGAGTGCAGCGGCACGATTTTGGCTCACTGTGACCTCCGCCTCTGGGTTCAAGCAGTTCTCCCACCTCAGCCTCCTCAGTAGCTGGGATTACAGGCATGCGCCACCACTCCCGGCTACTTTTCATATTTTTAGTAGAGATGGGGTTTCGCTATGTTGGCCAGACTGGTCTTGAACTCCTGACCTCAGGTGATCCACCCACCTGGGCCTCTCAAAGCTCTGGGATTACAGATCTAAGCCACCAAGCCCAGCCCTGGATAATTTCTAACAGATATAAAAGTAAAGAGATTATAACAAACCCTGGAATGCCCATCACCAAGCTTCAGCAGTTCTCAGTGGATGTCCATCTTGTTTCATCTTTGAGGGAGTTTCAAGGAGTAGAAAAAAATAGAAGCAATTTTAATCCCAATAGCCTAAACCTACCACAGGAGGAGAAAAAATAGAATGAAAACTATGTTCTACTTTTACAGTTCACATTTAGGGAAAAATATGTTTAAAATATCTGAGAGGATTTTTAAAATTTACTTTATTAAAATACTAGTGAAGGCAAATTCTAATCATGAGTACCTTATCTGACACCTGTGTAGTATTTGTTTCTATTATTTTCTGATGGCAAGTGTACTGTAATGCAGTTGCCTTTTTGTTGTTGTTGTTTGTTTTTGCAGTTATTTGTGTTGACCAGCCTATAGTTTTTTACAACATGTTTTTGTGGAAATAACTGATCTGCCAGCTGCATTTTCTTAGGAATTTTTTTCTTATCATTTACTTCACTATGTTCTGTAGTGTTGAAAGGTAGATTTCCCTCCACTATGAAATGATAGTGCCTGAGTTTTGAATACTATTTTTCTAATTGTGATTATAAAAGTAATATGTATTCATCATAGAAAAAATTTGGAAAACACAGGAAAGCATAAAGATAAGATTAAGGGGCCTGTAATTTTATCAGCTGAAAGTTAACCAATGTTAATGATTTTGTTTTGTTGTTCAGGTGACCTGCCTTTTTAATGTAATGTGGTGAGCTTGAACCTTTTATTCATTTTGGTGCTTTTACATTGTGTTTGGATTTTGTCGTAATTACATTGTAGTTAATCATTGTGCACACTGGAGTGAGGGATAGAGAATGAGAGAAAATTAGTTTAACTCTGATTTTTTCCCTACTGCAGAATATTCTTGAGTATACTTGAGTAATTCCAGCTTTTAATGATCTTTCCAAGGTACACAATTATATATCCATCCAGTTTCTAGATTCTCCAGTTCAGAGATGACTTGTATAGATTTCCCTGCAAGACCAAAGCACTGTTGACTTTTGGTGCAAGAAATGGACTGTTGGGCCTTATTTCTGTACAGTCTTTCTGTTGTATGCCTGACTGGTATTTTACAGGCTTTTCGAGAATTATTTCATCTTCTTAGTATCTAGAATTACAGAGCTAGAGAACTCTAGTAGAATTTCTAGTATTTGTTAATTGAAATAAAAACATCAAATTAAGAATTTAGAAACACTTTTTATATTATTTTTGCATTAAAAAATTCATAATACATTCATAATGCATAAAGGTAAGCTTGAAAAATATGAATACTTTCTCAGTATTAAAACATATGAATATGATATTTTGTCTGTATAGATAATTCTTGGTGTATGTATGGAATAATTATCAGACATCCTTCTAATAAGTTTCCCCTTTCATCCCAGGAGTGAGGATCAGCAATGTTTACAGGTTGGGAACCAGTTCTGTGATCTTTCTAGACTGCTTGTTTCCTCTGAACAGGCCGCACACTCTTGCGTCTGTGCTTTGTCCATATGTATTTGCACATTCCTTTTACTTGTGATGTTTTCTACCTTCTCCCTTACCTCTACTTCTAAGAAAGAATGGAACTCAACTTATGACTGCCAGTGACTGTTTGTCCTTTGATTTTCAGCCCAAGCAAACTTTATTCTTTGGACGAGTATTTCTGGAGTACCTTGTTTGCAACAGGCATTATAGGCATTAGGTGAACAAAATATAGTTAGGTCCCTACCTTCTTGAGGCTGACAGTCCTGTTGGGAAATCAGACAGTAAATACGTGGTAGAATTGCACCTTAAGTGCTTGAAAGTAGAGAACAGCATGCAGTGACAAGGGAGTACCCCTAGAATGGCCTTCCAATGGGTCTCTGAGGAGCTAGCATTTGAGCTGAAGTCTGAAAGATGAAAAAGAATAGCCGGGCCAATATAGGTGTAAGGAGAGTTTTTGGCAGAAGGAACAACATAAGCAAAAGCCCTGAAGTAGTAAAGAGTTTGGAACCAAAAGGAGGCCAGCGTATATGACTAGAGCTCAGAGGTATTTGGCTTGGAGATACAAATTTGGGAGACATCAGTTTATAAGCATGGGAATGGATGCTGGTTATTTTGGAGTGAGCAGTGTGAGGGGACAAGAGGCATTGGACTGAGCCCACCAACAGAGATCTGGAAGGTGGGTAGAGATGAGAGATGAATTAGTAGATGCAACCAGAGAAGTAGCAAGAAGGCATAAGCATTTGTTTTCACACAAGTAGGGAATTTTTGAAGAAGGAAGGGGCGATCGACTTTGGATTGCTGCTGAGTGGTGTAGTTTGTTAAGTACAGAAAAGTCTTCCTTGGATTTGCCAACATGGCTGTCACTGGTGATTCTGACAAGAGCTGCTCTTGTGGAGTGAGCAAGTGAAGCCAGATCAGAGGGTCTGTGGAGGGGACAGGAAGTGTGCATCAGTGGAGCTGGCTGGTGTAGACAACGGCTTAAAGAAGCTTCACTGTTGATGGTGTCATTGATGAAAGGCATGTGAGCTCAAGAGAGGGCCTTTGTAAGATGAGTGATTTAGAGGACATTTACAAGCTGCTGGGAATGAGCTAGCGGAGGAGAGATCGCTGATTCCTGGGAGCAGACAACTGGAAGGTTATAGGTCTGAGGAGGCAGAAAGGAGGAGTTGTTGTCATCTGTGTGGGTGCTGAAACCATTAAGGAAGCTGAGAGGAGATAGGGAGGGAGTCAGGGAGACTGGAGTGTGAGTCTGCAGTGGAAGACAGGGAAGGACCTGTGACTGACAAATGAAAGCTGGGGCTGCCCCGGTGCTGAGCTGCTTGGTGCTTAGCTTAGTTGGTAGGTGCAGTGCCCCATCCTTGCAATTCCCAGTTGAAGCATTACTGAGTTCCCTCAGGCAGTTTTATCTTCCTTCCTCTTCTACCTACAGCATTTTCTGCAAACTTCTGGTTTAAGACTTGTCCCCATACTATTTTGACTGTGTTTGTCTCTTTCTTCTTTCAGGCAGTGACCTTCTTGAAGGCCTTGATGAAGTCTCTACAAAGTTTTGTGATTTTTAGTAGTTAGCATAGTTCAATACCTGTCAGAGTAAATGCTTGCTCACTGAGTGAATGTGTGGGCCTCAAAATGAGTGGGACAGTGGGAGGGAGAAAAAAGAGAAGGAAAGGACAGAAGGAACAGGTAGACTAAGAACAGACTTCCTGCTGGCAGGGCATGGCAGCGCGTCTTTCTTCGTTTTCGATCATATTGTAATTGTTGCAGAAATCATCCTAATACAGAAAAGATTGTCTTATTGATAGAAATATGCTGACTTAGTGTGAGTAGATCCTGCTAATTTCTGGCTTTAAACTATCATACCTTCTTTCTGGCATGAAACTACCATACCTTCTTCCAGAACTGGCTTTAAATTATCAACCTATTGGCTTTAAATTTCAACCCTGTTTTCCAGGGAGATTTTTATTTTTTATTTTTTTGAGACAGAGTTTTGCTCTTTGTTGCCAGGCTGGAGTGCAATGGTGCAATCTCTGCTCACTGCAACCTCCGCCTCCCAGGTTCAAGCGATTCTATTGTCTCAGCCTCCCGAGTAGCTGGGATTACAGGCGCCTGCCACCATGCCTGGCTAATTTTTGTATTTTTAGTAGAGACGGGGTTTCACCATGTTGGCCAGGCTGTTCTCGAACTCCTGACCTCAGGTGATCCACCCGCCCTGGCCTCCCAAAGTGTTGAGATTACAGGCGTGAGCGACCGCACCTGGCCCCAGGGAGATTTTTTAATGTGGTTATTGATTAACTGGTGCTGGTAATTTAATTCCTTCTTGATACTCTGGTATGGAATATTATTTTATTAAGGCTTCTTGAACTCCTTATTTATGATTTGACTTCGTGTTTCTTAATTTTCTCCTTCTTACGCCCCACATGCTGTAGCTGAAACATTTTCATGTTTCAGTTAGTAAATGCCCATGCTTTGAACTTTCAATGAAGCTGTAGTATAGTGAAAAGAACACAAACTTTGGGGCCAGGCAGATCTGGTTTTGAATTATTGCTTGACAGCTATTAGTTTTAAAACCTTAGGCAGGTTTTTTTGTTTGTTTTTGTTTTTTTTAATTTATTTGTTAATTGTATTTTATTTATTTTTTTTGAGACAGAGTCTTGCTTTGTCACCCAGGCTGGAGTGCAGTGGCACGATCTTGGCTCACTGCAACTTGCACCTCCTGGGTTCAAGCAATTCTCCTGCCTTACCTTCTTGAGTAGCTGAGATTACAGGCGTGTGCCACCACACCCTGCTAATTTCTATATTTTTAGTGGAGACAGGATTTTGCCATGTTGGCCAGGTTGGTCTCGAACTTCCCCGCCCACCTCAGCCTCTGAAAATGCTGGGATTACAGGTTTGAGCCACCGCACCCGACCTGTTTTTGTTTTTTTAACCTTTCTGAGCTGCATTTCTTATCTTCAAAATGAGAATAATAATGCCTACTTATCTCACAGGTATCTCACTATGTCTGCCATACCACTCTTCACCTCCCTCATTTTACTTATGCTGTTTTTCCTTAAGTGCTGTAACTATTTTTTTTTTGTTTTTTTTGAGATGGAGTCTCATTCCTGACGCGCAAGCTGGAGTGCAGTTCCGTGATCTTGGCTCGCTGCAACCTCCACCTCCCGGGTCCAAGCGATTCTCCTTCCTCAGCCTCCCAAGTAGCTGGGATTACAGGCGTGCGCCCTATGCCCGGCTAATTTTTGTATTTTTAGTAGAGATGGGGTTTTGCCATGTTGGCCAGGCTGGTCTCGAACTCCTGACCTCAGGTGATCTGCCCACTTTGGCCTCCCAAAGTGCTGGGATTACAGGCGTGAGCCACTGGGCCTGGCCACCATAACTATTAAATGCACATCCTAGCCACATTTTAACACAAAGCTCAAGCTGAATCTTGTTTATATAGTTTTGACTTGGTCATTCCAAGCCTTCTTAATCCATTCCTTCCTCTGAATTTTCATAGTGCTTATTCACGTTCCTTATTTGGCAGGTGCAGTATTTTACTTGTTAAATCTACTAGTTATACATCTCGTGTTTGTGTTGACCTCCGACATTGACAGGCCTTTTCTGTGTATGTATGTCTTGTCCTCTCTGAGTATGCTGGAAACTCTTTCAAGTGAAGTCATAGACTATAGTTATTTCTTTAGTATATTCTATAGTGAGATTTTATATTTGATAAATTGATGAGTAAATAAAAGTGATTCAGACAGACTGGTAATGGATAAACAGGGTATATGAATATATTCGCTCCATCCATTTATTCATTCTACAAATACCCATTGAGTACATACGTGTTAGATTGAAAAACACGTCACAGTATTTTGTAGCTCCTCCTATTGATTGGTAGAATCCATTTCCTCACACTTTTGTTTTTGTTTTTTGTTTTGTTTTGTTTTTTGAGACAGAGTCTCACTCTGTCGCCCCAACTGGAGTGCAGTGGTGTGATCTCAGCTCACCACAAACTCTGCCTCCCAGGCTCAAGTGATTTCCCTGCCTCAGCCTCTTGAGTAGCTGGGATTACAGGCGCACACCACCACGCCTGGCTAGTTTTTATATTTTTAGTAGAGATGGGGTTTCACCATGTGGACCAGGCTAGTCTCGAACACCTGACCTCAGGTCATCCACCTGCCTTGGCCTCCCAAAGTGCTGGGATTATAGGCGTGAGCCACCGCGCCCGGCTTCCTCACACTTTTAATGCGGACTGGCCTTGTGACTTGCTTTTACCAATAGATTGTGGCAGAAGTAACATGCAAACTGTGGATCCCAGGTCTCAGGAGTCCTGGTAGCCTCCCCCTTTGTCATCTTGGAGTGCTCCAGCCACTACATGATGAGCTCTAGGCTATGCCACTGAATGGTTAGAGATCATGTGTGGAGAGAGGCCCAGCCAACAGCCAGCACCAGAGTCCCAGACATGTGAGTGACACCATTGTAGAGCCTTCAGCTGCAGTAAAAATGCCAGATGACTCAACTGCATGAATGATCCCAGGAAAGACTAGCACAAGATCTTCCCAGCTGAGCCCAGCCACCTCGTAGACTTATGGGAAATATTAATTCATTATTGTTTTAAGCTACTAAGTATAAATGGTCCTCCTTTTAATTTCTTACAAAGAAGTCTACAGTAGACTAAAAAAGTTGTCAGAGCTTATGATTGATTCTCTTCTTTCCATCCCCCATTGTTAATAGTTCTTTACTGATAGTGTGTGTAAGTGCCACAGGTAGATATGGTAATTAAGGGGCTGGAGATAGGTGCTATTTTTTTTTTTTAAAAAAAAAGGCTTTGTGCATGTGCTTTTTCATTCTTAATCTTATTTGATGCATGCTAGAGCTGGTATTCTCCACAGTGCCACTTGGGAGTCAAGACCAGAGGCCAAAATTCCCAACTTGATGCCTCTTTTCATTACATCAAGATGTCTTTTTTTATTGTGTGTTCCTTCCTTCTTGTTGAAGTTGGTATTTTTAAACTTCTTCCTGTTGACCTGCAGCAGAGTTGGTCCATTGTTCTGGTTCCTCTGATAATTTCTACTTTCCAGGGTACTATAAAGGAGCATGACTAGGACAATTGTCTTGACCTTTTATTGTTTTGGCCCTGTGGACCAAGATGATGTGACAGGAAAAGGTTGAGATGCTTGGAACCTAACTACTGTAGTGGGGGCAGAGAATGTTGATGTTGGAGAATGAAAGGGGTTTGGGTTTGGGAAGAGTTGGACCATTTTTTCAGAAATATCCAAAATGTGTCCCTTTTCTCAGGTGACTGATACAGTGACATTTAGTGTGTTCAGTAGCCTTCATAGTAGATCTTGCTAAAGGAGAAAACTTTTCCTGATGAAGAAGAATAAAGATGTTTTGCTATTGTCACCTCCTCTACTGTTTCTTCTGTATCATTTTAATGTCTCTCATATTCTTTTGGAAAATTATGAAAATTGAACTTTTTTTTAAACTCAGAAATAGTGTTACATTCTGAATAATCTTTGATGTCAACACTGCTGTAAGGTAATTCTTCTCTGTAACACTGCTCTTTTGAATGATGATTATAGAACTGACTGCAGGGATTGTAAACAGTAGTTCATAATCTCACTAAAGGCAGGCAAGGGCTGAGTCCTGTTTATGTTTGTATCGCAGTGCCTCCCATTGTGTCTTAAATATAATAGACTAATAGACCTGGTTTTTACTTAGCTCAGGCATAGGTGACCACTGGTTATGGTTAACTTTAGACCTAGGTTTCCTTATTCTACTTTTCCCTCATGGAGAGCCTGGGCAGGACATGGGTGGATGGAAGAGAGTTTTACTTCCTCCTCCAGCTCCATCAGCTCCTCTTCTTCCCCCTCCTCCAACTTCTCTAACTTCATCTCTTCTTTTTCTCCTTCTCTTCCAACTCCCTCAACTCCTCCTCCTCTTTTCCCTCTCCAGCTTTTCTAATTCCTCCTCTTCCTTCCACTTTTCCTCCTCCTCCAAGTCCTCCTCCTCTTTCAATTCTTCCAAATCCTCCTCCTCCAACTCCTCCAATTTCTCCTTCTCCAGTTCCTCTTTCTCCTATAATTCCTCCTCCTCATGCTGCTCTTCCTCCTGTAACTCCTCTTCCTCATACTCTTCTTCTTGTAACTCCTCCTCCTCCTCTAGTTCCTCTTCCTCCTATAACTCCTCCTCCTCATGCTCCTCTTCCTCCTATAACTCCTCCTCCAGCTCCTCTTCTGCCTGTAACTCCTCCTCCTCATCCTCTTCCTCCTGAAACTCCTCCAACTCCTCCTCCTCCAGTTCCTCTTCCTCCTGTAACTCCTCCTCCTCCTCCAGTTCCTCTTTCTCCTGTAACTCCTCCAACTCCTCCTCCTCCAGTTCCTCTTCCTCCTGTAACTCCTCCTCTTCCAGTTCCTCTTCCTCCTGTAACTCCTTCTCCTCCTCCTCCAGTTCCACTTTATCCTGTAACTCCTCCAATGCCTCCTTCTCCAGTTCCTCTTCCTCCTGTAACAACTCGTCATCAACCTCCAGTTCCTCTTCCTTCTGTGACTCCTCCTCCTCCTCCAGTTCCTCTTTATCCTGTAACTCCTCCAATGCCTCCTCCTCCAGTTCCTCTTCCTCCTGTAACTCCTCCTCATCATCCTCCAGTTCCTCTTTCTCCTGTAACTCCTCCTCCTCCTCCAGTTCCTCTTTCTCCTGTAACTCCTCCAACACCTCCTCCTCCAGTTCTTCTTCCTCCTGTAACTCCTCCAACTCCTCCTCCTCCAGTTCCTCTTCCTCCTGTAACTCCTCCAACTCCTCCTCTTCCTCCAGTTCCTCTTCCTCCTGTAACTCCTCCAACTCCTCCTCCTCCAGTTCCTCTTCCTCCTGTAACTCCTCTTCCTCCTCCAGTTCCTCTTTCTCCTGTAACTCCTCCAACTCCTCCTCCTCCAGTTCCTCTTCTTCCTGTAACTCCTCCAACGCCTCCTCCTCCAGTTCCTCTTCCTCCTGTAACTCCTCATCATCCTCCAGTTCCTCTTTCTCCTGTAACTCCTCCTCCTCCTCCAGTTCCTCTTTCTCCTGTAACTCCTCCAACACCTCCTCCTCCAGTTCCTCTTCCTCCTGTAACTCCTCTTCCTCCTCCAGTTCCTCTTTCTCCTGTAACTCCTCCAACTCCTCCTCCTCCAGTTCCTCTTCCTCCTGTAACTCCTCCAACGCCTCCTCCTCCAGTTCCTCTTCCTCCTGTAACTCCTCCACCTCCTCCTCCTCCAGTTCCTCTTCCTCCTGTAACTCCTCCAACTCCTCCTCCTCCAGTTCCTCTTCCTCCTGTAACTCCTCCTCCTCCTCCAGTTCCTCTTTCTCCTGTAACTCCTCCAACTCCTCCTCCTCCAGTTCTTCTTCCTCCTGTAACTCCTCCAACTCGTCCTCCTCCAGTTCCTCTTCCTCCTGTAACTCCTCCAACTCCTCCTCCTCCAGTTCCTCTTCCTCCTATAACTCCTCCTCCTCCTCCAGTTCCTCTTCCTCCTGTAACTCCTCCTCCTCCTCCAGTTCCTCTTCCTCCTGTAACTCCTCTTCCTCCGCCAGCTCTCCTTCCTCCTGTAACTCCTCCTCCTCCTCCAGTTCCTCTTCCTCCTGTAACTCTTCCTCCTGCTCCAGTTCCTCTTCCTCCTGTAACTCTTCCTCCTCCTCCAGTTCCTCTTCCTCCTGTAACTCTTCCTCCTCCAGTTCCTCTTTCTCCTGTAACTCCTCCTCCTCCTTCTCCAGTTCCTCTTTCTCCTGTAACTCCTCCAACTCCTCCTCCTCCAGTTCCTCTTCCTCCTGTAACTCCTCCTCCTCCTCCAGTTCCTCTTCCTCCTGCAACTCCTCCTCCTCCTTCTCCAGTTCCTCTTCCTCCTGTAACTCCTCTTCCTCCTCCAGCTCCTCTTCCTCCTGTAACTCCTCCTCCTCCTCTAGTTCCTCTTCCTCCTCCAGCTCCTCTTCCTTCTGTAACTCCTCCTCCTCCTCTAGTTCCTCTTCCTCCTGTAACTCCTCCTCCTCCTCTAGTTCCTCTTCCTCCTGTAACTCCTCCTCCTCCTCCAGTTCCTCTTCCTCCTGTAACTCTTCCTCCTCCTCCAGCTCCTCTTCCTCCTATAACTCCTCCTCCTCCAGTTCCTCTTCCTCTCATAACTCCTCCTCCTCCTCCAGTTTCTCTTCCTCCTGTAACTCCTCCTCCTCAGGCTACTCTTCCTCCTGTAACTTCTCCTTCTCCTCCAGCTCCTCTTCCTCCTGTAACTCCTCCTCCTTCTTCTCTCACTCCTCCACGTCATCCTTTTTCCCTCTTATTTTCTAAGTTTTCTGCATTTTAAAATACAATTATTTTTTGATTTCTCTTTTTATGATTTAATTGCAAATGTTTAGAAAAACCTTCCTAGAAGATTCAGGGAGGAGAACACATATTTATTTGTTTTGATAGCTGAAAATATTTCTGAAAAGATACATGGGAAACTGGTGACATTACTTGCTTAATTTTTATTTATTTATTTTTTGAGACAAAGTCTCTCTCTGTTGCCAGGCTGGAGTGCAGTGGCGTGATCGGCTCACTGCAACCTCTGACTCCCTGCTTCAAGCGATTCTCCTGCCTCAGCCTCCCACGTAGCTGGGATTACAGGCACGTGCCACCATGACCAGCTAATTTTTGTATTTTTAGTAGAGACAGGGTTTCACCATGTTGGCCAGGCTGGTCTCCATCTCCTGACCTCATGATCCGCCCGCCTCAGCCTCCCAAAGTCTTGGGATTACAGGCTTGAGCCACTGCGCCCGGCCATTACTTGCTTTTAAGGAGAGAAACTGGGTGGCTGGGAGGGTCAGGGGTGGAAGGCAGGTCTTGCACTTTTGTACCTTGTGAATTTGGAACTATGTGATTAATATTCCCTGAAAATAGAGATGTAGAAAACACACAAAAACATGAAAAAAGTCCAAAAACATCAGTTTAATAAGAATAAGTGTAAGAGAGAATAGTTACCTTTTTTAAATTAAGAAGAAAAAGAAGAGAGAATTCAATCTGCTTAAAGCCTAGGGGCTTCCAGTCTCTTTCATTCTTTGCATTTCGTTGATAGGAATTTGTGACCTGTTTTTGAGTGTACTAAGCCTTTGTTGCATAATTACGTTCAAGAAGCATATGCTTATTTGTTAGAAATCTTATACAATTATGGTTGAAGGGGAGGTTTTCTTATGATATATATTTATAAATCACAGTAGGGAGACTTGAACGAATGGGAACTTTCCTAGTGTTTACTTAAGGAATAGAGACCTTGCTCTCTTGCCTGTTGCTTCCTGTCTAAACAGGAAATCTGACCTCTTGAGTCAAAACAGAATTAGGCTAAGACTTCTAATAATGTTTTCAAGGTGGGGAAAGGAAACTCATTGTCCATGCAACCTTGGAAAATTACTTATCTATACTTTACCTCAATTTCTTAATTTATAAATAAGGACGTTAACACCTACTTTATAGAGTTGAAGAATTAGAGATAGTATTATATAAATCAGTATTACGTAAGCACAGAAGCTGACACCTCATGTAGCTCCTTAAATTGTATTATTATTATTATTATTGGTTAGTATCTGTTCATTTTAGGCCCCTTGAAGGAGTAAACGCTATGAAATTTTTTTTCATTGAGAATGAATGAAAATGAATGATAGTTGTTTAGGGGAAGAAGGAGTATATCAGTTATCTATTGCTCTGTAACCAACCGCTCTGAATTTAGTGGCTTAAATAAAACAACAATGAAATGTTATTTCTCATAATTCTGTGGTTTGGCTTGGTGGCTTTTCTGCTTGTTTCCTTACACTTACTGGCATAACTGCAGTCGGATGACGACTGGAATGGGTAGATGGTCCCAGATGGCCTCACTCACATGTCTGGCAGTTGCTGCTGGCTGTTGGTCAGAGCATGTTGGTTCCCCAAGTGGCCTCTCATGTCCAATAGGCTAGGCCAGCTTCCTTACAGCATGGCCGTCCCAGGGCAGCATTCTAAGAGGGCAAGTTCCATTGCTTGTATAGCAAGTCTTTGCTTGCTTTTGTAGTTGCTGATTTCACAGGGTTAAGCCCAGAGTCATTGCAGGAGGGGACTTGGACTCCACCTGGGTGAGGTAGGAGTAGCAAAGAATTTGTGGCCATTTTTAATATACCACCAACCTGGTGCTTATTTGTTCTGCTTCTTGGACTAATAGTAGGTCCAGAAAGAGATTCTTTTGGTTTCTTAAGTTTTCCCGTATCGTTGATACCTTCTTTAGTCCAACATAAGAGATGATAAAGGAACTGCAAGTATTACATTTGTACTAAAAATTGGAATGAAGGATAATAGCTGCTTTTGAAGCTCTTTGTTGTGAAGGAGGGACTAGTTCCAGCATTTGGACATGACTGGAAAGCAGATCTCTCCTCAATATAAGGAAGGATTGCTCTGTGAGATACTAAGTCCCGTTGAATGCTATCCTTCCCTCACTCTTCTGTGTTGTTGGAAGCAGTAAAGTAGAAGATGGGTAGTTATGTGCTGGGGCTTTGAAGGAGGGTTTTCCTCATTGAATGACTTGATGTATATGATTCCATACCTCAGAAAGAATCTCAATGTTTTTACGTTGAGATTAGGGGTGGGGATGGGGTGGTATTAGAAAGGGAGAGAATTGCTGTGTTCAGACTGTGAGTTACTCTACTGAGAATTTTAATTTTACTTTATTTAGAAAACAAAGATATGTTTTCTGGAAACTTTGAAAGTTGGGACTTACTACTGGTGTGAAAAAAGCTTCAATTTGGCACAGTATCAGGGAGGTACTGAATCTTGAAGATAGGTTTCCTATGGGTCTTCTTGGTTTAAAATGAAAGGAATTAAGTAATGGTTTTAGAGTAAGTCAGAAATAAATTTGTACAATGCTCCAGCAGCTATAGGTTAACGAGAGAGCTTATGCAATTTGTGTAGTTAGAACGGTTTTGGTACTTTTCTCATATCATGTATTTTACCCTACTCAAACATGATTTTGAGATCTCCTAATTTTAATATCAAAACACTAGGCCCAAATGGTGCTATTGTCAGCGGAGAATACTGTGTCAATAACTGATCAGAATATGAGCCTATTTCCTTTCTCTTTTTTTGAGACAGAGTCCAGCTCTGTCACCCAGGCTGGAGTGCAGTGGCACTGTGTCGGCTCACCGCAACCTCCGTCTCCTGGATTCAAGCAATTCTCCTGCCTCAGCCTCCTAAGTAGCTGGGATTACAGGTGTCCACCACCACACCTGGCTAGTTTTTATATTTTTAGAGACAGGGTTTCACCATGTTGGCCAGGCTGGTCTTGAATTCCTAACCTCAGGTGATCCGCCCACCTCGGCCTCCCAAAGTGCTGAGATTACAGGTGTGAGCCACCGTACCCGGCCTTTTTTGACGGAGTTGCACTCTGTCGCCCAGGCTGGAGTACAGTGGCGCAATCTCGGCTCACTGCAAGCTCTGCCTCCTGAGTTTAAGCGATTCTCCTGCCTCAGCCTCCCGAGTAGCTGGGACTACAGGCACTGCCACCATGCCCAGCTAATTTTTGTATTTTTAGTAGAGACAGGGTTTCACCATGTTGGCCAGGCTGTCTCGAACTCCTGACCTCAAATGATCGGCCTGCCGTGGCCTCCCAAAGTGTTGGGATTACAGGCGTGAGCCACTGCGCCCACCTCCTTTCTCTTTTTGTGTCTTTCTTTTCTTTGTTGTAGGGAGGAGGAGATGGAGGCTACCACTTACTCCATTGTAAAGTAGTGTGATGTAGGTGCTGCCCTTGACTTTGTTTAATGTGACCAAGCCAGCCACTTTGGTCAACAGTGTTTTCTATAGAGCCTTCCTCATTTCCCATACTTGGTTTTTTTTTAGAAGACTGAGAGTAAGGCAGTAAGCTGCAGTACCTACAGTGATTCAGACACAGAGTGGTGTTAGATTTCTGGTGGGAAATAGAATTGAAGTTACAAATAAATATGCTAGCTAAAGCAGAAGATTGCTTTCCTGTCTGGTGCATTTACAAGCTGGGAAATTCTGGAAAACATCAACCTGCCAACTGTGTGGCTCATTGGCTCTTCTTTGGGCTTCGATGTTCTTCCTGATAAAAATAATAATTATGTTATTTCGATATGGTTGCCAAGCCGTTCATGCTTCTCGCTCTGCTTGTGATTATAAATGATTCTGCAGCATGAATTGCTTTGTCTTTGATTTAATGTTTCATAACATTTGGGTGTTATGTTATCTGTGCTAATTTGTCGTTCTCTTCTCTTACTTTTCAGAATGGACTGCTGAATTATGAAGTATTTCAGACCCAGTAGTAGAACATCACTCTGCCACTCACTCCTTTATCTCCTACTAGTTATTTAAATTGGACTTTTAATATCCTACCAGCTGCTCTTCAGACACACATGGTGCATTGTTGCCATTCCCCAGATTGCATCTTTGAAACACAGGCTCTTAGTAACCTTCAGCGAACAAAGAGGCAACCTCCCAGATACGTCTGCTGGGAGGGAGTCATCGTGACTGCCCTCTAGCTTTTGCTGGATCTGGATTTGAATTCCACTATGGAGCCTCGCATGGAGTCCTGCCTGGCGCAGGTGTTGCAGAAGGATGTGGGGAAACGATTGCAGGTTGGCCAAGAACTGATAGACTATTTCTCAGACAAACAGAAGTCTGCTGACCTTGAGCATGACCAGACCATGTTAGATAAACTTGTGGATGGACTTGCTACCTCTTGGGTGAACTCTAGCAATTACAAGGTAAGCTGTGCTTTAGAAGGCACTTTTGGAGGTGGCTGGGCTGCACTGGTAGATCAAAATTGGCCCTTATAAAAATCCCTTGTGAGCAGTCAGCATGCTTCCTTGGTTTCTAGTAAGACACTCAATCAGATTGTGGCCTTGGGTTATTTCATTCTGGAGAAAGTAGAGTTTTCTTTGATACTCATTGCAGATCAAAAAATTCTCATCCTTTAGCACTTTGACAGAAGGTCAAGTGAACAGATAAGGGGAGGCTTTTTTGTTGGAAAGTTGACAAGCATTTGTAGCCTTGAAGTTAATGTGTATATTATGTTTTGCAGCAAATAGGTCCTGAGACCTTGGTGAGTTGCCCTTTATAAATAACAAATGTCTTCACTGATTTTCTCTGGGGGATTGAATTGGTAATAAGGTGTGGAGCATTTTACCTTCAGGTCACTGTTGTGAAGCTGGCCCAGGTACCTGGACAGAAATAGGTTGTCAAGGACTTTTCTGTGACCTGTGTGTAATGGCCTAGAGGATATCCTTCAGGATCTAAAGGTCAAGGCTGTTTATGTGACCTTGGTAGGGAGTGGGGGTGGGGGTGGGGGCCAGGTCCCATGGGTCAAATGAGTCGTGAAGGTTGACCATTTTACCTTTCAAAGACAGTTTTCCTGAATAAAAACTAGATTGGACTTGAAGTGCTGAAGAGGTGGTGTTCCTCTCTCTGCTTCCTCCCCTATTCTCATCCCCTTATGCTCTCTTTTCATTTCCCTAGAGGGTGGCCCCTTTGGGTCAAGGTTGAGATGGAAGGAAGAGTGGAGAGTTTGCATGACTGCTAATAGGTGCTATAGACGTTGTTAAAGGGGCTTACAGACATAGAATCTTTTGTGCTTTTTTCATTGACTCAATCTTTTGAGATTGGTTTGGACTTAAAAAGTCACAGGACTCCTTTGCTCTAGTATGTACTCTGTTTTCTAAATACGTTACCTATTGCCCTAATATTTCACTTATCACTGGATATAAAATTTATCCTACCTGTCTTCGTATATTTATTTTTTAGACCGAGTCTTGCTCTGTCGCCCAGGCTGGAGTGCAGTGGCACTATCTTGGCTCACTGCAACCTCCACCTCCTGGGCTCAAGCAATCCTCCCACCTCAGCCTCTCAAGTAGCTGGGACTACAGACGTGCGCCACCATGCCCAGCTAATTTTTGTATTTTTGTAGAGACAAGGTTTTACCATGTTGCCCGGGCTGGTCTTGAACTCCTGGGCTCAAGCAAGCCACCCGCCTCCTCCTCCCAAAATGCCGGGATTACAGGCGTGTGCCACCGTGCCCAGCCTATCCTACCTGTCTTTAAACTCTGGCTAAAATTCTATTTCATTCATCTGTTTATTCACTTAGCTGAAATTATCAATTGCTTCTTATGTGTTTGGCATTGGTGCTGGATGGTGCGAGTGTTAAAAGAGATGAGAGGTGATAAAGTCTAGTCACTACAATTTTGTTCTTTTTTAAAAGTAATTTGTAAAAATTGACAAATAATTTTACATACTCATGGGATACCTAATGATATTTTGATGAATATAATTTGTAGTGATCAGGTCAGGGTAATTAATATATCCATCATCTCAAATGTTTATCATTTCTTTGTGTTGGGAACGTTTAATATCCTCCTTCTAGCTAATTGAAACTATATTACTATTAACTCTAGTCATCCTACAGTGGTATATAACACCAGAAGTTATTTCTCCTATCTAGCTGTAATTTTGTATTCTTTAACAAATCTCTTCCTATACCTCTCTTCCTCCTGTCCTTCCCAGCCTCTGCTATCGTCTCTTCTACTTTTTACTTATGAGATTAACTGTTATTTAGCTTCACATATGAGTGAGAACATGTAGTGTTTAACTTTCTGTTCCTGGCTTATTTCACTTAACATAATGCCCTCTAGTTCCATCCATGTTGCTGTGAAGGACGGGATTTTATTCTTTTTCATGGCTAATTAATATTCCATTGAATATACCACATTTTCTTTATCCATTCTCTGTTGTTGGACATGTAGGTTGATTCTTTGCTGTTGTGAATAGTGCTGCAGTGAACATGGGGGAGCAGATATCTCTTCCATATTCTGATTTCTTTTCACTTGAATAAATTCCCACTAGTGGGATTGCTGGATCCTATGGTAGTTCTATTTATAGTTTTTTATGGAACTTCCATACTGTTTTCCATAGCAGCTGTACTAGTTTATGTTCCCACCAGCAGTGTATAAGAGTTCCCTTTTCTCTGCTACATCCTCATCAGCATTTATTATTTTTTGTCTTTTTGATAATAGCCATCCTAACAGGGGTGAGTTGATACCTCATTGTGGTTTTGATTTGCATTTCCCTCATGATTAGTGATGTCGAACATTTTTTCATATATTTGTTGGCCATTGGTATGTCTTCCTTTGAGAAATGTCTGTTCAGATTATTTGTCCATTTTTAAAATTGGATATGTATATATATATAATTTTTTTTTTCTGTTGAGATGTTTGAGTTCCTTGTTTATTCTGGATATTAATCCCGTTTGGCTGGTCCAATGGTAATGAGTTATCAGAATTTAACATAGTGTCACTAAAGTTGGTATACAACTCCCCACTGCTAAATTTTACTGGCTTAAAAAAAAAGTCTCCTGTCAGAGGAGTAATTTGCAAATATCTTCTCCCATTCTGTAGCTTGTCTTTTTACTCTCTTGTTTCTTGGTTGCCCTGAAGCTTTTTAGTTTAATATCATCCCATTTGTTCATTTTTGGTTTTGTTTCTTGTGCTTTTGAGGTCTTATTTATAAAATATTTTCCCAGACTAATGTCCTGAAACATTTCTTAAATGTTTTCATCTAGTAGTTTTATTGTTTTGGGTCTTACATTTAGGTCTTTGATCCATTTACAGTTGATTTTTCTATAGGGTGAGAGATGGGGATCTAGTTTTATTCTTCTGCATATGGATATCCAGTTTTCCCAGTAACATTTATTGAAGAGACTGGCCTTTCCCCAATGAGTGTTCTTGGCACCTTTGTCAAAAGTCAGTTGGCCGTAGATATGTGGATTAATTTCTGTGTTCCCTGTTTTGTTCCATTGGCCTATGTGTCTGTTTTTATGACAGTACCAGGTTGTTTTGGTTACTACAGCTTTGTAGTTTACTTTGAGGTCTGTTAGTGTGATGCCTCTAGCTTTGTTCTTTTTGCTCAGTGTTGCTTTGGCTATTCAGGGTCTTTTGTGGTTCCATACAAATTTTAGGACTTTTTTTTCTATTTCTGTGAAGAATGTCATTGGTATTTTGATAGAATGGCATTCAATCTGTAGATTGCTATTGTCATTTTAACTATATTAATTCCTCTAATCCATGAGCATGTGATGTCTTTCTATTTGTTTGTATCCTCTTCAGTTTCTTTTATCAGTGTTTTGTAGTTTTCCTTGTAGAGGCCTTTCATCTCCTTGGTTAAATTTATTCCTAGGTATTTTATTTTTGGTAGCTGTCATAAATGGAATTGCCGCTTTCTTCTTCTTCTTTTTTTTTTTTTGAGATGGAGTGTTGCTCTTTTGCCCAGGCTGGAGTGCAGTGGCGTAATCTCGGCTCACTGCAACCTCCGCCTCCTGGGTTCAAGTGATTTTCATGCCTCAACCTCCTGAGTAGCTGGTACTGCAGGCGTGCACCACCATACCCGGCTGATTTTTGTGTTTTTAGTAGAGATGGGGATTTACTACATTGGCCAGGCTGGTTTCGAACTCGTGACCTCAGGTGATCCACCCGTCTTGGCCTCCCAAAGTGCTGGGATTACAGTCGTGAGCCACTGTGCTCGGCCAGAATTGCCTTCTTGATTTCTTTTTTTAGCTAGTTTGTTGTTGGTGTATAGAAATGCTACTCATTTTTGTATGTTTGTATCCTGTAACCGTACCGATTTCAGTCATCAGGAGTAAGAGTTTTTTGGTAGAATCTTTAGGTTTTTCTGTATATAAGATCATGTCATCTGCAAACAGAGACAATTTTACCTACTCTTTCCAATTTGGATGCTTTTTATTTCTTTCTCTTGCCTAATTGCTCTGGGAAGGACTTCCACTACTATGTTGAAAAAGAGGGTGAGAGTGGGCATATTTGTACTGTTCTAGTTCTTAAAAGCTGAAAGCTGGCTGAGTGCGACGGCTCATGCCTGTAATCCCAGCACTTTGGGAGGCCGAGGCAGGCGGATCACGAGGTCAGGAGTTCGAGATTAGCCTGGCCAACATGGTGAAACCCCATCTCTACTAAAAATACAAAAATTAGCTGGGCATGGTGGCACACCCTGTAATCCCAGCTACTTGGGAGGCTGAGGTAGGAGAATTGCTTCAACCCGGAAGGCAGAGGTTGCAGTGAGCCAAGATCATGGCATTGCACTCCAGCCTGGGCGACAGAGCAAGACTCCATCTCAAAAAAAAAAAAAAAAAATGCTGAACGCTTTTCCTCATTCAGTCAGATGTTAGCCATGGTTGTTACATTTTTAAGGGCTATGAAATCACCTTGTCTATGTTTTTGGGTCACAACTCCACCACTTTTTCTATGTGCATATTAGGATGCTTCTGACTTAAGAGTAATTGGAAACTGACTCAAATGACCTAAAGTTCTCCAAGGAAATCTAGTGTCTCAAATAAATCCAGTAGTAGTTAAGGCAATGTCCAGGGAAGGAGAATGTCTTCTTGTACCTTTCACTTGGGGGAAGGAAACCTTTCTCAGAAGCTCCCCAGCAGACTTTTCTTTCATCACATTTGCTAGAGTGACTTTGCGTGCCCATCCCAGCACCACTGGAAAATGAGTGTCCGTGATTGCCTTTGAATGCCATGCTTAACCTATTGGTCTTAAGTGGGGGCCTCCCTTGAGTGAAGCATGTGACCATGTGAAGGAGGGTGGATACTTGAATAGTATCAGGGTCCTAATAGGAAAAGGAGGTTGGGGATGGGACTGGGGTAGCATGGATGTTAAATTATTAGATTGGTGCAAAAGTAATTGTCTTCAAGGAGCTCATAGTCTATGGAGAGGAAACTGATAAATAAACAAGTTATACAGTACAGTGTAGTGTGTGCAGTAATGCAAATATACAGAGTTCTGTGGGAAGACAGAAGAAGAAAGTAGTAACACTGCCTAAAGGAATTGAGAATTTTGAAGATTGGTTAGTTTTTCCAGAATGACATTTGCAGGGTTACAAAGGAATGAAAGATTAAGACTTGACTCTTGGTGAAGTAATTCCTAAACAAGGACAGATTAGTGTGAAGGAAAGTCAGGAAGTTGGGGTTTACCACTAACTTGCTTGTAACCATGGACAACTCAGTTAAACCTGTTTGTACAATGCAGATATTAGACTAGATAATCTCTTGGGAGCCCTCAAGCTCTAATATTTTATATTACTTAATAGAGGTGGTTTTTGCACTCAAGGGCTATGTCTTATGGTTTGTAATTTCTCTAAGTGTAGTGGCAGCCTGCATGTTCACATCTGGAGCCCAGAGTATGGAACATCATGGGTGCTCAACAAATACTGGTTCCATGAGTGATCTCAGGAACTTAGACTCCTCAGCCAGGTATTGCTGGTTGCTTTACTGAAACCTGGAAACTACCTTTTAGATCCTGCTTCCCTTTTTTTCTTAATTATAAGTCAAGATTTTTAAAATTGAAACCCTGAGGTACAGTTTGGCTTTATTTGGAATTTTTAAAATAGATAATTCCTTTAATATTTTAGATTAAAGGGATTAGCTTTATATTAAACAAAACTTTGAAGCTTGGCTTCTTGAATTTTTTTTTTTTTTTTTTTTTGACAGAGTCTCACTCTGCCACCCAGGCTGGAGTGCAGTGGTGTGATCTTGGCTCACCGTTACCTTTGCTTCCTGGTTCAAATGATTCTTGTGCCTCAGCCTCCTGAGTAGCTGGGATTACAGGTGCGTGCCACCATGCCTGGCTGATTTTTTTCTGTATTTTTAGTAGAGATGGGGCTTCGCCATGTTGGCCAGGCTGGTCTCCAACTCATGACCTCCAGTGATCCGACTGCCTCGGCCTCTCAAAATGCTGGGATTACAGGCGTGAGCCACCATGCCTGACCTTGGGACCTTGGCTTCTTGAATTTTTTTTTTTTTTTTTTTTTTTTTGAGATGGAGTCTCACTCTCTCGCCCAGGCTGGAGTGCAGTGGTGCAATCTAGGCTCAATGCAACCTCCACCTCCTGGGTTCAAGTGATTCTTCTGCCTCAGCCTCCCGAGTAGCTGGGACTACAGGCATGCACCACCACACCTGGCTAATTTTTGTATTTTTAGTAGAGACAGGGTTTTACCATATTGGCCAGGCTGGTCTTGAACTCCTGACTGCCTGATCCACCAGCCTCGGCCTCTCAAAGTGCTGGGATTACAGTTGTGAGCCACCGTGCCCGGCTGTTTTTTTTTTTTCTTTAAGGGCTGAAAAGAGAATGGAGAAGTAATTTTGGCTTGCCCAAACAATAGTACTTGCGTGTTGTTATTCCTTTTCTTAACAGGGAAGGTAGATGAATGTCAGCTCAATGGCTTATTAAAAAAAAATACGGCCAGGTATAGTGAATCACGCCTGTAATCCCAGCACTTTGGGAGGCCGAGGTGGGCGGATCATGAGGCCAGGAGTTCACGACCAGCCTGGCCAACATGGTGAAACCCCGTATCTACTAAAAATACAAAAGTCAGCCGGGCGTGGTGGCACGCACGTATAGTCCCAGCTACTTGGAGGCTGAGGCAGGAGAATTGCTTGAACCTGGGAGGCAGAGTTTGCAGTGAGCTGAGGTTGCACCACTGCACTCTAGCCTGGGCAATAGAGTGAGACTCCGTCTCAAAAAATAAATAAATAAATAAATAAAAATAAAAACGTTGGCTGGAGCTTGAGTAACTTTGCATTTAAGTGTTTCTTTACAGACAGATGTATATGTGGTATCAAGGGCAATTTAATGGCTACCATTTATTCCTTACTTAGTTTCAGGTATGTTCTCTGTCTTATCTCATGTAGTCTTTATAACAACCCTGCAGGGTAAATAGATAGTGGTATCCTAATTTTTATACAGGAAGTAACTGAGGCTTAGAAATAATGAGGCAATTTTAACTAGTGATTATGGAACTGGATTTAAATATAGGTCTCTGATTTTCTGGATAGTGCTGCTTTCATAAGAACAGGGTTTAGTAAACTTTTCCTTAAAACCCAGATAGTACCTATTTTGGGCTTTGTGAGACCATATGCTCTTTGAAATATTCAACTAATATGAATCGTTGTATTGCAAAAGCAGTGACAGGTAATAGGTAAATGAACAGGCTTGGCTGTGTTCCAGTAAAACTTGACTACCTTATGTGATATTTCAGAAAAACTTGCCTCTCTCACTCAGACTCATATTGGGATCAGTTTGAATTCTGTTAGCTTACTGCTAATCATCTACAGTGAGCTGGCCTTGAACTTTCTTTGGTAGTAGAAGCCATCTGTGGGTTGAGTAATTGGTTATTTAAATAAGCATACATTCAGAACAGCACTATGCTACACCATGGCGGTGCTGTTCAACATGGAAGGATTTGTGAAGGTTCCCTGTTGTCATAGTGACCATGGGAATCCTGGAAGGAGACATTAAATAATAAAAATAACCCCAAATTTTGAATATGGCTGTCCTCATTGATCTGGTCTCCTCTTCCTGTCTGCCTTAAAACTTGCAGAAAGGGAAAAGTGGTGGGGATAGGTTCTTGCACTCACTTCCAGCTGCTTCTGTTCTTCCTTCTTCCCTCATCAGGTGAGAAGGGATGAAATGTTAAGAATGACCTGTCTTGGAGAGACCGCCTGGGCTATGCAACTGGAGGGAATTGGGGGGGGACTTATGCTACGCAGCTTTCTCAGGTCATCTTGACAGCTTTGATTCTGCGCAGCAGTGCAGTAACATGCAGCCTCACATCCACACCACACCAGTGCAAGTACCTGTACCTTTACTGGGATCATTGGAAACAACGTTTCTTAGCAGGGGCTTGGTGCTTTTTGTGAATACAGTCCCACAGGCCTTTCTCCGCAGTTTCAAAATTCAAAGCACTCTGAAAGCCTAGTGTTTTTAATTACTAATTTGCCATTTGACCTGAAGTGAACTAACATGAGACTATTTATAGTCTGTATGTACCTGGCTAGGCTATGTTTCACTACAAAAATATTAATGTGCTTGATTGTGAGTTGCTGCCCCGGATTCTATTCAAGGGGCTATATTACACATACACACACACATACACACTATCTCTCTCTCCGTGCACTATTTTATCTTCCTAAAAATCTGAAAAATTCTTTATTCCAGAATATACCTGGCCTCTAGAGTTTTGGATAAGCAATTGTGGACCTGTATTTAATACTGTACAATAATAATGATAGTCTATGGCTGTGGTGCATTTACTGTGAGCCAGAAATTGTGCTAAATATGTGTTCATTTTTTAAATTGTAATTACCATATGAGGTAGACATTATTTTTCCCATTTTACAAATGAGAAGACTGATGCTCAAAAAATTAGCTAACTTGTTCAAGGTGATAAAACTAGTAATTAAGATTTCTGAGACTTGAACTCAAGTCCTTATGCAACAACCAGAGTTAATTAAACACGTATGATGTGCCAGTTGCTGTACTTACACAGTAGGGAAAAACTGGGTACGGTCCCGGCCCAGTGTCTAAGCTGTCTAGGTCTGTCCAGTCTGTGTGGGCTTCATCTCCGTGTACATTTGTCTCAAGGCCCATTCCGTGCTGCCTTATATTTGAAATTTGTGGGTTCCCTATTAACCCAGAGCTTCCTTTTCTTCTGCCCTGTGGTCTGATTGGAGGAACGGGGAGGGCACATGAGAGGGCGGTGCACAGTGTAGGATAGGAAATAAGTCAGTGCTAAATTGCATCATAGGAATTTGTATAAATTCTGTCATGCGGAGAAAGAAGAAACATTAGGGTATGCTTAGTTGGAGAGGCCTTGACAGAGAAGTGGGATTAAAGAGGGTTATGAAGAACCAAAAGGTGTAAGCTGCAGAGGGTTCTGAGAAAGTCTCTCTTCCTTTCCTGTTTCTCCCTTTCTGGTTAGCACTTCCTTGGTAGACTGTAAAAGATGTAGTCTCTCCTAAGCTGCTTTACAGAGCACATGTTACCGCTAGATCAAGTGTGTTTATGGGCAGGAGGAGACTGTGTTGACAGATAAGGGAGGTTCCTCTCATTTCCTTTGCCTATCTCCAAAACCTTGGCTTTCATCGAGGTTTTTATTTTCCCGCTTGTGTCCTTGAGAGGAGAGCCAGAAAAGATTATTGGATTCAGATTAAGTGACTTCTGTTTCCTTTTCTGGCAGTCTCCTCGCTACTGCCACCAAGTGACACATCTTTTCAGAGACTGTCCATTTTTTTCCAGGTTTTCCTTGCAGTGTTTGTCCTATTGGCTGTAGGAGGTGAATTTCCATGGTTTAATCTAAAAAGACAGGTGCCTCTGTCATAAGTAGAAAAGCTACAGTTAGCAGCACTAAGCAAAAGCAAAAAACCTTAGGAAAGGTTATGTCAAGAAAATTTATATGGATTGTTGGTAAAAATGGTGTCCTTGATGTATGTAATTAGTGGCATTTCTTCCTAAATGTGTTTACCTATATGCAAGGGCAACAAAGTGTACTGAAAGTATTTTAGATTTGAGTGTGAATTGTCTGGATTCCTCTTCTGGCTCTGCCACTCATATATTTGAGCAGGTAGCTTTCTCTCTAGAATGTATTTCCTCATCTGTAAAAGGGGTCTGATGATATTTACTACATAGAGGATTCAGTAAGCCCATGTATATAAGCCCATGTAGTGCTTTTAATATGTAGCATGTGGTCAGTAAAAGGAAGTTGACGAAAATGTATATTATGGGACCAAATACTCATAAAATCTGAGGAAAGTTAACTTTTATGTGGGACTGAGGTTACATGTTTTCTTGTGGCCTAGTCAGTTAGCCTGTGCTCTGGAACAGAGGCCTTGGGTCTCTTGTAATAAGATATGAATCCATCAGTTGTTCAGTGTTGATAATAAAGTCCCTGAGTAGAGCAGCAGCTGGCTGGGAAGTCTGTGAAGGGTGAGTTAAAAACTGACTGGTATAAAACAATCCATTGACTGAGGCCCCCTGTTTTAGGAAGATTTCACTTGATTGTAAAATTTTTAACACTTATACTTTCCCTTGTTTCAGAAAACTAAAATTTAAATAAGGATACATGCAACAGAAGAAGTAATAAATTGAATGTCAAGGCAGAAAGTAAAACAGCTGGAGTGAGAACGTGGACCTAACAATGAGGCTAATGATTAACAGCTAATGTTTACTAGTAGCTAACACTTATTAAGCGCCATTATGTGCTAGACACTGTTAAGTGTTTTGCATGCATTGCCTGGTGTAATTATAACATAGATGCTGTATGATAAGCCCTGTGATTATTCCTATTCTTTAAGTGGGGACACTGAAGAAACTTGCCCGAGGTTACATGACTAGAAAGTGTCAGAGGCAGGATGTTAGTCGGAATAGTCTGACTGTAGCACCCACTGCTGAAGCAATATGCAGTATTTTCTTTATAATTTTGTAGCAGAGGTAATAGTAGCATTTATTGGAGCATAAAAGAAAAGGGTGTAAGGACGTACCCCACAGTTGATTTCTTAAAGGGAGGGAATTTTGAGTTAGACTTTAATGAAAAATATTTAAGATGAATATATTTAAAATAGTTCTTTGGTCCTGTTAGAATCATGACCATATATACTTTTTAAACTTTTTATTTTGGAAAATATTCAGACATGTGAAAACCTCAGAAAACAGTTAAAAAAATTTTCATGTATGTTTCACCTGGACCCCAGTGTTAACTCTTTATCACATATGTCTTGTTTTCTCTATTATTATGCTTATTGTAATCATTTGAGAGTAGTAGACACAGTGCTTCACTGCAATACCTGTGTATACAGTGGTTCTTAGAAACAAGGTCATTCATTTATATAATGTTAGGACAGCTATCTAAATCAGGATTAAGATTGATGGACTACTGGCCGGGCGCAGTGGCTCACACCTGTAATCCCAGCACTTTGGGAGGCCAAGGCGGGCAGATCACGAGGTCAGGAGATGGAGACCATTCTGGCTAACAAGGTGAAACCCCGTCTCTACTAAAAATACAGAAATTAGCCGGGCGTGGTATCGGGTGCCTGTAGTCCCAGCTACTCGGGAGGCTGAGGCAGGAGAATGGTGTGAACCCGGGAGGCGGAGGTTGCAGTGACCTGAGATCATGCCACTGCACTCCAGCCTGGGCAACAGAGCAAGACTCCGTCTCTTAAAAAAAAAAATTGATAGACTATTAATACCTGATTTACGAGACATACTCAAATTTCACCTGTTGTCATGCTAATGTCCTTTATAGCAACAAGAAAATTTTTTTTTTTTTGAGACGGAGTCTCCCTCTGTCGCCCAGGCTGGAGTGCAGTGGTGCGATCTCGGCTCACTGAAAGCTCCGCCTCCCGGGTTCACGCCATTCTCCTGCCTCAGCCTCCTGAGTAGCTGGGACTACAGGCGCCCGCCACCACGCCCGGCTAATTTTTTGTATTTTTAGTAGAGACGGGGTTTCACCGTGTTAGCCAGAATGGTCTCGATCTCCTGACCTCACGATCTCCACCCGCCTCGGCCTCCCAAAGTGTTGGGATTACAGGCGTGAGCCACCGCGCCAGGCCTTTTTTTTGAGACGGAGTTTTGCTCTTGTTACTGAGGCTGGAGTGCAGTGGCGCGATCTCGGCTCACCGCAACCTCCGCCTCCCGGGTTCAGTGATTCTCCTGGCTCAGCCTCCCAAGTAGCTGGGATCACAGGCATGCACCACCACCCTGGCTAATTTTGTATTTTTAGTAAAGATGGGGTTTCTCCATGTTGGTCATGCTGGTCTTGAACTCCCAACCTCAGGTGATCCACCCACCTCGGCCTCCCAAAGTGGTGGGATTACAGGCGTGAGCCACTGCGCCTGGCCGAAAAAAAAATTTTTTTAATCCTGTTTCATGATCCAGTTCTGGAACACACACTACATTTAGGTCTCATATCTGTGTAGTTTCCTTTTTTTTTTTTTTTTTTTGAGACGGAGTTTTTCTCTTTTCTCTTGTTGCCCAGGCTGGAGTGCAGTGGCACGATCTCAGCTCCCTGCAACTTCCGCCTCCCCGGATCAAGCGATTCTTCTGCCTCAGCCTCCCAAGTAGCTGGGATTATAGGCAGGCACCAGCATGCCCGGCTACTTTTGTATTTTTAGTAGAGGCGGAGTTTTACCATGTTGGTCAGGCTGGTCTCGAACTCCTGACCTCAGGTGATCCACCCGCCTGGGCCTCCCTAAGTGCTGGGATTACAGGTGTGAGCCACCGTGCCCGGCCATAGTTTCCTTTACACTGGAACAGTTCATTGTCAGTCTTTCCTTATTTTTCTTGGCTTAATAATTTTGAAGAATTAGGTCACCTTACTGTGTGTAGTTCGTCAATTTGACGTTGTTTGATGCTTCTTCCTGGTTAGATTTTGGCAGGAATACTGTAGATGTGACATATCCTTCTCAGTGCCTCACATCGGGAGGCACACGATATCTCTTCCTCCTACGTGGTTAAAGAGGTGTTTGCCAGGTTTCTTCAAAAAGTTACTTTTTTCCCCTCTTTCTAATTAATAGATATCTTGTGGGGAGATAGTTTGAGACTGTATAAATATCCTATTACTCATTAAACTTTCACCTATAGCTTCAGAATCCATTGATGATTTTTACTTAAAACAGTTATTAGGCCGGGCGTGGTGGCTCACGCCTGTAATCCCAGCACTTTGGGAGGCCGAGGTGGGCGGATCACGAGGTCAGGAGACCATCCTGGCTAGCACGGTGAAACCCCGTCTCTACTAAAAATACAAAAAATTAGCCAGGTGAGGTGGCGGGCACCTATAGTCCCAGCTACACGGGAGGCTGAGGCAGGAGAATGGCGTGAACCCTGGGGGGCAGAGCCTGCAGTGAGCCGAGATCATGCCACTGCACTACAGCCTGGGTGACGGCGAGACTCTGTCTCAAACAAAAAAACAAACAAAAAAAAACAGTTATTAATTATTATGCTGGTTGCCAAAGGGTGATTTTCTAGTTCACCATTCCTTCTTCATTTATTAGTTGGCTTCATATGTTTTTGAAATGTATATCCTATGTTGGCTTCATATATTTTTGAAATGTATAGAAAGAATGAAGTTCTATCAAAATAGAATATTTTGATAGTTATCACAAAAAGGAACTGCTTTGAAGGAGAAAAAAGTGTTTAAAATTAATGTTACTTAGGTACATTTATATTCATACATTGTTTAAGGCAACCTAATAATTTTGTGAACATATAAAAATGCGATGAAGTTTGGTTTGAGCCTGAAGTAAAAATGGAGCGATGGCTACCTGAAAGTTTTCATAAATATTATGAAGGGAATACAAAAAGACATGTAATAGCAAAATATCTTCCTGGAGTTAGCAGGATATTAAAGGACGCTTTGTGGGAGGGGAAGAAAAGCAAAACATGCAAATGGATGACACAATCTGAGTATAAGTGAGATCCAGGTTATTCAGCTATAGACAGAACTCACCAGCTTGAACTGTGGGTTAAGGGGGAATTGTCAGACAGCATTGGAGTAAAAAGAAAACCAAGCTGGTGGCCCTGCCAAGTTATCTATTGAACAGGTTAGGTAGAGGGAGAGTCTGTGACAAGGACCATGGTAAGAAATCCAGAGAAATCAGATGAAAATGGCTCGAAGTAGAGAATGGGAGGTCAACCTGGAAGAATTATTTGATCTACAGCTGCATTTTACATGGGATTTTGGGGAGGGGCAAAGAAGGAGCTGTTAGAGATGGCTGTCCATTATGGAACAAATAGGTGTGGTTATAAATGGGGAAGAAGTTCTTTGATGACTGGTAGGAATCTCTTGGTGTTTAAACATCCTTAAAAGCTTTGTGGATGAGATGGCCTTTAGGATTCTTTTGGATGAGGGACAAGAGATAGCCCAGCCGGCTCCATGAAGGAAGATGTTCAGGCGTCCTTAATAGAGATAAAATTCTGAGATACAAGTGGCCTGGTTGTGCACCAGCGAGGCTGAGCACGTTTCCTAGGTGGAGGAGCCCTGAGGGCAATCAAGAGAGACTTCCCTGCAGCACTGTAGTATAGGAATTTAGTACTGATTCGCAGGGCAATCGAAGCCATTGAAAGACCTCAGGGAGAGGTGTCTGGGTCTCACCCACACACCGCAGCAGTGGGTGCTGAAGATTGTCTGATGAAGGCATTGTGGACTAGGACTAAGAGGAAGTGAGGGAGAAGCAAATTTGAGTAATGTCATTAGGGAGGAGGACAACCTAGTGGTTTTTGGTATTAGTGTGCATATATAAAGGACTGGGATGAATTTGATAATTGTTTGAGATTTCAGGCTTCATGATACAATTTATTGGCTATGGATAGCCTTGTAAAAAAAGATGTCCAAGTTCTTTTTCTGCATGGTGCATTTGACTTCTTTTTGATTTAGAGAAGTAATTTTTAAAAATCAAATAATTTGGCCGGACGCAGTGGCTCACACCTGTAATCCCAGCAGTTTGGGAGGCCGAAGCGGGCGGATCACGAGGTCAGGAGATGGAGACCACCCTGGCCAACATGGTGAAACCCCGTCTCCACTAAAAATACAAAAATTAGCTGGGCGTGGTGGTGCACGCCTGTAGTCCCAGCTGCTTGGCAGGCTGAGGCAGGAGAATCGCTTGAACCCGGGAGGCGGAGGTTGCAGTGAGCCGAGATTGCACCATTGCTCTCCAGCCTGGGCAACAGAGCGAGACTCCATCTCAAAAAAAAAAAAAAAAAATCAAATAATTTTTGAAGAACATTTAGAAAAATAGCCATGGAGATATTTTTGTCTTTGACTTCTTACTTTGGTTGAGAATCCTAAGCTTATGTTCTTTGTGATTTATACATATAGCTTGGGAACAACCTTTTTCAAACACATTTCTGGAGGCTGCTTAGATGATTTTTGCAAATGATAATAATTTGTTTTTATTACAGTAAAAGCAATATGTACTTATTGTATAAACAGGAACATATTTTTTAAAAGTTGTAATGAAAAAATTAAAATCACTCAGTCTTTTGCCCTGAGATAATTATCTTATTGTTTATATCTGTAGAAAAAAGATGGAAAGAATATTTAGATAAGACCGATCATGCTATTTTGTCAGCTGTTTAACATGTGTCATGATCATCTTAGCACTGAGTAAGTTATATCACTTATAAGATGATTTAAAATATTTTTAATGTAATATTCTCTTCTATACATTTGTAGCTTTCATTTCTTTTTCTGTACGTGGTTGCTGTCATCCAAGTGGTTTCTCATCTTTTGGCCATAGCATCACTGCACTTGATCATCCCTGTACATACGTGTTTCTGCCCTCTTGTGTACCTCTGTGCTGGAAGTTCTGAAAGGCTGAATTGCTGGTTCAAAGTTCGGCAGATTGCCCACCTGTCAGTGTTGCAGGAGTGCCTCCATATTAATCCTGGATGTTACCATTTCTCTTGATATTTTTCCTTTGGAATGGGCCAAAGATACCTGTTTGCTTCTAGGAGCAGCAATGGAGACTATTTCTTCTGCTTGTAATCTTTCAGATAAGAGCACATTTTAAGAGGAAATAAGGTAAATAAAATAGTTTTATTTTTGTTGATCTCATTTCCCCTTTAACTGATTGATGAAAATTGTCTGTCTAAGGTGTATTAAACATCAGTAGAGCAGGAGATGCCTATATGAAGGAGGAGGAAGACCTGATACCTCAACGATGTTCACATTGAAATGGATCTATTTGGGTCTATTTGTTGTTGTTTAATCCAGTTATCTTTTTTTTTTCTCCACAAAATGAGGATAATATTGATTTATCTCCCAATAGAGTTGTGAGAAAAAAACATCAAAATCTATTTCTTTTGAATATTCCACTCTTTTTTCCAAGTGCTTTCACACCTACTATAACCTAATAAATATCAGCTCATCTTAACTGGGCTAAACTGGAAGATGGCAAATAATACTGTTAAATAATAGTGTGTTTTTTTTTTTTTTTTTTGAGACAGAGTTTCATTCTTGTCACCCAGGCTGGAGTGCAATGGTACGGCCTTGGCTCACCGCAACCTCTGCCTCCTAGGTTCAAGCAATTCTCCTGCCTCAGCCTCCTGAGTAGCTGAGACTACAGGCGTGCACCACCACACCCGGCTAATTTTTGTATTTTTAGTAGAGACAGGGTTTTACCATGTTGGCCAGGCGGATCTCAAACTCTTGACCTTAGGTGGTCTGCCCGCCTTGGCCTCCCAAAGTGCTGGGATAACAGGCGTGAGCCACCGCACCCGGCCTATAGTGGTATGTTTTTGTTGGGTAGTGAGGGGTAAGTGTGTGATCTTATTTGATTCTCCATTTGATTCTAGCCTAAACTAAAGAATGTTTTTCAAAAAACACCTTTGTAAAGAAAATGATGGTCAGTAATCTTTCTCATCATAGGAGGCAAGTCAGATGGATGGGCACGTCACTGGCCAGCGTGGTGGTTGAGATCACTCTGGAGACAGCACTGGGGACTTGGTGGCGAGAACTGTGTTTCTGTCTGCCCCGTGGCTGCATTTTTGGATGCAGGCCTCTCTTCAGTGTTGTGTTCATGCTGTTTATGACCCCAACTCACATCTTGCAGCTCCACTATCAGAAGACTGAGTTTCTCTCTTCCCAGCTTGGAGTAAAACAATCACAAATCCCCAAACAATCCCCATAAACCCTCAGCCTATGCATTGTAGCCGGGGAGACATGGCTGTGCACGAAAATGGTCGCTCCCACTCATGTAAAGGGACAGGGCAAGGAGTGCCAAGTCTCCTAAAAGAAGAGTGGCTCGACTGGGGGCAAATGGCCCATGTGTGACCACTGGGGGAATCATGAACTTCATACTTTAGATTGGTTGGGGGAGGCCTCAGGGGTCTAGTGGAAGCCTCAGGCATTGGGATCAGAGGTTAGGGTTTGTATCACAGCTCTCTACTTACTATTTGTGTGGATTTAGATGTGCCATTGAGCCTTCATTTCTTGTCCATAAGAGGAGACTACTGCATACTTCATGGAGACCTGAGGCATGCCCAGGCACTGCCCAGTGCTTGGCATAATATGTCTCTGTGTTTGTACTTTATTTTGTTTATTTTTTCTTCTGATGATCTTCATTATTTGGGCTTTCAGCTGTGTCATCAAGCAAGAACTTTTCCAGCTTTCCCAACCTCTTTAAATCGAGGATTTATCCTTAGTGATTATACTAAATTTTGTAATTCTACCAAAATACTAGTATTTTTATGGGCATGTTGCCATTTTTTCTGTATAAATGTGAAGTTTGAATTCTTTAGGTATTGATATGTATAAGGGATTATATTCTGCTTTAAGACTTCAGACATACACTTACCACATAACCTGTCTTATTTAAAACCATCACTGGGTATTATGTTATAGGGAATGGGAGTTAAACTGGTGAAGTTCAGCTTTTTTTTTTTTTTTTTTTTTTTTGAGACGGAGTCTCGTTCTGTCATCCAGGCTGGAGTGCAGTGGCATGATCTTGGCTCACTGCAACCTCCATCTCCCGGGTTCAAGTGATTCTCCTGCCTCAACCTCCTGAGTAGCTGGGACTACAGGGTAGTACCAATACACCTGGCTAATTTTTGTATTTTTAGTAGAGACAGGGTCTCACTATGTTGACCAGGCTAGTCTTGAACCTCCTGACTTCAGGTGATGCACCCGCCTCAGCCTCCCAAAGTGCTGAGATTACAGGTGTGAGCCACTGCGCCTGGCCGATGTTGAGCTCTTAGGTTTATTCATCATATATTTTTATTATTTTTTCCTTTTTTTTTTTGAGATGGAGTCTCATTCTGTTGTCCAGGCTGGAGTGCAGTGGTGCGATCTCAGCTCACTGTAACCTCCGCCTCCCGGGTTCAAGCGATTTCCCTGCCTCAGCCTCCTGAGTAGCTGGGACTACAGGCGTGTGCCAGTACACCCATCTAATTTTTGTATTTGTGGTAGAGATGGGGTTTCACTATGTTGGCCAGACTAGTCTCGAACCTCCTGACCTCAGGTGATTCACCTGCTTCAGCCTCCCAAAGTGTTGGGATTACAGGCGTGAGCCACCTCGCCCGGCTGACATTGAGCTTCTTGTTTATTCATCACATATTCTTCTAAGAGCCAGTTTGTGCTCTTCTGTTAGAGGTCCCAAATGGAGGGGTTTTAAAATGAGAAGGGAAGGGGAGGTGAGGTGTTAAGGAAATTAAGAGGAGGATGTGGTAGGGGGATTAGGAAAGGGAAAGCTCCAGGCCCAATTTCCAGCCCTGCCCTGGATCCAGGCAGGGGGATGTTCTAAGGATGGGGGGAGGGCAGGATTCCCTGCATACCTCTTACCCCTTAAGGTTCTGATCTATTCTCTGTCTTCTTCCTTTTTTTTCTTTTTTTGAAACAGAGTCTCGCCGCGTTGCCCAGGCTGGAGTGCAGTGGTGTGATCTCAGCTCACTGCAACCTCCGCCTTCCAGGTTCAGGCAATTCTCCTGCCTCAGCCTCCCAAGTAGCTGGGACTACAGGCTCGCACCACTGTGCCCGGCTAATTTTTATATTTTTAGTTGAGACAGGGTTTCACCATGCTGGCCAGGCTGGTCTTGAACTACTGACTTTGTGATCCGCCCGCCTCGGCCTCCCAAAGTGTTGGGATTACAGGTGTGAGCCACTGTGCCCAGCCCAGATCTATTCTCTTAAGACCACATCTTTCTTCCCTGGGATACTTTATTTTAGCCAGGATCAGCCAACTTGCTTGGTCATGCTACTTTGAGAAAAGTATGCTCAGAGCAGCTGGGAGAAAGCAGTGCGCTTCACAGTACATACTGCATGGGGGCTAAGTGTAGCTACTAACCTAGGCCTCAGGGGCTTCAACGTGCAGCTCTTCATATACAATGAAGGAGGAGGATTTATGCTCACAGGGCCCCAAAGCACAGGTGGATGTGGACACAATGGAAACACATTCATGCACACTCAGGACAGTTGTCTTTTTTTTTTTATTTTTAAATTCATATTGAACATAGTTTAGTTTAAGAAAACCTTATGCCAACGCATAGAGAAAAATCTGGTATGGCATATGCCAAACTATTAATAGTGTATTTTTTAAGGGGGGTGGAGAGAATTATAGGGATTACTACTTTGTAAGTTTTTTATTGTTGGAAAATTTTTAAATAATACATCTAGGATTTAAAATTTTTCTTTCTTTTTAAAGAACAGGGGCTAGGTGCAGTGTCTCACTCCTGTAATCCCAGCACTTTGGGAAGCTGAGGTGGGTGGATCACTTCAGGTCAGGCATTTGAGACCAGCCTGGCCAACACGGTGAAACCCCATCTCTATTAAAAATACAAAAATTAGCTGGGCGTGGTGGCGTGTGCCTGGAATCCCAGCTACTTGGGTGGCTGAGGCAGGAGAATTGCTTGAACTGGGAGGCTGAGGTTGCAGTGAGCCGAGATCATGCCACTGCATTCCAGCCTGGATGACAGAAGGAGACTATGTCTCAAAAAAAGAAAAAAAGAATAGGGTCCTCAAAAACGTCAAAGTACATGTCAGCTATGTTTGTATTATGTATGTGTTTGTTTCTTTCTGCCCATGTCTGTTATCTTTAACTAAAGGAGCAAGTAGAGTGGTCAGGTTGAGTGTGGCAGAATGGGAAGCCATCCAGAAGTCACTATTTTTTCCCCCAAGTAGCTGTGCTCTTGAGAAACCTTAAGTATCTTGGTTGAAAGACTTTTTTTTTTTTTTTTTGAGATGGAGTCTTGCTCTGTTGCTCAGGCTGGAGTGCTGTGGCACGATCTCGGCTCACTGCAACCGCCTCTGCCTCCTGGGTTCAAGCGATTCTCCTGGCTCAGTCTCCTGAGCAGCTGGGACTACAGGTACGCACGACCGTGCCCAGCTAATTTTGTATTTTTAGTAGAGATGGTGTTTCACCATGTTGGCCAGGATGGTCTCGATCTCTTGACCTCGTGATCTGCCCGCTTCGGCCTCCCAAAGTGCTGGGATAAAGGCAGTAGCCACCATGCCTGGCCAAAAGACTTATTTTTATAGACTGAGCTCTTGATTGCTTTCTATAAGGAAAATTGATCTGTTTTTTGTTTTTTCCTATCTCCAAAATTAGATATACCCTGTTTAGGGCAGGGGATGCGGTCCTAGAAATGGGAACGCTGGCAAAGGAGAGCAAGTATACTTAGTCTCTGTGGAGCTGTGTTCTAAATCTCACTTCGCAGTTGCTTTCTGTACCTGCACATCCTCTGAAATCATGACCTACCTCTGGCTATTCCATCTGTTGTTTTTTGTAACCTGCTGACAAATGCTCTCAAGCTACAGAGATGTCTTGAAAGCATTTTGTAATGTTGGGGCTTCCCCTCGTCAGTTTCTAGTTGGTGTTCTTCTTTCTCTTCTTTTATTTGAAGGTGACTCCAGCTATGTAAAATAGGCAATTTATAATTGAAAAGTTAACCTGGGACCAGACTGTTTGGGTTAGAATTCACACTCCTCCCTTTAGACCTTCCGTCACTAGCTGTGTGGTACTGGATAAGTTTCTTAATCTCTCCATAGTTTTTCTTCTGCAAAATGGGGACAGTGTTGATCCATAGGGTTGTCGTGAGGGTAAAAGAGTTCATGTGTAGAAAGTGGTTGACGTATCGTAAGTGCTGACATACAGTAAGTACTTGTTAGCTTTATGATCATTTTATAGCATCCAGTGTGATAGCCTTCTTTTGTTTCTTTGTGGTTGATCCAGCATTACAGCACTATCACTACTTGCCTTTGATGACCTGTTATGGATTTAAATTGTACCCAAACAGCCAAACAGTGGTAGAGAGGCCACAGAGGGATAAACAGTTTATTTGTCATTTTAAGAGACATTAGTTGAGGGTGCATTGGCTGAGTGTCTTTGCATTGTAATGGGTGAAGGCTACTGGGCCAGGTTTCTCAGTGTGTCAAAATGTGTACTAAAGTGGATTGTGTACTCCCACCTGGGTGACAGAGTGAGACCCTGTTTCCAGAAAAAAAAAAGAATTGTGGGGTACATACCCCACCATTTTTATTTTTTTTTAAATCTATTCTGGAAATAAGCAGTCATCTCTTTGTGAGGCATATCAGAATCATCTGGAGGCATTTAGCCTCCCTCTCCACCTTTCCTTAAAAACCAGGCTTAGATCATGTCTAAGTTTCAGGTAGTTGATTCTCACCCAGGCTGGAGTAAGGGAGAGACTTTAAGTCGCCATGTAAGCAGCTATTTGACTGTTTAAGTAATGGAATGCCCTACAAGTTTTTCAGTGTTGGAAGAAATTGCATCCAAAAGAGCATAAAACTGATCATAGAGAACGTCTTAGTCTGTTTCTGCTGCAGTAACCAAATAACCACAGACTGGGTGATTTATAAATAATAAAAATTTGGCCAGGTGCAGTGGCTCATGCCTGTAATCCCAGCACTTTGGGAGGCCGAGGTGGGAAGATCAGTTGAGCCCAGGAGTTTGAGACCAGTCTGGGCAACAAAGAAAGCAAGATGCCCATCTCCACAAAAATAAAAAATAAATGTATTTCTTACAGTTCTGGAGCCTGGAAGTCTAAGGTCAAGGTGCTGGTAGGTTGAGTGGTGAGGGCCTGGTCTTGGCTACCAGGATGATACCTTGTTGCTGCATCCTCTGGAAGGGACAAACGCTGTGTCCTCACATGGCAGAAGAGTGGAAGGGCAAAAAAGCGTCTAGCTAGTTCCTCCACCTGCCCTCCCCACGATTTTTTACATAAAGGTATTTCAGAAAAGACCCTAACACTTTCATAAAGTGTTAGTCTCATTCATGAGAGCTCTGCCCTCATGACTTAATCACCTCCCCAAAGCCTCAACTCTTGATGCTATCACACTAAGTTGCAGTTTCAACATAAATTTTGGAGGGGACACAAACATCCACACCATAGCAGTGAAGAACGAAAGAGAATACAAATGAGCAAGAACAGGAATGGACTTGAAAGGGGAGGTACTAGCTTTGATAAGTACTATATGGGTACTTGATGGGCATGCTATGAAAAAAGGGAGATGATTTTGCTTGAGTGAAGTCAAGAGTGAATTAGAAATGTTTGCTTTGCATATTTTGCCAAAATGGATAAGTGGCAGTGGGGATTGTAGAAAAGAAATGGTCTGAACATCATGAAGATAATCACCATGTATTTGATCTCCTGCTATGTGTCAGGTTTTTATATATGCATTATTCTTCAATTTTATCACAATTCCCAGAGGTTAGTTAGCTCTGGGACTCCTCCGGGTTAAGTAATAGTCTCTAAACCACATAGCATTTAACTGGAATTTGAATGGTCCTTCATGCAACCTCTGGCTAATAGGTATAACTTTGCTTTGTAATCACATTGTTTAGGGAGTATGGTAAGAAAAATAAAACAAGTCTTAGATTTCCTACTGGACTAATAGTAGGGGGTAGGTACATTTAAATTTTCAATGGAGGGAATAAAAGAAAAAGTTCAGCAGATGCTTGGAAGAGCAACAACGGTCCCTTATAGTAACTGGGCACTGGCTTGGTATTCGCAGATGAATAAGTGAAACACCTTTGGCTGGGCACGGTGGTTCATGCCTGTAATGCTAGCACTTTGGGAGGCTGAGGCGGGTGGATCACTTGAGGTCAGGAGTTTGAGGCCAGCCTTGCCAACATGGTGAAACCCCGTATCTACTAAAAATACAAAAATTAGCCAGGTGTGGTGGCAGGCACCTGTAGTCCCAGCTGCTTGGGAAGCTGAGGCAAGAGCATTGCTTTGAACCTGGGAGGCAGAGGTTGCAGAGAGCTGAGATCGCGCCACTGTACTCCAGCCAGGGCGACAGAGCAAGACTCTGTCTCAGTTAAAAAAAAAAAAAGGAAGAAAGAAAGAAAGAAAAGAAAAACACCTTTTGAAGGTGTAAGGATTTTAGGTGGACTAGCATTTTAACAGCCAGAAGAATAATTTTGACTACCTTAGAGCCAGTTTAGGAAGAAGACTTTCTCCCTCTCTCTCCCTCTCTCTCCCTTCCCCTTTCCCTTTCCCTTTCCTTTTCTCTTCCCTCCCTCCCTGCTTTCTGTCTTCCTGTCTTTGTTCCTTTCTGTCTTTCCCTCTTTTCTGCCTTTCTTTCTGTCTTTCTTTCTCTCTCTCCTCTCTTTCTTTCTCCCTCCCTTCTTTCCTTCCTTCCAAAAACATGTATCTTTCTTTCTCTCTCTTCCTCCTTCCCCCCTTCTTTTTCTCTCTTTTCCTTCCTTCCTTCCATCCATTCATCCATCCATCCATCTTTCTGTCTTTGTCTTTCTTTCTCTCTCTCTCTCCTCCTCTTTCTCTCTCTCTCCCTTTCTCTTTCTCTCTCTCTCCCTTTCTCTTTCTCTCTCTCTCTCTCTCCCTTTCCTGTCCTGTTCTGTCCTGTCCTGTCCTCCTTCCCTCCCTCTGCTCCCTCACTTCCCTTTTTCTTTTTTTCTTCCTTTCTTTTTTCCTTTTTTTCCTTCCTTTCTTCTTTCTTTCTACAGATTATCTGTCGCCCAGGCTGGAGTAGAGTGGCACGATCTTGGCTCACTGCCACCTCCATCTCCTGGGTTCAGATGATTCTCCTGCCTCAGCCTCCCACGTAGCTGGGATTACAGACACCTGCCACCACACCTGGCTAATTTTTGTGTTTTCAGTTGGGACAGGCTGGTCTTGAACTCCTGGCCTCAAGTGATCCGCCCGCCTGGGCCTCCCAAAGTGCTGGGATTACGGTCATGAGCCACTGTGCCTGGACTTTTCTTTTCTTTTTTGAGACAGTATCTCGCTTTGTCGTCCAGTTGGGAGTGCAGTGGCACGATCTTGGCTCACTGCAACTTCTGCCTTCCGGGCTCAAGCAATCTTCCTAACTCAGCCTTCCAAGTAGCTGGGAGTATAGGCATTCGCCACCCTGATCAGCTAATTTTAAAATTGTTTTTAGAGATGGGGTCTCACCATGTTGCCCAGGCTGGTCTCAAACTCCTCGGCTCAAGCAATCCTCCTGTCTTGACCTTCCAAAGTGTTGGGATTATAGGCTTGAGCCACCATTCCTGGCCTTATTTATTTCTTACTTAAGAACAAAAGGGGCCGGGCGCGGTGGCTCATGCCTGTAATCCCAGCACTTTGGGAGGCCGAGGCGGGTGGATCATGAGGTCAGGAGATCGAGACCATCCTGGCTAACAAGGTGAAACCCCGTCTCTACTAAAAATACAAAAAATTAGCCGGGCGTGGTGGCGGGCGCCTGTAGTCCCAGCTACTCGGGAGGCTGAGGCAGGAGAATGGCGTGAACCCGGGAAGCGGAGCTTGCAGTGAGCCGAGATTGCGCCACTGCAGTCCGCAGTCCGGCCTGGGCGACAGAGCGAGACTCCATCTCAAAAAAAAAAAAAAAAAAAAAAAAAGAACAAAAGGCCTTTTGGGAGGCAGAGAAACGATTCTAGGGTACTGTATTATAGTTCCTGGGATCCTTTGCTCTGCAGAGTGACCTTTGTGGAATGCTGGTCTGCCTGTGAATAGAGTCTAAATTAGAAATTCAAGGTCAGCTATATAAGATAGCCATTACCAAAATGACACACAGGTAAACAAAGTGAATCTTCCTTCCTCACGTTTTTGGTATTAAAGGTCAGCAGAGGGGTCTGATTGCACGTTTAAGATAGGAGAGAATGCTTTTTGACTGATTGAGGGCATGGCCTTTAATTTCTAAGTGGTTTTTAAAGAATGTATGGGTCATTGTTTGTTTATTCCAAAGTCCTAATGATATGAACGATATTTTTTCTCAGACAGGAATGTAGTTTTTGGCAGTTACTCTGCATCACAATGGCTTGAAAATATCCAAGTCCTTTGGAACCAAATTATATGGCCTCTGTGCATGCGTTGTGTGTCCAAGAAAAAAAATATGTGCATGATTGATTTAAAAAACACTTGAAATAAGAAATAATGGCTTTCAAATTGGGAAATCTTAACTACCCAGCACTAGGAGAATATAAGATAAATGTGTACAAATATTTACATGTTTATCCAGGCGATGGTGCACTCTGCAGCAAGTGTAGTTTATAAAGAGTTTTCAGTGATTTGGGGGACATGCTAATGGAATAATGTAAAATGAAAAAGGCAAGTGCAAAATTTAAATACAGCAAAGGCTCAACTTTGTACAAATGTGTAGAAAAATGATCTGGAAAGAAATGAAAATGTTAATGGTGTTAATCTAATTGATAAAATTATAGATAGGTTATATTTCTGTCTTGCATTTTTAAAATACCTCGCAATAGGCATACATTATTTTATAAAGAGAAATTTTAAAATTTTCTTCTACAAGTGCTTTTGAGAAGGTATTTGTCAGGATATGATTAAAGATGATACATTATTTATGTTGTCTGCTACATGAAGAAATAAAAGATTTGTTGTAAAAAGTAATGCCCTTGTTAGGTATACAGTTGCAGTTCTGAAATTAGGGAAGATCACTGGTACCTCACAGTGATTTCTTAATTTTTCTTTTGGAATTCTGCTCACAATAAAGTAACTTTGCATCTTTAATATATGGACAATACCCAAGCAATATTACAGTTAGGATCAGGGATCCACTAAAGCATATTCCACTGCATCAGTCCCACTTTTTTCCCTTAAATTTTAATCTGGTTGCTCTAAAAAGACAAAAATAAAAATCTGTAGAAAATCTCTTACTACATTTAATACTTGAACTGTTTCGATGAATTTTGCCAGTGAAATGAGCAAACACTGGTATGAATTTAGCTTGTTTTAATGACTTCATTTACTACTTTTTACATTTAGTTTATTTTTTCGTGGTAATTGCTGCAGATTTTCTTTTTTTGTTATTTTTGCCTCAGACTTTTGAGATAGAAGATTATGAAATATGCCATGCCAAATGTTCAGAGTTTATTAGCAATGCAGTCAGAGTAAGCCAAATCTGGCAGTTTGGTTTGATTTCTGCTTTATAGTAGAAGGATTAATTCAAGAGGAAGATGCTTATTTATCTTCCTCAATGCATAATGGTACATGTGGAGTTAAAGCATGTTCTTTGTATATTACAAACCTCATAGAATGGAGATCCTTTGACTCAAGAATGAATGTCTTGCATCTTCCTCTCCCCTTCACCAACAAAACAGCCTTAGGGAGAATGAGAATTGCATTAGTGGTTGCCAGGGACTGAGAGGAGGAGGGATCGGGAGCAGCTGCTAATGGATAACGGTTTCTTTTGAGATGATGAAGATATTTTAGAATTAGTGGTGATGGCTGCACAACCTGTGCATATACTGTAAATTACGGAGTTGTACACTTTAAAAGGATGAAGTTTATGGTATGCACATGAAACACCAATTTTTAACAAGTGAGCTAGAAGAGGGGAAGGGATTCCATATGTGAAGGAATCCCATACATGTGAGAAAGCTCCTTCAGATCCCCCCAGCCCCTCTGTCTTCTTCATAGTAAATTACGGAGAAGCCTGGTTCTGAGAGAATGCTGAATTTTCACAGGCATTTGATGTGAGAGTAAAAAAACCATATGAATAAATGACTAGGCTCACCTCTAAAATGTTGTTATGATGTGACGGTCTAAGGACATGGATAATACTGTATTTTCAAAGATTTGTTTCAGAAGATACATTATGGGGCTGTATTAAGGAAGACTGAATTCTGTCTTTAAAATGAAACAAATGTATATTAGGTTTCAACAAATAGTTAAATTACTGAATTGTACACTTTAACAGGATGAATTTTATGGTATTTATATGGAGGAAGAGGGAAAGTGTATAAGTGTATGAGTTTTAGACTTACAGAGTGAAGTTTTTTTTTGTGTGTGTGTGTTTTTAATTCCTCTTACTGTCACTTCCAAATGCTTGTGCTTTTAAGAAGCAATTGCTTTATTTTGGTTTTGGAATGTAAAAAAGCAAAAAGAGGTCTAACTTTTTTTTTTTTTTTTTGAGACGGAGTCTTGCTCTGTTGCCAGGCTTGAGTGCAGTGGTGCAATCTCGGCTCACTGCAACCTCCGCCTCCCTGGTTCAAGTGATTCTCCTGCCTCAGCCTCCCAAGTAGCTGGGACTACAGGCATGCACCACCACACTCCGCTAATTTTTGTATTTTTAGTAGAGATGGGGTTTCACCGTGTTGGCCAGGATGGTCTCGATCTCCTGACCTTGTGATCCGCCAGCCTCGGCCTCCCAAAGTGTTGGGATTACAGGCATGAGCCACTGCACCTGGCCCTTTTTTTTTTTTTTTTTTTTTTTTGGAGATAGTCTCTCACTGTGTTGTCCAGGCTGGAGTGCAGTGGTGTAATCATATCTCACTACAGCCTCAAACTCCTGGCCTTAAGTGATCCTCTCACCTCAGCTTCCTGAGTAGCTGGGACTGCAGGCATGCAGGTTTTTTGTTTGTTTGTTTGTTTCTTTGTTTCTTTGTTTTTCATCTTTTCTAGCGGCAGGGTGTGGTGGCTCATGCCTGTGTAATCCTTGCACTTTGGGATGCCGAGGTGGGCGGATTGCGTGAGCTAATGAGTTCGAGACCAGCCCGAGCAACATGGTGAAACCCTATCTCTATAAAAAATTTAAAAATTAGCCGGACGTGGTGGCAGGTGCCCATAACTCCAGTTACTCAGGAGGTTGGGGTGGGAGGATCGCTTGAGCCCAGAAGGGAGAGGTTGCAGTGAGCAGAGATCATACCACTGCCCTCTAGCCTGGGTGACAGAGTGAGACTCTTTCTCAATCAGTCAATTAATCAATCAATCAGTCAATGAAATTTTTGTAGAGATAGGGTCGTCTGTGTTGCCCAGGGTACTCTTGAACTCCTGGACTCAAGCACTTCTCCTGTCTTGGGCTCCCAAAGTGCTAGGATCACAGGCATGCACCACTGCACCTGGCCTCTAACATGTTTTGAATATCTAGTTATATGCCAGATCTTGTGATAATTGCTTTCAGTATTTTATTCATTAAATCACCACTAGAACCATATTTTCAACCTCATTTTAAATTTGAGGAAACTAAAAATAAACTTGAACCCTGTTGCCTCCCAAAGAATTACGTGGGTCAGTGTCTTTATGAGAAGTTGCCACAGAACAGTGAGGAAAATAACTTGCCTAATACATTACCTCCCAGAGATGCCCACACTGTGGGGAACAGCCTTCCCAGCATTTCTCTGTGCATATATCACATTAGAATTTCACCATATATGCTATTCTATAGCCTGTTTGTTGTTTTGTTTTACTCAGTGTAAAAAGTTAGCCAGATAGGTTTTCTTGTTGAAATATGGTCATTTTTATGGCCTCATAGGATTCCTTTTTATGTGTTATGATCTACTTAATTTGTCTCCTATTGATAGAGATTTAGGTCATTTGCACGTTTTTGCCATTTGAAGTGTGCATTGTGATGATTATCCCATGCATAAAGGTGGATCTTTTTTCCCAACCTTTTGTCATGGATTTTTTTTTTTTTTAAAGATACGTAAGAGTAAAGAAAATGAAACAATGAACCTCCATACTCATCATCCAGCTTCAACAACTCTCAGTGTTCTGCTGCTTTTGTTTCATCTGTCTTCCCTCTGCTGCCCCCCAGTCCCCTGGAGAATTTTAAAGCACATTCCACGTGTCCTATCATTTTACCTATAAATATTTTAATATGTATCCGTAATAAGGTCTTAAAAAATAACCATGGTACCATTATCACGCCTAACAAAATTACCGCCAGTCCCTTAATGTCACCACTAATTAGTTTGTGTTCAGTTATCCTCAATTGTCACAAAAATAGGACATTTTCTAATTCTGTCATTTCCTTCAGTTCTATTATTTATTAGCTGTGATTCTTCTATAAAGAACTTTGCCTCTTCAACTAGTTGATTATTCTGAAATGCATTCTGTATAGGAAAGGTAGTTTGACTGCTTTATTCTTTCCTTAGATTTTCAGAACATGAGTTAGTGTCTACCAGTCTCCAAAAGAAAGAGGATCTTTTTAGTATTAATATAACTCATGAATTTAAACATACTTGGTGTTCCATTTCATTTGAGCATATTCTTGGGGTCTCATATTAGCCAGTAGGAGCCCTTTCAAGCCATGTCAGAGGGCACAGAGCTAATCTGAAAGGGCCAATTCCCAGTGAAAGGAATTGGGGCTCCTTGGAGAAGTGGCTGGTTTCAAATCTAAGCAGGAAGTGTCTGAGATAGATAAGCCTAGAACATCTTGTCAGGCTTCGAACACAAGGAAGCACTTTTACCTGGTATTGCACTATACTCAAGCTACCTCTTTGTACAAGTCTTCCTCACTAGATGATGAGCTTTCCTCACTAGATGATGTGTTTTGTTTTTGAAATCCCATAACCTAGATCTGTTCCTGCTGGGCATTCCTGCATCCATTTTGTATGCCTTCAAAGCTTTACCTTGTAACATTTACCATGGCTTAATTTATGTTGTGATAATTTGATTAATGTCTGTACCTCTCACCCCATATCTACCCCCTTTTTTTAAAAAAAAAATTTTACCTGTAACACCTTGCTTAGTGCCTGGGCACATAGTTGTTACTCAGTAAAATCTGTCTAATAAATGAAAAGACCTCTAACCCTTCCTGTTCATGGTATTCCACAAGATTTTTTGATGGTCAAATACAAATAATAATTGCAGGCCAGGTTGTGTAATACCTTGCTATTATAGAGGCCTATCCGTCAGGGATTCAAAGGTTAGCTTTGGCCTGTGTCATGCTCTTAGCTACGTAAGTCATTTTTTAGTTGGGGGTGAGAATCTGCACCCTCTGTTGTTGGGTAGGGACACATTTAACTGTGTCTCCTTCTCTATAGCTCATAATGTGAAGCCCTGTAACAGGTCTTGAGCCTGGATATTTACACCGATGCTTTAGAGATTATGCCACTTAAGTAATGTTATCTTAGGTGTATTTATCCGTCCTCCTCCTTTCTGCCTCTCCTCACCCACTCTTCTCCTAGTAGGAAATTACTTTTCGTTTTCATGTTTTTATATTGAGTTGTGAACACTTGCTTTACTCTGGTGCGTAGACTTGGGCAGACCACTTTACGTCACTGAGCCTTTGCTTCCTGGTTTGTACGATGGAGAGAAATAATACTACCTGCCATACCTCTTTACAGGACTGTGTAAAGCTTATTATCCATGAATCTTCTCTTACTTTCTCCCTTTTACTTTGTGGTGTGTGAGCTTCAGAATCTGATACATTTTCATGCTTTTACTTATAAGCAATTAGCTCTAAAGCCTCCCTTTTTTGAAAAAAGTTTTTTATTAAAAAATTAATGTAGCTGGGTATGGTGGCTCACCCCTGTAATCCCAGCACTTTGGGAGGCCAAGGCAGGCAGATTATCTGAGGTCGGAAGTTTAAGACCAGCCTGGCCAACACGGTGAAACCCTGTCTCTACTAAAAAAAAAATTAGCCGGGCATGGTGGTGCACGTCTAATCCTAGCTACTCAGGAGGCTGAGGCAGGAGAATTGCTTGAACCTGGGAGGCGGAGGTTGCAGTGAGCCGAGATCGCGCCACTGCACTCCAGCCTGGGAGACAGAGGGAGACTTGTCTCAAAGGAAAAAAAAGAAATGTATTTTTAATTGACAGAAATTGTATATATTATGTACAACATGATGCTTTGAAATATGTAATATTGTGGAATGGCTAAATCGAGCTAATTAGTATATGCGTTACCTCACATAGTTTTTTTTTTATGGTGAGAAGATTTAAAATCTCTCAGTGGTTTCTTTTTTTTTCTTTGAGACAGAATCTCCCTCTGTAGCCCAAGTTGGAGTGCAGTGGCACGATCTCGGCTCACTGCAACCTCCAATTCCTGGGTCCTGGTTCAAGCAATTCTGCTGCCTCAGCCTCCTGAGTAGCTTGGATTATAGGCACATGCCACCACGCCCAGCTAGTTTTTGTATTTCTAGTAGAGACAGGGTTTCATCATGTTGGCCAGGCTGGTCTTGAACTCCTGACCTTGTGATCCGCCTGCCTCGGCCTCCCAAAGTGCTGGGATTACAGGCGTGAGCCACCGCACCCGGTTTTTGTTTTTTTTTTTTTTTTTTGATATGGAGTCTTGCTCTGTCACCCAGGCTGGAGTGCAGTGGCACAATCTTGGCTCACTGCCACCTCCACTTCCCTGGTTCAAGTGATTCTCCTGCCTCAGCCTCCCAAGTAGCTGGGATTACAGGCGTGTGCCACCACGCTCAGCTAATTTTTGTATTTTTAGTGGAGACAGGGTTTCACCACGTTGGCCAGGCTGGTCTGGAACTCCTGACCTCAGGTGATCCACCCACCTTGGCCTCCCAAAGTGCTAGGATTACAGGTGTGAGCCACGGTGCCCAGCCATCAGTGATTTTTTTTTTTTTTTTTGAGATGGAGTCTGGCTCTGTCGCCCAGGCTGGAGTGCAGTGGCACAATCTCAGCTCACTGCAAGCTCTGCCTCCTGGGTTCATGCCATTCTCCTGACTCAGCCTCCCGAGTAACTGGGACTATAGGCACCCGCCAACACACCCAGCTAATTTTTCTATTTTTAGTAGAGACGGGGTTTCACTGTGTTAGCCAGGATAGTCTCGATCTCCTGACCTTGTGATCTGCCCGCCTCGGGCCATCAGTGATTTTTAAGAATACAGTACATTATTAATAGCTATAGTTACCATATTGTACAATAGATCCCTTAAACTTATTCCTCTTGTCTAACTGAAATTTTGTGTCTCCCCAGCGGAATCCCCCAGGCACCCTGGTAACCACCACTCTACTCTCTGCAAAGCTTACGTTTTTGTTGCTGGTCTATGTGTGGTAAGAGAAAATAGGGTTTCACAGGACACAGTTGCCCATTAGCTTTTGTTTTGTTTTGTTTTTTTAGGCTACCTTCTCCCTTTTAAAGTTGAGGTAATCATAGATTCACATGCAGTTATAAGGAAAAATATAGAGAGATCCTTTTTATAAATGCCCAGTTTCCCAAAATGGTAACATTTGGCCAAACTATGGTATCAAATCACAACCAGGATATTGATACTGATACAAACCAATAATTTTACTCACATGTATTCAGTTTTATTTGTACTTAAATTGTGTGTCTATTGGCTTTTGAACTGAAAAGTCTCCTAATTCAACATTTCAGATTTGAAGTGACAGGGTAATAGGAACAAATATCAATTAATATGAGAGAATTAACTTAGACAATGAAGAAATATGATCTAACTGTAGTGAATGTGGTAATCCAGACCATGATACTTTTGGGCCAAATAGTGCAATATTGTTATTTAACAGTTGTCTTAAAAATTAGAGAACTAATTTATTAGCATATACATTCTTGGCGTGCTAAAGACACTTAAAAAAGGACTTTAAACTTGAAACTGTTTCTTAAGCATATCCTGCTGTCACATTGTTTACACGTTCCTTTGTTTATATTTATTTTGCTTAGAAAACTGTGTTTTCAGCTGGGCGCGGTGGCTCACGCCTGTAATCCCAGCACTTGGGGAGGCTGAGGTGGGTGAATCACCTGAGGTCAGGAGTTCAAGACCAGCCTGGGCAACATGGCAAAACCCCATCTCTACTAAAAATACAAAAACTAGCTGGGCGTGGTGGCAGGCACCTGTAATCTTAGCTACTAGAGAGGCCAAGGCAGGAGAATTGCTTGAACCCGGGAGGTGGAGGTTGCAGTGAGCTGAGATTGTACCACTGCACTCTAGCCTGGGCGACAGGACGAGACTCCATCTTAAAAACAAAACAAAACTGTTTTCATGAGCACTGCAGAGTAATTTTAGTTCAGCTCTGGGTTAGTGGGACCCAAGCTAGATTTAATACCCTTTCCCTTTTCTCATTGGTCAGAAGAAGATGGTGGATGAACTATGCTTCCTTTCCTCCTTTGTTCTTGTTTAGGTTTGAGGCATGACCAGTCACCATCAATGGAAGTCTGGGGTTAACTTTTAACTTAAAAAAAAATTATCATATATATATTTTTGGTAGAAACGTGGTTTCACCATGTTGCCCAGGCTAGTCTCAAACTTCTGAGCTCAGGTGATCTGCCCTCCTCAGCCTCCCAAAATTCTGGGATTACAGGTGCGTGAGCCACTGCCCTCGGTCCTAACTTTTAACTCTTTATGTTTCAAATGTTCCTCTTTCCCAGCACACACAATCCAGTTGTCAATAAATTTTAGTAGTTTTTTTCTCTGAAATAATAATTTTTTGTCCCCCCCACCCTTAAGAATGTGTGCCTATTTGAAAATGGCAGAAAAGCATGAAGAAAATGTCGTCTTTTTTATTTTTTGAGAAGGAGTCTCGCTCTGCTGCCCAGGCTGGAGTGCATTGGTGCAACCTCGGCTCACTGCAATCTCCGCGTCCCGGGTTCATGCCATTCTCCTGCCTCAGCATCCTGAGTAGCTGGGACTACAGGTGCCCGCCACCATGCCCTGCTAATTTTTTGTATTTTTAGTAGAGACGGGGTTTCACCGTGTTAGCCAGGATCGTCTCGATCTCCTGATCTCGTGATCCACCCGCCTTGGCCTCCCAAAGTGCTGGGATTACAGGCATGAGCCACTGCGCCTGGCCCTATTATTTTATCTGAAGTGTCTACCTGTCAGACCTCTGCCTTTTTTTCTTCTAATTCTGCCTCTGCTATAGGAATCAGATGCCATTTTTCTCTTCCTTAGCCTTTTGAAGCTGCTTTCCAACTAGTTTCCCTCCCTAGGCCAAGTGGCTTTCTTTCTTCCTCTCTCTTTTTTTTTTTGTAATCAGTACTACATCTTTTACAGGTGAGCTTTCTAAAACAGATTTGTTTGTCCATCCCTGCTCCGAAGCCTTGAGTTCTCTGCTGCCTAAACAAGAAAGCCCAAACACCTGAGCATGATACTCAACACCCTCTAATATTTTTGTCCTAAACATGCCATTCTTTGCTTTTCTTCCACCACGTTCCCTCCATACTGTAGCCACACTGATTTGGTGCATCCTCCTGCCACCCCATTCTCTTTCCTCGGTATGGATTGCCTCTTGTTGGCCTTGTGAAACTTCTTTTCATGATTGAAGACTCAGCTTAAATGGTATGGCTCCTGTGAAGCCTGTGCTAATTTTTCCCAGTTAAAATTGCTTGCTCCCATACCACTGAGCCCACACCACACTTTGCCAGACCATGTTTTGCTTTGTGTTGTTGCCATTTGCTACTTGTTTCAACTATAATATTGATATTTTTGCAGAAGAGGGCCATAGTTTGATTTTTCTTTGTGTGTCTGAACCCGTTGCTTGCACAGCAGTACCCAGCATATAGTAACTGCTTATGAAATTTAATTATATTAGCTTGGGCAACATGGTGAAAGCCCATCTCTACCAAAGCAAAACAAAACAAAACAAATCAAAAAACTAGCTGGGCATGGTGGCACACACCTACAATCCCAGCTACTTGGGAGGCCGAGGTGGGAGGATTGCTTGAGCCTGGGAGGCAGAGATTGTGGTGAGCCAAGATCACACTACTGTACTCCAGCCTGGGTGACAGAGTGAGACCCATCCCAAAAGAAAAAAACCAAAAACTAAATAAATAAATTTAATTATATTAAGCTGCATAATAAGTGTCTCCTGCTTGCTTGTATTTGAGGTGGCCTTTTGTGTTTTTTGCTTAATGTGCCTTGTCATTAAAAAAACAGAAATCCCTGTGACAATTTCCTCTCTTATAGTCATATCCCAATTCAGTATAGCTTTATGAGAGGGATGAATTTGTAGCCATGGTTCTGTAAGGCAGGAAGATTCTAATGGGCATCCAAATCCCGTGGGTGACTTTCATTTCTCATGAGAATGAAGTGGGGAGGGGTAAGCGAGTGGGAGGGGACACCTGGGAATCAGCCAGGAATATTCCTTGTTTCCTTCATATCCAGTAAATCCAGAAAATGAGTTTTAGTTGGATGAAAGCCTTGGCATCCATCCTAACCTTTGTTACTAATTGAAGAACTTGAATTTAAATTGTGATTTGTTCTCAGAAAATTCCAAATAGAAAACTCATGGTATTATATCATACAGGGTCCCAGTGAAGGAAATCTAGAAATTCTAGTTTTCACACTGTAGAAGGAATATTGATACACTCACCCTCTCTTGCCTTTTGAAGGGAGAAGCCGGGCTCCCTGATATTGAAAACTACATGCTTGCTGTGAGAGAGGATGCATGGTAGGCTGAAAGCCTCATGGATCATTAAGAGTTCACTAGATTCTGCCTGCAGCTGTTAGAAAATGAACAATCAGGCATGTGGGAGTCTACCATGTTGCTGAAATGCTCAGCATGAATGACTTTAGCCACAGAGATATTTTTCACTTTGAGAAGGAAAACCTTTTTACACAAGAGAAGATTGGCTTTATGTTTAAGAAACAGTGTTCTACTTAGTGGTGCACTGAATTCTAGATCACATTTTGGTCATACTTCTTCCTCCCACCCTAGTGATAGTCTCCAGCAATAAAAAGGAGAGGCACTTTTTACTTCGTTAACAAGATTGTGCCACCTGTCTCTTTCCTTTGGGAGTTGGGTGGGGAGGGAAAGAAGGAGGGAGAGAGGAGAGAACAGACTGATATGCTAGAGGCCTCTTGGAAAGAAGTGAGTGCATATTAGTGATATTTAGACACTTGGATGCCCCCCTTTTTTAACTTTTATCCTTAACACAGAAACTAAAACAGCAAATATCTTCCTTTGACAGATGCAGAAACTGAGGCACATAGAGGAATTAATTTGCTCAAAGTTACACCAGTAGTAAGTGGCAGAATCTAGTCCAGAGTCTGCACTCTTAACCACTATGTGCTATTGTCACATCAGCACAGTTTACAAACAAGGTTGGCCATGGTGAGCCTCCAGTGCACACAGCATTCCAAGTAATCTTTTTTTTTTTGAGACAGAGTCTCCCTCTTTGCCAGGCTGGAGTGCAGTGCTGCAATCTTGGCTCACTGCAGCCTTGGCCTCCTGGGTTCAAGCGATTCTCCTGCCTCAGCCTCCCGAGTAGCTGGGACTACAGGCACGCACCACCACGCCCTGCTAACTTTTTATATCCCATTTCATCATGTTGGTCAGGCTGGTCTCAAACTCCTGATCTCAGGTGATTTGCCCTCCTTGGCCTCCCAAAGTGCTGGGATTACAGGTGTGAGCCACCACGTCCGGCCGTAAGAAATCTTTTAACATCATAAATTGGGTTCTATCACTTGTCAGCCTAACCTTCTCCAGTGTCTTCCCATTACACTTAAAATAAAATTAAAACATTTACTTTAAAGGGTTAATGACCTTGTGCCGAAGGCCTAGCCCTAGCTGTCTCTTGGCCTTGTTCTCATTCCTGCTGTCTTTTACTGTCCTCCAGCCGCCCTGATCTCTGTCTCTAGATTGTGCTTCAGAGGGCTTTCTAATGGTTAGTTGGCTTTCTCCCGATCTCTGTGTTATGAGCTATATCCTATCATTTGGGTCTCAGCTTAAACTCACTGTTTAGAAACCTTCTGTGACGTCCCTAGCTAAAATAGTCTCTACCCTCAGTCAATTACTTTGCCACTATTTGAAATTCCTTCTACTTGAATGTAAGATTCTTGAGGCAGAGACCTCTTATGGCAGTTTAGGAAGACAGGCAAAGTCATTAGCGTCTCTATTGCCTAAAACAGTGCTTGGGACATGGTGGCCACTCAATAAATATTTATTGAGTAAATTAACATAATGAGGGATTGAACATTTATATCTCCGGAAGGCACATGGCTTTCCTGAGAGCAACTTTTACATCCCTCTGGCTTAACAGATATATGACACCAGCTCAGGACAGCCAGAGGCTACCCTATCAATTCTATTCCTCCAAACTATTCCTGCCACCTCCCTAACTAAAACTTGTGGAGAAGTTTGTCTCCCCAGTGTCTCAGCAGTAAGTGAAGGTAGGGGAAGACCAAGGACCTGGATATGACAGAGTTCTCCTCTGATTTGCTCTATTTTATAGGACCCTGGAAAGCAACTCTTGGACTTGAGCTTCACACAATGGCTATATTTGTAATGGTGACTTCAAGAAAAGCCAAACTCTAGAGTATTCTCTATAATTGAAATATCTAGTACATTTTAGGAGATTTCCATTAACTAAATGGAAACTTAAGACATTTAGAATCAGTCCTCAGTTATGTGGAAAAATCCTTTCTCCGGATAGACTCATTCCTTCTTTCAGTTGTGAGCGTGTTACTTGCTTAGTGCTGGGCAGTCTTCACTAAAGTTGGGTTATGGTTATTAAAGAAATGTTTGTTTCATTTGTTCTTTTGCTCGTCTAGAATACAACACATTTCTTATTTGAAATCAAAGGCTGAGTTTTCTGAGGGTCATTTGTTATCTGATTAGACTGCCCCAGTGTGAGGACCAGGGGCTCTGAAGGCCACTGACCACCCCTCTCTGGTCCAGTGGTTACAATTGCCCCCAGGGTTCCGGGAGGGGTGGAAGCTAGGTCTCTTTGACCCCTGCTTAGCAGTAATGTGCTGTCTCTGAACTCTGAATCATACTGAACCAATTCTGGCTGGACGTCATTAGCCACCCCTGTCCATTATTGATTCAGCCCTGAGTCTGAGAGCACAGTACACATCTGTCTGAAGCCCTCTAGACGAGTGGATGAATCCTCCCTCTGTTCTGTACTGGTGCTGTTCAATGCATGTTAGAAACTGGATACTCTGATGACATCCTGAAAGTGTATAAAGCCTTGATCTTTCTCTGTTTTTGATTCATGGATGTAAAAGCATGAAAATCTTAGAAGTTAACCAGTCCACCGAAACTTTACCAGCTTCCCAACCCCATCTAGGAAGATAGAAGTAGTCACATAAAGAAAGAGACTTTATAACTTCTTAGCCAAGATAAATCACTAAACTCTGATATCGTGTATTTGTATTATGTGGCGCTCCAAAGGTATTTCTTTTCTTTCCTAACACCTCTTTGTAGTCCAGATTTGTCTTTAGATTTCATGGCTTAGTCATAGCATGATGAGAGGATAATTAGGGTAGAGATTTATTTGCCCGTTTCACACATTTTGTGTTTGTGTGTATGTGAAGATAAGATGTGCCAGGGAGTTAAAGGGAGAAAAATTCTATTCCCTGCCTTCAAACTAGTGATTATAGCAGAGGAGACGTTTGCACGGGAGGACCTCGTGTCGTACATTACAGCCAACCAGTTACAAGAGATGCAGAGTGCTGAGTCCAGGCTGCCCTTCTGTGGGAGGTAACTAGCGAAAGCTTCTGGAAATGGTGGCCCTGGAGCTGGATCTTATAAGATAGGCAGGATTTGGTCATGTAGAAGTAAACTTTCCAGGTGGAAATAGTGCCGAGCAATGCTGGAGCAGTCTGGAGAAGTTCCACTTTGGCCCATGGATCATGTGTACTGAAGCTCTGGGGTACTCTCCTTCCCCCTATTCTTGGGAAGCTCCCAGAGGGCAAGGGCTTTGTTTTGTTCAGTCTGTATGCTGAGCATCAGGACAGGACAGTGCCTGGCCCACAGCGGTGCTCGACTGTTTGTTCAGTGAGTGGAAGAAGCTGAGGATAATGAAAGTAGCTAACGTTTATGGAACAGTTCTGCATACTAGGCCTGTGCAGAGCTCTTTTAGGCAAATTGTTTTCCTTCATCCTCACAACCATCTTGTTAGTTGCTGTTGTAATTCCCCTTTAATAGGTGAAGATAAGTGGTAGAGCTGGCATCTGAAATGGGGCTATCTGTGTTCAGAACCCAAACTCTTCCCCTGAACTATGCTTCCTAGAGAGAGATTGGTGCCCAGCCTCAGAGGGCGTGAAGGCCACACCAGGGCTGTTAAGCTGTTTTTTAAGCAGGCTCTGAGGGTTCATTGAAGGTTTTTGAGCAGGCTTCTAGGGTGTTCCAAGTTGTGTCTTGGAAAGTAAAAAAATTATGGTGGTGTCTCAGCCAACTTGGGGATGAGTAAGAGGTTCCTAGAAAATAGTCCAGTGGGTAAGAGGTAATGAGATTGAGGATGGATTACTGGAATGTTAGGGGAACTAGTTGGGTACTAGTTTGAGCATTTGGCATTGGTAGGTAGTTATTATCAAAATTACTAGTGGCATCTGAAAGTAATTTAAGACATGAGCTTGTGCTTTGCACACAGTAAATCCTCAATAAAATGATTATAGTTTGTCTACAATGCTTACTGTTTTGGAGCTTTGAATCTCGCTCACCTAAGGAAGTCCTGTTTGCAGACATCTTGGGCATTTTGCTTATAAACAATATTTCTTTAGTTCTCTGCTATAGTTCTACTTGAAAACCCAGTCTTTCAAGAAAAACAAGAGAGGACCAAGTTGTTTCCACTTATTGCTTACGTTTTACAGACTATTACTTTTAACACAAAATATGGTGCAGCACAGAACACATTACAGAGCAATACAGTTTGCAAAGTAATTACAGGATTTATAAACATGGGAATTCACATTATACACCTAGCATGTGATCTGATAACGGGGTCCAAGAAATGCAAGGCACCTTGAGGTCTGGCCTGTGGTCCCACTGCTTTCGTCCCCATTTCTCTTTTTGCACCCACACATCTACCCCCTCTTGTGGGAGGACTTTGAGATGATTGCTTCAGAGGCACCTGAATAGTTTATAGGCTGGTCTCATTAGAATTGTTTGGTAGCTTGGATTAAAGCAGTGAAATGTGAGAAGGGTGCTGGAGGTCCATTAATAGGACTCACAGCTGTCAGTCTCAGAGCCCAGTGCTAGCTCCTGCTGTGTGCTTGTTTCTGGCCGTCCCTGAAACAACCCTGCAAGAAAGTTCACTTGTGCTTTTTGGGTGTTTTCTCTTCGGAAAAGAGATAAATCCTAGGGCCCTTGTTTTAGTACCTTACCTGTGGATAACTACAGCAAACTGATGCAAACAGGGAAAGGACTTAGAACAAGTTTTAGGGCCGTTCTGCTCTTAATGTGTGTTCTGACTGTCAGTATTGCTGTCAGCATCTAGACTTGAGCATGCAGATCTGCTGATCATGCCTGATGATCTTTGATTTGAGTTGCTAAGTCAGATAATGCCAGAATTGGAGCGGCCTAGTGAAAAAAGGCTCTGGGCTCACAGTATGGGGCATCAGCTGTCTCTGCAGCTCTCAGGGCTCTGACAGCCTGTCCCTGCCAAGGGAGGGATGAGCATGGAAGGTCACAGCAAGTTCAGTGGGAAAGTGGCTTCAGGGCAGAGCTTTGGTTGGCTGTGGATGTGGAGGAAGTTCATTTCAAAGCTCATTTAGAGAGGGTTTAAAAACAAATTTCTTAAAAAAAGTGCATCTCCTTTTATGTGAACACAGCTGCTGCATGGGGCTGTGATAGTGCCTCCTGGACTTGTGCAACAAGGCAGCCCTGGTAGAAATACTATACCGATTGCTTTTGGCAAATTTGATTTACTGGAGAAAGTAGTCACATGAGTTATTCTGCATGTTTACTGAGACCCTCCTTGGTCTTGTGAATACAGAGCAGAATGAGACCTAGTTCCTGCCCTGAGGAACTCATGCCTAGGGAGACCCTATATCCACGTAGCCTGGGACATTCCCTGTTCATGCCTCTTGTCCTGGTATAAGAGTACGCCCTTTGAATCTCAAAGTTCCTGACTTCAGATGATAAATTATGTGGTTACCTTATTCATAGTCTAGTGGTGGGAGGCAAATATGTGAACTTTCATCTCATCACAGAATTGAGCCTCTGTGCAGGGGCCCCAGCCTGGCCTGTTGATAGGCCTCCTCCTCGTCTTTCCCCACCTGTGTATACAACTTCTTTTCTCTGACAGTGGCAGTCCCCTTGTCCACCTGCATTCTCCTGCTTATCCCAGTGTCCCAGTGCTTCTTGCCCCATAGCTGCCACAGGAACCCAGAACTTATTTAGGGACCAGGAGGATAAGCTTTCATGCCAACTGCAGCCCCTTTGGAGCATATTCTGGGTTGTGGCTTTCCCTCTCTTTTCTTCTTCTCAAATTGTGTTTGGGGAAAAATTTATTTGCTGATGGCTGCTTGTGTTCTACCAATGCCTCACTTCTCTGAGTTGTTTCGGTGATAATCTGTACTTCTGTCATTCTGATGGGCTGTCAGGAGCAAAAGTTGATGAAAATGTGTGCTTGGTTTCCCGTGTTTAACTGGTATAGCTTTGGACTTGGATTCCTAATTCTCTCCACCCCTGGGAATAAAATATCGTACCATAGAGAGAGCTGGGCTTTAGAGCCCCTTGGACTTGGATGTGAGTACAGGTGATAAATCTGTCACTAAAACAGGGTAAATCAATACAGGGTGATGACCAAGGCCCTTTCTGACTAAAATCTTTGATAATTCTTCTTCAGTGGTTCTAAGTTAGGGTGAAGTCCTTAATTATAGAACTCAAACCATTTTAGTCATGATATGAGATTGTCCAGTGCTGGGCCAGAGAGGTTAAGTGACAGGGTCTCAGAAAGAATAGATTCCTAAAACATGGTTCGTACATGGAACATTTATAGAAGAATGGATAAATGTTAGCTCCCTACCCCGCCGCCACCTTTTTTTGTTTTTCCTCATTGCCTTTAGCTAATCAGTGAATTCCTCATTTGGAATAATTACCTCATGAATGATGTGGTTTGGCTTTGTATTCCCACCCAAATCTTATCTCATAATTCCCACACATTGCAAGTGGGACCTAGTGGGAGATGATTGAATCATGGGGACAGGTCTTTCCCATGCTGTTCTTGTGATAGTGAATAGGTCTCACAAGATCTGATGGTTTTAAAAATGGGAGTTTCCCTGCACAAGCTCTCTCTTTGCCTGTTGCCATCCACGTAAGACATGACTTGCTCCTCCTTGCCTTCCCCCATGATTGTGAGGCCTCTCCAGCCATGTGGAACTGTAAGTCCAATAAACCTCTTTCTTTTGTAAATTGCCCAGTCTTGGATATGTCTTTATCAGCAGCATGAAAACAAATGAATACAATGAACTTTCATTTTCACCCCTTGCTCATTCTTTTTTGTTTATTTCTCCCAAATTTGGTTTTGCTTACTTTTGAAATTTGAAATCAGGATTAGATAAGAGTGGGAGGTAATATAAAAGAAGCTAATTTCCCCAGAGCTGAGAATTTGTTCCAAGTTCTCAGGGCCTTTTTGTTTTACAAAAAGTTGGAAGTTAAAAGAAATTAAAGCAGCAAATTTATTTTTGATTTCCATATCCTACCTCTAAGCTTTCTATGCTAGAACAAGTTAGCATATTTTTTAATAAGAGAATTCATTAAGTGTGTCGGCATGTTAATTTTTCATTTTTTGGCTAAAAGCATGGTATGTTTGAAAGCATGAGTGAAATTCTGGAATGGAAGAGGTGATGCTCAATCCAGACATGAGGTTTCTGCTGATTCTTTCTGCCTCCTCTTTAAAAGTGCTACTGGCCTTTGACAAAGTCTTGTTGCTTTATACATCTCCTTTTTCAATGTGATGTAGACTCTTTCAACAAATCATCAGGCGGTCGTTTCTTGACAGCCTGTTCAGCATAATATAAACTATCCTATGAAAAAAGTGGAGAAAAATCAAGTGCCCACTTATGTTATCCTTGAGTGTTGTGGTTAGAGGTCAGAGAAGGGAGAGAGAAGTGAAGGCTACTTGGCATTGGGGGAAGCCTCCAGTTGAGAAGAGATGCCTTGTACTTGATTTGAAAGGGGTCAGTTGGGAGGGAGGGCACACCTTAGGAGTGTGACACCAGATGGGGCAGGTACATTGCCCATCCCCAACCCCAGGAGCCTCAGCCAAGTGCCTCTGGGGAAGTGTCAGTCACGTGATTAGCTTGGCCTGTGTTGGGACTGTCATTGGGACTCAAAAAGATGTGTGCATATAACATTTTAAATTTAGAAGAGACATGAAAAATAATTTAGAACAACTTCATTTTACAGATGGAGGAACTGAAGCCTGGAAAGGACAGCTGACCTCCTTTCCAGATTCTGAAAGAATAAAATCGAAAGCAGGAGAGGGTTCTCTGTACCAGGCCACATCATTGAAAGACAAAACCTGAACAATAATAAAACCCCAGAGGACAAAAGCCAAGCTTAAGTGAAATTTGCCTGTTGTGCTTCTGTGCTTATGTTTGATCTCCTAGTAAATAATTGAAGAGTTTGAGGTAGTTCCCCAGTGGAAAGGTTTCTAGAATAGAGATTTGTCTGAAAATGTTCAGAAGAGCTGTTCAGTATTCTACTCAGTTGATTTTATGGAGGGAGTCATAGGACTCTCAGTGTTGGAGTAACTAGTTGTGTTGTAGCCTGTCATGGCTTTGGAGTGATTTGTTCTTTGCTGGATGACTAGATAAATCAGTAAAGACAGAATTCAGGAAAAGGGATGAGAGATGGAATGGGGAGGAGACTCAGATTTAAAGAATGCCTTGTGCTAGGCCACGTGCTGAGCATTTTCTATAAGTCAGTTCCCCAAGTCCTCTGAAGAACTCAAATCCTTCAGCACATGTTTGTTCCGCACAGGTTAGCAGTGGTCACAGGCAGGCCCTGAGGGTGGACTGCCTGCCCAGGTTCCTGTGCTGTGGCTGGCGCTGGGCTTTGCTCAGAGGAGTCAAGGAGAAGTCACTTGGCCCCAGCTCTAAGAAGACTTGCTGTCCAGGACAAAGATTGTCAAGCTGTTTCTCTAAGGTTCATAGTGAGAAATCCGTTTTATGTTGCAACCTGTAGGAACACATTAGTCCCACAGTCAGAAGTAAAACATTTCATCTCAAGAAAAACCACAGAAGACAAAGAATACTTGTCTAACATTAAGCCCTAACATAATGTAGTTTTGAGCCCCTTTCTTGTAAATTGCCAGATTCCCTAATGAAAACAGCTTTACCTCTGATTTTTGCAATCCTGATGCCTGCAGACATGTAATAACCCTTGTAGATAAGCCACTCAAAGGTAGGAAACTGATGATTTTCTTCAAGGGAGAATAGTGAGTGTATCAACTCTAACTTTGGCATTTCCTTTCCCCTTTAAATACTTGCACCATCCTTTATTTAGAGAGCCCAGTATTTCAGAAGGCCTGACTCACTTGCCCTTATCTCCATCTAAATCAAGGTTTCCAACCCCTGGCTCAGAAGCCCAGGACAGTTTTGAATGTGGTCCTACACAAATTCACAAACTTTGTTAAAACATTATGAAATTTTTTTGCAATTTTTTTTTAAGCTCATCAGCTGTCATTAGTGTTAGTGTATTTTATGTGTGGCCCAAGACATTTCTTCTTCCAGTGGGGCCTAGGGAAACCAAAAGATTGGATACTTTTGATCTAAATATTTGTCTTATTGTTCCATTTTGTCTCTAGTTTTTCTAATAGTGATCGTATGAGATCAGTGCACTGCAAGCTACTCTTTTTTAGTCACTGCAGTATTTAAGGTAAGAGAAAAGAAAGCTTTAAGATAGATTTTACAGTAGTAATTCTTTGCCTAGAATAATAGTCATGAGTCTTAATCCTGGTTCCCAGGTAGTTAAGGAGATATAGTTTCTAAAGATCAAACCTATAGTATACCTTTATTATTACTTTTTCAACTTTGTATTATGAAAATTGCAAAACATTGGGCTGCGTGTGGTGGCTCATGCCTGTAATCCCAGCACTTTGGGAGGCCGAGGTGGTTGGATCACCTGAGGCCAGGAGTTCGAGACCAACCTGGCCAACATGGCAAAACCCTGTCTCTGCTAAAAATACAAAAATTAGCTGGGCATGGTGGCCCATGCCTGTAATCCCAGCTACTCGGGAGGCTGAGGCAGGAAAATCACTTGAACCCAGGAGGCAGAGGTTGCAGTGAGCCAGGATCGTGCCATTGCACTCCAGCCTGGGCTCCGTCTCAAAACACAAAAAACAAACAAACAAAAAAAACAAAAATTAGCCAGTTGTGGTGGCAGGCTCCTGTAATCCTGGCTACTTGGGAGGCTGATGCAGGAGAATTGCTTGAACCTGGGAGGCAGAGGTTGTGGTGAGCTGAGATCGCGCCACTGCACTCTAGCTTGGGCGAAAACAAAAAGAAAATTGTGAAACGTACACAAAAGTAGAGAGAATGTTTTAATGAATCCATGCACCCAGCATTTAACTTCAAGGATTGTCAGTAACTTGCTGTTCTTGAAATGCCTGGTACTGATGTGATACCCCTTATTCCTAGAGGTGGAAATAACCGTGGAGCAGAGGGATGTTCTTGGATGTGGATTCATTCTCCACTTTGCAGAGAAAACCTAGACAGAAGACTGTCTTCCATTCCTTCCTGGCAGGCAGCTTCTGAGGGGATATGTGTGTTTAAAACTTAAAATGTTAAAAATTGTTTTAATTGTGGCTTTCTTAAATTTCGAATTTATGTGTATCTGTTGTGAAAATTCCTTAATACACACATGTGAAGCCCAAGGTGAAAATCCTATTCCCCAGCATACAAACACATTGCTCACAAACATTGCATGTAAGTTTTTAAGGAAATGCAGTCATACTATTCTGCATACTGTTCTGCAGCTTGCTGTTTTTAAAAACTTCATAACACAGACATCTTCCCATGTTAAATATACATGTAGGTCTAAATTATTCTTTCCTGTAGCTGCACTGTATTCTGTAGTATTCAAGTATAGTATGTTAAGTTTTTTCATTATCATTAAATTTTTTTTTTTTACTTTGAAGTGATTTAAGAGTTCCCATGTACATTTCACCCAGCTTCCCTTAGTGTGAGCTTCTTACAGTGCCATGGTACATTTATCAAAACTTAAGAAATACAAGGGACTTGGTACAACACTATTAATCAAACTACAGGTTTTATTTGGATTTCATCAGTGTTTCCACTAATGTCTTTTTTCTTTTCTTGGATCCAGTCCAGGATACCACATTTCATTAGCCATTGTAATGATGATGATGATAATGATGATGATGATAATTATTAAGGTACTAAAATATAATTTATATATCATGAGTTATAAAATTCACCATTTTATAGTTTACAATTAAGTGGTTTTTTTGTATATTCAGAGTTGTATGCTCATCACCACTGTCTAGTGTTTGAAGATTTTCATTGTATTAAAAGGGAACTCTATACCCATCAGCAGTTACTCCCCATCCTCTCTGTCCAAAGCTTCTGGCAACCAACTAATCAACTTGCTGTCTTTGGATTTTTTTTTTCTGTCTCTATTCCAGATATTTCATAAACTAGAATCATGCGATATGTGGTCTTTGGTATCTGACTTCTTCCATTTGTATCATAATGTTTTCAAGGTTTACCCACGTTGTAGCATGAATTCAGTACTTAATTTCTTTTTATTGCCAAATAATATTCCATTATGTAGGTATACCACATTTTGTCAGTTGTTGGATATTATGTTGTTTTCACTTTTTGACTATTATGAATAATACTGTTATGAATATTCATGTTTTTGTGTGGATGTAGATTTTTAAATCTCTTGGGTATATACCTAGGAGCTGAATGTATGAGACATATGGTAATTTTATGTTAAACATTTTGGGGAACTGCTAGATTGTTTTCCAGAGTGGCTACATTATTTTATAATCCCACCAATAATGTTTGAGGATTTCAGTTTCTCCATGTCCTTACCAAAAATTGTCATGGTCTGTATTGCTGTAGCCATCTTGGGTTTCTAAAGATTGAGCATTCTGCTGGGTTTGTCATGAGCCATGTTGTTTGCACATCTCATGAGGTGTGGTCCACACCTTCTTTCCCTCCATCACAGTGCCGTGGCTCTAAAAGTTTTCTGTGTGAATTCAGACAGGGGATGGCTTTCAGGTACTCTGTGCAGTTAACCGGGGTCTGCTGACAGGTGCAGTTCGGTGGATTGATTGTTCATAAAATATTCTTAAGGTTCCCAGGCCAGGTTGAAAGCTTCAGTTTGCAAGGTCATTCTTATGAAACATTCTGAACAGAACCATGAGAGAATCTGGCTCGCTCTGAAATTCTTTGTGATTTGGAGTCTGAGGCACTTGGGAATATATCACCTTAACTGTCACTTTCCCCCAATTGGCAGCAAGAGTGTATTAGTCCATTTTCTTTTGTTTATAACAGAATACCTGAAACTGGATAAATTATTGTAAAAAGGAATTTTTTTCTTATAGGCGTGAGGGCCAAGAAGTCCAGAGTCAAAGGGCCACCTCTGGTGAGAGCCTTCTAGCTGGTGGGCATTTTCTGCAGAGTCCCGAGGTGGTGCGGGTTATTACATGGTGAGGGGCTGTGAGTGCTTTAGCTCAGGTTTCTCTTCCTCTTCTTATAAAGCCACTAGTTCCACTCCCGTGATAACCCATTAATTCATTCATCCATTCGTGAAGACAGAGCCCTCATGACACAGTCCCTTCTTTAAAAGCCTCGCCTTTCAGTACTGCAGCATTGTAGATTAAATTTATAACGTGAAATTTGGGGGGGCACATTCAAACCATAGCAGAGATGCTTCCTAGGATGCCTGGAGGATTTCTTTTTTTCTGTTGCTTTCCCATTTTCAATCTGGGTGATGCTGCTTTCATTTTAGATTAGTGGTTTCTATGAGGGACAGGCCAGTCCATTGGGCTACGGGAAGAACATTATAGCTCCTTGTTAATATTTATTTTTCACCTTATTCTTTGAAGTTATTCTGTTTTACATATGCTTTATAACTAAATTTACATAACAATAGATTGTATGATTTATAAGTAAATACACATAATAGGTGTTCTTTTTTTTTTTTTTTCTTTTTGAGACGGAGTCTCACTCTGTCACCCAGGCTGGAGTGCAGTGGTGCAATCTCGGCTCACTGCAACCTCAGCCTCCTGGGTTCAAGCAGTTCTCTGCCTCAGCCTCCTGAGTAGCTGGGATTACAGGTGCCCACCACCATGCCCGGCTAATTTTAGTATTTTTAGTAGAGACGGGGTTTCACCATCTTGTCCAGGCTGGTCTTGAACTCCTGACTTTGTGATCCACCCACCTTGGCCTCCCAAAGTGCTAGGATTACAGGCATGAGCCACCGTGCCCAGCCTACACATAATAGGTATTCTTTTTTTTTCTTTTTTCTTTTTTTCCAAGATGAAGTATTACTCCATTGCCCAGGCTAGAGTGCAGTGGCGTGATCTCAGCTCACTGCAACCTCCATCTCCAGGGTTCTACAGTAGACTAAAAAGTTAGCAGAGCTTATGGTTGATTCTGTTCTTTCCACCCTCCATTGTTAATAGTTCTTTTATTTATTTATTTATTTAGAGACAGAGTCTCACTCTGTCGCCTAGGCTGGAGTGCAGTGGTGCGATCTTGGGTCACTGCAACCTCCGCCTCCCAGGTTCAAGCGATTCTCCTGCCTCAGCCTCCTGGGTAGCTGGGATTATAGGCACCTGCCACCACGCCCAGCTAATTTTTGTATTTTTAGTAGAGATGGGGTTTCACCATGTTGGCCAGGCTGGTCTCGAACTCCTGACCTTGTGATCCGTCCGCCTCAGCCTCTCAAAGTGCTGTGATTGCAGGTGTGAGCCACCAAGCCTGGCCACATAATAGATATTCTATGTAATCAAAAAGTTCAGAAGCCACTGCTTTAAGCTATCTACTGAGTGAAGAAAGGCACAAACAAAACTTATCATCTGAACTGATAACCAGGAAAGAGTAAGTTCTATCACGTGCTCTTGAGAAAGGCAGCAGTAGAAACCTAGGGCAGGGCCCAGCAACAGGGATTGATAACATTCGCAGTGAGCAGCACTGCAAAATAGGGAGAATGAAGAACAGAATTCAAACCACAGAGCTTGCAGAGTCTCAGAGACCACTAGTTTTAGTTTTGTAGACAGTTGCCCCGATTATGCAAGTATTAATAACACACCTAGAGTCATTTGGTAGCAGAACTAGGATGGAGGTCTTGTGACCTAGTACAGGACTGTACTACAGGTACTGCTGTTTGCATGGTGCTTTAGTTGTATTAGTTTCTCTTTATTTGTATTTTGGTATAACTTTTTAGCAGCAAGAAGTATGGGAGGGGAGATGCATGTCAGAAGTTGTTCATTCTTGTTCAACTTAATTTAGAACCCAACAGAAAGATATTTTTCCAGGTGAGCAATAAGGCCTGTCAGTGGGATTTGTTCATTTATTCAACAAATATGGTTCTAGACAATAGCAATGATAATCAGATGAATATTTCTGTCTTCATGGAGCTTATGTGTTACTTAGGGGAAGGAGCCAATAAGCATGTTAACAGTGAATTTTATGACATTTGAACAAAGACTTGAAGGAGATGCTGAAACAAGCTAGGTAGGTATCTTGGGGAAGAGCATTGCAGGCATACAGAGCACCCGGTGCAGAGAGCGGAAGGAGTCTGGCACATCTGATGAACAGCCAGGAGGCCAGTGAAGGGAGCGGGCAGGACCACTAGATAAGCTCAGAGAGGTAATGAGAGGTCAGATCATGAGGGCTTGTAGGCCATAGTAAGACTGGCTCTTACCCAAGCTGGGGAGCCCTTGGATGGTGTTGAAGAGAGGATTGAAATGATAACGACTTGCCTTTCAAAAGGACATTCTGTGGCTGGGCATGGTGGTTCACACCTATAATCCCAGCACTTTGGGAGGCTGAGGCGGGCAGATCACTTGAGGCCAGGAATGTGAGACCAGCCTGGCCAACATGGCAAAACCCTATCTTTATACAAAAAATACGAAAATTAGCTAGGCGTGGTGGTGTGTGCCTGTAATTCCAGCTACTTGGAAGGCTGAGGCCGAGAATTTGCTTGAACCTGGGAGGCAGAGGTGACAGTGAGCTGAGATCATGCCACTGCATTCCAGCCTGTCTCAAAAAAAAAAAAAAAAAAAAAAAAAAAAAAAAAGCGGTGGGTAGGGGGCAGGCGCCGTGGCTCACACCTGTAATTTCAGCACTTTGGGAGACCAAGGTGGGTGGATCACGAGGTCAGGAGTTCCAGCCTGACCAACATGGTGAAACCCCATCTCTACTAAAAATACAAAAAAATTAACTGGGCGTGGTGGCACATGCCTGTAATCCTAGCTACTCAGGAGGCTGAGGCAGGATAATCGCTTGAACCCAGGAGGCAGAGGTTGCAAGTGAGCCAAGATTGCATCACTGTACTTGATAGAGCAAGACTCTGTCTTAAAAAAGGAAAAAAAAGACATTATGCTTGTCTGTTAAGAGTAGACCTTGAGTGGGCTGGGATTGGAAGCAAGGATACAAGTAGGACAGAGTGATAATGTCTTGATGGCAGTCATTGTATTCAGGTTAGTTAATTGGAATACGTAGTTCATGATATTTACATTCTTTCCTGTTTGTCTTATTCACCTTCCCTCCATCCTCCTCCTCAAAATTTGCTATCATTATAGTTGATGCTGATGATAGATGAATAAAAACCTATCTTCTGGAAGGTTGCAGTCTAGACTCTTGGCATTAGAGAAATAGATGCTTTTAAAAATCAGAGGTCACAAATGAGCCTGACTGCTAGAACAGTATAATAGGTGGCTGGAAACACAACTTCTGTCTCAGGCTGGTGGATATTGGTGGGAGGCCACTGGAGTTGATGAGGCTTGAAGCGAGTCCTGAAAGAGGCACAAGAGCAGACAGCAGAGAGAACACACAGTGCTGCAGACGGGAGCATGCGAGAGCACAGCACATCCAGGAAAACTGCAGAGGATTCATGGGCCGCAGAGAGACCTGCTGAGGTTTGTGTGCAGCGTGAGCTCTCCAGGGAGTTCTTGACTCCATTAGGACTCTGGGTCTGCACAGACCGTGTTGCTTTCCACCCACAACTCTCAGTTCCTGACCCAGGGCCTTGCTTTCTTCCACAACAGCCGATATTTCTGGATAGAGATATAAGAAATACTTGTTTGGGGCAGGTATAATAAGTTCTTCTGTGCATGATTCAGTCACTAGGAGAATTGTTTTAAGCCTACTAACAGATTTTGCTTTTCTTAAATGGCTTTACTGAGATATAATTTATATACCATAAAATTTACCTGTTAAATGTACAATTTAGTTATTTTTAGTAAAATTACAGAGTTGTGCAACCATCTTCACATTTCTCTATCAGCCCAAAAAGATCCCTCATGCCATTTGCAGTCAACACTCACTTCTACCCCCAGCTCTAGGCAATGGTGTGTCTGTTTTCTGCTTCTACTGATTTGCCCTTTCTGGACATTTCCTATAAATGGGAACATATAATATGTAGTCTTTTAATCCAATTCCTTTTTTTTTAAGACAAGGTCAGGCAGGTATGCAGTGGTGCCATCTCAGCTCACTGCAGCCACGAACTCCTGGGCCCACGCCATCCTCCCACCTCAACCTCCTGAGTAGCTGGGACCACAGGCAAGTGCCACCGCTCCTGGCTAATTTTTTTTTTTTTTTTTTTTTTTTTTACTTTTTGTAGAGGCAGGGTCTTCCTATGTTGCCCAGGCTGGTCTCAAACTCCTGGGCTCAAGAGATCCTCCTGCCTTGGCCTTCCAAAGTGTTAGGATTACAGGTATGAGCCACTTCAACCAGCCTATCTGATTTATCGTACTTCACATCATGTTTTCATGCTTCATCTATGTCATAGCATGTGTCAATAGTTTGTTCTTCTTTATTGTTGTTATTTATTTCTTTTTAATTTATTTTTTGAGATAGGGTCTTGCTTTGTCGCTCAGGCCAGAGTGCAGTGGGTGATCATGGCTCACTGTAGCCTTGACCTCCCAGGCTCAACTGGTCCTCCCACCTCAGCCTCCAGTATAGCTGGGACTACAGGCACACGCCACCACACACATCTAAGTTTTTTTTTTTTTTTAAAGAGATGGCATCTCACTATGTTGCCTAGGCTAATCTTGAACTACTGGGCTTAAGCAGCTCTCCCATCTTGGCCTCCCAAAGTTCGGAAATTGCAGGTGTGAGCCACTGTCTGTAGCCTGTTGAGTGTTATTTTAATTATATGGATCTACCACATTTTGTTTATCCATTCATAATTTGATGGACATTTGGCCTATTTCTGCTTTTTGCCATTATGAATAATACTGCTATATGAATTATGACAGTATTTCATAATTATGCATTAATTCATAATTAATGATGAATAATTAAAGATACAAATCTTTATGTGACCATACATTTTTATTTTTTACTTATTTATTTATTTATTTTTGAGACAGAGTCTTGCTCTGTCACCAGGCTGGAGTGTAGTGACGCGATCTTGGCTCACTGCAGCCTCTGCCTCCCAGGTTCAAGCGATTTCCCTGCCTCAGCCAACCTAGTAGCTGGGACTACAGGCGCCTGCCACCATGCCTGGCTAATTTTTTGTATTTTAGTGGAGACAGGTTTCACCATGTTGGCCAGGATGGTCTCTATCTCCTGACCTCATGATCCTCCCACCTCAGCCTCCCAAAGTGGTGGGATTACAGGCGTGTGCCACCATGCCTGGCCCATTTTTCTTTTTAAAAAGTGCAGTACCTTGCTATTTTATTTTATTTTTAAATTTTATTTATTTACTTTTAAAGTTTTATTTTAGGTTCCAGGGTACATGTGAAGGTTTGTTACAGAGGTGAACTCATGTCACAGGGGTTTGTTGTACAGATTATTTCATCACCCAGGTATTAAGCCCAGTACCCAAAAGTTATCTTTTCTGCTCCTCTCCCTCCTCCCACCCTCCACCCTCAAGTAGGCCTCAGTGTCTGTTGTTCCCTTCTTTGTGTTCATGTGTTCTCATCATTTATCTCCCACTTACAAGTGAGAACATGCAATATTTGGTTTTCTGTTTCTGCATTAGTTTGCTAAGGATAATAGCCTCCAGCTCCATCCATGTTCCCACAAAAGATGTGATCTCATTCCTTTTTATGGCTGCATAGTATTCCATGGTATGTATGTACCACTTTTTCATTATCCAGTCTGTCATTGATGGGCATGTAGGTTGATTCCATGTCTTTGCTATTGTGAATAGTGCTGCAATTAACATACACATGCATGTGTCTTTATGGTAGAATGATTTATATTCCTTTGGGTATATACCCAGTAATGGGATTGCTAGGTCGAATGGTAGTTCTGCTTCTAGCTCTTTGAGGAATTGCCAGACTGCTCTCCACAGTGGTTTAACTAATTTACACTCCCACCAACAGTGTGTTAAGTGTTCCCTTTTCTCTGCAACCTCACCAGCGTCTGTTACTTTTTGACTTTTTAATAGCCATTCTGACTGTGTGAGATGGTATCTCATTGTGGTTTTGATTTGCATTTCTCTAATGATCAGTGATGTTGAGCTTTTTTTCATATGCCTACATGTTGGCTGCATGTATGTCTTCTTTTGAAAAGTGTCTGTTCATGTCCTTTGCCTGTATTTTAATGGGGTTGTTTTTTCTCTTGTAAATTTGTTAAAGTTTCTTATAGATGCTGGATATTAGACCTTTGTCAGATGCGTGGTTTGCAAATATTTTCTCCCATTCTGTAGGTTGTCTATTTACTCTGTTGATAATTTCTTTTGCTGTGCAGAAGCTCTTAAGTTTAATTCGATCCCATTTGTAAATTTTTGCTTTTGTTGCGATTGCTTTTGGTGTCTTTGTCATGAAAACTTTGCCCATTCCTGTGTCCAGGATGGTATTGCTTAGGTTGTCTTCCAGGGTTTTTATAGTTTTGGGTTTGACATTTAAGTCTTTAATTCATCATGACTTGATTTTTATGTATGGTGTAAGGCACGGTTCCAGCTTTAATCTTCTGCAGATGGCTAGCCAGTTATCTCAGCACCATTTATTGAATAGGAAGTTTTTTCCCCATTGCTTGTTTCTGTCAGCTTGTTGAAGATCAGATGGTCATAGGTGTGCAGCCTATTTCTGGGCTTTCTATTCTATTCCATTGGTCTATGTGCCTGTTTTTGTATGAGTAGCATGCTGTTTTGGTTACTGTAGTATAGTTTGAACTCAGGTAATGTGATGCCTTCAGCCTTGTTCTTTTTGCATAGGATTGCCTTGACTATTTGGGCTTTTTTTCTGGTTCCATATGAATTTTAAAATATTTTTTTCTAGTTCTTTGAAGAATGTCAGTGGTAGTTTTGATAGGAATAGCACTGAATCTGTAAATTGCTTTGGGTAGTATGGCCATTTAATGATACTGATTCTTCCTATCCATGGGCATGGGATATTTTTCCATTTGTTTGTGTCTTCTCTGATTTCTCTGAGCAGTGTTTTGTAATTCTCATTGTAGAGATCTTTTACCTTCCTGGTTCGCTGTATTCCTAGGTGTTTTATTCTTTTTGTGGCAATTGTGAATGGGTGTTCATTCATGACTTGACTCTCTGCTTGCCTGTTGCTGGTGTATACGAATGCTAGTGATTTTTGTATATTGATTTTGTATCCAGAAACTTTGCTGAAGTTGTTGATCGCTGAATGAGCTTTTGGGCCGAGACTGTGGGGTTTTCTAGATATAGAATCGTATTGTCTACAAATAGAGATAGTTTGACTTCCTGTCTTCTTATTTGGATGCCTTTATTTCTTTCTCTTGCCTGATTGCTCTAGCTAGACCTTCCAATACTATGTTGAATAGGAGTGGTAAGAGTGAGCATCCTTGTCTTGTGCCGGTTTTCAAGGGGAATGCTTCTAGCTTTTCCCCATTCAGTATGGTGTTGGCTGTGCATTTGTCATAGGTGGCTGTTACTTCGAAGTATGTTCCTTCAATACCTAATAACATGAAGGGGTGTTTAACTTTATTGAAAGCCCTTTCTGCATCTGTTGAGATAATCATGTGGTTTTGTCTTCAATTCTGTTTATATGATGAATCACATTTATTGATTTGCGTATGTTGAACCAACCTTGCATCCCAGGGATGAAGCTTATTTGATCATAGTGAATTAGCTTTTTGATGTGCTCCTGGATTTGGTTTGCAAGTATTTTGTTGAAGATTTTTGTATCGATGCTCATCAAGGATATTGGCTTGAGGTTTCTTTTTTTGTTGTGTCTCTTCTGGGTTTTGGTATTAGTATGATGGTGGCCTAGTAGAATGAGTTGGGTAGGAGTCCCTCCTCCTCAAGTGTTTGGAGTAGTTTCAGTAGGAATGGTATCAGCTGTTCTTTGTACATCTAGTAGAATTTGGCTGTGAATTTGGTTGGTAGGCTTTTTATTACGAATTCAGTTTTGGAGCTCATTATTTGTCTGCTCAGGGAATCAGTTTCTTCCTGGCTCAGTCTTAGGAGACTGTATGTGTCCAGGAATTAATTCATCTCTTCCAGGCTTTCTAGTTTGTGTGCATAGAGGTGTGCATAGTAGTTTCTGATGGTTTTTATTTTTATGGGGTCAGTAGTAACATTTTCTTCATCATTTCTAATTGTGTTTATTTGGATCTTCCCTTTTTTCTTCTTTGTTAGTCTAGCTAGCAGCCTATTTATCTTATTAATTTTTTTTTAAAACCTCCCGGATTTGTCGATTTTTTAAAAATTGTTTTTCATGTCTCGATTTCCTTCATTTCAACTCTGATTTTGGTTATTTCTTGTCTTCTGCTAGCTTTTGGGTTGATTTGTCCTTGCTTCTCTAATTCTTTCAGTTGTGATGTTAGGTTGTTAATTTGAAATCTTTCTTTTTATGTTGGCATTTAGTGCTATGAATTACTGTCTTAACACTGTCTTAGCTGTGTCCCAGAGATTCTGATATGTTGTATCTTTGTTCTCATTAGTTTCAAAGAGCTTCTTGATTTCTGCCTTAATTTCTTTATTTACCCTAAAGTCTTTCAAGAGCATGTCGTATAATTTACATGTAATTGTATGATTTTCAGTGATTTTCTTGGTCTTGACTTCTATTTTTAATGTGCTGTGGTCCAAGAGTGTGTTTGGTGTGATTTCAGGTTTTTTTTTTTTTTTTTTTTTTGAGACGGAGTCGTGCTCTGTCACCCAGGCTGGAGTGCAGTGGCACAATCTTGGCTCACTGCAAGCTCCACCTCCCAGGTTCACGCCATTCTCCTGCCTCAGCCTCCTGAGTAGCTGGGACTACAGGCACCCGCCACCACGCCTGGCTAATTTTTTTGCATTTTTAATAGAGACGGGGTTTCACCATGTTAGCCAGGATGGTCTCGATCTCCTGACCTCATGATCTGCCCGCCTCTGCCTCCCACAGTGCTGGGATTACAGGCGTGAGCCACCACGCCAGGCCTTTTTTTTTTTTTTTTTGCAGAGGATTGTTTTATGTCCAATTATGTGGTTGATTTTAGAGTATGTGCCATGTGATGATCTGAAGCATATATATTCTGTTATTTTTGGGTGGAGAGTTCTGTAGAGATTTATCAGATCCATTGGTCTAGTGTTGAGTTCCGGTCTTGAATATCTTTATAAATTTTCTGCCTTGATGATCTGTCTAATATTGTCAGTAGAGTGTTGACATCTCCCAGTATTATTTTGTGGGAGTGTAAATCTCTTTGAAGGTCTCTAAGAACTTTCTTTATGAATCTGGGTGCTCTTGTGTTGGGGTGCATATATGTATTTAGGATAGTTAGGTCGTCTTGTTGAATTGAACCCTTTACCATTATGTAATGCCCATCTTTGTCTTTTTTGATCTTTGTTGTTTTAAAGTCTCTTTGTCTGAAATTAGGATTGCAACCCTGGCTTTTTTCTGTTTTCCATTTGCTTAGTAGATTTTCCTCCATCCATTTAGTTTGAGCCTATGGGTGTCATTGCATGTGAGATCAGTTTCTTGAAGACAGCATACCATTGAGTCTTGCTTTTTTATCCAGCTTGCCACTCTGTGCCTTTTATGTGGGGGCATTTAGCCCATTTACATTCAAGGTTAGTTTTATATATGTGTATTTAATCCTGTCATTGTGTTCTTAGCTGGTTATTATGCTGTCTTGTTTGTGTGGCTGCTTTATAGTATCGCTGGTCTGCATATTTAACACTGGTTTGTGTTTTTGCATTTGTTGGTAGTGATCTTTCCTTTCTACTATATTAATACATTTAGTGCTCCTTTCAAGATCTCTTGTAAGGCAGGTCTGGTGGTAACGAACTCCTTCAACATTTGCTTATCTGAAAAAGGTTCCTATTTCTCCTTTGCTTAAAGAGCTTAGTTTGGCTGGATATGAAATTCTTGGTTGAAGATTTTTTTTTTTTTTATTTAAGAATGTTGAATATAGGTCCCCAATCTCTTCTGACTTACAGGGTTTCAGCTGAGAAGTCTGTTGTAAGCCTGACAGGGTTCCCTTTGTAGGTGACCTGCCCTTTCTCTCTAGCTGCCTTTAACATCCTTTCTTACATTTCAGCCTTGGAAAATCTGATGATTATGTGTCTTGGGGGTGATCTTCATGTGTAGCATCTTGCAGGAGTTCTCTGTATTTCCTGAATTTGACTTTTGGCTTCTCTAGCAGGGTTGGTGAAGTTTTCATGGATGATACCCTGAAATATATTTTGTAAGTTGTTTGCTTTCTTCTCCCTTTCAGGGATACCAATTTTTCATAGATTTGGCTTCTTTACATAATCCCATACTTCTTGAGATTTTGTTCATTCCTTATTCTTTTTGTCACTATTTTTGTCTGACTCTTATTTCAGAGAGCCAGTCTTCAAGTTCTAAGATTCTTTCTTCAGCTTGGTTTATTCTGCTGTTAATACTTGTCATTGCATTGTGAAATTCTTGTATTGTGTTATTCAGCTCTGTCAGATCCTTTAGGTTCTTTTTTATGCTGGCTATTTTGTCCTTCAGCTCCTGTATCATTTTATTTTGGTTCTTACTTTCCTTGGATTGAGTTTTGCTATTCTCATGAATCTCAGTGATCTTGGTTCCTATCCATATTCTAAATTCTATTTTTGTCATTCAGCCAGCTCAGCCTGGTTAAGAACTCTTGTTGGAGAACTGGTGTGGTTGTTGGGAGACATATGACAGTTACTGGAGTTCTTGCATTGGTTTTTTGCTTGTCTCTAAGTCTGGGTGTTCCTTTAACTGCAGTGTAGATTGAGTACAGTCAAGTGACTGATTTGCTGGATGTTTTCACAGGGCTGAGTCTTTGTTTAGGGTCTTTGAAGCTGACTTCTTGTTTTTGGTTTCAGAGGGTGGTACGTTAGTGAGGTATTTTTGGTGTTGAAGCTTTGGGTTGTGATCTGGTATGTGGCACGTAGGCATACTGGTCATGGTACACTCTTGCTTGGTTGTGTGGCTCCCCCGTATTTCCTCACAGTTGCAGCCGTGTTCCCTCTCAATTCTCAAAAAGCGTGGGTTTCTCTCCACCTTGAGTACTGGCTATAGATCGCAGCTTGGCATTCCCGAGCTGCCCATTGCAGCTCTGGGACAATCTCAGTGTTTATGTTTTTTTTCCAGTTTGGGGGCAGCAGAGGAAGGGACCTTAGTAGTGGTTGTGGCCGAGGGTCATTTGATTGTCTCCTGTGGGCTCCACCCCAGAGACATGCAGGTCAGCAGTCACTCAGTGCAATCAGCTCAGGATGGAGGGTCTTCGCTGCGAGCCCAAGCTGGGGGTTCCCTGCCTGGTGAAGAGTAGGGGGGTGGGTGGGCCCTTGGGAGACGGACTAGCCTCCCCTCCTTGTTGGAGGTGTGGATAAGGCAGTTAGGGTCTGTGCTTCTTTGTTAGTCCGAGGGTAGCAAGGGCAGTTCCACCGCAGCGGCAGTGGCAGAGAGGCTTTCAGTTGCCATGTGGTCTCTGTCCAGGGAGTTGCTGAGTTGCTACTGGCTGGATAGCTCTGGTAAGGGGGTGGCTGGAGGCCCAGGCCTGGAGGACCTGCCGATGAGGAGATGTGGGAATGGGTACCCACATAACCGTCTGGCCACTTTTCTGTAGGGCTGCTGCAATATGTTGGGGGTCCACTCCAGTCCCAGTTGCCTTGGATTTTCCAGTACCTGGAGGTATCAACAGTGAAGGCTGCAAAACAGCAGAGATAGTGGCCTGCCCCTCCCTCTGGGAGCTCTGTCCCAGGAAGGCACAGATCTGTTGCCAGCCCAAAGGCACCTGTAGGTGGTGGTTGGAGACCTCAGTTGGGAGGGCCCATCCCCTGAAGAGGAATGGGATCAGGGACCTGCTTAAAACAGCAGTCTGACCTCTTTTTCATAGAGCAGCCATGCTATGCTCAGGGTCTGCCCCTAGTTGCTTTGGGCACTTGAAACCCAAAGATGGAATTGCAGCTCCTTTTGCCCTGAAGCCCAGAAAGCCTGGGTATCTAAGGCTCTCGGGTCTCTGTTTGCGCCTGAGAAACTACTCTGCCAAGATTCCATGTAGCTCTGTGTCAGACTGAAGACCCTGGTGGAGTGGGTTCATGAGGCAGTCTCCTGACCCGAGGGTTGTAAAAAGGTCTGTGGAAGAAGCGTGGTTCCCGGGGTCCCATATTCACTCACTGCTTCCCTGAATGGGGGAGGTTCCCCTGGCTCCATTTCACTCCCAAGTGGGCCACCGTCCTGCCTTGCTTTTCTCCGTTTTCCATGGGTGGAGTTGTTTCCTTGATTGGTCCCAATGCGTGTACCTGGATGTTTAATTGAAGGTGCTGTGTTTACTCGCCCCTTCGCTCCTCTCGTGAGAGCTGCGCACACTAGATGCTTCTAGTCAGCCATCTTGGCCACCCCCCTACACTTTGATTTCTATATTTCATTTCTAGGTAGATACCTAGGAATGGAATTGCAGTCATAGGGTACGTGTGTGTTTCGTTTTTAAAGAAACTGCCAAGTTATTTCCAATGTAACTGAATTTTTTAGCTGTTCCTTGTTTTTACTTTTTCTGGGTATACCCTGAGAGGTAGTCTCATGGCTAAAGTATAGAGATGTGATAAATCACAGGAAATGTGTTGGGGTGGGATGTGAAAGGGAAAGGGCCTTGAAATCCATGGTTGGAAAGTACCTTGAAAGATCATTTCTGTTTCCAAGAGGCATTGCATGTAAAGCATGCCATACTTCTAAGAATCTTTCTGTTTTAAAAGGTGTTTTTGAAGCTCTCATTCTATAGAACTATAAATCCAATTAAAGAAAGTTTTTTTTTTTTAAGTAATGAGCAAACTATAATAGAATTTCAATTCTGAGACACTTTTTTTTTTAACCTCTACAGTTTTACCATCTCTGATATCAAGATGAGTCTTTTGATCAATTGGGTAACAGTTTGTCACCAGCTATTTCTTTGGTGTTCATAAAGTTGGTGGTGTCTTAGATTTGATGAAATATGGAAGATATTATTGGAATAAAGATTATAGTACCACCTATAAAATATTCTGGCCAGAAATGCTGAATCTGAATCTAGTTGGATCTCTAGAGCTGACTTCATCTGCAGGAAATGCAGATAGAGGGTCAAGTTCAACGATGCCCAAGGAAACAGACAAAGCTGACTGTGTCTCTTCATAACAGAACCGACCAGATTTCTACAGCACGAAAATGACACGAAAAGAAATGGGGTAGGAGGGGGCCCACTTTAGAGTCAGGGAGACTTTAGAATAACCTTGAGTTGTCATGTGCCATACCTGCTAAATGTCATGTGTGGATTTTTTTGGATCATGATTCAAGCAAATGTCTGCTCCGTGCCCGCCCCACCCCCGTGATTAAAAAAACCAAACAAATAAAAGAAAAACAAAAACTTTTTGGAGACAAACTTGGAGATTCAATTTTGGACCATCAGCTTTGTATTCCCCTGTTGATTTCTAACTTGCTCTCATTCTCTGCCCTTGCTGTGCTGATTTTAATTAGGTACCCAGGCCGGGTGCAGTGGCTAACACCTGTAATCCCAACACTTTGGGAGGCCGAGGCAGGTGGATCACTTGAACTGTCAGGAGTTCAAGACCAACCTGGCCAACATAGTGAAACCCTGTCTCTACTAAAAATACAAAAATTAGCTGGATGTGGTGGCACACGCCTGTAATCCCAGCTACTCGGGAGGCTGAGGCAGGAGAATTGCTTGAGCCTGGGAGGTAGAGGTTGCAATGAGCCAAGATCCCATCACTACACTCCAGCCTGGGTGACAGAGCGAGACTCCGTCTCAAAAATAAAAAAAAAAAAAAAAGAAAAGAAAAGAAAAGAAAAAGAAAGAAAAAATTAGGTGCCCTGCCATCATTCTGAGAATCCCTTTTGCCATCATCTTGGTAATTGCCTTCACCTCTCTTTTGAGTTGGCCCCTCTGTTTCTAGGATCCCATGTTTTTCACTTTTTTGGTTTATTTTCTTGTTTACTGACCCAGTTCTTTTTGTATGGAATGGAATTGCAGTCATGTGGTACGTGTGTGTTTAGTAACTCCTTATATGTCTAACAGCTTGTTCGTCTCTACCCTTATACTTGATTGATATTTGATCAAGTATATAGAATTCTAATAAGTGATCAATAAATTTTAAGTAAATAAATGAATGCACCTTTCCCCCTTTAAAAAAACATGTATTGCATGAATTTAGAGAGTATGTTAAGCACAGACTATTGTTATGTTTTTCCAGATTTCAATTTCAAAAAGGGGTAGTAATAGCTTTTTTTTTTTTTTTTTGTATATATTTTTTGAAAGTAGTAAAATGCCATCCTGGAGCTAAGATTTTTGTCAGGATTTAACCCTGGCATGAACTCTGAGAAAAATCAGTGGAAGGAGATTACTCCTTACTTGAGGAAGGAGTTGATTTGTCTCTCATGGTGCCTCTGTGGAGATTGGAATGCTGGGAGCTATAACCAATGAGCCAATTCACAGATATTTTGGTCTCTAAAATTAGTTACAGTACACTCTTGGAACGGCTTCTGTTACACACTTTTTGTCAGAAGCACAACCAGTGGGCAGATGGTTCTCTGGAAAAAGTAGACACAGAAGAGTGATTTGACTTGGGTGTCATTATAAACTTAGTGTTCTTGGTTTGCCCTTTTGTAAGACTAATGGATTAGTGAACATTATTTAAGCCACATAATCGCGGAGTGACCTTGCCTAATTATTTGTTCATCTTTTTGGGCTTAGTTTCCTTATCTGCAAAGTAGGCATATTTATAGTTATGATATTTGCCTCAAAATATTGTTGTGAGAATTAAATAGAGAATCTTTGTAAGATAGACGTTCACTGCCCCATGATTTCCTATCCACCCCCTACTTTTTTTTTACTGTCTCTGGGCAAGTGAGTGCATGAGAAAGGTTGTGTAAGAATCTGCTCTGCTTTGAGTAGTTTGTGGTCTTTTTGGAGAGTTACTTAGTATGCATATAAAGGAGATAGAAAAAAGTACTATTCAGATTGGGGTTTAGAGAAATTAGGAGGCTGGAGACCTTTTGGAGGGGGCTAGCTGGAACTGTCTCTTAGAAGGATTGGGACTTGGGCTTTGGAGGAGTCTAGGGAGACTCTAGGAATCTTGGGCAGGAGGAAGAGCTGTGAGTCCTGTTGGCGCGCTGGGGGCTGCTGGGAGAGAGGAACAGGTAGGTCAGCTTGGAAGCATATCAGGGAAAATTTTGAAAGTCCATATGGGAAACTTAGATCTTTGTTTATTTCCTTAAACCATCATGAATGTCTTGGTGCCTGATCTCATGTTTATGGGATGTATCTGGATGAGAGAGATTGCAAATTTAGAGGTCTGTGACTGGATATGACCCACAAATATGTTTTGTTTGGTCTCCTTAGTGCTTTAAAATTCTTTGGATAAGTTGCCAGGGTTTAAAATCAGGAGATGTGGCCTTACTGTCCTTCAGTCCCACATGTTATCAAGTGACTGGAGCTTTAAGAGGTGCCCCAAGTTTCCATGGCCCCCTTACCCCCATCACATAACCGGCCTTATTTTTACCTATGTGTCCGAGTTTGCAGCCAGTGGTCTAGAGCAGCACTGTCCAGTACAGTAGCCATGAGCCTCCTGTGGTGGTTTAAAGTTAAGATTAAGCAAAGTTAAATGAAAAGTCCTGTTCTGCATTTGCACTAGCTACCTTTCGTTTGCTCAGTAACCATATGCGGCTAGTGGCTACTGCATTGGACATCACCGTTGTAGAACATTTCTATCATTGCTGAAAGCTGTATTGGATTGGTCTAGGTCTTCAAACAAAGGTTACTAACTCTGCTTCTCATTGTATTTTAAACCTTGTCTCCTAGTGTGACTTGCCATATTGCTGGCCTCATGTGTAATAAAAGAAAGTGGTTTGATGGTGTGATGATCCTAAATACCTTTTGAAGGGTAAAATCCTTTATATGGACAATTACTGGTAATAGCCCATAACTTTGTAAGTCCCATTAATCCAATATTAATTAACGTATTTTAACAGACATTTACTTTTATGGTTTATAAACTATCTCTGGAGGGCATTCCAGAAGAGGAATTTTAAAAATAGACTGCGCAGTGGCATTGTTATTGGGTTGAGCACCCAGGCACTTCCTAGGTGACTGCTTTGAAGGATAACAAGTTTGGGTAACAGTAACTACTTCTGCCATCGTACATGTGTATGTGCAAAGTCACTGACTATCACACTTTTCTTGAGGGGGTATTTGTGTTGTGTTTTTATTCTTGAATGTGAAAATTACAGTGTAGAGTGCTAATTTCTCCTTACTTAGTGAGGTTGCAATCTAGTCTTTTAAAATAACTAAAAAATGTGTAGAAATCAGCAGGGCACAGTCCTGTTTTTAAAGCAGCACCTAGTGCATTACATTAAAAACAGAGCTAACAGTATAGTATACAGTGTGTTTTCTTTTTGACTCAGCAAATGTTTTCAGCATTTGTACTAAGAGGATGAGAGCACATATGTAGAAGTGTGCATCCATCATCGTTTTGTGTAAAATAATGAAAACCCTGCATATTAGTAGGACTGGGTGAGTGATGATGATACCTACGTACAATATTATAAAGCCACTGAAAATAGGGGTGTAGATCTGTATTTATTGACTTGGGAAGATGTCCATTGCACATTGAATGGAAAAATGTGCATGTGCGTGTGCCTGGATGTCTTGCAGGATAGTCACCAAAACAGTAACAGGGGTATTGTTGAGTGATGGAATTTTAGGCAACCTTATTTTCTTTTCTAGATTTCATGCCTACTTTGTTTGCCCCTTAACTCAGTAAGCCACGCTTTATTATTTTTAAAAGTGCTGCTCTCATAAAGAAGGGAAATAGTACTTACTGGGTGCCTGTGACATTCCGAGCATTTTGTTAAAACTTCGTTAGCCTCATGTGTACTCTTTAAGGTAAATGTATTATTATTCTGGTTTTATTGAGTGAGCATTTGAAGCTCGGAGATGGAGCAGCTGCCATGGGAGGAGAGCTGGATGTCAGCCCCAAAGATGTGCTTACAAAGCCAGTGCTTTTTTTCCTAGCTGAGGCATTCCCAGAGCCTCAGAGAGGTGTAGCGCCGAGGCTGACGTTTGAAGTTATCCGATATTGGCAGAGAAGGTCTTAAGCTAGCTAGAGAGAGAGAAAGAGAGATGAAAAAGACTAAAAATGTGGGGTTTTGTGTATATCATTATTATGTTATAGTGAAAATGGCTTTGGTGTAGTCAGGAGGCTCGGGCTTATTTGCAGTTTGGTCATTTACCAAACTTTACAACCCTGGATAAGTCTTTTGGTCTTTATTTTCCTTATTTCCAAAATAAGGATAATATATTCTATATCTCAGGATTATTGTGAGAGTACTCAGATTCATGCAAAATACCTTAAAACAATGAAGTGCAATATGAATGTGAACATTGTTTTTACCTTAGACAATCCAGTCTTCTGAAGCTTCAGAAATGGCCTGTTTTTACCACCTAGTTTGTCCCTTATGGATGTTTTTTTGGAGGAGAGGATTGAGTATTCCTTTCTTTGCTCAATGAGCAGACCTCATGTTCTGGAAAGATAACTGTTCCATTTTGGGGCCTTTACAAGTGTTTTGGAGGTCTAAGCTTCTTGTTATAAACTTATAGGTCTAGTGGTCAGCATCACTCCCACTGCTCTAATTTTTAAAACTTAAAACTGTGAAGTGTGTATAGAATGTGCACAAAACACAAAGACACAATTTAATGATGTATTTTAAAGCTAATAGCTGTTTAATTGATCTTCAGGACAAGAAATAGAACGTTGCTTAGGACATCGCCACCAGGACTCCCCTAAGTAACCACTCTTCTGACTTTTATGATAACTGCTTTCTGGCTTTTCTTTTTAGTTTTATTATCTAAATATGCACCTTAACATTACAGTTTATGTTTGCTTTTTTTTTTTTTGGATGGAGTCTCACTCTGTTGCACAGGCTGGAGTGCAGTGGCGCGATCTAGGCTCACTGCAGTCTCTGTCTCCCGGGTTCAAGCGATTCTCCTGCCTCAGCCTCCAAGTAGCTGGGATGACAGGCGCATGCCACTACGCCGAGCTAATTTTTTGTATTTTTAGTAGAAACGGGGTTTCACCATGTTGGTCAGGCTGGTCTTGAACTCCTGACCTCTTGATTCGCCCACCTCAGCCTCCCAAAGTGCTGAGATTACAGGTGTGAACCACCATGCCTGGCCATGTTTGCTTGGTTTTAAAAAATTGATGATTTTTAGAAATGGGGTCTCACTATCTTGCCCACACTGGACTTGAACTCCTGGGCTTAAGCGATCATCCAGCCTCAGCCTCCCAAGTAGCTGGGACTGTAGACACCACCGTGCCCACTTTATTTGCTTGTTTTTGAACTTCATAGAAATGTGGGTATGTTTCTGGCCTTTTGATTCATTCTTACAAGATTTTGTATTGCTGAGTGTAACTGTGATTCATTTATTTTCAGTGTTTATTGCATCTCTTAGTATGAAACCCACAACTTCAACATTCCACAGTGGATGGACTTAAGGATTTCTAGTTTTTGGCTACTGTAGTAGTGCTGCTCTGAGCATTCTTGCACATTTCACCTGTTATATGTATGCATGTGTTTCTGTTGGTTATATCCTAGCAGCAGTATTGCTGCATATCTTCAGATTTGTTAGCTAATGCCAATATGTTTTCTAAAGTGTTGATTATGCCAATTTACATTCCTGCTAGCATGTAGGAGAGTTTCTGTGGTACCACACCCTTGTTAACACTCAGTCTTGTGGGTCTTTTTCCGTTTTAGCCATTGTGAGTGTGCGGTAGTGTCTCATTTAATTTGCAGTTCCTTGATGACTAGTAGAAATTGAACAACTTTTCTTAGAATGTTGACCATTGGTATCTTCTGTGAAGTGCCTCTTCACATATTTTGCCTGTTTTTCTACTGGCTTGCCTATCAGTTGCTTTGTAGAGCACCTTTATATATTCTAGAAACAAGCCTGTTGTTGCTTATTTGTTTTGTAATATCTTCTTCTAGCGTGACTTGACTTTCACTTTCTTAAGTGGTTTTGATATGCCAAAGTTCTTAATTCTAATTTGGTCCAGTTCATCAATCTTGTCCTTTATGGTTTGTGTTTATTGTGTCCTGATATTTTCCTCTATCCTGGGATCTTGAAGCTATTATGTTATTTTCTAAAAGGTTTATTGCTTTGCTTTCTGCACGTTTATCTATTATCAGGAATTCATTTTTGTGCAGGGTGTGAGATAGGAGTCAACTTCTTTTTAAATCCATGTAGATATTCAGTTGATCCAGGGGCATCAATTTAAAAAGTAGCCGTATTGTCACTGCTCTGTAATGCCTGCTTTGTCATAAAATACCCTCATAGGCCCGAATCTGTTTCTTTATCCTGTCTGTTGGTGTGTCTGTCCATCAACTGATAGCACATTGTCTTAATTCCTGTGATATTGTAATAAATCTTGATATCCACGGGGAGCAAGTTTTATCACCTTGTTTAACCAAAAGAGTGCCTTGCCATTCGTATTATCACACGTATTTTGGAATCAACTTATTTAGTTCTTAAAAAAATATATGTTTGTGTTTATTAGGGTTTTTAGTGGAATGTTATTGAATGTTTAGATCAATTTGGGAGAACTGAAAATTTCACAGTACTGAGTATTCCAGCCTATAGTTTTATCTTTCCGTTTATTTTAGCTATCTTAAAAAAATTTTAAAAATTGTTACATAGCTTTTTGGGCAGATATTTATTTTGGCTAGATTTATTCCTAGGTGTTTATTTTTATAAAATTAAAAATAGGAACATTTTTAACTTTCCTTTTTGGCTTATTATGAGAATAGAAATGTAATTTTTTTCATATATATTGGCTTTGTATTAGTCTTGCAAAACTTAATTTTATAATGCACCTTTAGATCTTGTAGTTTTTTTTTTTTTGAGACTGAGTCTTGCTCTGTCGCCCAGGCTGGAGTGCAGAGGCGCAATCTTGGCTCACTGCAACCTCTGCTTCCTGGGTTCAAGCAATTCTCTGCCTCAGCCTCCCGAGTAGCTGGGATTACAGGTGCCCACTGCCATGCCTGGGTAATTTTTGTATCTTTAGTAGAGATGGGGTTTCACCATCTTGGTCAAGATGGTCTCCATCTCCTGACCTCGTGATCTGCCCGTCATGGCCTCCCAAATTGCTGGGATTACAGGCATGAGCCACCATGCCTAGCGCCTTCTAGATTTTTTTTTTACGCAGTTGTATTTTCCATTCAGAATGATAATCTTTTTTTGTCAATTTTCATACTTTTTTTAAAAAAATTTTTTGAGACGGAGTTTTGCTCTTATCACCCAGGCTGGAGTACAATGGCGCAATCTTGGGTCACTGCAACATCTGCCTCCCGGTTTCAAGCGATTCTCCTGCCTCAGCCTCCCAAGTAGCTGCGATTACAGGCATGCACCACCACGCCCGGCTAATTTTGTATTTGATTAGAGACGGGGTTTCTCCATGTTGGTCAGGCTGGTCTCAAACTGCTGACCTCAGGTGATCCACCTGCCTTGGCCTCCCAAAGTGCTGGGATTACAGGCTGAGCCACCACACCTGGCCACTTTTATTTTTTTTTCTTGCCAAAATTAGTTAGCTAGGACTGTAGATATAATGTTGAACAGAAATTGTACAGTGGATATTTTTGTCGTGTTCCAGTCTCAGAGAGAAAGCTTTCAGCATTTCATCATTAAGTGTGATGCTTTTTGTAGGTTTGAAAAAAATATATCCTTTATGAAGTTAAGGAAGAATCTTTCTCTTCCTAATCTGCTAAGAATTTTTAATCATGAATGCAGTGGATGTTCAATTTCTCAGATGCTTTGTATCTTTTGCGGTGATTAACATAATAAAGGGGAAAATCATGTTATTAATATGGCAAGTTACATGGAATGATTTATTGTTAAACCAGTAGCACCAGGACAGTCACTAAAATTGAATTTAAAAGAATGGATAGCTTCTAAGATAAGTATTGAAAAGTTCTTTTAGTTTTTGTATGAGAATTATTTCACTTTCTAGAAAGGTATATTTTACAGATCATAGAATTATAGGTTGGTAATTAGTAATTGTCTTTCTTCACTTTGCTGATGCATTTCTTTATTGTTGGCAGTATTGGTCTTAATTTTCATCTTTTAAACAATGTAGCTAATGTATCTAGGTTTGGGTTTCTTTTTCCTTAGTGTGGTGTGATACACTGGGCTTCTTGAATCTGTGGCTTGATGTTTTTCTTCAGTTTTTGGAACATTTTCAGCCATTATCTCTTCAGGTATTGCTTCTCTCTCTCTCTCTCTCTTTTTTTTTTTCTTGGACACAGGATCTTGATCTGTCACCCAGGCTGGAGTGCAGTGACAAGATCACGGCTCACTGCAGCCTCAACCTCCTGGGCTCGAGCGATCCTCTCTCCTCAGCGATGCGAGTAGCTGAGACTACAGGCTTGTGCCACCAGGCCTGGCTAATTTTTGTATTTTTTGTAGAGACAGGATTTTGCCATGTTGCTAAGGCTAGTCTCAAACTCCTGGGCTCAAGCGATCTGCCTGCCTTGACCTCTCAAATTGCTGGGATTACAGGTGTGAGCCACTGTGCCCGGCCTTTTATTCTTTTTAAAGGTGTATAATTCAGTGGTTTATAGTACATTCACAGAGTTATACAACCATCACCATTATCTAATTTTAGAGCATTTTTATTGCCCCATAACACAAGCTTCATAACCATCAGCTATTGTTTAAAAGTTATTTCTAATTGTAGTAAGACATACAGAACATAAAATTCACCATGTAACTAGTTTTGTGTACAATTCAGCGGCATGAAGTACATTTGAATTATGCAACCATCACCAACGTCTCTTTCCATAATGTTTTTCTCTTGTAAAACTGAAACCCTGTAGCCATTAAATAATAACTCTCATTTCTCCCTTCCACAATCCCTGGCAGCCACCAGTCCACTTTCTGTATCAGTGAATTTGACTACTCTAGGTGTTTCATGTAAGTGGAACCAGACAATATTTGTCTTTGTGACTGGCTTACTTTATTCCACATAATGCCTTCAAGGTTCATCCATGTTGTAGTGTTTCAGAAAAGGCCTAAAGTTCCATTGTATGGGTAGACCAGGAGACTCCATTTTGTATATCCATTCATCTGTCAATCAACACTTCAGTTGTTTCCACCTTTTTACTCCTGTAGATAATGATGCTGTGAATATGGGTTTACAACTGTCTTTGGAAACTCTGCTTTTACTTCTTTTGGGTATATGCCCAGAAATGGAATTGCTGGAATCATATGGTAATATTATTTTTAATCTTTTTTTTTTTTTTTTTTTTTTTTCAGACAGTCTTGCTCTGTCGCCCAGGCTGGAGTGCAGTGGCACAATCTCGGCTCACTGCAAGCTCCGCCTCCCAGGTTCATGCGATTCTCCTGCCTCAGCCTCCCGAGTAGCTGGGACTACAGGTGCCCGTCACAACGCCCGGCTAATTTTTTGTATTTTTACTAGAGACGGGGTTTCACTGTGTTAGCCAGGATGGTCTCGATCTCCTGACTTCGTGATCTGCCCACCTCGGCCTCCCAAAGTGCTGGGATTACAGGCGTGAGCCACTGTGCCCAGCCCTAATCTTTTTTGAGGAACTGCTATAACCATTTTCCACAACAACTCTACCATTTTACACTTCACCAGCAGTATACAAGAGTTCCAGTTTCTCTACATCTTTACCAACAGTATTTATTTTTTATTTTTTAATAAAATAGGGCTGGGTGCAGTGGCTCATGCCTGTAATCCCAGCACTCTGGGAGGCCAACACAGTCGGATCGCTTGAGTCCAGAAGTTCAAGACCAGCCTGGGCAACATGGCAAAACCTCTCCTCTACAAAAGCTCAAAAAATTAGCTGGGTGGTGTGTTGGCACGCGCCTGTAGTCCCAGCTACTGGGGAGGGGGCAGGTTGCTGAGGCGGGAGGATCACTTGAAGCTGGGAGATGGAGGTTGCAGTGAGCCGAAATCACGCAACTACACTCCAGCCTGGGTGACAGAGCATGATCCTATCTCCAAAAAAAAAAAAAATTCTAATGAATGTCAGCCGTTACTTTTTACCTATTGTCTCTCATTTCTTCTTTTTAAATTCCATTTAAACTTGATGTTTTCTCTCTATTCTCTCTTGCCTATTCTTTTGAATATTCCATCTTTTTGCTTCTCTTTACTTTATTCTGGATTTTTTCTGCAGACTTAGTTTCCTGTTTAGTTCTCTTCATGTATTTACAGTGCACTTAGGAAAAAGAGCCCATGCATTGAGTATTTAATTTTCTCTTGTATTATTTGTTTAACCTATGTAACTTTAAAAGTTGTCATTTCTCTACCCAAAACTTTAATCATGTGTTTTTTCTTCTTAGACATAATAAGACTGGTTATTTAATTTAATTAATTTATTTATTGAGACAAGGTGTCTCTCTGTCACCCAGGCTGGAGTGCAGTGGCACGATCTCCACTCGCTGCAACTTCCGCCTCCCAGGCTCAAGTGATCCTCCCACCTCAGCCTCCCGAGCAGAGCAGCTGGGACCACAGGTGCATGCCACCACGCCCAGCTAAGTTTTGTATTTTTTCGTAGAGGTGGCATTTCGCCACGTTGCCCAGGCTAGTCTTGAACTCCTAAGCTAAGGCAATCCGCCTGCCTCTGCCTGCCTTGGCCTCCCAAAGTGCTGGGATTACAGGCGTGAGACACCACACTCGGCCTGACTTGTTATTTTAAAGTCCGTTTGCAATTATTCTCCTATCCAGGGACCCAGAGTCCAGGTTGGTCTTTGTTTCTGCTAGTTTTCACTTTGTCCTGTGTGACTGGTTATCTTTGGTTGTGTTTCAGATGTTCTCTTTGAAAAATTGTTACAGGAATAGGCCAGGCACAATGGCTCAACGTCAGTAATCCCAGCACTTTGGGAGCTGAGGCAGGCAGATTGCTTGAGGTCAGGAGTTCAAGAACAGTCTGTCCAACATGATAAAACCCCGTCTCTACTAAAAATACAAAAATTAGCTGGGCTGATAACACGTCCCAGCTACTTGGGAGGCTGAAGCACGAGAATCTCTTGAACCCGGGAGGCGGAGGTTGCAGTGAGCAGAGATCGTGCCATTGCACTCCAGCCTGGGCAACAGAGCGAGACTCTGTCTCAAAAAAACAAACAACAACAACAACAAAAGAAAATTTTTACAGGAATAATCCGAGGACTAGATTATTAGGATGATGTTTTCTTTATCCAGAAATGACTTGTGTTTTTATCTGCTCAGGGCTTTTGGGCACAAACAGTCTAACCTCACTTTAATCTGATGTCAGGGATTAGGATTTTTCTGGGCCACCCAGATGCTTGGAAACTGGGCTGCAGTCCCTGTGAAGGCTGTTTTATTTCCAACTCACTCTCCTCCTAAAGTCTAGCCATTTGGGTTTCCAGCACATGTGGTAGGGGGTTAACTAGGTCACCAACTTTGGAGGGCTTTGGAATCTAACCTTTGCCCTCCTAGATGACCCAAGAGGTTATTAAAAGTGATTCTCTGTGCCCTTTCCCAGTGTATAAATGGCCCCAGGGCAAAGTGAACCAGTTGTTGCAGGCTTATATCTGTAAATTTTGGTTGTCTCTGTTTCTTGACCTGGAAGTTCTTCTGTGCCTTCTTAGTTCTCTGATGCTGCAGGTGTCCTTTTATGTCCAGCATTTTTTAGTTGTGCTCGGCAGGAGTGTTGGTCCCAGTGACCTGGTCAGCCCTCTTCTCTCTTTTACAAAAGAGTCTTTTAAAGGTTTGTAGGATAAAGAAGATGTGTTGGACCTTGAGAACTCATCTATTCCAGTCTCATTCACATCAATACAGTAGGGTTTATTGATCACCTACCGTGTACCCAGCATTGTGCTACTTATTATGGGAATTCTGAGGAAATGCAAGATGATAGTATTCCTTACATTCAAGGAGTGTAGCTGGGGAAACAAGCACAAACGTAGATAATTAAGTAAAATGTCAGAGTCAAGGGTCACGCAGAGTTAATGGTGTTGGAAGAAAAAAATTACAACAAATTTAAAGATTTTGATTGACTTTTATTCGTGACTTTAGAATCAGGTAACACCTCATTCCATAAAACAGAATTGTGTATTCCAGTGAGCCATGCAGAAGAAGTTGGTTTTATAAACCTAAGGGCTGAAGAAAGCAGAAATAGGGGGAAAAAAAAAGTACCCTTACCACGTGCCAGGCACAGTTTACATACACACTTTATTTAACCCTCACAACAACCCACGAGGCAGCTGTTATTATTGTCCATGTTTTACAGATGAGGAGGTTAGGCACAAAGAGGTTTTTATAGTTAATTATCAGAGTGGTCTTCTGGGCAAGGACTTTTTCATGTATCCCTTTCTTCAGTAGGGAAATGGAAACCCAGGAGAAGGGCCTGAGCTGTGAAAGTGCCTGGAACTGCCTTCTGTCCTCCTGGCTGACACCCTGGACCTCTCCTGTCCTATTTCTCTGGGGCTCAGGTGCATCTACCCACTCAGTCTTCTTCGGGAGTTTCCAGGCTCCCCAGTTCCTCTAGGCAACGCATTGAAACTTGACTGTCCGGGGCTTAGCGAGGCCTTCTCTGCTCAGACCTACCAAGTAAACTGCCATCCTGGAAAAGCTGACGTCAGCTTTCCCCCAAATAAACAATAGTCCTCTTTACCTTAGCCTTGAACGATGTATGAAGGGATGTTTCTGTCATGAATAACACCCCTACCTGCAACCAGTAATGCAACTGTGCAGATAAGCTTAAGATTTCACCAGACAAAAGCTAAATAACTCACTTAAGTGATGGGCTGTTCTTTTTAAAAAATAAACTTTTTTACAGAAAAATTACAAATATCTCATTATTATATCTAACATTAATGTGGTTTATTACAATTAATGAGCCAGTATTGATGTATTATTATTAACTAGAGTTCATGCTTTATTCATATTTCCTTAGTTTCTACCTAAGGAAAAATGTCATCTTTCTGTTGCACACTCTTTTCCAGGATACCTCATTACCTTTAGTTGTTATGTTTCCCTTGGCTCCTGTTGCTGTGACAGTTTCTCAGAGTTCTTGTTTTTGATGACCTGGACAGTTTTGAGGGGTACTGGTCAGGTGTTTTGTAGGATGCCCCTCTATTGGAATTTCTCTGATGTTTTCCTCATGTTTAGACTGAGCTTAAGGGTCTTGGGAAGGACTGTCACAGGCAAAATGCCGTTTTCATGACATCATATGACGTGTACTTGATGTTGACCTCCACCATCTGGCTGAGGTTGCGTCTGTCAGTTTTCTCCGCAGGATAGTTACTCCTCCACTTCATACTGTACTCTGGAAGGAAGTCATAGTGTGAAACCTAATCCCTTTTAGCTGGAAAGTAGAGTCATTATTTTAAAGTGTTTATACCATTATTATATTATTTAAAAAATCTGTTTACAAATTGTTCTCTTTATAAAAGTTTTAAAAATTATTTTCTTCAATATTGTCAAGTAGCCAGTTTCTTGCAAGAACATTTTATGTATTGTGGGGATTATTGGGCCAATTTAGATTCCTTCAGTTTTGAAGCAGTAGATTTCAAAGCTGAATAGAAAAGTCTGCAGTTTTTGCTTTTATCAGCCGCCAGAGGCAGGCAGGCACAGGCTGTATACAAGAAATCCTAACTGTTGCCCCGTCCTGTTTGGTTGTTGTGTGAACATTGGGCAGTGCCCGGCTTTGTGTTGGAAGCATGTTTAATGAAGTCTCACAGTGCAAAACTGCTTCATACGGAGGAAGGGTTTAATCTGACTATTGGACCATTCCACAAAAAGCTCACTATTTCACATTTCTTTTTCTTTTTTTTTTTGAGACCGAGTCTTGCTCTGTCGCCAGGCTGGAGTGCAGTGGCCCGATGTTGGCTCATTGCAACCTCCGCCTCCCAGGTTCAAGCGATTCTCCTGCCTCAGCCTCCCAAGTAGCTGGGACTACAGGCATGCGCCGCCACGCCCAGCTAATTTTTGTATTTTTAGTAGAGACGGGGTTTCACCATGTTGGCCAGGATGGTCTCTATCTCCTGAGCTCCTGATCCGCCCGCCTCGGCCTCCCCAAGTGCTGGGATTACTATTTTTTTTTTTTTTTTGAGATGGAGTCTCGCTGTCGCCCAGGCTGGAGTGCAGTGGCGCGATCTCTGCTCACTGCAGGCTCCACCCCCCCGGATTCACGCCATTCTCCTGCCTCAGCCTCCCGAGCAGCTGGGACTACAGGCGCCGGCCACCTCGCCCGGCTAATTTTTTGTATTTTTAGGAGAGACGGAGTTTCACTGTGTTAGCCAGGATGGTCTCGATCTCCTGACCTCGTGATCCGCCCCCCTCGGCCTCCCAAAGTGCTGGGATTGCAGGCGTGAGCCACCGCGCCCGACCTGGATTACATTTTATGTGAGGTGCAAAGACCTACTGAAACTTCGTCTCCTATTGAAACTTGACCTAGACTACTGGGCTGACTCAGCATAAGGAAGTTACAGAACAGTTGATGATCGGCGTAAAGTTAAAGGGGTGAAGTTCTGTTGAAATCCTTCCCGTTTAATCACCGCAAAAACTGAAAGAACTTTACTTGCGACACTAAAACCACGCGTCTTGTGCACCCTCTACTGGTTTAACCACAAAGTACTAGTTTATTTACGAATTACTGCTGTTTGAACTGATAAGTCTATGAAAACAGGTTTTCATTTTTCCAAAAATTGCACCAAAATAAAGCAAAAGCTCTAGTTGATGCGGGTGTGTTGTTCAGGCGTTAGCAGTACTGCCCTCACTATGCGCTCATTGGACAGTAGCGCAACCCCAAGAAAAGGATGGTTATAATAGAAAGTCCCTGGGCTGCAAGCAGGAAGCGCCAATACCTGGTAGGGTTGTGGTAATTAATTCGTGAGCCTCGCCCTAGTCGGTCTGGTAGCTAGCTTACCTCCAGCCTCCACAGCTTTCGACGACACCCCAATTCTTTGTTTTCTGAGGCTCCCGAAGGGTCGCAAAAGCGGCGGCTCGGTTTTACCCAGAAGACCGCGCGTCGGCCGCTCGAAAATTTGCATACGCTTTTCTCGCCGGGGCGGGGCTGGCGGGGGCGGGACCGCGGCGCGCTCTTGAACTCCACCCGCAGCTAACCCGGGTTTGGCTACGCTGTATTGCCTTTTATTTCGTTTCTCCTCACCGAGTATTTTCCATTATAGCTGTACATAGCTCTTTTTGTGGAAGATCATCCTTCTTCGTGCTAATCTCTTTGGTCCTCCAGTCGGCATGCGTCTGGACTCTCGGACTGCGTCTGGGCCGGAAATGTCTAGGCCTCCCCGGAGCGGGTGGGCGGGAGCGCTGCCCCGCAGGCCGGCTGCTAACAGGCTCCCGGTGTTTCCCGCTGCAGGTGGTTCTGCTGGGCATGGACATCCTGTCCGCCCTGGTGACCCGGCTGCAGGATCGGTTCAAGGCGCAGATCGGCACAGGTGAGCTGCGGCACTTGTGGAGCGGACCCGGCCCCTTCAGACCCCCAGCCTTCCCTCGGCCTCCCCGGCTCCCAAACCCTCCCGGCAGCCACCCTGCCTCCCCTCCAGCCCCCTCTCCCTCCCTTCCGCTCCTCCCAAACAGCCAGTCCCCGCCCTCCCCCGCAGCCCCCCTAAGCACTCGCAGCCTGGGTCGGCCGCCCCGCTGCCTTCCCTTCCAGCTGGACTCCCCTGGCCTCTGGGCCTGCGGGCGCCCTTACCCTCCCCCATACCTTTGTACTGGCTTCACTGTGTTCTCACACGGAACTTAGTAATACGTGTTCTAATATGAAATATTAGTGCCATTTTTATTTCTTATGCTAAATTAGCTGTCACTCTTTAGTGCCAACCAAGTCATATTTTACCCTGACCCCGGTCCCCTTTAATGAGAGGCAGTTTTCCTTGAGAAATCCTATAAAACCAAGCCAGTTGTATTTTTCTCCAGATGATTATGGTTGGCATGACTATTTTCACCTTGATTGTAAATGTCATTACAAATGTATAGTAAATGTTCACTCTTATTTTGAAGGGAAAACAGTATGTCAGCAAAATGAAACAAAACCCACAGATTTCATAGATTTAAATACCTCTAAATTCCTGACCTCCGGTGTTTCATGGGGGTAGTATAAACACTAAGCATCTCTATGCAACCATTTCCTTATGGAATTTCTCTGTTTTACGTTGGTACACATGTATTCTTTACTGTTAACTTTCCGACCAATATGCTCCTTCTGAAAAGGTCATGAGCACCGACTGTTTACAAATTTAAAAAAAGCTTTTACTTTTAGACATTTGATATTTTAATAGTGTTCCATTTTCCTCCTAAATTAGCTGAATTATTCAGGGATATCTCATGTAATAGAGGTTTACAAACTCTTAAAATAAGCTGATCTCTGGTCTACAGGTGCACTTGGACCACTGGTGGGAGGGTCCACCCTGGGTATGTCGGGGAAGATGGAGAGCTGGGCTCTGTCTCATGTGTGTATGGGCGTGATGTAAAACTAAAAATACACAATAGTGATGAAACTTAAGATTTATTCATAAGTGCCCACTCCTTCCACCCCCAAACACATATACTGGAGCCCCTCTCCTTGTGTTTTACCTAAATTTTCCTTTCTGTTGACTCTTCCTCTCAAGGTCTTCCATTTTTATCAGCTTACAAATACGTTGGGAACTGGCTGGAGGAACGTGGGGTAAGGAGGAAGACAAATAGTGTATCTGTCCATGCAAAGGATTTTGCAGACTCTTTTGGTGACTTTCATGGACTTCAGCAAGGAGAGTAGAGCTGTGAGCAAAGATGAGTGGTTTTAGAATGAGATACATCATTTAGGTCAGGGGTTTGTCTTCCCACATAATTGAGATAGGAATACTTGGTGACCACAGACCCCCAAATAGGGTTTCATTTGATCAGTTTCCATTTTGATTTTCAGTGCTGCCAAGTCTAATAGACAGACTAGGAGATGCTAAAGACTCTGTGAGGGAGCAGGACCAAACTCTGCTGCTAAAGATCATGGATCAAGCTGCTAATCCCCAGGTAGGGGCAAGAGATGTGTTTTGAGGTCAGCTGGCCAGTGCGCGTGCATGCACGTGCGAGGGTGTGTGTGTGTACTTGCACAAATGGTGTGACTCCATAGACTTAAGCTGATGTATTACAGATAAAAATTTTCACAGCATTCAATCTGTTTCCCCATGCAAGATATTTAAATAAGTCACAAAACTATGAGATGAGTAAATTAGTGGATTTAACATGGGGGTATTGAATCTAATATACTTAGTTTTAATCCATTAGACTCTTCAGCTCATTTATGTAACCGACTCTCCAATTCTCTGAAAAGAGGGAGCTGTGGTGTCTGGGGAGTCAGGAGGCCTGGCTGGAGCCCTGGCCCCTGTCTTCCGGTGAATTGGGGCTGCTGGGATGGACCAAAACAGCCCTGCTTTCCCAGCTTCTACTGTCCTTTATTGGGGGGTGATCAGAAAAAACAGAGGCCAGTGTGAGTGTGTGATCTTTGGCAACTCACTAGCTCCTTTGGCCTTGCTTTCCTCACCCATAAAATGAGGACAGTTATACCTCTCTTTCAGGGTTCTTGGGAGAATTAAATGCAATTATGTAAATGAATGTGTTTTAAAAATTGTAATTTGATATACTTGATAACATGATAGATGTCATCATTTTCCAGTATGCTCTCGAGAGGATTAAATGTGTTGGTAGAGGATGGGACTAATTTGGCGCTCGTTAAGAGGCTTGCCTTCTATTGCTCCCTTATAAAGTGTCAGCTGCAGCAGTCTTCTCCTTTCCTCACCTGTTCTTTGTCATCTGCAGTACGTATGGGACAGAATGCTTGGAGGCTTCAAACACAAGAATTTCCGTACTCGAGAAGGCATCTGTCTCTGCCTTATAGCAACACTCAATGCGTAAGTCTGGGATGAGCCTGACATTTTTACGTGGCTGAATTTTTTAAAACTTTTTATTTTGAAATAATTATAGATTTACAGGAAGTTGCAAAGAAGTGTAGTGTGAGATCTCATGCCCCCTTTACCCACCCTTGCCCAGTGTTAGCACCTTGAATAACTATAGTACAGCATCAGTACCAGGAAGTTGAGATGGATACAATCCCTAGAACTTGCGCAAATTTCTCAGGTAAAACCACATGTGCATTTGTGTGTATATACAACTGCACAGTCACTGCCGGGCTCCTTCATGCTGCTGTGTGTAGCTGCACCCTGACCCCTGGCAACCATGAATGTATTTGAATTTCCAGGAATCTGTTCTCCCTCCCTATGATTTTGTCATTTCAAGAATGTTATGTAAATGGAATTATACAATATGTAACCTTTTGAGTTTATCTTTTTTTCACTCAGCATAATGCCCTTGAGTTTGCACCTGACATTTGATAGTTCATTTTATTGCTAAATAGAATTCCTTGGTATAGATGTGTCACAGTTGGTTAAACTAGTCACCTGTTGAAGAACATTTGGGTAATTTCCAGTTTTTGGCTTTTATGAATAAAGCTGCTATGAACATTCATGTACAAGTTTCTACATGAACATAAGTTTCCATCTCTCTTGGATCACTGCCCAAGAGTACACTTGCTGGGTGATTTGGTAAGTTCATTTTTAGTTTAAAAGGTACTGCCAAGTTTTTCCCCAGAGTTGTCCATACTGTTTTACATTCCTACCAGCAATGTCCGAATAATCTGGTTTCTTCATACCCTTGCTAGCCATTGGATGTTGTCATTTTTTTATTTTAGCCATTTTTATATGTGTGTAGTAATACCTCATTGTGGTTTTAATTTGTATTTATCTAATGGCTGTTGATGGTGAACATTTTTTTCATGTGCTTATTTGTAGGAGAGGCTTTTTAAAAATTATAAATTTCAAGCCTTTTTTTCTGATTATGAAAAAATACTGTATATATCATAAAAATGTACGCAAGGAAAAAATAAAGATTGCTATGATTCTGTTACCTTCAGGTAATCACTGTTAAATTTGGTGCATTTTATCCTAACCTGTAAAGTTATGTTATTTTTAAAAACAAAATTGAGATTATAATGTTTATATTACTTGTAAATTTTTTCCATCTTAATATGTTAGCCTTTTCAGTGCCATTAAATTTGGCCATATGTAACTGAAGCTTAAGAAAAAAAAAAGAAAACTTCTAGCCTTTGATCACAGTAGCTCCAGTTTTAGGAATGTATGCTAAGGTAGTAGGCAGATTAACCAAGAGATTTTTATTCACAAAGGCTATTTGTCATGACAGGGATGGTGATGGTGAAAATTGTAACTCAAATGTGCCCCAGTAGGGCAGTACTTGGCTCAGATGTGCCCCAGTAGGGTAGATGCTCTGATTTGATTGCAGTCTTTTCATCCAGCGGTGTTGCCTGAATGTCTAGCTCTGCCACAGCACACGGGAGAATTAAACAAGGTCCCTCAAGTGACTCGTAGTTGGCTTAAAGTGACAGACAGTAATGCAGAGGCAGCACCTGTGAGGCAAGCGGGACCTGGGGGGCTGGAGCTCTGGCCCAGCCTTAAAGGGTTAGGGCCAGATTGGCCAGAGCCCTGGGGGACAGGACGAAGACTTATCTGGGAGAAGCCACCCTAGGTTTTGAACTCTGTGCAAAGGGGCCATCGGACACATTTACTTTGGAGCCAGTGTGGATGGGATGGAGAGAGACTTGGTATGAGGTGGTGATGGGGATTGGGGAGACACGGGAAGGGCAGGTGTGGGCAGACAGGCATCTTTCTTTCTTTCCTCAGTTCTCACTAACAAGAAAGCACTCCTTTTGTTTTCAGCTCTGGAGCACAGACTTTAACACTAAGCAAGATTGTGCCACATATATGCAACTTACTTGGAGATCCAAACAGCCAGGTGAGTGAGAAGGAAAACCCTCGGGAGAAGTCATTGCTTACAGACTGTTGAGATGCATTCTGGTGTTCCGTAGTGGGTGGGACTGGAGTCCTAATCTTCACAGAACACTGATGATTATTTAAGAGATCCAGTACCCATTAGCATTTATAAAATATTTATACATTCAAATGTATAAAATAAGTTTACATTTAAGTATAAAATTGGTAAATGTGGTGGCCAGTCTGTCCTCTTCTATACACAGGGCTGAGAAATCACTAGCCTAGAAATTGATGTTATCCAGACCAGCCTCCAAGATAAGATGTCTGGCCACCACCTCTGCAGCCAAAAGGGGTGGTGCCGGGGGTGGAGGTGCAGAATCTGCTGAGGTTGGGGAGAATGATTGAAAGAGGGTCTGAGGGGAATTTTCTGAGGTGATGGGAATGTTCTACATTTTGCTTTGGGGGGTGGCTCCACTGTGTATATCATCGTGGAAACTCCTCAACTGAACCCTTAAGAACTGCAGACTTTACCTAAATTAACAAAAAGTACCACTTCCTCAGTGTGAGGGTAGGAGAGGAGCTGGCTGTCTCACCTGTGAGTTACCAGGCAATTCACAAAGTTGTACAAGTCTGGGCTGGAGAAATAGCATTGAACTCTCCTCCCAGTTCAATGCTATTTCTCAACCAGAGTCATTTTTATTATGTCATCTCATACAAACTGATAAGAATGATACTTCATTAGAAGAAGGGACAGAAAATGGAACAGTAATTTACAAGAGAAATATATATGGTCAGTGGCCTCTCCTGTGAAATCTTGGTTGATAACTGCTAAGTTACCCTCCCAGGAGGTTGTATCAGGCTGGCCTTCTACCCGACCTCCCCTGGCCTCTAGCTCCCCTGAGTCGGCACCCCTCCCCTCTTGCTCTCCAGGCCCTTTCCTTATCGTGCTCTTAGTTCCAGCAGCAGGCGTCTCTCCCTTCTCTTTGGCTGTTGTGCTGCTCCTTCCACCCCAGCCTCTCCCCTCCTCACTGCCTGTCGTCTGCTGTCTCCCTGCTTTCTTCTTCCACTCACGCCCTTTTTCAGCCTTTGTTGAAAATATATAGCATTAGGCCGGGCACGTGGTGGCTCATGCCAGTAATCCCAGCACTTTAGGAGGCCAAGGTGGGTGGATCACTTGAGGCCAGGAGTTTGAGACCAGCCAGACCAACATGGTGAAACCCCATCTCTACCAAAAATACAAAAATTAGCCAGGCATGGTGGCGTTCACCTGTGATCGCAGCTACTTGGGAACCTGAGGCACAAGAATCGCATGAACCTGGGAGGCAGAGGTTACAGTGAGCCAAGATCGTGCCACTGCATTCCAGCCTGGGCAACCCAGCAAGACTTTTTCTTTAAAAAAAAAAAAAAGGAAAATATATGGCATGGGAAATAAATGTTTAGACATTTTTATTTACTTAATCATACTTTATATTCAACGTTAATTTAAAAATAAATTGTACTATTTTTTAAAAAGATTCTAAGTTACCAAATAGATTATCGTTTTGTATCCTTCCTCCCTTTTGGTTTTGTTTCTGTTTTTGTTTTCCGTGGGAAAAATCCTTTATAGAGGCCGCACTCTGGGGGTTTCGCTGCCGCCACATGGAGTGCTCTAGCAGAGCAGAAAAGCCAACTTGCTGAGGTGATTCTCTCCTCATTCAGTTGCTGACTTTGGCCAGACAGGTGATGTGAATGTTCACACTGCCTGTGGAGATCTTCATACCTGGGGTGGGCGGTGGAGGGCTGTCACCTCTAAATGCACTTCTGTGGTGGGGCAACATAAAACCACAGCCCAGACCGACACTAGCCAGAACTACAACAAGGGACGTTGTCTAGAGTCTGGTTTGGGGAGGGGAGCACTGCATGGCTGTGCACCACACTGCAGTCCATCCCACAGGGTCCCCTCACTCACCCCCATTTCCCCTTCTTCCTCTTTTTCTTCCACATATATTTAGCGAGAGCTCATGCTGTGGGCCTGTCTTGTCTGTGTGGATCCTTGGGCTTTTTGGGGAAGGGGATGGAGATTACTAGCTTGATTTTGCTTCTGAGCCTCAAATTTTGCTTCTGCAACTGAGGCGGACCACATCCTCCAGAGGAAAGTGAAGGAAATGCCTCATTGTCCTAGGGCTCTTCACTGATGAATAACCTCAGTATTTCCCCGCCCAAAAGATCATGGACTCGGTGTAGATTTTAAGAGACATTGGGAGTGGAATGTTAAGCATATTTAAAATTTTGAATGGGTACATTCTCATCCTTGAAGCTATTCAGATAAGCCTTGGAGAATGCCCTACTCTTCACAGGTTTTCCTTTTCTCTGAAGTTTTCTGCTAGAGGAGGTCTCACTTAAAAGTTCCCTAAAGCTTTGGTAGAAAGGAGACAGGAAGGGCCTAGTCTGTTTTTGTGTTGGGCTACTCTCTGATACTATTTTTCTCCTTTAGATCTAGGGTTAACTTGTAAGGTCTCTAGGGATTTTAACAAGATTTTCTTTATTTTAGAAGTACACAGATTAAATTTCAAATGATCAGCACAATCCCACATTCTCAAAATGTAGATTCAGTTGTTTAAGAGTTTAAGATAATGTCGAGTCTTTAACAGTTTGACATACTGTTTTAAAGTTGCCAAAAGGCAGAGTATGTTTAATATTAATACTTGAGCTACCTGACGCAATGTAAGACACCTACGTTAAAGGCATAGATCCCTGCTTTGCATGTAATAGCTGACCTTGGGGTCACTTGCATCTTGAGCCTCAGTTTCCCCTTTATAGTGGAGTCAGTGGGAAGTGCCTCACCCCTCAATCCTTATGAGAGTCCTTGCAAGTGAATATTCTTAGGTGCTGGTGTGACCTGTTGGTCTAAGTAGAAGACTCTCAGAAGGCCAAGTTACTCAGTAGTCTCCTCATCATCTGAGATGGTCATTTTCATTTGCAGAAATCATGCACCTACCATGTGCCAGTGGGTTTCTGAGAAACTCAGCTGTATAGTGCTTTAAATATATGAAAAACCTTAATTGCAGGATAGCCTTAGTGTCTTGAGATGTATTTGTGATATTGACATAGCCATACTTACACCAAACATTGGCAGCCCTGGAGTAGACTATACACATACTGCCATATACCAGACACTAGTTTCACTACCAAAAATCAGGTGCTCCTGGACTGATTATGGGGAATAATAATAATAATACAACCGAAAAACAAAAGTAGTACATTTAAATGGATTACATCTTACTGCTGTATAAATCATAAATAGATTGTATAATTTTAAAAATGATTTATGAAGAAGCAGAGAGATAGTTTTTTAAAATAAGATAGAAAATGTGAGACTTGTCTAAAATGTTTCATTAAGCCAAAAATTCAAGTTAGCACTTCCTGCCTAGTGTCTTTAATGGCAGTTATACTTTTTGTGCCAGGAAGCCCTAGGCTTTGGTCAGGAGTTTGGAGCCTATAATGGTTTTGTGGGCTGAGTTCTAGGCCTGTGTGTCTGCTTTTGAGAAACTTCTTATTATTTGTTTTGTTTTTTCATTTCCCCCACCTCATCCATAAGATGAGGTTGGTACTCTACGGGCAGCTTTCAGTATTCTGTAGTAGACAGGATTTACAGCTAGAGTATTCCAAATTGAGCACTCTGAAAATAATCCATATATTCACATGTGCCTTAGGAATGTTTTGTCCGCACATATATTTGCACACGTGCGCGCACACACACACATACACAGACATACAATCAATCCATGTCTCCCTTCTGCCAGGAAGTTCTGCCACCTACCTCCCCGATACTAACCAAGTTAATTATTCCTGCTTCTGGGGTTCTTGTGTAGCTTGCATGTGCTTTTGCTGTTGCCTTTATTTTAATTTTTTCATTAATCTTTCCTACTAGTCTCTGAACCTCTAGAGTTAAGATTATAACTTGTTCCTCTTTGCAGTTCCCAATGCCCCATAACTATTTGAATGACTTTCCCTTATTTGCCAAGTCTCAGACCAGAGAGGACACTGTTGTATCAGTGTTGTCTCTGCACTTAGACACCTGACCTAGTAGTCAGCCTCCAGCTCTTCATTTCCCTAAAGCCAGTGTGCGGAGAATCCTCTCTCAGCTCTTCAGGCAGCGGCTAACAAAGACTGGATTTGGTGTTTAAAATTAACTTGGCAAGTGTTCGTTTCCTTGGTGGTCCGAATGCAGTGACTCAGAGCAGGGAGGCCTTTCAGAGTGGGCCACAGGTGCACAGTGTGTGTGGGCTAGGATGCTTTTGGTTACAAGTAACTGAAAGCCCAACTCAGAATCATTAGAGCAGTGGGGAAATGTGTCATTCTGCATGACGTAGGAAGTTTCCGGGATCTGCCAGTAGCTCGGAGCCGGAGTCTTGGGCACCTCAGCCTGTGTGCATTGCCTCCTAGAGCTCTCAGCACAGGCACAGCACCGGTACCACACGCACGGTTGGCCTGGCAGAGAGGAGGCTGCTGCTTTGTGAGCTCCTCTTCTGTTTTCAACTTTCATATCGAAAGGTTCAAACATACACGTAAGCAGTGAGAGTGCCATAAAGCGTCCCCATGTGCCATCAGCTCATTCGACAAGGCCAGTTCAGTTTTGTCTTCTTCCCCTCCTCCACCCCATTATTTTGAAGCAAAAGTTAGATTATGTTGAAGCAAATCTTAGACCACATTTATTTAACTCTTAAATATTTTAAAAGATAGACTTTTTTTCTTCAAAAACATAACCTTAATACCATTGTCACCTCCTATGTCCCGAGAATCAGCAGTTCTCTCCTATCATCAGATACCCAGCCAGTGTTCACTTTTCCCTGAATGTCTTTTTCCAAGAGCAGAGAAATGTTTTCTAGAAGCTTTCCCACAGATTCCCCTCATGTTTCATTGTTGGAGAGTTGCATTCCGTGCCCCTGTGTGACCCAGCTGCTGGGAAGGGACAGAATTGTGTGATGGCTGTACACTAAGGATGTACCTCCTGAGCTGAGGGAAGCTTTTCTTCCTGGAGGTGGGGATTTCAGTACGAAGTCTGTGCTTGTTGATGAGGACAGGGCAGTGGCTGTAACAGAGGCAGCCAGTGGTCCGAGGCATCCTAACAATAAGAATTCCCTTGACTAGATAAGAAAAGCCTGAGTTCTGCCTGAAGACTTTTGATTTCATCTTCACAGCACCTCACCTGCCCTTTTGCAGGCAGGCTGGCAGAGGGTTGCATCCAGTGGGACTCCCCATGCTGACTGCTGGCCCTCTTGTTGAGTTTGGTTCAAAGCCTAAAACATCTTGAAACATATGACCATTGCTAATTCCATGCTGTCTCCAGCTGGACAGAGCTCAGGAGGAGGGAGGAGCACCTCTGCTGCTGGCTTGACAGAGCTTCCATGCGGCCCTGCCACAGTTGCAGCCTGGGAGCCAGGGGTGGGCTCTTGGGCACAGCTGTGCTGGGGTGCTGGGGTACCCACGCTCCAAGGCACTGGCTGTGGGGCTGTGCTGGGTTCTAGGAGGACAGGGTGGATTTAGGGTCTCATCAGTTTATAGACTGCTTCCCTGTCCCCCACCCTAGGGCGGAAGCCTTCCTTTGAGTTTTTTGCTTTGCAGGAAGCCTTTATTTTGGCATCCACATTAAGGTGCAGTGTGCTGGTGAGAAGGATGTTGACTTGCCCCCAGAGAGGTGCTCCAGCCTGCCATTCCTGATCTGTGGGCATTGGGCAGGTGACTAACCTTGCCAGCCTCTACACCCTCCAGTGTGCAGTGACTATGAGGAAGGAAGGAACAACATGGTCAGACGTTGGAGACCTTAGATTCTGTAAAGCATACATATAAGACCTGGCAGAGCGTGCTGCATGTATGGGGCTCTTGTCTTTTTGCAGTCTTCATGGCCTGACACATTGTGGTGCCTTTCTGTGGTGAGCCTGAGGGGTCAGCAGGGAGAGGCAGTGCGAGACCAGTGAGAGCCTGTGTAGAAGTGAATAGCTGCATTGTCCTGCAGTCTCAGCTGAATGGCTTTTGTTTAAACCTCTTCTCTATTAGAGTGTCCTACTTTGCAGTACCAAAGAATACCTGTTCATCTGCAGTTCTTCAGTGAAGAATAGTTTAGACCCCTAAATGCTATCTGACCCTGTAACTTTCTAGGTCTAAGGAACGATTATTTTAAAGGATAAAGATGTTGGTTTAAAAGATAGAGATAACACTAGCCGTTGTGTTGATTGCTTTATAGATACAAACTATAGGTCACAAACTGCTGGCATAAAGCTGGTTTCAGCCTGTAGATTTGTGGGTGTGTGTATGCTTGTGCCTGCAGAATGTTTTAATTTTACATTTTGAGTTCAAATGAGTTTATATTTGGGAGACTTATATTTTTAACTTTTCTTGAAAGGGTAGAAGGCCTGGTAAAGCTGTGCTACCATTCCTCTGTGGCTGGGTGGTGGTGGCCCATCTGCCTGAGCACCTTATCCCTCTTCTGTCCCTGCCTCCAGGGTTCCCTGCCAGTGCCATTTGTCACCCTGCACTCAGCCTGCTGCAATCACTCACTCCTCATGTCACTGCCTGGCCTGTGTAGGCGTTTCAGTTCATTTTCACCTAGTAGGCACTCAAATATTTGTTGAATGAAACTGTTATTTCTTTCAGTCCTCAGAGCAACCCTCAGTTTACAGAGGAGGAAATTGAGACCAAAGGAGTTCTAGTGTTTTGTCTAAGGTTACACAGCTCCCTAAATGGCCAAGTAGGTCCTTAAGTCTACTTATTAATATTTGACTCTAAAGCTAGTAATTTTTCCAGTAAATCTCTTAAACGTTTATGGCCCAGACTTTCTAAGTAGCTGCCTGGGTATTGATTGTTCTTTAAAGAGATCACCCATTGAGATTTGCTCTGAGCAGATGTTATCCCTAGAAACTAAGCAATGGTGATACACTTTAATAGTATTCAAGGTATAGTAGCATTGACTACTTCTGTAATATATGCATTTTTCTTTTTTTCTTTTTCTTGAGACAGCGTCTTGTTCTGTCACCCAGGCTGGAGTGAAGTGGTGTAATCTCGGCTCACTGCAACCTCTGCCTCCTGGGTTCAAGCGATTCTTGTGCCTCAGTGTCCCAAGTAGCTGGGACTAACAGGCGCTCGCCGCCATGCCCAGCTAAAGTTTTTTTTTTTTGTATTTTTAGTAGAGACGGGGTTTCACCATGTTGGCCAGGCTGGTCTCGAACTCCTGACCTCCAGTGATCTGCCTGCCTCGGCCACCCAAAGTGCTGGGATTACAGGCATGAGCCACCGCGCCCGACCGCATTTTCAATGTAAAAATATTCCCTAACATTAGAAATTATTTTTTTCCCTCAAAATAAACTGATAATCTGTGTTTGTCAGCTCTGGCTGCCATAACAAAATGCTGTAGACCGAGTGAGTTAAACAACAGAAATTAATTTTTTCACAGTTTTAGAGGCCGGGTTCTGGTTGGGGCTCTCTTCCTGGCTTGTAGATGGCTGCCATCTCACTATGTGCTTATATGACCTCTTCTGTGTGTGTACCCAGCTCTCTGGCTTCTCTTATGAGGACACTAATCCTCTAATTTTAGGGTCCCGCCATCATGACCTCATTTAACCTTAATTGCCTCCTTTTTTTTTTTTTTTTTTTTTTTTTGAGACGGGGGTCTCGCTCTGTCACCCAGGCTGGAATGCAGTGGTGTGATCTCAGCTCACTGCAACCTCTGCCTCCCGGGTTTAAGTGATTCTCCTACCTCAGCCTCCCAAGTAGCTGGGATTACAGGTGTGTGCCACCACGCCCAGCTGATTTTTGTATTTTTTAGTAGAGACGGGGTTTCACCATGTTTGCCAGGCTGGTCTCGAACTCCTGACCTTGAACTCGCCTGAACTTGAACTTGCCTGAACTCGAACTCCTGAACTTAAACTCGCCTGCCTGGGCCTTCCAGAGTGCTGGGATTATAGGCACGAGCCACCATACCCAGTTACCTCCTTTTTCTAAAAAAAAAAAAAAAAAAAAAAAAAAAAAAAAAGCTTGAGTCTTGCTTTGTCTCTGAGGCTAGAGTGTGGTGGTAGGATTATAGCTCACTGCAGCCTCCAACTCCTGAGCTTGAGTAATCCTCTTACCTCAGGCCCCCCCAAGTAGGTAGGACTGTAGCTGAGTACCAACTGGCCCAGCTAATTAAGAAAAATTTTTTTTGTAGAGATGGGCGCTCACTTTGTTGCCCAGGCTGGTCCCAAACCCCTGGGCTCAAGCTGTCCTCCTACCTTGGCCTCCCAAAGTGCTGGGATTACAGGTGTGAGCCACCATGCTCGGCCCTTAATTGCATCCTTATAGGCCCTATCTTGAAATATGTTGGAGAGTTAGGGCTTCATCATTTGAATTTTGGGGGCACACAGTTCAGTCCACAGCATGAGGTTTTGGGTGACAATATAGCCTAAGATTTGCCTTTTTCCACTGGAAGAGATAAAAATTATGAGTAAAGTTACCTGTCATGTAACACTGTTAAATCAGAGGACTCCCTTCAGTATTTCAAATTGTAAATTTTTGCTTGTATTCCTGCTTCTTTTCTCTTCATTCTCCACTACCTTGATGTTGTACTCCCATCTTTGCTTACTGAATTAAGCACAGTCTCCCCAACACCACCTGGCCTTGGTTCCATTTTATGTTTTAAAAATGTTTTTCTTCCTACCTTTTTATTTGCAGATTTTTTAACATACAGAGAAAGTGAGTGTATTTACCAGTTAACATTTGTTACATTTCTTCTGTATCTCTGTGTACACACATACATACATATACAGACACATACTTTTTTCTTGAGCCATTTGAAAGTAACATGCAGATATAATGATTTTTTTTTTCTTTCTGAGACAGAGTCTTGCTCTGTTGCCCAGGCTGGAGTGCAGTGGCACGATCTCAGCTTACTGCAAACTCCGCCTCCAAGTGATTCTCCTGCCTCAGCCTCCTGAGTAGCTGGGATTACAGGTGCATGCACCACCACGCCCGGCTAATTTTTTTGTATTTATAGTAGAGACAAGGTTTCACCATGTTGGCCAGGCTGGTCTTGAACTCCAGACCTCGTGATCTGCCCGCTTCGGCCTCCCAAAGTGCTGGGATTATAGGCGTGAGCCACCACGCCCGGCTTATGATGATATTTTTAACCCTAGACATATCAGTGTGTATGTATCATTTAATAACAAAGATATTTTCTTATATTAACGCATGTCATTTTTCTCACCCTGGAAATTTAACATGGATACAGTGATGTGTAATATACAGTCCGTATTCAAATTTCCCCAGGTTAGAAAAAAAGTCTACCCTGTCTCTCACACCTTATTTCGTATTTCATGCTGCTTTCTTAGTTTGATCTGGTCTGGCCAGACCGGCGTACTTCCTCTTCCTGAAGCATGTGCCGTGCATGTCTGCTTTCGTGCCTTTGCACAGGCTGTGTCTTATTCGGAATTCGCTCATTCCATCTGGACCTGGTGAAATCCTGCTGTTCCAAGCACTTCGCAGTGGTTTCTTCCTCATATGGCATCCCTTGACATCCCCTAATGTGATTGCTCCCTTCTTTAAACCACAACCTCTTTATGCTCTTGAATAATGTTTATTCCATCATGCCCTGTAATGTAGACTTTTAGGACTTTTTAAAAATCTCCTTCTTAGGACTAGGGGCTTCTTGAGTATGGGACTTCATATGGCCTGTACTACCCATTTTTGTTGCTCATTAAGTATTTGTTTAATTGACTTAAATCCAGAGTGTTTTACATGGTATTTTATTTTTAGTATCATTTATTTATTTTTAGTGTTGTTTCTTAATTTGGAAAGATGGTCTGAAAATTCCAGTTTTCCAAAATTACCTTAAAGAACGGAAAGAACTAAGGATATGGACTTTGCCGTGTATATAGGGATGGGGGTCCCACAGTTTTACTACCGTTTGACATTGTATCAGCAAAGTGAAAACTGTCAAAACATGGCTTTCTCTAGACAAATGTATATAAGGATTGTATTCACAGTTGCACTGGTAAAATGGTGATAAATTGGGGTGGTATATGGCCTGTTGTGTCCCAGCAGGACTTGCTGGGGGATGACACAGAGCAGCTGTAAGATCTCTTCTTTTATATCTAGGTTCGAGATGCAGCAATAAACAGCTTAGTGGAAATTTACAGACATGTAGGAGAACGTGTGAGGGCAGATCTCAGTAAAAAAGGATTGCCACAGTCCCGGTGAGTGCAGATTTTTTCCTTTCTTCTGCTCTACCCAACCCCCCGCCCCCTTTGTTTTCCAGTTAATATCTTGATTTGCAATACTTTTTCTGTTGTGGTTATTTTATTCAAAGAATATAAGGTTAGAGGGTAGTTGGAGATTTTATCCAGATCATACATCAGGGGTCCGCTCCCATTCCAGTTCCTCAGAAATGAGAGTTTCTCACTCAGACAACTGGCCAGGTCCCATGCCACATACTGATTTTAAAAGCAATTGGTATTGAAAAATTCAGCACTCTTACAGTTTTATGGTTCTGTATCTATGATTCTGTATCTATATCTGTACAGACAGCACTTAGTATAGTAGGTGCTTAGAATATATTTGAATGAATGAAGCCATTCCAGAATGTGTTTGGATAAAAATTCATAAGTTATAATTTTGGAAATCATGTTTTAAATGTAACTTTCTGTTTTCATGTCATTCACAATGTGTATAAGCCCATGCAAGGGGATCAGCGTCTCATCAGACCCAAGACAATTGGAGTCCACAAATGCGACTTTGTTATAGTCCAGATTTTTAAAATAATGTAGTGATCAGATATGTATAATTTTAACTGTGATGGAGAAACTTAACACCAAATTAATTCCAAACTTTTACCCTGGGTCATTCCTTTAAGGGGGAAAGTAATGTTAAAATTCCAGATAGAACTGGAGTGGACTCACAGGGCAGCTTATCTGAGCCTGTCATTTTGTCCATGGAAACCCCAGAGGCCTAGAAACATGAAGTGACTTTTGAGAGATTACACAGCTACTAAGAGAGAGAACCAAGTTCAAAACCCTGTTCTTCTGACTTGCCTTTTAATTTTCTCCGTCCTGTTTCACAAAAGAGTTTATGGCATACTGGGCATCTGGAAATGGGATGGAATATTGAAATATACAGGAGTCAACTGTCTTGATGTCTCTAAGGCAAACATGACGGCAGTGGGCCCCAGACCCTCAAGTGGTGGCTCCACGGGCAGACAAGTGGACTGTGCTTCCTTGTGGTTGAGAGTCATGCCTGATCTGGAATTGCTCTCACCATCTGTGCACAGGATGATTAGATGGGAATAAAACTACTTTTCATGTTCTTTACAAAAGATAATCTGTGATAATAGTTTTTTTTGTTTTGTTTTTTTTTTTTAAGTTCCTGTGTTTTGTGAACCTCAGCCTTCTGGTCTTTGAATATATGGTGAGAACACAGGAGGAAAAAGAACTCAATAGCAATACTAAACAATCTCTTAGGGAAAGTTGGAGGGCACAGATGATCAGGGAAGGCATGATATCAAGGGAAGGGACTGTTTAATGACGAAGTCACCGTGATTGTTGGGAAAACAGGTCTCGAGAGTGAAACCCTGCCCTGCTGCAGGGATGGCCTCATGCCATGCTGTGTAACTTGATGTGACCCCAGACCATGAATCCACCATTTTACACAGTTTCCATCTTAACAGGAGGCTTCCTCTGTGTTTTTGGAGGGTAACCACAGCAAACTAGCAAATCAGGGGGAAATGACATGGTGAAACCGAGATCTAGAGAGGTGAGTGCAGGAAAGAGTTAATGCAGCTGGCCTGAGACTGCTTTCCTTAGAAAGGCCTGCTTACAGGCCTGGCCCCATGCTGGTGTCTAGAAATGTGGATTTGGGGAGGGCCCCCACCATTCCCAACAAGTGGAATAAGAGTGGCTCACTGTGTCAAACTGCACAGCACAATTTGGTTTATGCTGAATACCTGCTTTCCTTCTGAGAGTCTGGCATTTTGTTAAGTGCCAGGCAGAGGGTGTTTACATGACCAGCCCCCAGGAAAAACCCAGGGCACTGAGTCTCTAAGGAGCATTCCTGATAGAAAGCATCTCACTTGTGTTGTTACAACTCACTGCTGAGGGATTAAATGTGTCCTGTGTGACTCTACCAGGAGAGTCTCTAGGATGCTTGCCTGGTATCCTCTGGGTTTCACCCCATGCATCTTTCTCCTTTGCTGATTGTGCTTTGTATCCTTTTGCTATAAAAAATCACAGCTGTGACTATGATTGTGCTGAGTCCTGTGAGTCTTCCTAGTGAACCAGTAAGCCTGGGGGTGGTCCTGGAGATCCCCAACACAGTGGGACCTCAGAGGCCTGGATGCCAGAGCTGGAGTTAAAGCCACCTTTTCCAGCTTCTCAGTCACATGTTTCTCAGGTTCTTCACATGACCCCCTCCTTCTTCTCTTTAAAAAAAAAAAATAAAATAAAAAAGGCGCTACAAAAGAACTTGGACCTCTGAATAGAAATGAGGGTTTCTGCTAGCTCACGTTACCTAAAATCCTCCTACAAATTCTCCAAAACGGAGAGGGTATTCTTAGGGAAATGGACCCACACCCTTCACATCCATATTGTGACACTTTGGCATACACGAGTGCTTGGAGAACTATGCTGTTCTTTAAAAACCTTACTCTAGTGAGAGAAGCTGAAACTTCAAGTTTCCTTGCATTTACTACAAGACAGTTACCTAAGATCTAGAACTCTGAGGGGCAGAGGCTCCAGTTACCACCTTTGTTTTTGTGCCCAAATGGAATGAGGCTTTTATGGTATCAGAGAACTTCAGTATCTGCTATATGTGGCTCCACGTGGGTGACTGGATTACTTGAATAGTCGAGACTTCTCTTACATCATTATAGATTTTTTAGTAATTTTGTGAGCATAGATTTTTCAACTTAGCAAGCTTCCATAGGACTATTACAATATTGTAAAATTTGCTTAATGCTTTCCAAAATTGGATTTAGTTCTAAATTAAAAATGTCTTCATAAGGGTTTGTTCACCAAGAGAGTATGTTGAGAAGAATACGATTAATTATATCTCTAAGAAATACGTGGTGAGGAAAATGCCTTAGTGAGATCACCTAAATGACTTAAATAGCAAGAGTAGTAATCCCATTCAAGCAACAATTTTCTTTGTCCATTTCGCAGTTGAGAAAAGAGACCTGTACAACCAGCTTCACTTTGGAGGAGCTGGAATTAGGGATTAGGGCCATTTGTTGTTATTTCAGTCTTCTCTTCTCGTGGCCAAAATCTTATCGAGCCAGATAATAAAGTGGAGGTAGTTAACAAAATCTTCATGTTAGAGGGTCTCCCTGCTTACATGGGGTCTCAGAGTAGTTGAGGCCCTAAAGGTATAGAATATTTGACCATTTAACATGGTTTTTACATGTATTATTATAGTTCATGTATATATGTTCAGAAAATAAATAACTTCTAGCCATCATAAGATATCATGTAGTTGTGTGATACCCTGTGAGGCATGCTTGACAACTTAATAAAATGTTAACTCTTTGTTACTTTCATAGACTTTTAGCATATCTTGACATTCACTCTCATCCCATTGAGTCTTCTAGAAAATATTTTTAGTCAGTATCACATATTTTAGTTTGCAGAGTGTTGGGAAAAAGGTCACTTATGTTAAATTTCTTCTGGGATCATCATTTGGGAACCAAGCTTCTAAAAAGCAGTGGCTTTAAACCTGAAGATGATTTAACTTATAGACAGGGCTGAGACATAGGTCACTTGATTCATTATAACTATTTGGTAACTTACATTGGGAACTACTTTTTTAAAAAACACATTTCATAATATTTACTCGTTTGCTATCTATTTTAAAATTTATAAACATTCATCAGGTTTTATTACTTAATGATTGTTTCGGAAAGGGAAAATTGGTACTTTAAAATTTTTAACTTGCTTGCTAAAGCTTTAGTGTTAAAGAGAACCCAAGGTGAAAGCAGATGATAAATTGCTCTGAGACATCACTTATTTTTAATTTTATTTTTTGTCATAGTTATTTGTACACACAGAGATTCAACTAGATTTATAAGATACATTTTTGAAAAGACAGTTCCTCACTCTTTCTGCCTTTTTCTGCTCCTCAGAGGCAAACGCTGTCAACTGTTTTTATTGATCCTTTTGTTATTTACTGTTCTCCTAATAATTGGCAGGTATTGCTATTTAAAAATTTTTTGTCACTATAAGAATTATACTTTTCACTATGCAGGCTGAATTTCAGCTCTCTCTCTCTCTCTCTTTTTTTTTTTTTTGAGATGGAGTTTCGCTCTTGTTGCCCAGACTGGAGTGCAGTGGTGTGATCTTGGCTCACTGCAACCTCCACCTCCTGGGTTCAACTGATTCTCCTGCCTCAGCCTCCCGAGTAGCTGGGATTGCTGGCATGCACCACCGTGCCTGGCTAATTTTGTATTTTTAGTAGAGACGGGGTTTCTCCATGTTGGTTAGGCTGATCTCGAACCCCCGACCTCAGGTGATCCACCCGCCTCGGCCTCCCAAAGTGCTGGGATTACAGGCATGAGCCACTGCCCCTGACTGCTCTCTTTTCTCTTAACCTCTCTCATATATACTTCCAATCTCCTCATCTATCAAATAAAGTCATATTTTAATTTTGGTAAGGACAACATATAGTTCATATTATGATTATGAATGCTATTTACAGTTCACTATTAATATTTGGTAAACTATGATTACCTTTTTCTTACAACTTTTTGTTTTTCCTGGAGTTAATAACTGTTTTAGTTTCATTTGTATAGTTGTCTGTATACTTACTGCATACTCATACTTTCTACTTGCTAACCTCTCTGCCAGTTGTGTAAGTCTGTGAAGCCTGTTTCAGCCTGAACTGGCTGCCTTCACTGCCTCTTGCAAACCCATCATCCTGACACCTCTTTGTCATCCTGGGTCTTTGCTTCACCTTTCTCGGCAGGTGCATCTGCTGTTTCTTGGAGACTAGGCCTTTTCTTTCTTGGTTCATTCATTCATTCATTCATTCGTCCATTTATTTAATTTTTAAAATTATTTTTATTTATTATTATTATTTTTTGAGGCAGGATCTCTCTCTGTTGCCCAGGCTGGAGTGCAATGACATGATCATTGCTCACTGCAGCCTTGACTTCCTGGGCTCAAGTAATCGCTCCATCTCGGCCTCCCAAGTAGCTGGGACTACAGGCGCATGCTACCATGCGCGGGTAATTTCTGTATTTTTTGTACAGGTGGGGTTTTGCCATGTTGCCCAGGCTGGTCTCAGGCTGATTTTTTTTGAATCACTAATTAAATCTCTCTACTTGTTAGGGGTCACTAATTCAATTTCTCTACTTGTTAGGGGTCTATTCAGATTTTCTGTTTCTTTTCAAATCAGTTTTGGTAGCTTGGGTCTCTGTAGGAATTTAGTCATTTTATCTTGGTTATCTAATTGTTGGCATATAATTGTTCATAGAATTCCCCTGTAATCCTTTTTATTTGTACATGCTTAGCAGTAATGCCTTCCCTTTCAAGGTTCTTATTTCATTAATTTGAGCCTTTGCTCTTCTGGTCAGTCTAGTTAAGGTTTGTCAGTTTTTGCCTTTTCAAAGAACTAACTTCTGGTTTCATTGATTTTTCTGTTTTCCCTGTTGTATATATTTTGCTTATTTCACTCTAATCTTTACTTTTGATTGGTTTGATGTACTTGTCTTTTTCCAGTTTTTTAAGATGGAAGGTTATTGATTTGAGATCTTCTGTTTTAATGTAGACATCTACACCTATGAATTTCTAAGTACTGCTTTAGCTGTATTCCATAAGCTTTGATATGTTAATGTTTTCATTTATCTCAAAGTATTTTCTAATTCCTTTTTGTTTTCATTTTTGAGTTATTTGTTACTTAGGAGTGTTTGATTTCTACATTTGTTTGTTTCTTATTTCTTTTTGTTATTAATTTCTGATTTTATCAAATTGTGGTTAGAGAACATAATTTGTATGGTTTCAGTCATTTGAAATCTTTTTTTTAAATTAAAAACATTTTTTTGAGGCAGAGTCTCACTCTTTTGTCCAGGCTGGAGTGCAGTAGTACAGTCTTGGCTCACTGCAACCTCTGCCTCCTGGGTTCAAGCAATTCTTGTGCCTCAGTCTCCCAAGTAGCTGGGATTACAGATGTATACCACCACACCCGGCTAATTTTTGTAATTTTAGTAGAGACGAGGTTTTGCCACATTGGCCAGGATGATCTCAAACTTCTGCCCTCGTGTGTTCCACCTGCCTCAGCGTCCCCAAGTGCTGAGATTACAGGTGTGGTCCACCGTGCCCGGCTTGAAATTTATTGAGGCTTATTTTTGTGGCCTGGCATGTGGACTCCTGGATAATGTTCCATGTACACTTGAAAAGAATCTGTAAGGCAGGCCCAGTGGCTCATGCCTGTAATCCCATCCCTTTGGGAGGCCGAGACGGAAGGATTGCTTGAGCCCAGGAGTGCAAGACCAGCCTGGGCAACATGAGACCCCGTTTCTACAAAAAAATTAAAAAATTAGTTGGGTGTGGTAGCGTGTGCCTGTGGTCCTAGCTACATGAGACGCTGAGGCAGGAGAATCTCTCCAGCTTGGGAGGTTGAGGTTGCAGTGAGCTGGGATCGTGCCACTGCACTTCAGCTTGGGTGACAGAGAGAGACCCTGTCTTAAAAAAGAAGAATCTGTATTCTAATATTGTTTGTTTGAATGTCTTATAGATGTTTGTTCTAGTTGGATTATAGTGTCATTGAAGTCTTATTTTCTGGTTGATCCTCTTTCTGGTTTTTAAAATCCATTAAGGAATGTACATATTGAAGTTTCCAGTTAATACTGTTGAATTATCTATTTCTCTCTTCAGTTGTCACTTTTTGCTTCCTGTATTTTGGGCTCTGTTCTTAGGTGCATATATGTTTATAATTGTTATGATCCCCTGAGCACTGACTCTTTTACTATTGTAAAATGTCTGTCTTTGTGCACAGAGAGAAGTTTTGTCTTAAGGTCTGTGTTACTTGTTATCACTATAACCATTCTAGCTCTCTTTTGTGTACTGTTTGCATGAAATATCTTTTTCCATCCTTTACTTTTCAACCACTTTGTGACTTTGAATCTTAAGTGTCTCTTAGACTGGGTGTGGTGGCATGTACCCCCAGTTCCAGCTACTGGGGAAGCTGAGGCAGGAGGATGACTTAAGCTCTAGTTCAGCCTTGGCAACCTAGTGAAACCCCATCTTTTATAAAAAAAATAAATACAGTGAGTCTCTTGTAGACACTATAAAGTTGAGTCTTATTTGTTTATGCAGTCTGACTTTTTTTAACTTTCCATTGGTTTAATCTATTTATATTTAATGTAGTACTGGCAAGGTAGAATTTATGTCTGCAGGTGTGCTATTTATGTTCTATATGTCATGACTTGTTTCTTTGTTCCTCTGTTACTGCGTTATTTTGTGTTAAATAGATATTTTCTAGTGTACTACTATAACTTGCTGTTTATTTTAGTTTTTTGGGGGGAATTATTCGCAGTTGCTCTGGGGCTTGCAATTAACATCTTAACTTTAAACAGTCTAGTTTAAATTGATACTATTTAATTTCAGTATTAAAAACTTCTACTTAGCTCTGTTTTCTTCTTTTTTTGCTATTGTCATGCAAATTACATCTTTATACATTATAAGCCCACCAGTGCATATAGTTCTATAATTATTGCTTTATGCAGTTTCTTTTTAAGTTATGTAGGACAAGAAAAGAGCTAAGAACAAAAAATACTTTTATACTATATTTTATATTTACCTATGTAGTTATTTTTACTTTTTTTTTTATTTCTTCATGTGGATTTGAGCTGTTGTACAGTGTCCTTTCATTTCAACCCAAAGGACTGTTGTTTTTCATTTATCTGGTAATATCTTAAGTTCTCTTTTGTTTTTGGTGAATAGTTTTGTTACATACAGAATTCTTGGTTGATTGTCTTTTTTAATTTCAGAACTTTGAATATATTATCTATTCCCACCCTGCTCCACTCTGGCTTTCATGGTTTCTCATGAGAAATCAGATATTGACCTTTTTGAGGATCCCTTGTGCACAATGAGTGGGTTCTCCATTGTTGCTTTGAAGATTTTCTCTTTGTCTTCTCTTGTGACAGTTTGGTTATTGTGTCTAGATTTGGATCTCTTTAAGTTTATCCTGTTTGGAGTAGCTTGTTAAATATATAGATTGTTTTATATCAAATTTGTGAAGTTTTTAGCCATTATTCTTCATATATCTTTTTTTGATAATTTTTCAACGTGGTAGATGCCTGAGGCAACGATAACAACTAGGGCAAAGTATCTGACCCAAAAAGTCCTTTGAAAAGTACCGTATCTCCTTTTCTTTTTTCTGTTTTCCTGGGACTTCTGTTATGTGACTATGTTGGTACATTGGTTTTGTAAGATGATCTCTTAGACTCTGTTCATTGTTTTTGTTTGTTTCTGTTACTTAGGTAGGATATGGTATCATTTGACTGATCTTCAAATTTGTTGATTCCTTCTTGTCTCAGCTCAAATCTGTTGAACTCCTCCTGGTGAATTTTTAATTTCAGTTATTGTATTTTTCATCTCCAGAATTTCTGTATGGTTCTTTTAAATATATTCTTTCTGTTTGTTGTTTTTCTCTATTTGGTGAGACATTGTTCTTACACTTTAATTCTTCAGAAATAGTTTTCTTTAGATCTTTCGACATATTTATATTAGTTGACTTGAAGTCTTCATTGAGTTAAGGCAATGTATAGGTGTCCTTAAAAATAGTTTTTGTTGACTGATTTTTATTTCCTTTGTATGGGCCATATTTTCTTGTTTCTTTGTCTCATCATTTGTTGTTGAAACTGGACACTTGAAATAATATATTGTGGCAACTCAGGAAATCATATTCTTTCCCCTCCCCAGATTTTTTGTTGTTGCTTTTTATTGTTTTTGTTGCTTATTTTGTTCTAGTGACTTTCCTGAAAGAATTCCTTAAAGTCTTTGTTCTTTGTTATATGTTGCCACTGAATTCTCTGGTTGGTTAGCTTAGCGGTGAGCTAATGATTGAACAGAGATTTCCTTAAACATGTTGAACCAGTAAGTCTCCCAGCCTCTACTGACTGGCTCTGTGTTTTGGGGGCATGCTTTCAGTGCTCTGAAAGGTGTTTTGCACCTCTGTCTTCCTTTTTACTTCCTGCTTGTTCAGAGTGTCAAAGTCAGCCAGTGGGGACATTAGAGGCTTCAGGGGTCTTTCCTGGGCCTGTGCATGTGCACAGCCTTGCACATATACGTGACCTCCCAGGTTCCCAGGAGTATGTCAGTGTTTTCAAAGTTTGCTGTGGACATCTCAATTTCTACCCCTCCTTCCCCCCACCTTTTTTTTTTCCTATTTTTGGTCAGCTTCTTTGCCCCAGTTGTTATTTCTGTCTTGGGTATCCGCCATGTTGAACAGTTGTCACTGGTTAGTTTTGATCATCGCCTCAGGGAAAAGGCCTCTAACATTGAACAAGCTCTAAGTCAGGTCAGATAAAGACAAGCCCTGCAACTGGGCTTGCAGGGATGTGCCAGATAGGTGGAATGATAGTTCTTTGGGAATGGGGACTTTTAGGGAGCTCCAGACTTGGGAACTTCAGCTCTTTCTAGTGGCTGCCAGGCTGCTGGTTTTCACACTTGCCATGATGATAAGTTGATTTGGACGGTTTTTGCCAATGTTTTCTTTGCTTCTTTGAAGCAGATTTTCAAGGGTCCTTATTCTGCCATTTTAAAGTGCTACTCTCCTGTTTTATGATCACAATATTTTCTCTTATCTCTTTGGAAGCACTAATGACATTTTTAAAAAAACTTTTTCTTTCTCTTTAAAATCTCTTCTGTCCTCCAAGTTTGGATTTTTAAGTATGTGTTTATGTTGATTTCTCTTTTTCATGCTAGAAGCTCTGAGTATATGGATGCAGCTTATTGACTGAGATTGCCGTGATTAAGTATTTGCTTCCAGGAAATTATTTAAAATTTATATATAAAATTTTCTAGGAAGGAACTAATTTGAACTAAATCTTATAGTAAAATAAATTCTAATTGGATTGAAGAGTTTAATATGGAAATTTAAATTCAGAAAAAATAGAGGAAGATGGTGGTTGTCAAACCAGTAAAGAAATTTATTTTAAATGGAAATCCAGAGATTTAAAATAAAACAATTTAGTGGCCTCAGAGGGTAATCATTAGTTATGTATTCAATGTCTTTGAATATATAAAACTCATCCTTTTAGATTTGTGTGAATCAGTAGGTCCCAAGAGAGACATTTTATATTTTTGTGCTCAGAGCTAGCAAACAAAAACCAGTCCTTTCATTCCTAAGGATGCTTTGTTGGTGTTAGACTGTCTCTTTAGGTGGTAACCTTGATAGGAGCTGTTGTAGCAGCATTAATGAGCAGAGAATGAGGGAGCTAGTGAGGCAGGAGAGTAAAAGCGGAGGGAATTCTGAATTAAGGTGGACATACTAGTAATAGTTATGTTTATAGTGTTCTCATACCTAGTTGTTCAGGCTTGCCAGGTCGTGGGTAATGTGACCACAGTGAGAATGCCTCACCACTGAGAAAGAATCTGCAGACTCGTACACAATTACCATTTAGAATGGTGAATACTCTCCCAGGAATGAAAGAAATACTTGCCTTCTTCCAGTAATTTCAGGAACAGCCAGACTAGAGGTATACCTTGGCTCTAACTTGCAGACTTGCAGACATGCTCACATCAGAGGGTGTGGTTGTGACACAATCAAGTAGTGCCTTAGTGAGGGCATGCCCTGGCAACCGGTGTCATGATATTATTTATGAGTTTGTCAAGCCATTGGAGATCTTTGTTACTTTTAAAAAGGGAAGATAATGGAAACATCATAAGAAACACAATCATGTAAGGCATCTTTCCAGTTCTTTAGTAACTGCTGGATTTGAAAGTGAGTTATAGTTTTATTCATATCTGGTCCTGAGGTGGCAATTGGAGTTTTATTCAGTGCCAGCTTTAACGAATGGGTAGTGGCTGCCTGGAATAGTTTTGAGAAGGATTCTGAGGGAACATCTGGGCTTGGTGGAAAGATGGCTTGAAAAGATTGTTGGTGTCTCCTATGGAATGGGGGGAGGCAGTGCATCAGGCTGGTTCATCCCCCTCATTTGCTGATGTGTAATTTTGTCCTCTCTGTTACTTAGAGCATAAGCTCCAGAGGGTAAGAACTCACTAGCTCGGTGTTGGGCACATAATGGGCACTCAAGTATTTTTGAGTGAATGAACAAATGAATGAACTAACACCAGAGCTTGTGTGAATACCTACAGTTTTCCAGAGTGAGGAGTTAGGTTCCAGCTGTCTAACATAGTGATGTAACTCTCCTGAGTGAGTGTCTGCATGGCATACATAGTGTTTGGTACAAATACCAAAAGAATGTAGCTCACATCTCTACCCCTAAGGAGCTTCCATTCGCTTGAGAAGAAAAGGCAAACATATTTGAAATGATGAGAGCTGGCAGGATAGGATGGTGTGTTAAAAAGCACTTAAAATGTCCCTAAAATTGAATGCACAGATACATTGCTTTGGAATCTCAACACTTACTCCAGTATACCTGTGAGAAAGCCTCTTTTTTCTTTCTTTTTTTTTTTTTGAGACGGAGTTTCGCTCTTGTTGCCCAGGCTGGAGTGCAGTGGCACGGTCTCGGCTCATTGCAGCCTCTGTCTCCCGGGTTCAAGCAATTCTCCTGCCTCAGCCTCCCTAGCAGCTGGGATTACAGGCACCCACCACCACACCCAGCTAATTTTTTGTATTTTTAGTAGAGATGGGATTTCACTATGTTGGCCAGGCTGGTCTCAAACTCCTGACCTCAGGCGATCCACCTGCTTCAGCCTCCCAAAGTGCTGGGATTACAGTAATGAGCCACCATGCCCGGCTCAAGAAAGCCTCTTTTTTCTTAACTTTTTCTACTAATTATGATTGCATTCTCCCACCTTTTCCTTTCATTTTTGGTGTCACTAGGATGGAATATTTAGACTGGTTAAGGAATTTTGCTTTAATTTAAATGCCAAGGTGAAATGATCCATTAATAGAAAATAAATGTAATACAGATTTTTTTTTAAGCTGAAGATTATCCAGTCACAGCATTTGTTTCTAGAGAAATCATTTATAGCATTTTTGGATTAAGCATGAATCACAGCAATAAGCACAAGCCTTTGTAACGTACTATTAGTGCATTTTGAAAAGCTCCATCCCAAGTTATTGATAGTCTGCGCTAAGAAAGAAAGAGGAGAAACACACACTTCTCATAAGATACACATTTTGTGTAGAGTAGTCAGTAATGTCAGAGAGCAGGGGCTCTGGATTACTACTCTCAGGGCTAGAATCTCCACCCCACACCTGTGTCACCTCAAGGAGATTAAATGAGATCTTTCAGATAGACTTCTAGGCCCATTCTTTACCCATAGTAAGTGCTCAGTTATTGTTGGCTATTGTTAATGTTATTGATTGAGTCACTGTTTTGTTACTAGGTGGGTCTGTACCATTGTTTTTTTTGATGGGGAGTGGGGATCAACTTCACATTAGCATTTTAATATAATTGGCTATGAGCAGTGATGGTTAATAGTTTGTTTACATTTTTCTTTCATACAGGTTGAATGTAATTTTTACAAAATTTGATGAAGTCCAGAAATCTGGAAACATGATACAATCTGCAAATGGTGAGTAGAAAAAGCAATCCCTACTTTTGCTTTTTCAGTTTTACATTCGCATCATTTATGTTATATGTGAAGAGCTGAATTAGGTAATTTAGTAAGAGTTTCTAAGTCTTAAAACTTAACCTCCATTCACCCAGTTTTCCAGGCCAGAAACAATGCAGTGAATCATCACTGACTTTCTTTCATAACCTGTATTGAATTTATTAGCGAATCCTGTTGGCTTTACTTTTAAAACTGCGTCCTGAATCCCAGGAACTCTCATCATCACTGCTGCTGTCTTCCTAGCACAAGCTGTCATGGTATTTTACCTGGGCTCTTGTGTTTCCCTCCTAAACAGTATCTTTTCTTCTACTGTTTCCCCATGCCTAAAGTCTGTTTTTCATATAGCAACCAGAGTAATCCTTTCAGAATACAAGTCGGGTGGTGTTAATCTTCTTCCTAATCCTCCAAAGACTTCCCATCACACCCAGGCTACAATTCACCAACTCACCATGGCCCACTGGGCCTTGCGTGATCTGGCACCCACCGCCATTCTGATGTCATTTGAATCGTTCTTTGTGAAATTTCTCTTTGCTCTAGCCACGTTTGACCTCCTTGCTAATTTTGAACATTCTGAGCATCTCCTGCTTCAGGACCTCTGTGCTTGTAATTCCTTCTGCCTGAAGTATTTGCCCTGTGGGTATCATTATGGCCTCATCCCTCCTCCCTCATACAGTATCTCACTTCATACAGTATCACTGCATTACTGAGGCCACCAGAATAGCATGTCCAGGGTTCTGAGGGAACGCTCTGTGCCCTCACCCTGTTTGAGTTTTCTTTGCATGTATCACTAGAAAAATATGTGTTTACTCATGAGAGCAGGACCTTTACTTTATTCCCTTTATTGTTCTTTATTTTTTTTCTCAATGAGCATAAATTCAACGCCTTGAAGAGTCCCTGGCTTGTGATAGGTGTGCAGTAAGTATTGTTGAATAAATAAAGTAATGATTTTGATGTCAATTGTAGTCTATTGTTGCCAGTTCCTGTATTCCTTTCACTATACTTTGTGATGATATTTGAGAACTAGTGGGTAATTCTTGTGATTCCAGAAGGAGAGGAAAAGACAGGAGTGAATTACTCCTGTATGAAGGAAAAAATATCAAAAAGTTAATTGCTGAGAAAAACTTTTTCTAACTCTGGATACCTCATTGTATCATAGCTAAGCTATTTTAGAATTTTTAGGTATCTTAGATTACAACCAGTACTGAATTCATTAATCCTGTTGGATTAACTTTTAAAACTGCACCCCGAATCCCAGTAATTCTCCTCATCATTACTACTGTCTTCCTAGTACAAGCCTTCACATTTTGAATATCTTGAGATTGTAAAGAGAAGTCTGAGCGCTTTTCCTCAAAGTAACTTGATACATAAGGGCAGAGCAGGTAATAGCATGCAAGTCTTTTGACTCACACTCTGCTGTGTACCTATTATTATTCCAAAGGAATTTTTCTTTGAACAGCATGTTTCCTATATAAAATACCTAAAGTGATCTAAAAATGCTTTCATTAATCCTCCTTATTTCTTTTTCATAGATTGTAAGAAATAATAGAAAATTGATATCATAATTCAGCTATTACCATCAAAAATCATTTTCGCTATATTTTCTTAGTTCATTTTCCTGTAACTGTATAATTTGTATATAATTTTAACTATGGTGTAATTTTCTCTCCTTTACCCTGTACTTTAGCTTACATACTTTCAGCTTTTAAAAACATATCATTGGTAGAGCTGGGGCCAGAATTCTGGCATCTGAGTGGTGCACTCGTGATGAGTGGGGTTGCTGGGTGTCCACAGGCAGGTCTTCACAGGCAGTTAGTTGCTGGACATGTGGCTTTTACTTTTGTGTGGGTGTATTTGTGTCATTTGTGTGGTTTCTCAGTTTAAAAATTGTTGGCACTAGGACAGAACATGCTGTGCAAGTAAGTAAAAGCAGTGGCAGGAAATTGAGTTTGTGCTTCATAAGCCAGTATGACAGCTATGAAACAGAATCTCATTATAGTGCTGGCATTGGGGAGAAAGACTGCATCCACACTGGAGATCTTGCCTAAAAGAGTGTGTACATATACCCTATGGGATCCAGTGATGTGACAAATAGGATTTCACCCTCAGGAATGCCAAAACTGTGTGGCATTGGATATATCACAAGCAGCATTTTATTCTAAGTGGCTAGGTATAAATATTGCCCCCAAATTCCCTTTATGTGTGTGTGCACGTGCACACACATAGGTTTAGGGTTGAGGATGGAAACAGTTCTTTTAAACATCTATGCTAAAAATAGCAAATGGTAAGGAAGCCTTAACAAAATTTCTTGGAGGCCGATAATTTCAGCTTTTTGCTTTGTATGTGTAGTATTACTGTTTTAATTGTTAGAGCCAAAATGTTGAAGGAAACTGAGTACTATATAGCCATATGTATAAAATTTTAGAATTTCTAACCTAAATGATTTTCATCTCTTTACAGTAAATTTGAGAGACCAGTAAAATGTTCAATTGCTGTCAAAAAACAAACCACCTGATTTCCTTCATTGAACATTTAGATGGCATAGAGAAACTGCAGTAGTGATGGAATAAAACCTGTCTCCCTCTTTATCTAATTTTCTCTTTCTTTTCTTTTCTTTCTTTCACCTTTTCTCCTCCTCCTCTTTTTCTCTTTTCTTCTTCCTTCCTTCCCTCCTTCCCTCCTTCCTTCCCTCTTTTCTTTTCTCTTTTCTTTTTTTTCTTTCTTTCTTTCTTTTCTTTCTTTCTTTCTTTCTTTCTTTCTTTCTTTCTTTCTTTCTTTCTTTCTTTTTCTTTCTTTCCTTCTTTCTCTTCCTCTCTCTCTTTCTGTCTCTCCCTCTTTCTCTCTCTCCCCCACCTCCTCCTCCTTCGTGTTTTTTTAAAACACAACTCCCAGTGTAATTCTTTGATCTCTTTTGAACTTCAAACCTTTGACTGTTCAGTTTTCTCTAGATCCATTCATCCTCTGCTTTCTCCATTTCATACCTTATACAGCTTAGATTACAACCTTTCTGAACTTATTAGTTGTAGGAGTTTTTGTAGCCTCTGTGGGGTTTTCTACATATACAGTCTTGTCATCTGCAAATAGGAACAGTTTTATCTCTTTCAGATACGTATGCTTTTAATTTCTTTTTCTTGCCTTATTGCACTGGCTAGAACTTCCAGTACTGTGTAAGATAAGAGTGGTGAGACAGGACATCCTCGTCTGGTTCCTATCCTAGGTGCTAAGTATGGTATTAGCCGTAGGATTTTTGTAGATGTTCTTTATCAAAATGAGGTAGTTTTCTATTTACTTCTGTTTATCTTATCTTTTTTTTTTTTCCCAGAGCAGGAATAGAAGTTTATTTAAAAAGGCCTTAGAATAGAAAAGAAAGGAAGGTGTGCTTGGGAGAGACCCAGGTGGGCACATGAAGGTTAAAGAAAGAAAGTCAAATGCCCTTATCTGAGTTTTTATCAGAAATAGGTGTTAGGCCTTTTGTGAAGTTATCAGTATATTTTAAAAATTGAGATACATTCTCCTTCTAGTTGCCGTTCATTTAAAAATTAAAAATTGAGATTATATATAATTTACCTACTGGTGTTTCACTTTTTAAAGTGAATGCTTTAGTGTTTTTTTTTTTTTGAATATTCACAAAGTGTGCAACTATTACCACTATTTAAATCTAAAATACTTCATCACCCTCACGTCCCATTCCCATTAGCACTTACTCCCTATTCCCCTCTCCCCCCAGTTTCTGGCGTCCTATTTTCTGTCTTTATGGATTTGCCTATTCAGGACATTTTGTATAATTGGAATCATACAATATTTGGCTTTTGTGTCTGGTGTCTTTCACTTAGCATAATGTTTTCAAGGTTCATCCATAATGTAGCATGTATCAGAAGTTCATTTCTTTTTATGGCTGAACAAGATTCCATTGTGTGATTAGATTGCATTTTCTTTATCCGTCTGTTGATGGACGTTTGGGGTTGTTCCACTTTTTGGCCATTGTGAAGAATGATTCTTTGAACATTGATGTAAAAGATTTCATGTGGATATGTATTTTCATTTCTGTTGGCTGTATACCTTGCAGTAGAATTGCTGGGTTGTACCTTTAACTTTCTGAGTAACTGCTCAAACACAGTAAACACACAGTTTTCCAGTTTTGCAGCACTATTTTATGTTCTTACCAGCAACCTGTAAGAGTTTCCACTTTCTCCACATCCTCGCCAACAATTGTCATTGTCTATCTTTTTCATTATAGTCACCATAGTGGCTGTAAAGTGGTATCTCATTGTGGTATTGATTTGCTTTACCTTGATGAGTAATGGTATTGAACATCTTTTTCATGTGCTTATTAGCCCTTTAAATACCTTGCTTGGAGAAATGTCTATTCAAATAAATCTTTTGCCCATTTTCTAAAGGAGTTAATTGCCTATTTATTGTTGAGTTTTAAGAGGTCTTTAGATGTGCTACATACCAGACTCTTACCAGATGTGATTTATTTGCAAATATTTTCTCCCATTCTATGGGTTTTCTTTTCACTTTCTTGATAGTGTCACTTGAGATATAAATTGTTAAATTTTGATGAAGTCCAATTTATCTGTTTATTTTTTCTTTTGTCATACCTAAGAAACTATTGCCTATATTTGGCCAGGTGCAGTGGCTCACACCTGTAATCTCAGCACTTTGCGAGACCGAGACAGGCAGATTATCTGAGGTTAGGAGTTTGAGGCCAGCCTGGCCAATATGGTGAAACTCCATCTCTACAAAAATACAAAAATTAGCCAGGTGTGGTGGGGCACCCCTGTAGTCCCAGCTGGGGGGGTGGTGGGGTGGCCCTGAGGTGGGAGGATCGCTTGAACTTGGGAGGCGGAGGTTTCAGTGAGCTGAGATTGTACCACTGCGCTCCAGCCTGGTCGTGAGACTCCGTCTCAGAAAAAAAAAAAAAAAAAAGAAACTATTACCTATTTTACCACAGTAAAAAGAAAGAAAAGAGGCCAGGCATGGTGGTTCATGCCTGTAATCCTAGCACTTTGGGAGGCCGAGGCAGGCAGATTGCCTGAGCTCAGGAGTTCCAGACCAGCCTGGGCAACACGGTGAAACCCCGTCTCTGCTAAAATACAAAAAATTAGCTGGGCGTGGCGGTGTGCGCCTGTAATCCCAGCACTTTGGGAGGCCAAGGCGGGCGGATCACGAGGTCAGGAGATTGAGACCATCCTGGCTAACATGGTGAAGCCCCATCTCTACTAAAAATACAAAAAATTAGCTGGGCCCGGGCGTGGTGGTGGGCGCCTGTAGTCCTAGCTATTCGGGAGGCTGGGGCAGGAGAATCGCTTGAACCTGGGAGGTGGAGGTTGCCTTGAGCAGACATTGTGTCACTGCACTCCAGCCTGGGTGACAGAGCAAGACTCCATCTAAAAAAAGAAAGAAAGAAAGAAAGAAAAGCTGGGTCTGACCTCCTCCTAGTTTCTTCCTGCTTTTTGGGCTGCACCTTCTTGGCTTCCTTTATCTAATGTCTACTAATTAGCCATTAAATTCTTAAAGCTTAATTCTAGGCCTTTTCCTTTCTCAGGCAGTGCTTTTTCCCTGGTTACACATATCCGTGGCTATAATTTTATTTATTAGCTATATCACATTTTTTTCATAAATGTTTGTCTCCTATACAGATCTTGGTACAGGATTGGAACTGTATGTGAAACAGCTACCTGTCTGACATTTCCTCTTGTATTTGAAACATGTATCTAAAACCAAATTTATATTCTACTTCTGGCTGAAAGACAAAACACAAAACAATAAATATTGCTCCACCCTAAGTGTTTTCTGTACTCCTTATAAGCGTGATTGCTCCATTATTCATCCTGGTATGTAAATTAAAGATTGGGTGTCATTTTTGATACCTCCCTCTCCCTCACTTTTCATAAATATTATCACTGATTCATATGGAGTTTAACTCAAATATTGCTTTTTTATTGAGGTAAAATCTACATATATAATTAACGATCTTTACCAATTTTAAGTGTACAGTTCAGTGGTAATAAATACACTTATATACATTTTTTTCACTTTACTCTTCCCCCTCCCCTTCCTGGCCTTTGGTAACTACCAGTCTAATCTCTACCTTTGTGAGATCTACCCTTTTAGCTCCCACATATGAGTGAGAATGTGTGATGTTTGTCTTTCTGTGCTTGGCTTATTTTATATAATATGATGGCCTCTAGTTCCATCCATGTTGCTACAAATAACAGGATTTCATTCTTTTTTATGGCTGAATTATATACCATTGTGTATATATACACATTTTTCTTATTCCATTCATCTGTTGGCATCCCAAATGATGTCAGATCCCTCTGTTAAGTGTGGGCAGGCACCCTCTACCCCACTGCTTGGTATGCGTCATGTTTGCAGGTTTACATTTGGCGATTATCTGACTAATACCTATCTCGGCATTGGACTGTAACCCTCCTGCATACAGGGGACTGTGTGCCTGTTTTTGCTCATTCTAAGGCTCAGATACCTTGCAGGCTGGCCTCTTAGTCCCAGTGTTCTCTGCGATTGGTTTGTTTCACCGAACCAGCTTTTCTTCTATGTCTCTCAGTAAATCTTGAGTGCATGTACGAACACTTAGTATCTGAGATGACTAGATTCTTTTTCTCTCTGCTTTTTCCCATGGATTCTTATATACCCACTGGGTTCTGGAGTGTTGCATATGAGCTGGAGCTGACAGAGAACTGAGCAAAACACAGGAGAGAATGAATGACAACATGGGGCTCATTTCCAGGCTCCTCAATGACCTCTTGGGCAGAGGTTCTGATCACTTGATGGCTGCCTTGGTTGGTTAGCACTGCATGTCCACAGAGCGGCTTCCTAGGCTGACTCAAAAGGGTGTCTATTAAATGATCTGTGTCTTTCTAACTCCCATTTGTGAAAATTTAGCAGCCTATACTCAGCTAAGGACTAGGCAACAAATATCTGTTTAATAAATGGTGACTGTGTATGCCAAACAGTAGTTACAGTTGTTAATTTTGGAGTGTGGGTGCCCACATGCCCCTGTGTGGGGAAGTGTGGACAGTGTCAGGGAGCAAGTCAAGGGGGATTGCTTTGGAAATGTGTGGCTCTCCTTCCTCCTTAGGAAAGGCGTCTGTGCCCTGCTCTGCAATGCTTTAGCTATGGGATTTTGGGCAAGTGACTTAACTCTTGTGAACCACATTTGCTCATCTGTAAAATGGAGTGAACACCTTGCAGGGATTTTGTGGAGAATAAATGAGATTGTGTGTAAAATTCTTAGCGAATTTCTTAGTGCCTGGGACATGGTTGGTGCTCAGAATAATAGATTCTCCTCCAGTTGCTCAATTTTAGGGGTATATTCATTTTTTCAATAAAAAGAATATTTGAGAATAACTGTCATACTTGTAGATTTTCAGATTATTTTGGAGTATGCATTTAAAATTTAATGTATTATTTATTTACTTTTTAAATTTTTTATTCGTTTTTTTGAGATGGAGTTTTGCTCTTGTTGCCCAGGCTGGAGTGCAATGGCATGATCTCGGCTCACCGCAACCTCCGCCTCCCTGGTTCGAGCGCTTCTCCTGCCTCAGCCTCCCAAGTAGCTGGGATTACAGGCGCTCACCACCATGCCCAGCGAATTTTTGTATTTTTAGTAGAGACGGGGTTTCACCATGTTGGTCAGGCTGGTCTCGAAATCTTGACTTCAGGCAATCTGCCCGCCTCAGCCTCCCAAAGCGCTGGTATTACAGGCGTGAGCCACCGCGCCCAGCCATTGTATTCTTTAAAGTGACAATACTCTTTAAATATTTTTATTTATTTATGTTTTAGAGACGGAGTCCAGCTCTGTCGCCCAGGCTGGAGGGCAGTGGTGCCATCTCGGCTCACTGCAATCTCTGCCTCCTGGGTTCATGCCATTCAGCTGCCTCAGCCTCCTGAGTAGCTGAGAGTACAGGCACCTGCCACCACGCCCAGCTAATTTGTTTGTATTTTTAGTAGAGATGGAGTTTCACTGTGTTAGCCAGGATGGTCTCTATCTCCTGACCTTGTGATCCGCCCGCCTCGGCCTCCCAAAGTGTTGGGATTACAGACGTGAGCCTCCGTGCCCGGCCTATTTATTTATTTATTTTTTAGATGGAGTCTTGCTCTGTCACCCAGGCTGGAGTGCAGTGGTGCGATCTTGGCTCGCTGTTACCTCCGCCTCCCAGGTTCAAGTGATTCTTCTGCCTCAGTCTCCCGAGTAGCTGAGACTACAGGCGCCCACCACCATGCCTTGGTAATTTTTTGTATTTTTAGTAGAGACGAGGTTTCACCATATTAGCCAGGATGGTCTCAATCTCCTGACCTCAGGTGATTCGCTCACCTCGGCCTCCCAAAGTGCTGGGATTACAGGCATGAGCCAACGTGGTTGGCCCAATATTTTTAATTTTTATGGACATATCAGTTGTATATATTTATGGGTGACATAGGTATTTTGCATAACAGTCACATCAAGGTAAGTAGGGTATCCATCAACTCAAGCATTTATCATTTCTTGTGTTGCAAACATTCCAGTTATACTCTTTCAGTTATTTTTAAATGTACAATAAATATTGACTGTAGTTATCCTGTTGTGCTATCAAATACTAGATCTTATTCTGTCTAACTATATTTTTGTACCCTTTAACCATCCCCACTCCCTTCCCCACCACCACTATTCTTCCCAGGCTCTGCTGGTAACTGGTATTCTACTCCCTATCTCCATAAGTTCAGTTGTTTTAATTTTTAGCTCCCACAAATGAGTGAGAACATATGAAGTTTGTCTTTCTATGCCTAGCTTCTCTTAACATAATTTCCTCCAGTTCCATCCATGTTGTTGCAAATGACAGGATCTCATTCTTTTTATGGCTGAATAGTACTGCATTGTGTATAGGCATCGCATTTTCTTTATTCCTTCTCCTGTTGATGGACACTTAGGTTGCTTTAAAATCTTGGCTATTGTGAACAGTGCTGCAGTAAACATGGCAGTGCAGGTATCTCTTCAATATACTGATTTCCTTTCTTTTGGGTACATACCTAGCAGTGGGATTGCTGGATCGTATGGTAGTTCTAGTTTTAGTGTTTTGAGGAACCTCTCTATTGTTTTCTGTAGTGGCTGTACTAATTTAACATTTCTACCAACAGTGTACAAGAGTTCCCTTTTCTCCACATCCTTGCCAGAATTTGTTACTGCCTGTCTTTTGGATTAAAGCCATTTCAACTGGGGTGAGATGATACCTCATTGTAGTTTTGATTTGCATTTCTCTGATAATCAATGATGTTGAGCACTTTTTTAATATGCCTGTTTGCCATTTGTGTGTCTTCTTTCGAAAAATGTCTATTCAGATCTTTTGCTTACTTTTAAATTGAATTATTTGATTTTTTTTTTCTATTGAGTTGTTTGAGCTCCTCATATATTCTGGTTATTAATCCCTTGTCAGATGGGTAGTTTGCAAATATTTTCTTGCATTTTGTGGGTTGTCTTACACTTTGTTGATTGTTTGCTTTGGTTGCCCATACTTGTGGGGTGTTACTGAAAAAATCTTTGCCCAGACCAATGTCCTGGAGAGTTTCCCCCATGTTTTCTTTTAGTAGTTTTATAGTTTGAGGTCTTAGGTTTAACTCTTTAATTCATTTTGATTTGATTTTTGTGGTGAGAGATATGGGGGTCCAGTTTTATTCTTCTGCATATGGATATTCAGTTTTTCCAGCACCATTTATTGAAGAGACTGTCCTTTCCCCAGTGTGTGTTCTTTTCGGCACTGTTGTCAAAAATGAGTTCACTGTAGATGTGTGGATTTATTTCTGGGATCTCTATTCTGTTCCATTGGTCTGTGTGTCTGTTTTTTTTCCAGTACCATGCTGCCACAAAAACAGCAATGGTAGTAGTATAATTTGAAGTCAGATAATGTGATTCTTCTAGTTTTGTTCTTTTTGCTTAGGATGACTTTGGCTATTCTGAGTCTTTTGTGGTTCCGTATAAATTTTGGGATTACTTTTTTATTTCTGTAAAGAATGTCATTGGCATTTGATAGGGATTATGTTGGATCTATAGATTGCTTTGAGTAGTATGGACAGTAATGCTCTTTTAAAATTGCTTTGTTAAAATATAATTTACATACCATGACAGCATTCATTTCAAGTGTATAATTCAGTTATTTTTAGTATAGTCACAGATAGCTGCAACTGTGCATCTATTGATGGACAGTTGGATTGTTTCTACCTTTGTCTATTGTGAATAGTGCTGCTTTGAACATTTGTATACAAGCTTTTAAACACCTGTTTTCAGTTCTTTTGAGTGTATATCCAGGAGTAGAATTGCTGTATTACATGGTCATTCTATGTTTAACTTACTGAGGAACCACTAAACTGTTTTCCACAGTGGCTGCACCATTTTATATTCTCTCTAGCCTTTACCAAATTCTCCACTTTCTGGCAATGCTTGTTTTTTTTTTTTTTTATTTTTTTTAATTGTAGTCACCCTAGTAATTATGAAGTAGTGTCTCATTGTGGTTTTGATTTGCATTTCCCTAATGACTAATATGTTTGAACATATTTCCTGTGCTTACTGGCCATTTGTTGATCTACGTTGGAAAAACATCTAATCAAATCCTTTGTCCACTTAAAAATCGAATTGTTTATCTTTTTGTTGTTGAACTGTATATGATTTGCAGATACGATTTGTAAATTTTTTTTTCATTCTGTGGCTTATCTTTTCACTTTTTTTTTTTTTTTTTTTTTTTTTGGAGAGGGAGTCTCGCTCTGTCGCCCAGGCTGGAGTACACTGGTGCGACCTCGGCTCACTGCAAGCTCCGCCTCCCGGGTTCTCACCATTCTACTGCCTCAGCCTCCCGGGTAGCTGGGACTACAGGTGCCCGCCACCACGCCCGGCTAATTTTTTGTATTTTTAGTAGAGATGGGATTTCACCGTATTATCCAGGATGGTTTCGATCTCCTGACCTCGTGATCTACCCGCCTCGGCCTCCCAAAGTGCTGGGATTACAGGCGTGAGCCAATCTTTTCACTTTTAAGTGTCTTTTGGTGTATAAAGGTTTTAAATTTTGCTGAAGTCCAATTTATTTTTTTCTTTTGTTGCTTGTGAACAACAGTGCACTTTTGAGTAAGAAACGTTCTGGATTTTAGCTAAGTTGGAAGAAACGTATTTAATGGTGGTACTCCTAAGAAATAATAAGGATTTATCAAGGGTTTGTATATCTTCAGATGTTCAAAATTATGTTGTTCTCTGATGCTTAATATTTATATGAAACCCATGGACTTAATTTTTAAAAGCGTAATCGAATTGTGACTAAAACAGGAATGAAAAAGCAGCCAAGTAGCAATTTGAAATGGGCTTCCTGTCTGTAATAGAATACTTCATCTTTGTATGATTCCTTCTTGTTGCTAGGTTACCCGAAGGCCTTTCGGCTTTGAATGGTGAGAATATGAGAGTTAAAAATATGTTGCTATATAGATGTTTCTTCTTTTTTTCATCTCCATATAATTAGCAAGCCCCTTGAAGCAAAAATTACAGTTTTTCCTTCCATGAGTTTCAAAAAGCAAATTATTTGTAAGTTTTTAAATCATGCAGATGTGCTTATGCTCATGGGAGAATTGGATTTTCAGAATGAAAGACCCAGTAATTATGGACTACTCAGTGTCCTTTATCTGCAACCACTTAATGATCTTTAATTGGATTTGATTGAAGCGAGGCCCATGAACATTAATTTGGTTAAAAAATACACATGCTTTTGAGTTTCTTGAGCAAAGCTAACATGTTTATGAGGAAAGATACAAACTATCATCTTGGTTAAATCCATGATAATTCTATAATAAATTTGTAGCTGAAGTAAAAGACCCAATATTTATTTGCTAATAAAACTATAAAGTAGATAACAAGTAATCATAACATTATTGGCTCTTATACATGAATGTACAGGGTATCATTTTGTTGCCAAATGCATTTTGCTTTATGGTTTTACACTTAAACAACTATAACTTGAAAAATATTACAGGTATCAGTTCTACTTTGTCGGAAATGAGAAATACCTGTGCAAGTCTGAAAACAGACCATTGACAGATTCTGTTAGATAAGATCTGAATTATTGCCCAGTGTGGCTAGGACAAAGCATTCATTTAAAGGCAAATCAGTTGTCTTTTCTTTATTAAGAAGCCAAGTCATTATTATCCATGCTTATCCTTTAAAAGCAATGATTGTGAATAAGTGGATCAGGTGCCAATTCTAGGTTCACACTCTCTCCCAGTGCTTGTTTATTAGACTATGCATATTACAAGGTTTGGGATAGTGGTTCAGTATCTTAGGAAAGTGTTTCCATAGTCACGAATACAAGGATAATGTGTTTGTTACAAGGCTGGCATATGTGTTGAGCTGTGCTAAGAAGCCCACCTAAAATAGCCTGGAAGAGACTGCTTCTGATGGCAGCATAAGTCGCATAAGCTGCAGCAGACAGCTTATTTTATTTTCTGTGTGGAAATAAGGTTGCTTTTTGATATTTTTCTTTTTAAGATTTGTGTTAGGAATATTCTTTTTCTTGAGGGGGAAGAACTGGTTTAAAAATTTTTAATACCACTTTTAAAGAAGACTCTCTTAAATGAGTAGAGTTGGATGGAGAAGGCTCACACCTCCCCCCAGCCACCAACCCCCAACCCTTTTTACAAAATCATTGTTAGTCTAGGCTTTTATTTTGGAATAGGGTGGCAGTTGTCATTGGTGCTGCCGGATCACACTGAACAAGTGTGGGTGGAGAGTTTGCTGATGCTTAAGTTGCTGTGAGTAGGTATAGCTTTCAGAGCAGTGTTTTTATTTGGTACCAGGATTACTGACAATCATGACTACTGGGAAAGGTAGGCTATTCTAATATATTCTGAAAAGTGTTTATAATTATTGCTGCTTGGCTAGGAAATGCTTAAATATTTTATAATTCCTGTGGTAACTAAAAATCATGGATGAAACATGGGAAAGATTGTTATGAATGTTGTTGGTATTTAAGCAGTGAAAAATTGTGAAACCTACAGGGAAATAAACATCAATGTTAACCTTCTAAGACTAGGAGAGAGGAAGTAGGCACAGTAGGCTGAGGCTAGCTGTGTTTTTATCTTCTGTTTATTTCATGGGCTTTTAATTTTTCTCTGCTTATGTTCACAGTATGAGGGTTATGAACATAAATCTATTTGCAATTGCAAGGTATTTGTTAATAACGCTAAGTGGTCTTGAAAATAATCTACTGGCTAGAAATTTCTAAGTTTTCCCAGTAGGTATAGAGGAAAAGCATAAATGATAGCAGTGCAAGGATGCTGCTTCTGTCTTAAGTCATTGTTTATTTTTTTCCCCTTTAAAAGATTTGCATTTTTAAAATGCAAAAATGTACAGGAAAACTACAAAAGAAGTATTGCTCACAAAAAATCTTCTTGATTAGGTTTCAGTCTTTCCACAGAGCTTTTTCTCAGGTTTGGCCAATATCGAAGTGATTTTAAAAGATTCTGTGTAAACAGGGTTTGCATTTAAAGGTATAGGGTACAGTTGATGTGATGGGAACAACCTGTATCACTGTCTTGCTTTCCTAGTGGTTTTGCTGGCAGACTCTTAATTTGTTGTCTTCAAAGGGTATTTCCAGACTCTTCTACTGAAACAGGTATTGCACAGAGTAAAATTGCATACAGTAACAAGTGTTTATTTGTCTCCTGCTGTGGGGAATTGGGCACACATCCAGGACTTCTGCTCAGTGTTTATTTTGTAATGGATTATTAAAGGTTTGTATAGCTATTTTCTTAAATTTGGTTAAGTTGGGCTGAAAGTACTGGAAGATGCCACATTTCTGCTCATATTTTTAAATTGAGAATTTAAAGTATATTTGTATTCTTTAATTGAGAATTTAAGGTATACAGTGATAATATTTTTATTTCATACCTAAGTATCATATTCTATTTTCAGGTTAAACTGCTGCAGGAAATCAATACCTGGGCAGGAGAGTTAAATAATTCATGTTCTGAAGTAACCTCTCTCAGAGCCTTTCCTTTGAGGATTTGAAAGTGTGTCACTTACAAGTAGCATTTGACTTAAGTTGTGATATTTTCATTTGTATTTAGCAACAGGTCAAAATAATATGAGAGTCAGCTTTTTCATGTTAAAAGCCATGGAGATAGCCTCCTGAATCTGAGTTTAAAATAAAGACGATTCTTTCACTTGATATATTTTTTCAAATTGCCTGCCTCCTTAGTCACTATCACCTGGAATTCAGGCTTACATGCTTTGGTAACTTTTACCCTCAGTAACTGCAGTCGTGATAGGAAACAAGGATTAAAATACTGTTTCTTATGGAAGTGGTATGTCTGAATCATGTATTAATTCATGACCATTAAAAATCTGCAAAATATAACAGCAGCAGGTCTCCCAAGGTGTGTAGAGTACTTTAGTGTTTTCAGAGCACTTTCCTGCGTTTTTTGTTTTATGAAGTTCACAGCAGCCCCATGAGGAGTAGGTAGGGCAGCTTTTGAACACAGATACTGAAGGTTTTGGGTTTTCTATAATTGGGTTAGTTGCAGGACAGGGGAGAGCCCTAGTTTTTGCTGTCTTAGACAAGTCTTTATTCCAGAAAGCCATTTTGTCAGGCCAAGTGCTCTGGAATCCCTCAGACTGGGTATGAGTGCCACCTCTGCATGGGCAGTTTGTGACCTGGGACTGGCAGCATGGCTGTCCACCTTCATTTTCTCATGTGCAAATTGGGGATGATAGTCCCTTTGCTGAGGAGCCAGTGAGGGGGCCTTGGGCCTGGCACATCAATCTCATCCTATTGATACAGGGACACATCCACTGTGGCAGCTCTAGGTGATCTCATAACAGGAGGTATGAAGGTTGAACTGAGGTTTAAAATAATATAGTTGATCTTTTTGTGTAGATATGGAAAGGTATTCTAAGAAAACAAGATGCAGAATTAAATGTATCCTAAGATCTTGTAAAAAGAAACCATCCAGTACCCAGATCTTGGTCACTAACACTACCAGGGCTCCTTGGGGAAATGGCTGAGTTTAGGGCTGGAGCAAGGTGAGCCAGTGTATCTCGCAGGGCCAGAAAGTAAGGAAGTGGTTGAAAAAATCAAAGAAAAAGCAAAACAAAACAACAGTGGGGGTATTGCTGAGAGACACAGGAGTCAACTGAAAGTGCTTCCAATAGCCAAAGCTAGAATGCTTTAAGCAACACAGTGAAGTATTGTTGAGTTTTAACCCAAAGTATAAAATAAATGTTAATGATCCATACGATGTAAACAAAATGATTGAAAAGTGTGTAAATGGAGATGAAGAGACGAACCTCTTGTGCAGAATTATTCCAAATCATTTATGCAAATATCCCATTCTAAAGGAGGGGAGCATAACTTCCTAGTCGGTCAGTGTGGTGGGTGTTCTTGATAGGATGTGATGAGAATGGCATTTTACCTCTGTGGTCTTCCTCCCAAAGCCCCATAAGCTCTGTGGAAACATGGCAGAAGCCTCAGGCAAACCCAAAATGAAAGATATTCTGTAAACTCCCTAACCATGTCAAGGTCATTGAAAACAAAGTCTGAGAAACTGTCACAACCTAGAAGAGCCTAGGGAGGCAGGATAACTAAATGTAATGTGGTGTCCTGAATGGGATCCTGGAGCAGATAAAGGACATTAGGGAAAAACTAAGGAATGCTGAATACGCTGGGGACAATAGTTAAAGGTAACAGTTGATCTGCGTGTTGGGTTATGTGCTTTAAGAAAATCTTTTTCACTGTTTCATGTATTTAAAACAGGTCATTAAAAAAAACAAAACATACAAAGATTAAAGACATGGACACCAGTAAGGATACTATTTGGTAATACAGATCTACCTGAGAGATGAGGAAGACCCGAATTAGGTTGGCCTCAGTGGGACTGAGAGGGAATGGAAGTGAGAGGTGGTTCTAAGCAGCACTGACCACACCCAGTGCTTATTTAGGGCAGTGGGTGGGGAAAGACCTGGTGGGAGATAGGAGGGGAAGAGTTAAGAGCAATTCCATATTTTGGCCTGGACAAATGGTGGTAGGACCAACTGAAGTCAGGAACCTGGAGGGGAGAGCAGGTTTTGAGGGTAAGATGATTATAGGTGATTATAGTTTTGGACACTTGGACATAGAATTTTGTTTGTACGTGAGTTTGATTCAGGTAGGTTTGTATCTTGGAGTAGACTTGAGATTGCTATTAGAGGATTAAGTATTATTGGAACATGGCTATTTATGTTAAATTGTCATCTTCTTTCTCTTTGTCTTCGTATGTAGCGGTATGGTATTTGCCTCTCTAGCTAAAGAGGGTTCTGGAGAAAGAGATCATTAAAGCAGAGATGGAAGATTTGAAGGATTATTTGCACAAATGGCAAATAGCTCTTAGTGTAATTACTTTAAAGTATGAGAGAACATTCTGGTAGGAAACCTTTTCCAAATTTGGCTCTAAGTTTTTCCAACTGACTTACTTTTGTGCCTATGTAGTGATTGTCAAAAAGAATTGGGTCAGGATTGCTACAGTGATAATTAAAATGACATTTCCAAAAGAGCACAGGGTGTAGATCTGATATCTGTGGGATTTGGGTTCTGACATTTATAACTTTCAGGGCAAGTTGGAAGGTAAAATAAGTACTGTGATCAAAGGGAGAAATGAACATTTAATCAATGAAAGGATATATGGTGACTCTTATGTAATATGACACTCAGAGATTATCTAAGGTGTTGAAATTTTAGTTGTTGACTTCTGGAAGTCTCAGTTTTCAGTCATCAGTTTGCAAACTTTATTCACATCCCTTAGTGTTGCTTAAAACTTTCCCCTTTGCCATGAAATAATAAAAATGTAAGTCAGAATATGCCCACTTAAGGCCTGCATTGTACCTTTTCAGTTCCTTTTTGAGGGATAAATGATGATTTCAATGTCCTACTATTCTCTAACCTATTACCAGGAAGAAGCTTGTGGTTGTCATTATTACTATAATTATAGTCACCCAGTCTCGTTCATTACTGCCTTTGTGTCTTTGCCATTCCTACCTTGCCCGTTTCTTGCCCCAGGGAGCTTGCACACATTATTCTCACTTAGAATGCACTTCACTTTCCTCATGCCTGCCTGGTTTTCAGGTCTGGGTGCAGAGGCTTCCTCAGAAATGCCTTGCCTGGACTTCTGTGGCCTCTAGGAATTCGCTTTCCTAAGGCTCCTTATGCTGGCTTATGATCAGCTTTGTGAGAATAAAGATGGGAGCTGCTGTGTTCACCTCTGAATTACGAGCAGCCTGCCCAGTGCCAGGCACAGGACGGGCATTTACAAACATCCTTGGCATACACAAAGGGTATGTGAGCTGGTGTGGTGGACCATGCCTGTAGTAGCTGGGATTACAGGCGCCCCCCACCATGCCCTAATTCTTTTTTTTCTTTTTTTCCAGCAGTGACAGGGTTTTACTGTGTTGGCCAGGCAGGTCTCAAACTCCTGACCTCAAGTGATCCGCCCGCCTTGACCTCCCAAAGTGCTGAGATTACAGGCGTGAGCCACCGTACCCAGCTCATGGGTCTTTAAAATACAAAATTTGAAGGAAAAACACACACACACAATTGGAAGGCCCTCTTTTCTATCTTAAAACAATTTTTGGAGTCTTTAGTGTACTTGGATTTCTTTATACAGAAATGAAAATGGTGTTTGAGCTTGGCTTACTATATTCAGTTATCTGCAGTTAGGCCAGGCTGTGATAACCTGTGTGCATATGCTGGTGGCCATGAGGGTAGACCCACAGGGTAAACCCTTTCCAAAGAGAAAGAGTACACTTTTTGTAGGGCCCCTTTTCCTGCCAAAACAGTTAGCCTTGCCCTGCTGCTTAGTCAAAGGCATTCTTTTGCTTCATTGTTCAAGGCAAATTGGAACCTTCCTTCTACCTTTCTCTGCCTCCTACTCTTAAATTCCATGTCCATGACAGAGATGCCTGAGTAATCCTCTCCCATGTAGATGAGGTTATGCCTTTGGTAAAAGGCCTACAGCATAGTGTGATTTGGCCTTCTCTGAACCACCATGTCCAAAATGTCTCTCACCACCCTCTGCCTTTCCCCTCACTTTGTTACAGAACACTGTTCTTTTTCTTCTTTGCCTTTATCACAGATTTGTCTTTACAAATGTCATACCCCTTTGTACTGGAAAGTCTCTTTGGGCAGTTAGCATGAATGTTTTATTCATACTGTATTCCCAGGAACTAGTAAAGTGCCTGAAATGTAGTAGATCCTCATCCTCAATGAATAAACAAAAGAGGGAGATAGTTATCCAAGTCAGGTGGCAACTAGCCTGCTCCTCCTGTAAACTATCTTGGCTGTTATTTCTTGAAGTAAATTAATGCTTTACTTATGAACTCAGAGCTTAAGAAAGAGAATCTGTTCTCTCTCATTCTCCCTTTGTTCCTTTCTTGTCCCCTTTTCTCCCACCTCTTCCCCACCATGTTCTCTTGTATCTTTCCATTGTTTCCTCCCACTGCCATCAAGAAGTCCATAGTCAACTGGAAGATAATCCTGGCCTCCATATTTGTGAGCTGGATGGAAGCCCTGTGATGGGGCCCAAGACCCTGGCCCTGCACTATTTGTGCTCAGAAGTTCCCTGCATGGTGGTGTTTGTGCCCAGCAAGGCTGACTTTTTGGCATGCAGGACAAAGGGGACCATGGGATGTTTGTTGGTGCTTATAAATTGGGTGTGAAATTTCTCACACAATGGTTGTCTTTGGCATAAATTGGGCAATGTGATTATTATGTGGGCAGTTGGCTTGGGAGCTGGGGAACACAGAGGGAAGCTGAAGGTAGTGGTGAGCAGGCTTCAGTGGTGGGCCGAGATGATGGAGATGTGGTGTGTGGCACACTCACTTGACCTATTTGGGCTAGAAAATGAGCATATGATCAAAGTGTGAGGACAGTTATCAAATAGGTACTTTTAGTAATATATCTATAATTTACAAAAATCTCTTTAAAGATATCCTGTACCTTACGTAGAATAACTGCACTTATCTGCACTTCCTTCTCCTAAAATACACTTGCTTGAAACCTCTCATGATGTTGATTCCTCCTAAGCTTTGCTTTCTTCCTGTTTTTAGCCTGCAGTTGTGTGGCCTGTATACCCGGCCATGCATCAGAATGTCTGGATAATTCTCTAGACAAATAATAGCAGGGAAGCTGAGTGCCATTTGCATTTAGGTTTGTAATACTACCCAAATGTAATTAAAAGAATTTTAGAAAGCTAACTACTTTGAAATTTTGAAACAAGTTATTTTTGGTTTATGTTAATTCTTTATAATTATGTAAATACAGCAATGAGAACTCTAGATTGCTATTGTTTTAAGCATATGTATGCTGTAGTTATCCAAAGGTGTTATTAAAATCATTGAAAACCATCAACTAAAATATGATTTTAACTTTTCAAATTGTAGGACTGGAATTATTTAGATTTGAATGAACATTGCACCAAAAAAACAGACATATTAATATTAATTGGAGAAAATAAACCCAAATTCTTGTGTGTGTGTATATATGTATACACACATATATATACATACATATATATACACACACATATATACATACATATATATACACACACATATATACATACATATATATACACACATATATATATACATACATATATACACACACACACACATATTCATTCATATTCTCCCTCTTTCTCTCTCTCTCTCAGATATTTGCTAGGAAAAACCTTCAGATTCCTAAAGTAAGAACTTATTTTTTCCTTCACTACAATGGTTAATTCTTTTCATGCTATCCTGACCTTTACTGAGCTATTGTAGATGTTTATAGTCATCCTGTTTCCACAGAGAGAAGCTTGAAAGCAGCTAGAAATTCATGGCCAGAGAGTACAGAAGACAATAGTGAGGTGATTCACAGACTAACTTTCTACCAGGCCCTGTGTGGGGCGGGGAGGGGGAAGAGGGGCAGATAAAGTAGGATGCCCAGATGGATGAAGTCAGTCTTCTGCCCAGGAGAGCTTTGGTATCTAGAAGAGGAAGATTCCTACAGATGACTACTTATTTCAGCCCCTCTCCCCTCCCTCTCTTGCTCCTGCTGGATGAACTCTGAGTTAGGTGGCTGATGGAGGGGACTAGAGGACGGTCCCAGCTCTGCGAACCTAGCAAGTGGGAGAAGCAGAAGCAGCTCTCTTGGAGAAGGCTCTGTCTGTTTTCATCTTACCCTGAGTCTGTCCGGTCCTGGGGAGAGTTTGAGGCACTAACACACATATGTCTGGAAATGATGGTCCTTAACGACACATGAAGCCAGGTTTTCAGTCTAAGAGCTCTTGTGGATGTTGAGGAATGGTGGACGTTTCTATGGAGAATTGAGTTCCTGTGGATGTTTCAGTGTGAGTGTCATTCCAGGAGATGATACTGTGGGCTCAGCTCAGGTGCTCACAGAGTTTTATGTTGGGGACTAGCTATTCCAGCAGGAAGGATAGTTTATCCCCATCTTCCCTAATTCACCCCCTAGGGTGCTCTTTGGTACTCTGGATATTAAAGTACCAGTCTCTTTGTGTTCCCTTCCTTTGCTTTTTGGCTCTAAGGGTAAGTTTATAGTCTTTCTGACATATGTTTAGAGATACTCTTCTTCAAGACTGATCTTAGTCACTCTTGGCGTGTCGCTGTAAGTTCTTTTCTCTGAGGAAGGCATAGTATTAACAGGGTTAACTTAAACTGGGCCTCCAGTTTGGCCAAGAGATTCTAACTTCAGGAACCCTAACTCCTGGACATGACTTGGAGACTTTGTCTTTAATTCTCTGTTCCCTAGTGTCCCGATGGGCACACTCGCAGAGTAGTGGGGCACCTGGGCCTGTCCAGGTGCAGAGGGAAGCTGGCTAGTTTGTTCATTATCCCCTGTCAGGAGTTCCTTGCCCCTGCTACATCTGTTCAGGAAGAGTCTTTGGAATTTGTTCTCTCTCGCTGTATATTCACTGAGCATGGTAGCCCAGGGTATTCCTGAGTTAAGTAGGATGTGCACACATTTAAAGCCGCTCACACTCTCAGTTAATGTTAAATGGACCCACGTAGTACGGGTCACATCCGAGGGTTGGTTGGTGGGCACAGTGGATCCTTTCTAAATTTGTTTGGCCCTATTTTGGATTCATAGGTCATATTGTGTGTGTGCTGTTAGGAAAACCTCACACTGAATCCTACATGCTGTTGATTGTGTGTGTTCCCACGTTGGACTGCACTCCAGAGTGAGAACCATGACTTCCCTTTCTGCATCCCAGCTCCCAACAAAGTACTTCAGACACAAGCATGCTTACTAGAGAAATGCTGGAGAGAAGAAGGAAGATGCACATGGTCACCTATTGGTATTCAGAGGCGGTATCCTCTCCAGTAGCCTTCCAGTGGTAGAGGCTAGGGCAAGACTGGTGCTCTGGGAGTCCGGTTTTATTACAGAAGTAACAAAATGATTAGTTTGAGACCAAATCACCTGTAAGGTGACCCTGTGCTCTGGACTTGAACTTCCAAGTTACAGGGCATGGAGGATTTGGAGAGAGTTTAAAACATTGATTCCACTTGATGAAAGCATATTCCTAATTGAGCTTTTTTCTTTTGCTTACAAATGACAAATTATTTTCTTTCCTGTGACCCTGAGAAAATTGTCATTGAGACCTCCTAAGGACGCTTGACAAAGGGGAAATGGATACTTTCCCTTTGGAATCAGTTCTAGAGAAGGTGGTTTTAACCTTTGGAATCAGTTCTAGAGAAGGTGGTTTAACCTCCATGTCTCAATAATGTCCATACATTTTTTTTTTGGCTGCCTAATTTGAATTAGTTGTATGGCCTTTTAAGCCCATTTTTAAAGAAAATTATGTTCCTAATTCCTCACTTCTATTGAAATATTTTTGAAGAGCTGGTTTTTTGCACGCAAAGCATAGCACAAATAATGAGGGTATAAAATAGCTGCCATTTGTCCCATACTTATGGTTTTCCTGTCTTTAATGCATTTTGTCTAATCTGCATTACATCCCTTTGATATAGTACAGAGATGCTTTGGGTTGCCAGCAATGCAGGCCTCATTCCAAGTGGTGTAAGGGAGAAGGGGAGTGACTTGGCTCATGGAACTGAGAAGTCTGGGTGTGTGGGTCTTGCGGTCCTCCTTTGGACGCATGCCAGGCATTAGACGTCGGTTCTCACTGCCCCTGACTCTGCTTTCTTTTGCTTTGCCTCTCTCTTAGGCAGGCACTGCCATTTGTTGGCTCCAACAGCTCCAGGCTTGTACCTGCATAGCTCTAAGTCCACAAGAAGAGAGGTTCTAGAATTAATTACCGTAATGGGTTGGGAGAGCCCTGATGCTGTGGCCAGGTTCCACTGAGGCAAACAAAGGTGTCATCACTCTGAGAGTGGGGGAGGGTGGTTACCCTGGGCTGTCAGTAGAAGAAGGGGGTTGATATTGGGTGGGCAGCACATTTCATAGGTAGACAGGATCATCCTTTTTCACACAGGGAAACAGAAGCCTATCTCTCTTCATTTTCTTTTTATACCTCAAATGAGGTTGGTCTTGCTGAAAGTGCAGGCCTGTGACGTTACAGCTCTGCCCCAGGACAGGCTCACTACCCAGTGCGAGCTGTGGATTTCTTCCTGCACAGAATCATCCCTGGGCTCCTCTGTTGTGAGTATGCCTGCATCTCTCTGGAGCCTGGTTATAAGTTATGTAGCAGCAGCCAGGGCATTTTCCACCTGAGACCCAAAGAGGAATTGTGCCTTGATCTGCACCTGCAGGGGGCACTCAGCAGCTCTTACCCAGTGTGAACTTTGAGCTCCTACAGTGCCTTAAGGAGCAGGCATCTGTGGAAATTGGCTTTCTGCCCTCCTCACAGTTCATTTACCTCTCCAGTTTCCGATGGTGTTTTCCTTGCCTGTCTTTCCCCGGTGTCGTCCCATTTGACCTCCCTTTGTGAAGGACTAGTAAAGCTGAAATGAATTTTGAGTTGTCACCTGTCTGTGCTCTAGTTCTCTCTTCTCACGTTATCTGTACCAGTGGTGTCATTGTTGAGATCGTCTTAAAATGCCAGCCCAGCTTTTTGGCAGCAAGCTTTTGGGTGGAAGGAATGGAACGTGATTGCATTCCACGCTCACTTCTGTGGTAGAGGATGGATTACTGGTGCCAAAGGGCAGAAGTAGCACTCTGCTAGCACCCTCAGAGCTTCTATTATGCCATTTCCACCTTTGTATTGTCAAAAATGCCAACATTTCCAGCCAAGCTGGAAATTTTTATATTCCCTGTGTTCTGACAAAAGCCTTCCTTAATTTTGTAAACAGGGAGAGGGATTTTTGTTTCAGAATATGGATATTGGAAGATTTTTTGTACAGAGTGGTAGAACCGGCCCTAATAACACTGGTCCATATTGACTGGATTGGGGGTGATACGTGTACCCCAGTTCCCATACTTTGATGGAGAAGGGGAGGTAGGAACTTAGAAGAAAAAGTCTTTATCCAGCCATTCAATTCAGACAGTGTGTTTTGCACTTTTACACTTTTCTATTTATCCAACTTCGGTTAAAATTAAGAGGAAACAGATGGGCAAGGAATATAGTTTGGATAATGAGCAAAAATTCCTCTGATATATGAACATGGAATATCTTTCTACTTATTAGGTTTGTCTTTACTGGATCTTAAGAATGTTATGTAGTTTCCTTTTGTTGAAGTTGTTAGGTGTTTTTATTGATGCTATTGTTGTTTTCTTAATTTGATGTATAGAATATACGATGGATTTTTAAATATTGGTTTTATATCCTGTAACCTCACTGAACTTGTTTATTGGTTCTAAGTTTTTGCATGCATTCTTTAGTGTTTTCTACATACCAAATCAAGTCATTTGTAAATGGAGATAGTTTTAGTTCTTCCAATCCAGTCTGCATGCTTTTTTTTTTTCTTTTTCTGGTCGGATTTCCCTGGCTAGCACGTCTACCACAATGTTGAATAGAAGTAGTGAGAGTAAACATCTTCCCTTGTTCTTGGTCTTAGGGGGAAAGCATCCGGTCTTTCACCATGTTGTTGATGGTGTGTGTGTGTGTGTGTGGGGGGGGGGTGTGTGTGTGTGTGGGGTGTGTGTGTGTGTGGTGTGTGTGTGTGGTGTGTGTGTGGGGTGTGTGGTGTGTGTGTGGTGTGTGTGGTGTGTGTGTGTGGTGTGTGTGTGGGGGGTGTTGTGTGGTGTGTGTGTGGTGTGTGTGGTGTGGTGTGTGTGTGTGGTGTGTGTGTGGTGTGGTGTGTGTGTGGTGTGGTGTGTGGTGTGTGTGTGGTGTGTGGTGTGTGGTTGTGTGTGGGGTGTGTGTGTGGTGTGTGGTGTGTGTGGGGTGTGTGTGTGGGGTGTGTGGTGTGTGTGTGGTGTGTGTGGGGTGTGTGTGTGGTGTGTGTGTGGTTGTGTGTGTGGGGTGTGGTTGTGTGTGTGGGGTGTGTGTGTGGTGTGTGTGGGGGGTGTGTGTGTGTGGGGGGTGTGTGTGTGTGTATGTGTGTGTGTGGTGTGTGTGTGTGTTTTGAGACGGAGTCTGGCTCCATCGCCTAGGCTGGAGTGCAGTGGCGCAATCTCAGCTCACTGCAACCTCCCCCTCCTGGCTTCAGGCGATCCTCCTGCCTCAGCCTCCTGAGTAGCTGGGATTACAGGAGTGTGCTGCCACGCTGGGCTCATTTTTGTATTTTTAGTAGAGATGAGGTTTCACCATGTTGGTCAGGCTGGTCTGGAACTCCTGACCTCAGGCAGTCCGCCCGCCTTGGCCTCCCAAAGTGCTGGGATTACAGATGTGAGCCACTGTGCCCAGCCTGTAGGTGGTCTTTATCAGGTTGCGGGAGTTCTCTTCTAATCCCTGCTTGTAGTGTTTTTAGCATGAAAGCGTTTTACTGTGTTTAGAGAATATGTTGTTTTTTGTCTTTTATTATATTAATATGACAACTATGATGTATATTGAACAAACATTACATTCCTGGGATAAGTCGCACATGGCTATAATGTTAATTATTTTTATATGTTGCTGAATTTGGTTCGCTAGTATTTTTTGAGGATTTTTAATGTTCATAAGAGATATTGAAGATACTGTACTTGAGAAATTATCTTAAATAATTTTAAGTAAGCAAACATATGCAGTAAGAATTAAACAACACAATGTGCAGAACATACTTAGCACAGTGCCCAGCACCTCCTAAGCATCAGCTTATGGGAATTGCTTTAAGACCAAAGTGACAATAGTCCTTCTCTCAGCGTTGTCAGGAGGATTTAATGTGACTATGCAAAACCAAACCCAGGACCTGGTACACAGTTGTGTGCTGTGATTCTATTAGTTGTTACTTTTCTTGTTACTTTTAAGCATACTGACTGCAGTGGTATTATGAAGGTGAAAAATTGAAAACAATTCAATATCAATAAATAGATGATTGATTAAATATAGTCTATGCACAAAGTGTCACAATAAGTAGTCTTTAAAATTGACTAGATTAATATTGATCTAGAAAAATATTGGCGTGCAAAAAAGCAGTTTTTATGCATGTGTGTATAGAATTCATGTTTATGAATGCATTAAAGTCTAGAAATACATATATATCAAAGTGTTAGTTTAATTTGGGGAGCTTATATTGCTTATAGTGGAACTATGACTTAATTTTAAAATAGGTATATGTTTTATCAGGAAAGAAGGATATACATTTCTTTCTAGCAGGAAAATTTGGAAGCTTAAAAAGTATTTGAGGTTTTAATTGTCTTTGTTGATTTGTCTTCAGTTATTTTCATAGCCTTGTTTGAATTTATTATCCAATTAAACCATATGCACGTTAAAAAAGTAATAAAAGCTTCTAAAAAAGATATATGAGAAAAGATTTTCATCCATTCACAAATTTTGCCTTTCTTCATGTGGACTACCAGAATTAAATTTTTCTGAATGTCTACTGGGTGTTGGCCCAGACTCTGTTCTAGATGTTGTAAATACCAAGAAGAATACAAAGTGGTCCCTACTCCAGGGACAGAGAGACCAAACAGATCTGCAGCCAGCTAATTTCAGGGGGCAATGAAGTAAATGGTACACGCAAGTTAGAGCCGGGCAGGATCTCAGGCTAGCAGTAGACTTGTGTTTTCAAGAATGCATAGGGGTGTGTCTGGCAGACAGGACAAGAATTGCAGATAGCAGAAACAGCCTTTGCAAAAGGTTTGGAGCTCTGCAAATTCAAGAAGAAAGAAATTTTGGGATATTTATGAAAAGCAGCCGCCTTTGGGCTCATTATCCTGTCTCTGTGCAGCTTCCTCTTGAGAGAGCTAATTATAGTCTAGTTAGTAGGCTGCCACATTTCTTACTCCCTTGGAGGAGAATCTCAATTAGCAGGGAGTGGGTGAATCTGAAAGCCTGTCAGGATAGCAGCTTCTTCAAAGTGACCCTGCTGCAGTGAAGCAGAGAGATAGTTGTCTTTTCTTTAGAAAATGAGGCATTTTCTCCCCATTGGGCTTCTATCCATCAAAGCCTGCCTCAGAAGAAGAGAAGGAAAAGCTTTGTAGTTTAGGTTCTGGCTTTCCTGGCAGATAGGCAATGAGCAGTTATTTCTTAGTTTCTGTGACTTTTTGTTGGTCGTTATAGATGAGTGTTTAAATTTTCCGAGCGAACAGTATGGCCCAAAGCTTCTAATTACAAGTTCCAGACACCAGACTTGAATTCATGTTTGTCTTTAGATTGATATCTCTGCCCCTCATAGCCAAACTTGTAGCCACAGTGGTATATTCCTTCTGATCTGTCTGTGGCTTGTTGCTTGGTATCTCCCCTATGCAGCCTGGTTAAAGTTCAGTTCTGGGGCAGCTGGGCTCTGCTGGGGCTTTCTTAGGGACTTCAGTGGAGGCTGCTGAAGGGACTGGTTCTGACCTCCTAGTGCTGGCCCTGGCTATCCCTCAGCCTCTCTGCAGCATCTGGACCTCAGTAGTAGACCTGTTCAGCTTCTGGAAGTCTGCTAGTTTGCTTCTAAGGCCATGGATGATTGTGTTTGTAATCTGGCTTTATTTTTACTGTTTTACTGCTATTTTTCCCTTCATTATGTCTACTTATTTGGATTGCCAGGGGTGGGGTGATTCAGGGTTGGATGAAAATTATAGTATCACTCTGTAGAAATTTCATGAGTCATTTTTAAGTGGTTTATCCTGATGCTGTAGAAGGTGGAATGGAGCTCAGGTGATTTTTAAAGAATCAAAGGAGGTGATGCTTGCTAGGAACTGAAGGCTTCCATCTGCTTATTTCAGATTTCTACCCGAGACTATCAGATGAGAGAAGTGGCCCTCCCATGGCAGTCTGCAGTGGGGCTGAAGATACAATTAATTATTTCTGTGGGCTTAAAGAGAACTTCCCCTTAAGACGATTTTATGTGTAACATATGTATTATGTGAAAATGTTAAAATTGATGTAATGGCACAAGCCTGCAGTTAAAAATACTCATTTTTACCCATTTCTGCCTTAGTTAAAGCACTAGAAAAAGAGGTTAGATACTACCAGACGTATGCTTAGCAGAAAAGCCTAAAGAAAATGGGAATCCAAATGGCTAGTAGAGTTCAGTATGGGTTAATTTAGCTGAGAAATACTGTAACGTTAGAACCTGGATGTGAGACTCTTCATCCTGGACTGTAACCATGGTCCAGTTGCAGATACAGCTTATTTGCCCAGTTAAAGAATGGCTCATTCCACATAGTGGAATTTCCCAGTTAACTGAAACTAGGTACCTTTCTGATGACCCAGCCTCCTTTTAAATTGAATCTTAATTTCTGATATCTGAAAAGCTAGGAAACATAGGCTAAACTTATTTTTAAACAGTATGTTAGTTAAGTTTTCAAATAATTGGCTCAGTTGGTTTTTATCCTCCAAAAGCCTTTGCAGGTGTTTCAGTTCAAAGCATTGTGTCCAGCTCTTAATCTAGAAAATAAATACACTTTTTATCCTTTGTTTTCCTGAATTTCCAATCGAGATGGGAAATGTGAATTACTTCCTTCACTAACTCACAGATCATTGAAAAATTGAATCTTAAGTTGTTGTGCAGGGTCATTGTGCTGTTATTGTATAGATGTGATTTGACCCCTGTACTGTCAACTGTATTCTAAGCATTTTGGGTTTAGGGGTTTTTATGTGCATGTGTTTGCTTTTCGTAGTTTCTATTAGGCTATTAGGCCTTCAGCTCACTTATTAACATTACTTTGCTTAATTCTTGCGTCCTCCTTCTCACTATCCCTATAGTTAGTTGCTTCTAATCTGCTTAGGAAATCAGCTAAGTAAGCTTGTTAGATTTGTTTCCAAAGGGTAAGTAAAAAGACAAGCAGCCTCCTAAAGTTCGGTTTAAAAAGCCCTACATTGGCTGCTCAGTATGCCCTTTCCTCCTTCTCTTTTTTATTTGAAACGGAGTCTCGCTCTGTCACCCACGCTGGAGGGCAGTGATGCGATCTTGGCTCACTGCAACCTCTGCCTCTTGGGTTCACGCCATTCTCCTGCCTCAGCCTCCCGAGTAGCTGCGACTACAGGCACCCACCACCATGCCCGGCTAATTTTTTGTATGTTTAGTAGAGACGGGGTTTCACCGTGTTAGCCAGGATGGTCTCTATCTCCTGACCTCGTGATCTGCCTGCCTCGGCCGCCCAAAGTGCTGGGATTACAGGCGTGAGCCACCTCGCCTGGCCTCCTCCTTCCCTTCTTTGGGCAGCATTACATACAGGTGTTGGTGATGAAGGGCATGTCTTCTCAGTAAGGTTTGTGATACACTATTGTGTGACATCTTCAGGCAATTTAGACAAGTTATGATTAACTTTGAAAAATATATGCTCTTTGAGGATGGAAATGGAACCACTTCCATTTTCTTCATGCCTTCCCTGTGCCTTACTTCCTGTATAGTTTTGTGTGTGTCATCTAGTACAGCAACATATATCCTAATTTTGGTTCCTCTGGCCCCCAGGTTATTGGCCTATTACATAAGAATATAAAAAGAATGAAAGCTAAATATTTTTGCTTTAAACAGTCAGTCATCTTTTATAGAAATGATAATGTGAAAGAATTAAAACAGGAGAATAAATAATAAAATATGAGGAGAAAGTCTTATATTTATCCACATATTTACTGTATCTACTGTTCTTTATTTCTTTATCTAAATCCAAGTTTCCAACTGGTATCATTTTTCCTTTTGCCTGAAGATCTTCCTGTTACATTTCTTGAAGTGCGGGTCTGCTGATGACAATTTTTGTTTGTTTGAGTTTTTATTTTGCCTTTATTCTTAACATGTTTTCACTGGATATAGAATTCTAGGGTACTTCTAGGTGAATACCATTTTCAAGCATCATTTCCATTGTGTTCTGGCTGGCAGGGTTTCTGATGAAGTCTGCTGCTGCTTTTATGCTTGTTCTTCTGTGTGCTATGTCTCTTCCCCTGGCTGCTCTTGTCTGGGTTTAAGCAGTTTGATTATGATGTGCCTCCGTATGCTTTTCTGTGTGTGTGTCTTGCTTGGGGCATGCAGCTTCTTGGATCTGTAGGTTTATAGTTTCTATCAAATTTGGAAATGTTTTGGCCATCATTTCTCAGTCTTTTTCTGTCCTTCCCCTTCTTCCCCTCGTCCTGCAGGCCTGCAGTGTTGTGTGTGTTAGACTGCTTGATATTATCCTTCATGTCTCTGAGACTCTATTCCGTTTATTTATTTTTTCAGCCTATTTTGTTTCTGTGCTTCTGTGCTTATTTTGGATAAATTCTATTGCTATATGTTTAAGTTCCCTGATTTTTTTCTTTACTTCTACAATGTCTAGTCTGCACTTAATCTCAATCAGTGAAATTTTCATTTCAGATATTATGTTTTCTTAAAATCTGTAAGTTCCATTGGATTCTTTAAAAAAACTTTCTTTTTTCTTATGAATGTCTATGTATTTTAATATTGAACATAGTTATAATAGAAGTTTAATGTTCTTATTTCATCATTTCTCAGAAGTTTACTATTTTCTGATTTTTTTGCCCCTCCTGATTATGGGCCACATTTTCTTCCCTCTTGTCATGTTTAGGAAATTTTTTTTTAAGGCTTCTCTGTACATAGTGAAGGAATTTTTTATTAGATATTGTGTATTGTGAATATTACCTTGTTGAGTGTCTGTGTCTTGTTATATTTCTTTTAGGAATATCATGCTTTGTTTTGGCAAATCAGATAAGTTACTTGCGGTCTGCCTAATGCCCTGTAGGCCTGCTTTTAAGCTCTGATAGGGCAGATTTCATTTAACTTGCACTCCAGACATACTTCAGTCTCACTAAGACCTGACTCTCTGGGGGTCTCCATTGAATGCCTTGGGTGGGTCACCAAGAACATTCCACTTTGGCTGTTTGGAGCTTCCCTACTTGTGTAAACTCTAAGAATTTTTCATTTCACACCTTCTTGGTTGTTTTCTGCCTTGCTTCCTGGAAGTTCACTCACACACGTGAGGCCTAGAACTTAGCACATTCCTGTAGCCCTCTTTCTGTGTAGCTTCCTGTAATTTCTAGCACCCTCAACTTCTCTGAACTCTGTTCTTTACTGTCTGCAGTATTTAATCTGTAGGGCTACTATGTTTAATTTGAGTTCCCCTTCCCTGTACTTGGTGACCTGGAAATTATTAACACCTCCAGGCAGAAAGTTGGGGTGATTGTATAGCTTGCCTTGTTTGTTTCTTTTCTTGCAGGGAGAAACAAACAAATCCATATCTTTATGCAAATTAGCTGAACAGCCAAGTTCTGAACTGCCCGTTGTCCGGTGCCTGCACGTAGTTCTTTTATATATACTGTCAGGTTTTCTAGCTATTTATTGCAAGAGGTTAAGTCATCCACGTCTAGTCTATCACTGATGCAAGCAAAAATTTCAGGAATTCCATTGAAATTGGTCCATTGAAAATAATTCTTGGCAACTGAGTACTGTTCTAAATGACATGCCTGCATATTTTAGAAGACTGAACTAAACATAATTTACATGAATTTGTGAGTGAAGCGTGATAGTGTCTTCATGTCTCCCATTTATTTTTTACCTGTCCCACAGACTGGAACTGTTCCCACTCAGCAGAATGATTATGATTTAAGGTAGTAGAATAATGACAGCAGTTCGTATGTTCTTGGAGCTCCCCAGAGGACAGATAGGCTGAGTGAGATCTGTCCTTGTCACTGCTAATGCTGGCAGTACTCAGTGGGTGACTTTTCCTTTGGGTTGTTCTTATTCCTTACATTAGACTTAAATTTTCCTTTTGGGAAGGCCATTATGAACCACTTTCTGAATCCACGGGAAGTCTATGCTAATTAAGAGCACTGTACATCTGAATCAATGAAAAATGGATGTATGGATTGAAAGAACCATCTTGAAACAGAATGGCATAACAAGACAATCTGGGGGATTTAAAGGCACAGTGAAAGGAGCTAATCTGCATAAGGACATGGATTTGTGAAGATGTCTTTCCTCCTCCCCCTACGCTGTGTTGAATAAACTGAACCATGTAATTTGGAGGGCATTGTTGTTGAGTTTTAGGGAGCATTGGGGTCTTGAGTAGACACAAGACTTGGCTGTTGATAATTTAGCTTAAGAAGCAACTAGATCAAGGAAAACAGGATTCTATTTGTGTGTTTTTTGGATAGCAATGATTTATTTCAAACTTATTGGTAAAGAACTAATGCCCATTTCAGAAATCATGAATATTGCCAGCTACAGATGTTGTTTTTTTTATTTAAATTACTCTTAAGTTCTTTGTTTAGCCTCCTAAATGACTCACTCTTATACTTGATACATAAACTTTAATTTTGCATCATTAAAGTGTTTGCATAAATATGTTGATTTTTAAGATTCCAAAGATGTTTCTTTTTTCTCGAGACAGGGTCTTGCTCTGTCACCCAGGCTGGAATGTAGTGGAGTGACCCTGGCTCACTGCAGCTTCAAGTTCCTGGGCTCAAGTTGATGCTCCTGCCTCAGCCTTCTGAGTATCTGGGACTACAGGCACACGCCGCCATATCTGACACATTTTTTTATTTTTAAGAGACAGGATCTTGCTATGTTGCCCAGGCTGGTCTTGAACTCCTGGCCTCAAGCAGTCCTCCCATTTTGGCCTCCCAAAGTGGTAGGATTATAGCTGTGTTTTTTTAAAATTTTAAATGCAACTTGAGGAGTATTGATTGGATCCACTGCTGTTTAGAAAATTTAAAAGTTAATGAACTTACGAAAAAAATGTTCATCTTCACTAAAAAAGAAATGCAACATAGAAAGTGAAGTCTTTTTTTTCACCTGTCAGATTGATTAAAGTTTAAAAATGGTAATATTAAATGTTGGCAATGGTGTGGAAGGATGAGTACTTCTTTGAACTTCTAGGAGAAATGTACATTTATATGACCTCTCTGATAATTTTGGCACTATACATCAAGAACTTTTACACTCTTTGACCTACTATTGTTGCTTCTATGGTTTTCATTCCTAAAACTATTGGAAATTCAAACAAACAAAAAAAAGTGTAGGAAAGTATTGGCAATATTGCATTTCTAATGGTGAGGAATTAGAAACACCCTAAATATCTAACAATAAGAGTGTTTCACTTGTACCATTTTCCACTTACAAAGTACCATACAATTATTAAAATGGTGGTTATGAAAAATATTTCATCACAGAGGAAAAATTTACATATTTGAAGTAAGCACTATTCCAATATGATATATACTCTCATCTCAGCTGTTAGTTTAAAGTGTGTACCAGGTGACCAAGTACAGTGGCTCATGCCTGTCATCCTAGCACCTTGAGAGGCCAAGGAGGGAGGATTGAGTGACAGTGAGACTCTGTCTTCAAAAAAAAAAAAAAAAAAAAAAAAAAAGCATGGATGGTCAGAAATGTTGCAGAATGTGAAAATAACTGTTTCAAGGTGGTGGTTTTATGAGAGATTGTTTTCTTCTTTATATTTGTTCTATTTTTCAAAATTTGAGTGCAAAAGTATTCTGGGTATGTGAAAGCAAGTATGATCTTTGTAGCTTCATTCTGGGCTTAACCTAAGGCTTTCCAGACCCTAGAGGAGCACCTCAGATTCCAAAAGAGTATGCAGAATCAGTCTCGAAGACTAATTGTTTTATAATCAGGTGAAAAAGTATATATATATGTATATATAGTTTTTGTTTTTAAAAAAACGTTGGTTTCTGTGCTTACTGTTCAGATAAAAATTTCGACGATGAAGATTCTGTGGATGGTAACAGACCTTCCTCTGCTAGTTCTACATCATCCAAGGCTCCACCAAGTTCTCGGAGAAACGTTGGAATGGGAACCACCCGCCGGCTTGGTTCATCCACCCTTGGATCCAAGTCTTCAGGTTAGTCTAAGCCCTGTGTGGCGTTCTGGGGTCAGCTATGCCAGCTTTTCAAACCAGAGGTGCACGTACTTGCCTGTGGTGGCCCTCAGAAGTGATACAGTCCCCATATGCAGCAGGTTTCTGCCTGCTATTCTTTAATTGAATTAGCATTGCGATACTGATGCTGATAAGCTGGTAAGTTGTAAATTTGAGCTACTATGTTGACTTTTGCCACATTCTAGTAAGGTGGAGCCTGCAGGAGAAGGAAGCCAGCACAGAGGAAAGCATAGCTCAGAGATAAGAGCAAGAGCGCACCCTCATCACATTGTTTAGTTATCTGGATCCAGCAATGCCTGAAACCACTAGGGGCATTTTAGACAATTTCTATTTAACAAGACTGAGAATAATCCAGAAGTCACACTGTAACTCCTGTCTTTAAAATATATTTTGTAGACTGGCCCCTAGGTATTGGGGCATGTGTGTATACTCCGCATGCAGGGTCGTGCTGTGGGTGGTGGTGACCAGCCATCTCTGCTCCAGTTCCCAGTGAGCCATGGTGAGGTGGCAGCTGTTGGTGTGTCTGTTGGGTGGCAGCATGAAGTAGAGCTGGGCCAGCGGGAGGTAGCTCTGTGGGAGTGGAAGGCCTGTATTTCTCTACCTGGACCGCAGGCTCTTCATGCAGGAAGGGCAGAGCTCAACACCTCAAAGACAATCTGTAGAAAGCTGAGTAGCAGCAGCCCCACGGAAGAGTGACCAGACTGTTAAACGAAAAACAAACAGAAAACAGCAACAACAAAAAACCCCATCCAAAGGACCACAACCTCAAAGATCAAAGGTAGATAAGCCCACAAAGATGAGAAAGAATCAACACAAAAGCGCTGAAAACTCAAAAAGCCGGAGTACCCCTTTTCCTTCAGATGACCGCAACCCCTCTCCAGCAAGGGCTCAGAACTAGGCTGAGACTGAGATGGCTGAAATGACAGAAGTAGGCCTCAGAATGTGGATAATAACGAACTTCACTGAGCTAAAGGAGCATGGCGTTGGGCTTAGGATTGGGGTTAGGGTTAGGGTATTCACATAGGAAGAGAGGAAGTCAAACTATCTTTATTTGCAGATGACATGATCCTATATCTAGAAAACTCCATTGTCTCAGCCCAAAAGCTTCTTAAGCTGATAAGCAACTTCAGCAAAGTCTCAGGATACAAAATTAATGTGCAAATATCGCTAGCATTCCTGTACATCAACACCAGGCAAGCAGAGAGCCAAATCGTGAATGAATTCCCATTCACAATTGCCACAAAAAGAATAAAATACCTAGGAATACAGCTAACAAGGGAAGTGAAGGATTTCCTCAAGGAGCACTACAAAACACTGCTCAAAGAGATCAGAGACGATACAAACAAATGGAAAAACAGTCCATGCTCATGGATAGGAAGAATTAATATTATGAAATGGCCATACTGCCCAAAGCAATTATAGATTTAGTGCTATTCCTATTAAACTAACATTGACAGAATTAGAAGAAACTATCTTAAAATCCATATAGAACCAAATAAGAGCTCATATAGCCAAGGCAATCCTAAGCAAAAAGAACAAAGCTGGAGGCATCACTCTATCCAACTTTATACTATAAGGCTACCCCTAACCAAAACAGTGTGGTAGTAGTACAAGAACAGACACATAGACCAATGGAATAGAAGAGAGAACCCAGAAATAAAGAACCCACGACTACAACCATCTGATCTTCGACAAACCTGATAAAAACAAGCAATGGGGAAAGAATTCCCTGTTTAATAAATGGTGCTGGGAGAACTGGATAGCCATATGCAGAAAATTGAAACTGGACCTCTTCCTTACACGCTATACAAAAATCAACTCAAGATGGATGAAAGACGTAAATGTATAACTCAAAACTATAAAACCCTAGAAGGAAATCTAGGCAATACCATTTAGGACATAGGCATGGGCAAAGATTTCATGACGAAGACACCAAAAGCAATTGCAACAAAAGCAAAAATTGACAAATGGACCTAATTAAAGAGCTTCTGCACAGCAAAATAAACTGTCATCAGAGAGAACACTCAACCTACAGAATGGGAGAAAAATTTTGCAATCTATCCGTCTGACAAAAGGCCTAACATCCAGAATCTGCAAAGAACTTAAATTTACAAGAAAAAACAACCCCATTAAAAAGTGGGCAAAGAAAATGAGCAGACAGTTACGAAAAGAGGATGAACATGCAGCCAACAAACATGAAAAAAAGCTCAACATCACTGATTATTAGAGAAATGCAAATCACAATGAGATACCATCTCACACCAGTCAGAATGGCTATTATTAAAAATTCAGAAAAACAATAGATGCTGGCGAGGTTGTGGAGAAAAAGGAGTGCTTTTACACTGTTGATGGGAGTGTAAATTAATTCAACCACTGTGGAAGACAGTGTGGCAATTCCCCAAAGACCTAGAGGCAGAATTACCATTTGACCTAGCAGTCCCATTATTGGGCATATACCCAAAGGAATATAAATCATTCTGTTATAAAGATACATGTATGCATATGTTCATCCCAGCACTATTCACAATAGCAAAGATGTGGGATCAACCTAAATGCCCATCAATGATAGACTGGATAAAGAAAGTGTGGTACATGTATACCACATTCATAAAAAGGAACAAGATCATGTCCTTTGCAGGGACATGGATGGAGGTGGAAGCCATTATCCTCAGCAGTCTAATGCAGGAACAGAAAACCAAATACTACATGTTCTCACTTATAAGTGGGAGCTGAATGATGAGAACACATGGACACATGGGTGAGGAAAACACACACTGGGACCTGTTGCAGGGTTTGGGGTGGGAGGAGGGAGCACATCACGAAGAATAGCTAATGTGCTGGTCTTAATACCTAGGTGATGGGATGATCTGTGCAGCAAACCACCATGGCACACGTTTACCTATGTAACCAACCTGCACATCCTACACATGCACCCCTGAACTTAAAAGTTGGGAATAAAAATAAATAAGATAAAACACATTTTGTTCTTACAAGCAACATGGTTCCTTGTGAGACCAGTATGGATGTTGCATTAAATAAATTGTAGGAGATTTCTCCCATAAATTCTTCCTTTCACCCCTAATGTAGACAGTTTGGTTGTTATATACAACTCTTATTTTCTCTCAAATTTTACATTTACATGCAAATTCCCTCTGAAATTTATCTCAGAAAAATTGTGTAGGTGCTGCTCTTAGAACCATTTTCACTGATGGCTGTGAGCTTTGAGCAGTTGGTGGTGGTGGGGATAGTGGTGGGTGGGGAATCCCATGAGCCAAAAAAGATGAAGCTGAGTGGGCCAAGTAAAAGCTGTACTCATGGTTAGCATTAAAATGCTGTCTCCTGATGGCCTCTCCTGAATTCTGAACCGGCCCTAGAATATTGGTATCTTGACCAGACCAGCATGGGACCACTCTGCCTCCTCACCCCAGCATCTGTGATAGAGGAGCTGTAGGAATGTTAATTGTGCTTATTTCTAGTTCTTTCTGATTATTTTTTTGGTGTATTTTAAAACATTTTACTTTTTGTTACTGAGTTTAAATTCTCATAACATAAAATTAGCCATTTTAAAGGTGATGTTTTCAGTGTTTCATCTACCTTGTAGCATATATCAATACTTTGTTCCTTTTAATGCCTGAACAATCTTTCTAATCTTTTTTCTTGAACTATTCTTGGGTAATTATCCGTTGCACAAACAAGGCTTAGAAAATTACTAGACTTTTAGGTCTAACGTTTAAGTTTTTAATCCATCTTGAATTAATTTTTGTATAAGGTGTAAGGAAGGGATCCAGTTTCAGCTTTCTACATATGGCTAGCCAGTTTTCCCAGCACCATTTATTAAATAGGGAATCCTTTCCCCATTGCTTGTTTTTCTCAGGTTTGTCAAAGATCAGATAGTTGTAGATATGCGGCGTTATTTCTGAGGGCTCTGTTCTGTTTCATTGATCTATATCTCTGTTTTGATACCAGTACCATGCTGTTTTGGTTACTGTAGCCCTGTAGTATAGTCTGAAGTCAGGTAGCGTGATGCCTCCAGCTTTGTTCTTTTGGCTTAGGATTGACTTGGCGATGCGGGCTCTTTTGTGGTTCCATATGAACTTTAAAGTAGTTTTTTCCAATTCTGTGAAGAAAGTCATTGGTAGCTTGATGGGGATGGCATTGAATCTATAAATTACCTTGGGCAGTATGGCCATTTTCACAATATTGATTCTTCCTACCCATGAGCATGGAATGTTCTTCCATTTCTTTGTATCCTCTTTTATTTCATTGAGCAGTGGTTTGTAGTTCTCCTTAAAGAGGTCCTTCACATCCCTTTTAAGTTGGATTCCTAGGTATTTTATTATCTTTGAAGCAATTGTGAATGGGAGTTCACTCATGATTTGGCTCTCTGTTTGTCTGTTATTGGTGTATAAGAATGCTTGTGATTTTTGTACATTGATTTTGTATCCTGAGACTTTGCTGAACTTGCTTATCAGCTTGAGGAGATTTTGGGCTGAGACAATGGGGTTTTCTAGATATACAATCATGTCATCTGCAAACAGGGACAATTTGACTTCCTCTTTTCCTAATTGAATACCCTTTATTTCCTTCTCCTGCCTAATTGCCCTGGCCAGAACTTCTAACACTGTGTTGAATAGGAGTGGTGAGAGAGGGCATCCCTGTCTTGTGCCAGTTTTCAAAGGGAATGCTTCCAGTTTTTGCCCATTCAGCATGATATTGGCTGTGGGTTTGTCATAGATAGCTCTTATGATTTTGAGATACGTCCCATCAATACCTAATTTATTGAGAGTTTTTAGCATGAAGGGTTGTCGAATTTGGAAGAAAACCTAGGCATTACCATTCAGGACATAGGCATGGGCAAGGACTTCATGTCTAAAACACCAAAAGCAATGGCAACAGAAGCCAAAATTGACAAATGGGATCTAATTAATAAGAGCTTCTGCACAGCAAAAGAAACTACCATCAGCGTGAACAGGCAACCTACAAAATGGGAGAAAATTTTCGCAACCTACTCATCTGACAAAGGGCTAATATCCAGAATCTACAATGAACTCAAACAAATTTACAAGAAAAAAACAAACAACCCCATCAAAAAGTGGGTGAAGGACATGAACAGACACTTCTCAAAAGAAGACATTTATGCAGCTAAAAAAACACATGAAAAAATGCTCACCATCACTGGCTATCAGAGAAATGCAAATCAAAACCACAATGAGATACCATCTCACACCAGTTAGGATGGCAATCATTAAAAAGTCAGGAAACGACAGGTGCTGGAGAGGATGTGGAGAAATAGGAACACTTTTACACTGTTGGTGGGACTGTAAACTAGTTCAACCATTGTGGAAGTCAGTGTGGCGATTCCTCAAGGATCTAGAACTAGAAATACCATTTGACCCAGCCATCCCATTACTGGGTATATACCCAAAGGACTATAAATCATGCTGCTGTAAAGACACATGCACACGTATGTTTATTGCGGCACTATTCACAATAGCAAAGACTTGGAACCAACCCAAATGTCCAACAATGATAGACTGGATTAAGAAAATGTGGCACATATACACCATGGAACACTATGCATCCATAAAAAAGGATGAGTTCATGTCCTTTGTAGGGACATGGATGAAATTGGAAATCATCATTCTCGGTAAACTATCGCAAGAACAAAAAACCAAACACCGCATATGCTCACTCATAGGTGGGAATTGAACAATGAGAACACATGGACACAGGAAGGGGAACATCACACTCTGGGGACTGTTGTGGGGTGGGGGGAGGGGGGAGGGATAGCTTTAGGAGATATACCTAATGCTAAATGACGAGTTAATGGGTGCAGCGCACCAGCATGGCACATGTATACATATGTAACTAACCGGCACATTGTGCACATGTACCCTAAAACTTAAAGTATAATAATAATAAAATAAAATAAAATAGAAAATTACTAGACTGGTGCTTTCCTTCCCATCTCGCGTCCATACCCCTTCCAGAAGTCCCTGCTGTGTAGATTATGCACATATCAGCCCAGTTTTCCCCTTCAGCCCTGCACTTATCCTTTTTGCATGTTGTTTAATGCCATAGTCATGAATTTCCTGATTAGCTCCTCCTCATCAGATAGCTTAGGCTCAGGGACTGTTGTTGGCCTTTGAGTCCTCTTCAGTATATGTGGGTACATGGTGTAGGGCCTTATGCAAAGGAGGCATTCAGGGCCTATCTGCTCAATGGGATCCAGTTTTTATGCTAAAACAGACACAGAGCACCACATCACAGTGAGTGACGGTCATCCTTTATAGTAGTTAGCTTTTCCACAGTGTGAGTGATCTTCAGCAAGAGTGATGACACACATTTACTGCTACCTGGGATTGTCTTTAAAGCCCCTTTCTGTCTGGATAGTTATCAGGACCCTGAACACCAGATACATGAGTGGTAAGAAGGTCTTAGAAAAGCAATCAGACTAATCCATGTAAATCATTAATGGGGGTTATGAAGAGGACTATAGATACCAATTTTTACAATGTGAAAAAAATCTGATAAAGCATCACTTGATTTTCATACATAAAGGGGAGCTCATATTAGCAAAAAGAAATACTTTCTCCAATACTTTTAATTATACAAAGCATCTTAGGGTAAGTTTGTAGGAGAAACTTGTAACTGATTCTTAAGTGAAAAAAATGACAGTTATCATGAGTTCAAGGAAATAGAAATGTTTTCAAACTAATATAAAGTTAAATAAAACTGTGAAATTATTTAGGACTTGTTTGAATATTCACAAATTTGTTATGCTGGATTCCCAGTAATAACAATTTAAGTTATTCCCTGATGAATTAAATTTTCTGCTTGATCCATTTATTAGGAATCTTTCAAAGGACTTGTATGTTAATACAATATCTAAATCCTTTAAAACCCATACCCTCCCTGCTTAAACAGGTAGTCTAAGTGACCTTAAGCTAATGTATATAGCATTGTAGAATTACTATATTTCATCTTGATATGAAGTCAGTAATGTTTGTCAATTTCATGACACTTCAAAGTTATATGAAGCCTTTTAAAAAAATGTTCTGAATCTTCCAAAATGTAATTTTGATTGTGTATGTTTAGACTTCTTCAGTGTATGTGTTATAGACGTTGTTTCATATTGTTTACATTTTTAAAATTCTTTTTTACAGCTGCAAAAGAAGGAGCTGGTGCTGTTGATGAAGAGGATTTTATTAAAGCATTTGATGATGTACCTGTAGTACAGGTCAGTGAGGATATTTGAGTATGATTACAAACAAGGGTCAACTTACTCTTCAAGTTTTATTTTTCAATTCTGCCTATGTAATGTTGTTTACTAGGTCAGGTAATTTTAACTGTCAGCACTACAGGAGATCTGAGGTGCAGACCAGAAAATGTTGGAGCAAAAGTCAAGGCCCAAGATAATCTTTCAGTAAGAACGGGAAAGACATTGGTTGCTCTATTATTAAGTTTATGGATCAGGTCACATAAAAGAGAAAGAAATAGATGACGCTAAATTAGAGAATAAAAAAAGTATATTTATTTAGGGATTTTTTTTTTTTTTAATTCATAAGTTTGAAGGATTTTGGTGTCTGAAAAGTTATGGAGAATGGTTTAATAAGAGCTTAGTTTATACCTTCTTTGATGCTTCACTTTAAGTACCTAACAGATGAAACAAAGATTATTTATAAAAATTGGGATACAGCCACAAGTTTGACTGCTTTGTGCCTTAGTATCGTCTGTTGCTGATTGAGACTAATACTTTTCCTCAGCCTACACTGACTGTCTGTGCTCTGGATTCCTGTGGCACTTACTGTCTGTTATGTACAACTCTCTTTGCCACCTTGGTTGCCATATGTGTATAAAGCAGGTAACAAGAATCTCAGTGGCCTAGGCGACATGGCGAAACCTCATCTCTATAAAAGATACAAAAATCATCCATGGTGGCTTGTGCCTATAGTTCTAGCTATTCGGGAGATTGAGGTGTGAGGCTCCCTTGAACCCGGGAGGTGGAGTTTGTTGTGAATTGAGATTGCGCCACTGCACTCCATCCTGGGCGACAGAGTGATTCCCAGTGTCTTAAACAAAAAACAATCTCGGGTTCAGGTTCATCCTTAAGTACTTGACCTGACCTTCCCAGCATACATCAAGATTGATTATACCCTGTACCTTACCTGTTTTCTAGGTAAGATGTGGGGATAAATGAGAAAGTAGATTTGAAACTGTTTAAATTTATAGGTATAGTGTCATGTTATAAATAATACTAAGTGAGAAATGACTTAGGCATCACTGGCTGTTTCCCATTAGCCTTGTTTCTCTTTGTACATGAAATCATCTGTTAAGTTTATAGTAAAGCTATGTTTGAGGCAGGGTTATTCACATATGGCAGCAAATCTTGTGGGTACACATTTGTAGTGAGAAAGATCCTCATTATAGACAAAACTGTTCAGATATTTTCTCATAGGTATTTCTTAAAAAAATAATTTCTTTTACCATACTTAATGTTCTTGACTTCATGTAATTAAGAAATAATCTGTTTATTCTGCATGTTTTTATATTGATTGTAAATTAATTTTGCTTACAGATTTATTCCAGCCGAGACCTTGAGGAATCCATAAACAAAATTAGGGAAATATTATCTGATGACAAGCATGATTGGGAGCAGAGAGTAAATGCTGTAAGCTGTTGACTTCATGTGATTACATTTTCATAAGATGTATTTAAATATCTCAAATACTTTATTGTGAAATTGGGACAGCTCTAATGAATTCTAAATAGTACATATTTTAAGTTCAAATTATCATATTTATACTTCACCTTTTTAGTAGAGTGTCTCCTTTTATTTTTATTTTGAAAACACACCAACTTACACCTTTATGAATCGCCTAGTCTTTTAACAAAGACCTGACTGTGGAATGTATGGTAATAGTCTCCACTCTCACCTTAGCAGAAATTTCATTCTGTGATTGTTTGCCTTTAAGGTGGCTTTTTTGTGGCATTTTTAGTGTATGTCTCCAATATTCTTTTCTTTCTTCTTATCACTTGCTAGAAAGTTGTGTCTCCTTTATTTTTAAAAGTAGATTAATGGAAAGTGGGCTCAGCATTAAAGTGAGGGTGTGTCTTATCTGAGAAGGCTATTTTCTACTGGTTGGCTGGCAAGAAGAGAAGTGGTACAATTGCCATTATATTGTATTTCAAATTCAGACCAGCCATTTAATGGTTCAGTGGAGGATAATAAATACTATAGGAATGCTTCTTCCTTTGATTCTTAAATAAATGGCAGTTGAAGTGGGGTGTCGCGGGGAGGTAAGCTTAGGAGGGGATTTTCACAAGCCAAAAGTTTTTAATTATTTATCATTAGTGTTGTAGGATCTATAAATACTTTAAGATATTTCAAATGTAAAACTTTTTTTGCAGAAATTATAGTATATGTGTCACAAATACTCTAGTTAAAAATTATTTAGTCTTATTTGTGATATGTAGATTTGTTTATTGTATTAGCTAATATTTAACTGGCTGAATTCTTTTGGGAAAGCTTTCTAATCAGTTGAACTTTAACAATGATCTCTTTTGTATTTGATGACTTCTTTTGTTGTGTATAGTCTGTGTTAGAATTGTTTTCTATTTTTCTGAATTTTCTCTATTCCATTAGCTAAAAAAGATTAGATCTTTACTTTTGGCTGGTGCTGCTGAGTATGATAACTTCTTTCAACATTTGCGTCTTTTGGATGGAGCCTTTAAACTCTCTGCTAAGGACCTGCGGTCTCAGGTAGTGCGGGAGGCTTGTATCACGTTGGGGTAAGGACTGCGATGCTCCATATTCTCACCATAAAATAGTGTCACCACAGAGCTTCAGAGATGTCTCCTTGAACATGTGAGCTGGGTCTCTTTAATGTAACTTCTGACTAGTCTCCAAGACCCATTCCAGTTAACACTTCTTTCAGTAGTTTTACAATACTTTTTGCTCAATTATGTGAAGTGTGACAGATTTTAAATTTTATTCAGTGACATAGCTCTGAAGTCTTTATTTCAAACTTTGAAGCAGTTATTAATATGGAAAAGTGAAATTCTATAAAATCCTGTTTCTCTGATTTTTCATTGATTTTTGCTGGCAGGCAATAGCGTGTTTATCAGAATGTTTGTTCCTAGAAGAGTACTGTAGTTATAAAGTTAAAGGCATTTACTGCAGTAAGATTTTATTCTAGCTGTACGTGTACTAGTGATCAAAGCTATTAAAACTTTGTGTTAGAATGTATGTCGGAATATCAAAGCAGCAGCAGCAGCAGGAGGAGGCATTGCAGCTGTTTTAAGTTTTGGCTGAAGTCAGATTTTGAAGCCTGAATATTTTATGTTAAGATAAAAGAAAAAAGAAAAAGGAGCCAAGGGTGCTTTTTCATATTTGTGTTTTATTAATATATAATCAGTTTGTTTGCTATTTTAAGACTAGCTGGGGCAGGTGGGCTGGTATGTGCCTGGAGTCCCAGCTACTTGGAAAGCCAAAGTGGGAGGATTGATTGAGCCCAGGAGTTCAAGTTCAACGTGGGCAAGGTAGTGAGATCCTGCCTCTAGAAAACAAACAAAAAGCTCCACAGACTAGTTGGAAATGTTTTTTTTTAAAAAAAAAAACAACAAAACTTTTGGGCTAAGAACTATTTGCCAAGTTCTTAACATGCACATCGGAAATCTCAGACCCTTGTCCTTTCTAGATAACTTTAAATGAAGGCTCTAGATGTTAAGTGGTTTATATGCTTCACTGTCTCTAAGAAAAATAACTATAGTCCAGTATCCTTTTCTTGTTTTAGGCATCTGTCATCAGTTCTGGGGAATAAGTTTGACCATGGAGCTGAAGCCATTATGCCAACTATCTTTAATTTAATTCCAAACAGTGCCAAAATTATGGCCACATCTGGTGTTGTAGCTGTTAGGTTAATTATTCGGGTAAGTATGTTATAGGCCATGCTTGAAATAAGCAAGTGGTAAATACTGATGGTTGATAAATATTAGAGGCATTTTTGTTAACATAATTATATTGAGTCATTAAATTTATTAGCATAATTATATTGGAATTTTGTATATATATCATCTTTTCCCCCTACTTAATTGTGGCATGTGAGCTTTTTATAATCCATAATGTGAATTATGGTTGTGTTATAAAGTTAATGAGGTATTGATTGTTAACTCACTATTGGTTTAAAATGTTCGAACATCCGGTGTCTGCTTCTGAGTTTATATTGTATTCTTGTTACTCGGATATTACTCTTAGTCTTACCTCCTTAGTCCCAGTCCTTCCGTTTTAGGTATTGGTGCTTGTGGTTTTACTGTTCACCCAAAAGTTTAATTAATTGCACATAAGCACGAAACAAAATGTTCTCTTTGGTTAGGTTTTCTAGGCACTTGTTTGTTTAAATTTAAATAATTATCCAAGTAATTTATACACAGGTTTTTAACAAAATCTAATAGTTCACAAAGGTTTAAAATGGTTTTCCACATTACCTCCCCACCACTTTCAAGTCATTTTTGCCCAGAGGCAGCTCTTGAAACTTTGAGGCTTGATGATGTTGTCTAAAATCTATCCAGAATATTCTTGATTATTGGTTATTTACTTTGTATTATAAGTTCTTACTGTTCTTACTTGCACTGCCTGCTTTAACTGTTAAACCCAAGGTCATTATTGGACATTTCTATTGAAATAGTATCAAAATATATTGGTCTGATGACTCCTTTCAAACCCACTCCTTTTAAACCCACTCAGATGTCTACAGCTGAGATAATTTAGACCTCATACTAATGATTGTTTTAGGCTTATCTTCATGTCATCATGTTGCCTGTTCTTAACTCTGTAAATTTTCTAATGGCTTTTGACAATATCCTGTGAATTCTTTTTTTCTTTTAAAACTCACTGACATTCTAATCTGAATATATATGTGCTATAAGTAGGTTAGTAAGGAAGTGATTCTCTTAATTTTGTTTTGTTTTTGTATTTGCAAGTGTTGACCTCTGTTTTTTGTTGTTCTTCACAGCACACACACATCCCTAGGTTAATACCTGTCATAACAAGCAACTGTACCTCTAAGTCTGTCGCAGTTAGAAGGTAAATTTTAAAGGATTTTCTCATTGTTTTTGAATTGTTTAAAAACCAAAACAAATTCCAAATCTCCTTCCATGGATAAAATTTCATGTATAACATGCTTAGTATTACTTAAAATCACTGCAGTAAATGACTTTGAGTTGAAGAATCAAGATCTAAATATTTTGGGAAATGAATGTGGACAACCTCTATTATGTTTCTGTGTGTGTGTGTGTGTGTGTGTGTGTGTGTATGTCTGTGTGAGAGAAAGTGAGTTTGGGTGTTAGTGGCAGAAGGAGAAGGGGAGAGGACTCCCTGTACATTTTTTTCCTGTGATAATCCTCCTACCTTTGTCATCGGTCTGCCCTATTCCCTGAGTAAAGGCAGTAACTGCATGCAAGAAAAAAATACCGTAAACATCAATGGCAATAGTTTTGTATTAACATAGGTGAGGGGAAAGGTATGTGTTTGCATCTTCTGTTAGCGATTTCTGGGATTCTGAATCTTCACTGTCACTTAGTTCTGTGCAGTTGTGGGAGATATACCCAGAAGACACAGGCAAATACAACCTGGGTAACTAGCTAGGGGTTTGTTCCCAAGTCCCTATCTTATATGTCCTGGCGAGCTGCCCTAAACTACGTGTGAGGAATAAAGACTGTGTTCTTTCAGCTCAGACCTGTGATTCTTGAGTGTTTTAAGAGTCTTTTAAAATCTATGAACCCTCTTTCCAGCAAGTCGTAAATGTACAGAATAGTTTTGTGTAGGTTTTCAGGGAATTCATGAATACCACTAAAGCTGTTCCAGTAGACTGTATTGGGAGTCTTATAGGATAATTACTGGCAGGCTTGGGCAACCTCTTGGCCCCATTCCCTTAGCTGTGTGTCTTGATGCTAGCCCTGTGAAAGAGTCCTTCACTCTTAAGATTTAGAGCCCAGATGACCTTTGCCAGCCGTTTACCTTTTTTCCTGGGGTGTCTTGTTGATCCTGCTGGGTTTCTATGGGTACAAGACCCTCTTAAACATGAAGCAGCTCTATATTTGTCGTTTTAAAATTTATTTTATTATTTTTAACAAATTGGCCAGAGACCGCCTTTTTAAAAATTTTCTTTCCTTTCCTTTTCTTCCTTTCCCTTCTGTTTCCTTCCCTTCCCCTTTTCTTTTTCTTCCTTTTTTTCCTTTTCTTTCCTTTTTCCTTTCCTTCCTTCCTTTCTTGCCTTTCTTCCTTTATTGCTTTCCTTTCTTTTCTTTCTTTCACCCAGGCTGGAGTGCAGCACACTGTAACCTCAAGTTCCTGGGCTTCCAAGTAGCTGGGACTATAGGCACACACCACCATGGCCCACTAATCTTTTTTCTTTTTTTACTTTTTTTTTTTTTTAGAGACGGGGGTCTCATTATGTTGCCCAAGGATGATCTCAGACTCCTGGGCTCAAGCAGTCTTCCCACCTTGATCTCCCAAAGTGCTGGGATTATAGATGTGAGCCACCATGCCCAATCTTTGTTTTTTTAATTGGCAAGTAAAAATTGTGAAGACTTATGGTGTACAACATGCTGTGTTGATAATGTGTATACATTTTGTAATGGTTAAATCAAGCTCTTTAACATGTGTATCACCTCACATACTTATTTTTTTGTGGTGAGAACACTTGAAATCTACTCTCAGCAATTTTAAAGTATATAATATGTTGTTACTAACTGTAGTCACATCACTATGATGTGCAATCGATCTCTTGAACTTACTCCTATCTACCTGACATTTTGCATGCTTTACATCTCCCCAGTCTCCCAACCCCCAGCTTCTGAGAACCACCATTCTACTTTCTGCTTCTATGAGTCCAATTTTGTTTGCTTTAGAGGTGGTACCTCACTCTGTCACCCAGGCTAGAGTGCAGTGGCACAATCATGGCTCCCTGCAATCTCTAACTCCTGGGCTCAAGTGATCCTCCCGCCTCAGTCTCCCAAGTAGCTGAGACCATAGGCGTCCGCCACCACGCCCCCAGCTAAGTTTTAAATTTTTTGTAGAGATAAGGTCTTATCATGTTGCCCAGGCTGGCCTCAACCTCCAAAGTGCTGGGATTGCAGTTGTGAGCCACTGCACTAAGCCTGAGTCGACTTTTTTGGATTCCACACTTAAGTGAGATCATGCAGTATTTGTCTTTGTATGCCTGGCTTATTTCATTTAAGATAATATTTTCCAGGTTTATCTGTGTTGTCTTAAATGACAAGATTTATTTTGTTGTTGTTAAGGCTGAATAGATTCTGTTGTATATATATGCTACATTATCTTTATCTCCTCATCTGTTGATGGATACTTAGGTTGATTCCCTATCTTGGCTATTGTGAATAGTCTTGCAATAATCATGAGAGTTCAGATATCTCTTCAACATATTGACTTCATTTTTTGGGGATATATACCTAGTAGTTGGTTTTATATCCATCTCATTAATAACTACATGAAAGACAAAAAGAGAAAAGAAGAATAATCCAGCTATCTAAAGTCACGAAAAAAGAAATTTATACCTTCCACTGAAAAAATGTAATTCCTTACTGTGTGGCTCAAGTGCGTACCCCAGGGAATGCAATCTACCCTTGACCTAGGGTTCAGCTTCTCCTGGGGTTAGAGTGGAACAGCTTTAGCTTCCCCTAGAGATGAGAATGTAAAGTTGGCATGCCAGAGGGATGATTATGAACTTCAGAACCTGACCAGCATCAGTTGAAACATTCCTCTCCCACTTACTCGTTTGACTTGTTAGGTATAAAGGTACCCCTCTGTAAGGTTTGGAGGATTCACAATCATTACGTAAAACATTTAGTGAAAGCTTAATTTGTTGCAGCTGTGGCTGTTGTTATTTTCATTTTGCTGCTGTTGTTTTCATTTCGCTATTGTTAGGTTTCCAAGAGAAATTCAGAATGTGTTTTTCCTTGCGTAAGGCAAAATTTCTCCGATAAGATGACACGGATCTTTGTTGTGGAACATTGCAAGATGTTTAGGGGATTCATCATCTTGGGCTGCCATTACAAAATACTACAGACTGGATGGCATGAACAACAGATTTATTTCTCACAGTCTAGAGCAAGCTTGTCCAACCATGCAGCACAGGACAGCTTTGAATGCCCAATACAAATTCGTAAACTTTCTTAAAACATTATGAGATTTTTTTTTAAGCTCATCTGCTATCATTAGTGTTAGTGTATTTTATTTGTGGCCCAAGACGATTATTCTTTCCCTGTGGCCCAGAGGAGCCAAAAGATTGGATACCCCTGGCCTAGAGGCTGGAAGTTCAAAGTCGGCGTGCCAGCAAGGTCAGATTCTGGTGAGGACTCTCGTCCTGGCCTGTAGACCAGTGTTTTCCTGTGTCCTCACATGGGAGAGAGGGAGAGCAGGGTGGGAAGGAGGAAAGAACAAGCTACCTGTTATCTCTTCTTATAGGGACACTAATCTCATAATGAGGGCCCCATTATCATGCCTAATCTAAACCTTGTCACTTCCCAAAGGTCCCATCTCTAAATAACCATCACATTGAGAGTAAGGACTTCAGCATATTAATTTTGGAGGGGGGGGTGGGCAGGGAGATAAAATTCGCTTCATAACATTTAGCAGTTCTGGCCTTTGGCACTAAATATGAGTAGCACCCTACAGTTATTGTGACAATAGAAATGCCGCCACCCTCACCAATTTCTGAACCACACACTCAGATTGTTATTTCTGTATTTAGCCAGTGGGTATCAGTCAGAACTGTATGTCTTAATGCTGAGAGAAGTAATAGAGACCATCTTGCCCAGTCCCTCTGCCCTCTGCCCTCAGAAAGGGAGAGGGAGCTTAAGAGAGCAGTGTAAGCAAGGCAGTGCACCTTCTTAGCTACATATTCAGCCTGTACTTAGCTTCGCTTCGTAGAATTGGTAACAAATGGATTACACACACTCTGACATTAACGTATATATAGTGGAATTAGGAGTTCAGATACAGCAGTGATTAAAGCTTGCTGATGTTTTCCCAAGAAGCTTCATAGATGGGTTAAAAATGAGCTACATTTTGAAAGATGAGTAGGAATAAGTGCAGTAAAGAGCCAAGAAAAACCCAGACTGGGAAATGCCACAGGCAAAAGGGTGAAAGTAGAATAAACATGGTCTAGATTGGGGATTGGGGCAGGAATGGGGAGGGTGATGGTGAGGAATGTGTGTGTGTGTAGTTGGTGTCTTTTCCTTTGAAAAGGCTTGCTCTACCACTCTGGCCCCACCACTGCCGGCCCTAGGACCAAGCTGCATGGCTCTCCTGTGAGCTGCTGGAGCCCCTTGCATTCTGGCAGTGTAACTGTTTGTCTCTTATGTTCTCTGGGCTGTGTCTTGGTTATCATTGGATCTCCAGCATCTAGCATGGGGTAAAGGGTCAGTAAATAATTATTTTTATTTATTTATTTTTGAGACAGGGTCTGACTTGGTTCCCTAAACTGGAGTGCAGTGGTGCAATCATAGTTCATTGCAGTCTCAAACTTCTGGGCCCAAGCAATCCACCCACCTCAGCTTCCTAAATAGCTAGGACTTTATTAGTGCATGCCACCATGCCCAACTAATTTTTTTAAAAAAATTTTTTGTAGAGACAGTGTCTTGCTTTGTTGCCTAGGCTGGTCTCAAATGCCTGGCTTCAGGTGATCCTCCTGCTTTGTCCTCCCAAAGTGCTGGGATTACAGGCGTGAGCCGCTGCTCCCAGCCTTGATTTATTGAGTGATTGTGTATGGATTATAAGTTGTGAATTGGGAAGGTTGTAGGAAAGAAAGTCTGGTCATTTCTTTAGAGAAAGATTTTACTTCTGATTTGTGCGTTCTTGAATGGGTTCCTAGGACTATTAGGATTTATTCATACAAAAATAGAAATGCTAGACTTAGGAAAAAGAAATTTTTATTTGTTTGTTTGTTTGTTTGTTTATTTGACAGAGTCTCGCTCTGTCGCCTAGGCTGGAGTGCAGTGGCACGATCTCGGCTCACTGCAACCTCTGCCTCCCGGGTTCAAGTGATTCTTCTGCCTCAGCCTCCTGAGTAGCTGGGATTACAGGCGCCCGCCACCATGCCTGGCTAATTTTTGTATTTTTAGTAGAGATGGGGTTTCACCATGTTAGCCAGGCTGGTCTTGAACTCATGACCTCAAGTGATCCGCCCGCCTTGGCCTCCTAAAGTGCTGGGATTACAGGAGTGAGCCACTGTGCCCGGCCAGAAAAAGAAAATTTTGTAGAGGTAGAACCCGAAGTGGTGATGTAATCTAAATTGTTTTTGTGCACAAATCAGACCAAGAAAAATCATAAAAGTGAAAAGGCTTAAATAGAAGGATGCTGAAACATCCTTCTATTGGTTGGTTGGAGGAAAGCAAAGTAGTTGGAGAAAATCCATTTTAAGCACTATTTAGGGCCTTAGCATGAAAATATGGAGAGCACTTAGTTTTTCAAGGTACTTTTAACTTTTTTTGTGCAAAGCATTCTCCGAAATTAATGCAAAGACCTGATTGTGTCATGTTTGTTGATCTTCTGTGCATGTGTACATTCTCTATTAACATATTACTTAGGATAGTATAAAAATGAATGACAGTGGTAAGTCCTTTCAGTGATGTTGCCATGAAGTGCAAGCTTCTGATTGGAGAGAAATGCTTGGATCCTGTCCCTGTGTCCCTGTGGCACTAATAGGTGCTTAATTACTTTCATTTGCTTTGGTTTTTAGTCAGTTCTGATTCATTCTTTATGTTCTGTTTTTCTAATCATAAAAATCAGAAGAAATGTACTAATTATAAAAAATAGTATTGGGTCACTTAAGAAAAATGCCGTTTTCATTTTCACTAAAATATGTATTAATAAGTTGTGTATTTCTTAATACTTTTTAGGCGCTGTTTTGAATTTTTAGATTTGCTTTTACAAGAATGGCAGACACATTCACTAGAACGGTGAGCATCTGATTTGAAACCATTTTTCCCTCTGAATTGAGCCTTTAGAGTGAATGCTTTGGTGAGTGGTCCAGCTGGCTTTCTGTAAGAATGGAGGAATATATGCGTTTGTTTTCATGACTACGTCTGTTGTTTTACTGATGTTGGCCACATAATATTCACAGACGCTTTTAGTGAATTTCATTGGTTGAAATACTACTATGTCCATGTGCATTCTGACAGCTGCAGAGCCAATGTAAACTGTTACTGACTCTGGCCCTGCTGCTTGACATTCCTGTCAGTTCCCATGAGGTAACAGTTTAAAGTTGCTGTTAGTAGACAAGTGTTAGATCCTTCAAGGAATTTCACTCATTTGAAAGTTTTCTTTTTCTCCCTCTGTATTTGATGTAGACAGCCTATTTAATGTTAAGGTGATTATTTCACAGTTTCCATAGAAACTAGTTCTGATGTGAAAAACACAAGCTTTTGTTGTTTGGGTTCGTAAAAGATTGAGCTATAAGTGCACATTTTTAAAAAATCAGCTTGTGTTTTTTAAAAAAAATCCCACAAGAGAATAGGGTTATCAAAGTCCTTAGGCGTGGGTAGGTTGGAGTGGCGCTAGGGTGTTGGGGCAGGATTGGGAGTTAAAGGACTGTAGGTAGGAGTGCCGTGCTTTGCCCAGCCACGTGGGAACTGACCAGCCTTGGCACAGAGGCTCCCAGCTCCATGTTGCCATTTGGAAGTTATTTCTCCCACCTGGTTTCACTTGCATCAAACCATACATTTATGATTGTTACTGCTTTCTTTTCTAAATATCTAGACACATATCAGTATTAGCTGAAACAATAAAGAAGGGAATACATGATGCTGATTCCGAAGCAAGAATAGAAGCCAGAAAGTAAGTTTTTATTGTACACCACTTTTTAAATTAACTTCTTCTATATTTCACATGAATTATAGGATTGCCTTATTAAAAACTTAAGTTACTTGAACATATTTGTTAACCATGACTTTTAAACATGACCCCCAAAAGGCCATTTTGGAATATTTCTCTCTTTTTTTAATAACATCACTCAAGCTTGTAAATAAACAGGACTGAGGGAGACAAAAGAATGCTCGTTTTTTACATTCGTCACAAATTATCACATAGCTCTGGAAGGCAGTTGTATACATGCTCAATGTATTCTTTTACTCATTAAGCCATATTGTAATCCAAAGCTGCTTTAATGATTTACCATGAAAAATCTTGGTCACAGGGAATTCTCTCCCTGCAGTCACTTCTTTGCAAGCATCTGTGGTTCCTTGGTGTGAATCATATTAAGGGGAGTTGGATCGACTAATGCCTGGGATTATCACAGTGATAACTTGTTGTTTCTGTCTCAACAAGTGAGGTACTTTTGCCATTAGGACTGAGTTTCCTCCAATTATGTGGCCATGGCCTCTGTATTCGTTACCTCCTTGGAAATTTTTTTTTTTTTTTGAGATAGAGTCTCATTTTGTTGCCCAGGCTGGAGTGCAGTGGTGCAATCTCGGCTCACTGCAAGCTCCACCTCCCAGGTTCTCGTCATTCTCCTACCTCAGCCTCCCAAGTAGCTGGGACTACAGGCGCCTGCCCTCACGCCTGGCTAATGTTTTGTATTTTTAGTAGACACATGGTTTCACCGTGTTAGCCAGGATAGTCTCGATCTCCTGACCTCGTGATCCACCCGCCTCGGCCTCCCAAAGTGCTGGAATTACAGGTGTGAGCCACTGTGTCCAGCCTTGGAAATAATTTTTGCCAGTGTGACTGTAAATACCAGAATTTTGATATTAAGACATTCTCTCTTGGGCAGTGCATTGATAACTACTGCCAGTGTTGCATCTGTGATTTTTTTTGAATTTACTCTCATAGTTGACCAACTCTCCTAATTGATATGTGCTAAAATCTAATTGTACTAGCCTGCAACGTTACGGTTTTACTTAGCTGCATTAATACATCCTGATCTAGTACTTATTGCTCTTTGACTGCCTTCACAGTTAAATTATATTTCACTTGTTTCTGAGCTTATTATAACTATGAAGTGTTTGTGCCAATTTTTTCTTTGCTAGTTTCTACCAAAATAAGTGATATAATTAATCGTTGCTAAAAACTATTAGGAATGGATTTGTTAATAATCTGTTTATGCTGTTTTTATCCTTGTATTGGACCCTCCCCACCCCCGGCCCATTTTTTCTTGGTCTTTAATTATAATGTGATACTGATTTCAAGTAGCTCTGAACATTTTAAAATTTTTCTTTTGCACATGTTACCTAAGGCAATTTTAAATACTTTGTGTCAAGAGATGTAAAATTGCATGTATAATAGCTGCCATTTTAATGAGCCTATCCTGTGTTCTAGGTATGGTCTTAGATGTTTAGCTCCACCTTCCCTAAGATTCCCCAGTTTTGCAAGTTAGGCTTTTTAATTCCCATGTTATAAATGAGGCTGAGGTTGAGAGAGGATAAGTGACTTGCCCATAGTCTAAAAGACAGTAAAATTGTGAGGCCAGGATTCGTACCAGGTCTCCTTTGTTTACCCTCTCCTCCTGCTACTATTAGCGGCTAAACTGAGGCTTCCAGTCCTTGAAAATCTTCTGTGGTGTACTCCAGAGTTCAGCAAAAGACCTGTTTGGATCCTTGAATTAGACCAGGATTTTGTGTGTTTCCTCTAGATGTTACTGGGGTTTCCACAGTCACTTCAGCAGAGAAGCAGAGCACTTGTACCACACCTTGGAGTCCTCCTACCAGAAAGCCCTGCAGTCCCACCTGAAGAACTCAGACAGCATAGTGTCTCTGCCTCAGTCAGACCGCTCATCTTCCAGCTCTCAAGAGAGTCTAAAGTAAGAGATTCATCTTTGCTTATCATTCATGTGAGAATTTGTATTTAAAAGTTTGTCACATGAAAACACAAATTCTAGCTATGTTTTTACATGGGTGCTTGTTAAAACGCCCCCTTACTTGAGGTAGATCCTGGTGCAAAGTAAGATACCACCATGGAGTGGTGAGAAATAGGTTGCTTTGGTCTCTACCGTACTGTTTTTCAGTTAAATGTATACGGCAGTCCTAGAATACAGTTTTAGAATAACATAAGTGAATTATGGAGTAGTGTGAACTATACACACCAGTGCTTCAGAGTCTTCTCAGAGGATGTAAGTGTGAACCTGGAGACAAGTTTGGAAATGGAGGTCATTCAAACTCTGTGACTTAATATATTATCATCTCTGCTCTGTGTTTCTAATTTCTGTCTGTAGTTACTATTTCACTCTCTGTATTTGAAAGGCAGTCCAAAATAGATTGCTAAAGCTTCGTTGGGAATCAGGGAGTTTACAACATTGTGGTTCACATTGCCCAAAAAATTCTGAAAACTCTGAAATAATTCTTCATTGTAATAATTTCCTGTTGTAGTTTGTATTTGTATTAATTCAGGTACAGTACATGTAATAAATAATATACATCTTTACTTTTAGTCGTCCGCTGTCTGCCAAAAGAAGTCCTACTGGAAGTACCACATCTAGAGGTGAGACTGACAGCCGTGGAGAAGGCCTGTTCTCCGCTCTGGTGGGCTGTACGTGCAGCTGCAAGAGGCTGCCCAGGCACAGGAGGCCAACGGCCTGCCCTCAGTTCCTTCTTAGGCTTGAATGTTGCCTGCTCTGCCCTGCCCTGACTCTCCAGCAGAGCTCCGCTTTGTCAGGGCCACTCGCTGCTGAGGACAACATTGACGGGGTGACTTAGGAATGAAGCTCTGTGACCTTTTCTCTCCACCTCCCCTGCATGTTGACATTGCCACAAACTGTACCTCCTGTCTCTGATCCTTTGATGAGACAGTGAAGACATCTTGGTGGCGTTTTGAGCAGCAGCTGCAGCAGTGTGATGGTGGTTAGTGGTGGGAGAGTGGCATGTTCCAGAAAGAGGAGGGCTCTAGGTAAGAGGGCGTGGCACAGTTATGTCATTTCATGAGGAGACGCCCTAGATGTGAGCATTTTTTCCTTATTTCACTTCTTCGTAGTAAGCAGAAACATGGTCCATTTCTTTGGGGTTTATAGTCTTCAATAACAAGAAAACAAATGTAATTGATACATTACAATTGAGATCACTTGTAGTTTCCTTCGGCATTGCCTGAACTCTCTTCAGGGACCAGGAGAAACTGTTTGTCAGTTTTTTATGCTCCAGCATTTGTTAAAACTTGGTATTTGTTTTCAGGAAAGCAAAACAACATCAGATTTTAGCAATGTATTTTCAAAATTCTATGTAGTCCTTATTCATATTTCCTCCTTTATCACTAAAGCTTCTACAGTTAGTACCAAATCTGTGTCAACGACTGGGTCCCTCCAGCGATCTCGAAGTGATATTGATGTGAACGCAGCAGCCAGTGCCAAATCCAAAGTCTCCTCATCTTCGGGCACGACGCCTTTCAGCTCTGCAGCAGCTTTGCCTCCAGGGTCATACGCATCCTTAGGTAACCACACCCCTGTCACCCTTTCCCTCCTGCACTGCTCTGCAAGAGATGACTCTTAACCTCTTAGCAAAATACAAACCCATGATTGAGGCAAGTCTCACTGTTGTGGGGCTACTATTTAAATCTAAGTAGCTTCGTGCACTTGCTGCTGATCAGCCAGCCACCCTTGTTGAGTGTCCCTTTCTTCGATGCATCATCCGTTTTAGTGCTGAGTAAGTACACAGTACACTCATGCTCGGAGGGTGTGTGGCACTGAGCACGTCCTTTCCTCAACTCTTCCTCTTCCTCCATGGCAAGCCCAGCCACCTCCCATATTGTCAAAGCTAAGTTTTTTCCCCCTCTGACACTGGTGGGAGCAGAGCCAGCAGGTTCAGTGAGGGATTCACCAAAGGTAGTCAGTGTCATTAGGTGTTTCTCAATTTGAGAATATAACCAGAGCTGGCAGGGATAATCGGGTTGGGTTGTGGGGAATGGCAGGAGGAATCTGAAGGAATGTGATGAGCTCATGAATCAGCATAACCATGTCTGTGCAAAAGAGTGTTGTCCTTCCATGTATCACCTTGGGAGGAGCATGCCCTTACTCTGATGATTGCCCAAAAAAGTTTTTTAAAAACTACTTCCAAAACTTTTAGCATCTGACATAGTGATAGATCGACTATTCATATTTTTCAGCAGTTGCTTAACACGTACTGTGTGTCAGGCTAATTGTTTATTTCGTTTTGTTTTTGTAAGAGCCAATTCATTCAAAGCCAAAATCTAGGGACTTAGCTGGATTGGTTCTACTTTAGATTTTAAGGAAATGAATAAAATTTAAACTTCCTGAAATATTGAGGTGGAGTTACTCATGTAACTTTCAGACAAATTCCAGAGTCAGTTCTAAAACTAATGTTCTGAAAATGTTTTGAACATTGGAAGCACAGTGAACAAATAGCACCCAGAGAAGATTTTAGGGTCTGCCATTTATTCGCTCTGTGACCTGGAGTAGGCCGTGGAATCTGTAGGTCTATTTTCCATACCTGCAAATTACTTGTAATAATAGCCACCTAACTCATATATGAGGCAAAATGAAATTATATAAAGGTTCTTTATAAACTATTGTTCTGTAAGGTGGAAGAAAGTGTGATTGTGATAGGAACATTATTAATTTGAAAGATATGTGTTCTGGAACATTTGCTCAGTCAGTCTTGTTTTTATGGAAATACCTCATACACCCATAACAATTGAGAAGAAATTCATTAAGAACTCTCTTTTTAAAATCGTTTTTAACTATTGCAGCATTATGTAGGAGTGTTGTCCATATGTAACCATTGAGCAAAGGAGAAGTAACAACTCTTCCTCCTATGCTGAATTAGTTCTGTTAATTTTAGTTTAGTTTTTCAGTACTTACCTATGCTTTAGTATATTAGATCCACCTTTAGTATTTGTAATTAGTATTTGTTTCATTGTTGGAAAAAGTGAGTAAAAATCAGCCTCAGTATTTTTGTTTTTCTGTCTGTATTATGGAGTGTTTGAATATGGCTGGTATAGACTTCCCCCAGTGCTAGTAAAAGCCCTCACGTCTTTTGGTATGATAATATGGAGCTGACCCTTCAGAAGCACTGATGATAAGTTTTCAGTCCAGTATTAACCTCTTCAAAGAACGAGACTGGAGTATTCAAATTCTCTGTTTCCTGAGAATTCTACCTCAACTTCCCTTATTTTGTCCCCAAACAAAAACACCAAAAAATTGAAATATAGCACAATCCTAGTGAGAATTTGTTACAGTTGCTACCTAGGTTGACACATGACATCTTTGCAAAAGTGTAGCATTAAAGCTGATGATCCTTTTCCAAACTTCTAGAGTCCAGACACATGAGGGAAGACATGGAGTACATAGGCCTGGACTCAGGTACCATGCTCGACAGCTTTTGCTGCTGGACGTGTAGTTGGGATAGGCATTGCTAGAGCAAGCTTCTCTGAGCTTCTTACTTGGCTCTGCCTTTTGGGTAACTCTTTAGTATTTTAGCTTCTAGTTCCTCCTCTCTGCCCTGTTCTGCTGGTACTTTCTTCCAAGAAAAAGGAACTCTTAAGAGGATGAGAGTTGGCTAAAACAAAAAATAATCTTTCTTTCAACTGTGGCACTACCCTGGGTTGCCCGTCTGTGTTTTATTTTCCAAAGGCAAAAAAACCATTATGCTATGTTAAGCTAATTTCAATACAAGGCACACTTACTTGCTTCAGACTCTGCTTTGCTGTTGAACTTGTTTCCCTTTTAATTTTGTTTTAAATTGTACTTTTGCTTTTTTAGTAGCTAATAACATTCGGCTTTTTAATTTTTTGAATGTTACTAACTGTTCCCTGTTATCCCTTCCCTTGTTTTTTAATTTGCTTAAAGATGGTACTACCACTAAAGCGGAGGGTAAGCGGTTTGTTTCTGTGATTGAGGTGTGTCTCACTTTCTCTGGTCCTCTGTTCTCACCGAGTGTTGCCCAGTACCCACTTGTCCTCACCAAGGTCCCTGCATGAGATGTTGCACGCTGTTTCTCCTCCTCTCTTTTCATTCTGTCGCCATTGGGTTTTTGCCCTACCTCTACCTGAGTTCTCCTTCCCTTTCTTGTTCAGTCTTTGTTCTTGTGAATTTTAGCACTAAAGTATGCTGCGTGTGGTTTTTATTGCTGAGTCCACACTCTGGGGAGGAGCATTGATGTCACACTGTGTGCTACTGTCCTCATGGACTGCCTGTCTTGGGTTTTATTACTCCTGAAGCACTACCTTAGCTTTTGTTTCCTTTTCTTTCCTTTTGTGCTTTTGTGGGCCTCTCAGGATTTGCCTTTCTGTTTTGAAAGTAAATTTCAATGTCAATTATTCAGACTAAAGGCTGGTAAACATTTCCTAACAGGTAATTTAAAGAAATAAAAAAATATATTTTTCTCTCCTCTAAAGGTACTACTGACTTATATGATGCTATTTTTTATTTGTCTCACGGACACACACCCCATTCATTCATTTACTCTCATTCATCCCCTCATCAACCGTGTATTAAATGCCTTCCATGTGCCATGTTCTGTACTACACACCGAGGATATAGTAATGCTGTAAGAAATAGGCATATCCAGATCCACTTTATTTTGTTTTTTATGCCATTCTCAAGAAGCTCTTTCTATTTTTGTATTACCTTTTGAATTTTAGACATAGTTGTTTTAGTCTTTGCAGGTTTTTGATAAGTGCATATAAGGCAATATCATTCCTTTGCTAGATAGAATGCATGAAAATGCTTTAAGTAATTGAAATTTAGAGGAACCTTCTCTGCCTAAATAGAGGCTTAAACCCACCAACCTTCAGGATATTTACTTAACAATTAGGAACAGCTAGTTCATTTTCATATATTATTTAGTCACCCTAAAGGGCTAGCATGCAAAGTTAGCTGGGTTTAGCTTGATGTGTGCAGCTCAGTTCTTTTAATCCGTATGTTACTTTCCAAGGGACTCATAAAAGAAAGATAGGAATGGATTTTTTTTTTGAAGGTGAACATGATCCCAAGAGCAGTGTTTCTTAAATTTATCACATCGTGAGAATTACTTGGATACTTACTAAAAAAATACTCTTAGGTCCTTCACCCTGAAGATGCTGATTAAGTTTGGAAGGAACTAGAGAATCTGAATTTCTAATAAGCCTCACTGGTGGTTCTTAGGGTCGGACAAGTTTGTAAAAAAAAATTCCAGAATTAAAATAAGGACAAGAAACCTCTGTCCTGATGAGGACGTCATGTCTGACAGCAGACGGCAGAGGCTGGTGTGATTGGGAAGCTGGTTGATAATTTTCTTCATTTCTTAAGCTGATATGGGTAATTTTATGTTTCTCCTGCCCAAAGAAACAATCCCGAGTGTTTTCTCAGCCTTACTGGGAGGGGAGGAGGAGAGTGGAAGAGAATAATGTAGATGAAATGGAAAGCAAAGACATTACATGGGAAATTATATGTTTTTCCAGAATGCCCTGATTTCTATGCCTATATAACAGAATTGAAATCAGCCTTTTATTCCATCCAGCCCTAGGACTTTTTAACTTTTTTTTTTTTTTTCCACCAGTTCCACAGTCCTGAGTAAGGTCAGAATTGCCCTCTCAGTTATTGTCCAGGAGACTAACTCTCTGGTTTTTCCTTCTTCTGGGAGAAATTGTTTTTTATAGAGAGCTCAGACTCCGACAATAGAGACCGTTGCTGAAGAAGCATAGGGAGTGTCAGTGTTTGTGTACTGGGGCTGCACAGGCTGTGGCAACACTGGCTAGTCAAAGCCTGGAAAGACCTGTGAGTTTGAACTCTTCTGGGTTGCCATTGTTCTGTTGGTTTCAGCAGTGAGACTGAGAGAGCCTGTTCTGTTTAGAAAAGCCACAGTGGTTTTCTAGGTAAAGTCTGCAGGAGATGTCACTTGGTGCCTTTTCAATACGAGTTTTCCACCTGCATTTTTGGAACCATTATGGGCCTTTTAAAAATTTATTAATAAGTCTCTTAAATATTTTATAATCTAGCTTCTGAGACAAGATGATTTTAAAACAGTTATATGCTCTAAATTAAAAATTTAGAGGGTGAGTGCAGTGGCTCACCCCTGTAATCCCAGCAGTTTGGGAGGCCAAGCAGGTGAATCACCTGAGGTCAGGAGTTCGAGACCAGCCTGACCAACGTGGTGAAACCCCGTCTCTATTAAGAATACAAAAATTAGCCAGATGTGGTGGTGTGTGCCTCTAGTCCCAGCTACTCAAAAGGCTGAAACAGGAGAATTGCTTGAACCCAGGAGGCGGAGGTTGTAGTGAGCGGAGATTATGCCTTCATTGCACTCCAGCCTGGGCAACAGAGCGAGACTCCGTCTCAAAAAAAAAAAAAGAAAGAAATTTAGGCAGTACGTTTGAGTTTACTGGCAATTTTATTACTATAGTAATTGAGAAAAATATATATTCCTTAGGAGTTATTCATTGTCCACATCAAGGAATCCTAACATTTATGACTAATTAGAAAAATACTTTTTGTAAAGAACGAAAAACTAAACTTTTGGATGAAAGTTTATTTCTAGGTTATTATCTTCAGTATGTTATGTTCAGTAATTTTTGGAGATTTTGATGAGGGAAACATAATGTCTTTTATGTTGCACATGAGGAAGTTTATGATTAGATGTCATATGGTAAATGAATGCATTCTCATACTTTTTTAAAAAAGCTAGTATGCTTAGGAAAAGCATTCATATTTTTCCCAAAATAAGTAACTTTAAATGAAAAGTTACAGTGCTTTGAATGGCCTGTGGGGCTGACAACCATTGTTTGTTTGGGGAATAATCATGTTTATTAAGATGTAGTCAAAAGCCATATCAACTTAACTTTCAGTGATTTTAATTAAGATTACACGATAAAAATTATATAGCCTTGTCTTCTCTTCAGGAAAAAGAACTTAGATTTTAGTACAATTTTACTGGGAAATAAAATGTAAAAAATTATCCAAGAACTGTGAATTTTAGGTAATTGTCCTTTTTACACAGTGGAAAAAGTATGCATGTCTATATATAGAAGTAAAAGGGTGTTAAGCTTCTTTTAAATTTTTAAAATATGAAGGAAATTTTTTTTTTTTTAAAGGCAGGGTCTCATTTGTTACCCAGGCTCTGGAGTGCAGTGGTGCTATTACAGCTCACTGCACCCTTGACCTGCCAGGCTCAAGTGATCCTCCTGCCTCAGCTCCCCACCCTGTCTGTCAGAGTAGCTGGGACTACAGGCGTGCACCACCACGCCTGCCTGGCTAATTTTTCAATTTTTTTGTAGAGATGGGGTCTCCCTATGTTGCCTAGTCTGGTCTTAAACTCCTGGGCTCAAGTCATCCTCCTGCCTCAGCCTCCCAAAGTGCTGGGATTACAGGCGTAAGCCACCATGCCTGGCAGGAAATTATTCTTTTGGGGAGAATAGTTGTAGGTAGCAAAATGTAGAAATGATCAAGTTCCTCTGTTTTGGTTCTGTAAAAGATGTCAGTGTATGAGTAAAGGCTGGGTTTAATTATGCCCCCAAGCAGTGAAACGTACAGCAGATATGTATGCCAAAACGTCCCAGTGTGATGAGAACAGAGACTTACTTTGAAGACCTTTTAATTTTATAATCTGTAATTTGGGAATTTGCTAGAAAATTTGAAACACGTAGGGAACAGAAAAACCCTAGTGACATAAGGCTCTCTAGTGGTTTTTCATTTGCCTAACAAGAAGATAGGAAAACCAGGCCTACAAACTACACTTGGTACGCAGGGTGAATTTCTCCTGGTTTGGAGTCTTTTCTAGAAGGTATGGCAATGTGAGTGAAAAAGAATCCTTAGGAGCAGTATTAAAAAGTCATGAGATGAATGATCTTTCTTTATTCCATGAAAGTCAAAGGCTTTGGGCTCCTCTTACAAGTCTTTGTTTTCCTCTGGGTCTGGTTTTGCTCTGGTTAGGTTTGTTTGTTGATGCTTATCTTATTCATCCTTCCCTCCAAAATTATTTTTGTTGTACAGTTCTTTACCTCTTTTTTTTTTTTTCTGTTACTTGTGCTGACTTTTTTTTCTCCCTTCACATCTATCTACTTGTCTCTGTCACTTAATAGATTATAATACAGAACTGAAGTATATTTGTACTGCTTGTTGCTTTATTTTTATTTATTGTATTTTGAGGTGGGGTCTTACTCTGTCACTTAGGTTAGAGTACAATGGCATGATCATGGCTCACTGCCGCCTTGACTTGCCAGGCTCAAGTATCCTCCCACCTCAGCCTTCCAAGTAACTGGGACTACAGGTGTGCAACACCATGCCCTGCTAATTTTTTGTGGAGATGGGGTTTCGCCATGTTGCCCAGGATGGTCTCGAACTCCTGGACTCAAGTGACCCTCGTGCCTTGGCCTCCCAAAGTGCTGGGATTACAGGCGTGAGCCACTGTGCCCAGCCTGCTTGTTGCATTTATTGAAACTTTTTTCCCCTAATTACCACAGAGCATTTTATATCATCTTTTAAAAACATGCACAGGTACTCATAGTAATATTGCCAAATCAATAGACTGAAAACAAAACAAAATGAAACAAAAGACACCTTTTCCTATAAAATAAATATATATCTGAGTTTAACACAACAGAGGCCCTTTAAGCTGTATAGCTGTGTTCCCAAAAAAGTAAGGAAATGTTCAAAACCAAGAGGATCACAGACTGGAATGACAAGCTTGAACTGATTTTTAAGGCTGTCCCCGAGGGCTTAGTTTTTTTTTTTTTTTTTAGTTTTTTTTTTAATTATACTTTAAGTTTTAGGGTACATGTGCACATTGTGCAGGTTAGTTACATATGTATACGTGTGCCATGCTGGTGCGCTGCACCCACTAACTCGTCATCTAGCATTAGGTATATCTCCCAATGCTATCCCTCCCCCCTCCCCCCACCCCACGACAGTCCCAGAGTGTGATATTCCCCTCCCTGTGTCCATGTGATCTCATTGTTCAGTTCCCACCTAGGAGTGAGAATATGCAGTGTTTGGCTTTTTGTTCTTGCGATAGTTTACTGAGAATGATGATTTCCAATTTCATCCATGTCCCTACAAAGGACATGAACTCATCATTTTTTATGGCTGCATAGTATTCCATGGTATATATGTGCCACATTTTCTTAATCCAGTCTATCATTGTTGGACATTTGGGTTGGTTCCAAGTCTTTGCTATTGTGAATAATGCCGCAATAAACTCAAAACCGCTCAACTATATGGAAACTGAACAACCTGCTCCTGAATGACTACTGGGTACATAACGAAATGAAGGCAGAAATAAAGATGTTCTTTGAAACCAACGAGAACAAAGACACAACATACCAGAATCTCTGGGACGCATTCAAAGCAGTGTGTAGAGGGAAATTTATAGCACTAAATGCCCACAAGAGAAAGGAAAGATCCAAAATTGACACCCTAACATCACAATTAAAAGAACTAGAAAAGCAAGAGCAAACACATTCAAAAGCTAGCAGAAGGCAAGAAATAACTAAAATCAGAGCAGAACTGAAGGAAATAGACACACAAAAAAACCCTTCAAAAAATTAATGAATCCAGGAGCTGGTTTTTTGAAAGGATCAACAAAATTGATAGACTGCTAACAAGACTAATAAAGAAAAAAAGAAGAATCAAATAGACGCAATAAAAAATGATAAAGGGGATATCACCACTGATCCCACAGAAATACAAACTACCATCAGAGAATACTACAAACACCTCTACGCAAATAAACTAGAAAATCTAGAAGAAATGGATAAATTCCTGGACACATACACTCTCCCAAGACTAAACCAGGAAGAAGTTGAATCTCTGAATAGACCAATAACAGGAGCTGAAATTGTGGCAATAATCAATAGCTTACCAACCAAAAAGAGTCCAGGACCAGATGGATTCACAGCCGAATTCTACCAGAGGTACAAGGAGGAACTGGTACCATTCCGTCTGAAACTATTCCAATCAATAGAAAAAGAGGGAATCCTCCCTAACTCATTTTATGAGGCCAGCATCATTCTGATACCAAAGCCAGGCAGAGACACAACCAAAAAAGAGAATTTTAGACCAATATCCTTGATGAACATTGATGCAAAAATCCTCAATAAAATACTGGCAAAACGAATCCAGCAGCACATCGAAAAGCTTATCCACCATGATCAAGTGGGCTTCATCCCTGGGATGCAAGGCTGGTTCAATATACGCAAATCAATAAATGTAATCCAGCATATAAACAGAGCCAAAGACAAAAACCACATGATTATCTCAATAGATGCAGAAAAGGGCTTAGTTATTGATGTGAATAGCTAGACACACAGATCACAAGACCTTGAGCTGACCCAAGGTGAAGATTGAGAGTTGGCATTAAGCCAGCATTGACAAGGGGGCTGTATATCCATGACAAGGTGGACAGGTGAGAAAAACAAAACAACACAAAAAATCCTCTTTATCTTCAAGTTGATATAATGTCTGTCTTGACTTTGCCTTAAACAGAGGGGGAAAAAAAACCCCTAATCTTTTCTCATAATTTGTAACTAAGCTGTCTACTCACACAAGTTGTGGTTTTAAATTTACTTCACCTGTGGTGTTTGGAAGACTCCAAGCTAATGAATTAAAGTAGTTTGTGTTTATAGCCCCCAAGGGTGCCTGCCAGGAACAAACATTAAACTTCTGTAGAGGAAGCTACTCTCAAATCTAATTCCTCGGGGTTCATGCAGATGGAAATCAGTGAAATAAGAGTTCATACTCTGTGTTATATCCATTATGAGTGAGAGGCAGCAGAGAAAAAGAATAAAAACAGAATGTACCCTTAAGGACTTAAGGATCTGTTACAAAATGTAAAATAACTAAAGTGTTTAAAAGAAATAAACTCGCATTTTTTAAGGATATATACAACTTAGTAGCCAGAATAATCCTCCCAGTTGAGAATACATTACTATTCTAGAGTAAAAGCAGTGAATCCACACAGCTTCAAACCTAAGCATGGCAGGAGCCCTGGTATGTCAGGGTCAATGCTGGCCGTCACCCTGAGGCTTTTGGCTAAACCCTGGGGTCCTTGGGCATTTGATGTGATGATTGTGCAGGACATAAAGGACAGAAAGCCCAAGCCTATTTAAGACCTGCATCATCATTAGTGAACAAAAAGTTAACTTTACTAAACTGAAAAGAACAGAGAAATTTGCCCATCTTAACTCTGGTGCTGGTTAGAGGGGGAAAGTAATCTCCCTCGAGAATGTGCAACCAAAATCTTGATGCAGGATTCTGGTCAGAGTTTACGTTACCTTTGTAGTCTGAAAAACCCAAATAGATAAATCATTTTAAGTTGGCTGTGGATTACTTGTGTCCACAGCACACAAACAAAATCAGAGATCTTCTTTGGAATAATTCAGCTTTAATCTAGATCTTAAAGAATTCCCATAAATTTCCAAGAAAAGTGATCGTTTCATTGTCTTAACAGTTAAAGAAATAAAGTGAAATTGTAGAAAGGGAGTAAGAGGCTATCAAGAATGACCAAGCAGATTTTGAAGAAGAGCAAATGGAACTTCTAGAAATGAAAATGTAGTACATTATTAAAATCAAAAAGTGGTCAGGCACAGTGGCTCACACCTGTAATCTTAGGAATTTTGGAGGCCGAGGCAGGAGGATTGCTTGAGCCCAGGAGTTAAGCCTGGGCAATATAGTGAGACCCCATCTCTACCAAAAATTTTTTTTTTACAGTTAGCCAAGCATGGTGGTGCACACCTGTAGCCCCAGATACTTGTGAGGCTGGGGCAGGGGGATCGCTTGAGCACAGAAGGTTGAGGCTGCAGTGAGCTGTGATCATAACCGCTGTACTCCAGTCAGGACAACAGAGCAAGACCCTGTCTGAAAAAAATAAAAATAAACTGCATGGGTAAATTGAGCAGTAGAATCAATGTAACTGAAGAGAGAACTCATGAATTAAGAAAGCTAGGAAGAACTTATCCAGACTGTAGTACAGAGTTAGAAAATATGACAGAGTTGTTAAGTTACATGCAAGATAGTAAAGAAATTTAACATGTCTAATGGGAGTTTAAGAAGAAGAGGGAGAATGGGGCAGAGACAATATTTGAAGAGATGATGGTTGGGAATTCTTCATAATTGATGAAAGACACTAAAGCCGGGCACAGTGGCTCATGCCTATAATCCCAGCACTTTGGGAGGCTGAGGTGGGTGGATCACTGAAGGCCAGGAGTTTGAGACCAGCCTGGCCAACATGGTGAAACCCCGTCTCTGCTTATAATACCAAAATTAGCTGGGCGTGGTGGCTCGCACCTGTAGTCCCAGCTGCTTGGGAGGCTGAGGTGTGAGAAATGCTTGAACCTGGGAGGTGGAAATTGCAGTGAACCGAGATCACACCACTGCACTCCAGCCTGGGCAACAGAGTGAGACTCTGTCTCAAAAAAAAAAAAAAGACACTAAAGCACAGATTGAAGAAACCCAATAAATTCCAAGTAAGACAAAAATAAAAAATCTGCAGTTAAACATATCATAGTAAGGCCAGGTACGGTGGCTCACGCCTTAATCCCAATGCTTTGGGAGGCTGAGGTGGGCTGATCGCTTGAGGACAGGAGTTTGAGAACAGCCTGGCCAACATGGCAAAACCCTGTCTCCACTAAAAATACAAAAACTAGCCAGGCGTGGTGGTACATGTCTGTAATCCCAGCTACTAGGGAAACTGAGGCACGAGAATCACTTAAACCTGGGAGGCAGAGATTGCAGTAAGCTGAGATCACACCACTGTACTCCAACCTGGGTGACAGAGTAAAGTTCTGTCTCAAGAAAAAAAAAAAAAAGTAAAATTGCACAACACGAAAGGCACAGAAGCCACTAGAAAAAGAAACTACCTACAAAGGAAAGCCAAAGATTAACTGCAAAGAAAACAGGGAAATCTGAATAGTCTGAATAGGAAGGGTGGAGCATATCAGTGTTCATGTCCTGTTTCTGATTTTATACTATAGCTTTGTAAGATGTTACCATTGAGAGAAACTGCATAAAGAACACACAGGAATCTTAAAACTTAAAACTGCATAGGAATCTATAATTATCTCAAAGAGGTTTAATTTTAAAAGGAGGGAGCCCTTAAAATTACTGTATCTCCTCTAAAGTGTGATTTAATGGCTGCGTTTTTCATAATATTATTTAAAGATAGTAAAGCATCTTTAAAAAATTAATCCAAAAGAAGGAAACAAAGGAGAGGATAAAAGGAAAATGAAAAATCAAGACAAAAGCATGCATATAAAAAGGTAAAAATAGGGCGGGCATGGTGGCTCACGCCTGTAATCCCAACACTTTGGGAGGCTGAGGCGGGCAGATCACCTGAGGTTGGGAGGTCAAGACCAGCCTGACCAACATGGAGAAACCCCGTCTCTACTAAAAATACAAAATTAGCCGGTCGTGGTGGCACATGCCTGTATTCCCAGCTACTCGGGAGGCTGAGGCAGGAGAATCACTTGAACCCGGGACACAGAGGTTGCAGTGAGCCCAGATTGCGCCATTGAACTCCAGCCTGGGCAACGAGAACGAAACTCTGCCTCAAAAAAAGAAAAAAAGAAAAAGAAGTAAAAATAAAGTCAAATAAACCAAGCTTTGTGGTTAAATGAGAAAGATTGTCATACTTGATTTATTTTAAAGCTCTAGCAATATAATATTTATTTTTTATTATTTTTAAATGGAGACAGGGTCTTGCTATGTTTCCCAGGCAGGTCTCAAACTCTTAGCCTCAAGCTGTCCTTCTGCCTAGGCCTCCCAAAGTGCTGAGGTTACAGGGGAGAGCCACCACGCCCAGCCCAATGTGATATTTAAAGAGAGAAATCTAAAACTTAAGACTACAGATAGAAGACAAAGGATCAGTAGAAGAAAGCTGTTGAAGAGTATTTAGTAACAAAGGCAAAAAAAAAATTTGTAATTGATGAAAGACACTAAAGTTGGGCATGGTGGCTCATGCCAGTAAAAGAGGATTGCAGGCGTGCACCACCACGCCCAGGTAATTTTTGCATTTTTAGTTGAGACAGTCTCTCCATGTTGCCCAGGCTGGTCTCTAACTCCTAGCCTCAAGTAATCCACCTGCCTCAGCCTCCCAAAGTGCTGGGCTTACAGGTGTGAGCCACTGCACCCAGCAAAATTTCAGTTTTTGAAAATACTAATCAAGTAGGCAAACTTTTGAAAAATGTCAATTGAAATACAGAAAAGGTACAAATTAACTGTTAAGAATAATAAATTAGGCATAAATGTGGATCAGTAGAGTTTTAAAGGTAATAGGAAGCCAGGTACAATGGCTCACACCTATAATCTGAGCACTTTGGGAGGCCAAGGTGAGAGGATTGCTTGAGGCCAGGAGTTTGAGACCAGCCTGGGCAACATAGTGAGACCCCCATCTCTACAGAAAATTTAAAAATTAATATGGCGTGGTGACATACACCTGTAGTCCCAGCTGCTCCCAGCTACTAGAAGGCTAAGGTGGGAGGATAGCTTGAACCTGGGAAGTGAGGCATCAGTGAGCTGTGATCGCACCATTCCACTCCAGCCTAGGCAGCAGAGCTAGACTCTGTATCAAAGAAAAAATAATACTTTTTTGAAATTAAGGTAAGATAAACCTATGACAGCTTTGTTAACAATTCAAAAACAAGTTGTACAAGTTTCAAGAAAACCCAAAACTGTTTCTTCAAAGAAACAAGCAATGTGAGTAGTTTTAAGACTGCTCATTAAACAATTTGAATCAGTAGTTAAAAGTTCATTGTTCTATTCCCACCCTGCCAAAATAAACTTAATAAAAATGGAAAAGATACTCCAAAAATTCCTGCCATGCTCAGATGGTTTCGCACACAAGTTGTATCAAAGACTGGATAATTGCATTGTCAGTTTATCAGTGGAGATGCAAAAAAAAATAATAATAAAAACATTAGGTAATTCCAGTCTTACGTAAACTCAGAGAATAGGAAAAGAGGGAATACTTCCCTCACTGGTTTTATGCAGCTAGTATGACCAGAGTACCTACAAACATTGTGTATGTGAGTGTGTATGTCATGACCACGTAGGTTTAGCCCAGGTTTAATTTTTCTTCTTTTCTTTTTGAGACAGAGTCTCACTTTGTCGCCTAGGCTGGAGTGCAGTGGCACGATCTCAGCTCACTGCAACCTTTGCCTCCCAGGTTCAAGCAATTCTCGTGCCTCAGCCTTCAAAGTAGCTGGCATTACAGGCCTGCACAACCATGCCCAACTAATTTTTTGTATTTTTATTAGAGATGGGGTTTTGCCGTGTTAGCCAAGCTGGTGTCAAACTCTTGTCCTCAAGAGATCCTCCCACCTCAGCCTCCCAAAGTGCTGGGGTTACAGGCGTGAGCCGCCGTGCCTCACCTATTACTTTAAAATTTATTAATGTAGTTTAAATTCGGGAGAAAAACCCTCTTATCTAAAAAGATCAAAACATCAAAAAATTCAAACATTTATGATAAAAATTGTTGGCAACTAGGCACAGAAATGAATTTTCTTTTTTTTTTTTTTTCTTTTTTAGACAGGGTTTTGCTCTTTTGCCCAGGCTGGAGTACAGTGGCACGATCTTGGCTCACTGCAACCTCCGCCCCGGTTTCGAGAGATTCTCCTGCCTCAGCCTTCCAAGTAGCTGGGATTACAGACATGCGCCACCATGCCCAGCTAATTTTTGCATTTTTAGTAGAAATGGGGTTTCTCCACGTTGGCCAGGCTAGTCTCGAGCTCCTGACCTCAGGTGATCCGCTCACCTTGGCCTCCTAAAGTGCTGGGATTACAGGCATGAGCCACCGCTCTGGGCCAAATTTTCTTAACCTGTTGGCAGATACACTTTCTGTGAAATTTCAGAAATTCTTTTTAAAAATCTTGTTTGAGTCAACAGTGCTTACCCTCACTGCTTCTATTTTGCATTATATTACATGACCAAGACACCACAATAAAGGCAAAGAAGTAAAAGTGAATTATTTGAGGGTAATAAGCTGATGAGTTATTTGTGGGTGTTATTCTATTTAGATAACCCCAAATCTGTATACAAGTTTAGCAGAATCCTAGAGTGTTAAGATCAAAATATAATGATTCCATTCTTACCTGCCAAGAACAGAAAATATAATTTAATAAATTATAAAAATAAAGCAACTTTAAATAAGTCTATAAAAATTGAGTAAGAACTTTGAAAAAATGATCAGACTTTATCAAAAGATATTGACAAAGTTAAATAAACATAGAAGATACAATGAATGAGAAGACCAATATTATAAAGCTTTTCCCCTTAACCCAGAGTTTCACATAATGCCAGTCAACATTTCAACAGGCGTTGTTATTGTGTCTGCACATACATATGGAAGACAGCAAAGGGCTTAGGAAAAGGCGAATTTACTTGTCCTGCCAATTAGCAGGATGTCTTTTAAAAAAGGCTAATCACAGGCCGGGGACAGTGGCTCCTGCCCGTAATCCCAGAACTTTAGGAGGCCAGGGCGGGTGGATCACTTGAGGTCAGGAGTTGGAGACCAGCCTGGCCAACATGGTCAGATCCTGACTCTACTAAAAATACAAAAATTAGCCAGGTGTGTGGTGGCATGTTCCTGTAATCCCAGCTACTGGGGAGGCTGAGGCAAGAGAATCGCTTGATCCCAGGAGGTGGAGGTTGCAGTAAGCCGAGGTCACACACCACTGCACTCCAGCATGGGCGACAGAAAGAGACTCTGCCTCATATATTAATTAATTAATAAATTAATAAAAAGCTAATCACAGTATTGTGATGTCGTGTAGGTATGGACACATTGACTAGTGGGACAGACTAGAAGGCTGAGAAACCCAGACACACATAAGTGCTGCTTGATAAACAATCAGGCATTTTAATCAGTAAGAAAAGCGTTAAGTAAATTTATTTCAACATTGGTTAGTTATATGGAAAAAATAAAGTATATCCGTTCTTTATCGATACATAAGTGACTTTTCACATAAAATATTAGCAAAATAGTAAGCTTTAGAAAAATATAGACCTTGTGTTATAATTTAAAAACGTTCTAAATATGTAAAACAAAACCACAGAGTTATTGGTTGTGAAAACATGTATTTACAAAAAAAAAAAAAAACCAAGGGAATGCTGAACACTGGGTTTAGGATCATGTTACCAAATGTTGGGGGAAAGTAGAATACGAGAGGTTTAGCAAAGAGAGTTTTTATTTTTTAAGCTAAATGAGTATACATGTTCATTTAAAAAATCTTTTTGTGACCTAAATATTTTATAATGAGTTTAAGAATTTAAATTCAGTTGTTTTTTTCATGTTCACTTTGCCTTTGTGATTTGCCTTGATTTAGCTCAGTGACTTCCTTAGGAAAATCAGAGGTCATCACTCATAGGCTTCCCAGTCAGCCAGGCACAGGTATCTAGACCAGTAGTGTCACATTGAACAAATTAATTAATTTCCCTGTTTCTCGGTTTTCTCATCTGTAAAATGGGAGTGATTACTTTATATGCTGTGAGGATTCTGAATGGACTCATATATAGTTGTTAGTAAATGGTATAGCTTTTCACTTCTGTATAGATTATAGAGTTTATTTATAAGTTTTTCCTTAAACTGAAAAGTCATTGATTCTTAACTAGTTTTATTATTTTTTTAATGCCAGCTTTCTTTCATTGCTCTTTACCTTCCTTTCTTGAAACTTTTTCAAGCTTTAGGATTTGCTTCCTGCATTACTTCTCTGTAAGCTTTGTCGCTTGTGGGGGTAGAAGTGATTTTGAACAACATAAAAGCCAGTGGGAGTTCAAGTTGGTTGTGTTTTTCCTATCCTCATTGAGTTACGGCCGGAGAGGCATTTTGTGCTCCCTCGAAACCAAAAAGGCCTATTTTTTTTTTTTTTTAAAGTTTAATCGCTAATCATACTAGTCTGGTCACTAATGATTTTGTGTTTCTGAATTCATTTTTATTTTTATGGCTTCGTGGTTCAATAATTGCTGTAATTTTTTCATAACTGCCTACAGCATTGGATTATCTTTGGGCCATCATTTCTCTAGGTACTCCTAATACTGATTCTTTTTAGCTGTATCTCTCTTTTTAGCTTTATCTTTTCTTTATCTTAGAAACTTACTGACTTACATGCTTTAAAAATAGAAGTTTAATGCTGCATATCAAAAACACATTTATTCACTGGGGAGCTATAGCTTCTGTGATGGCTGAGTTAAGAAGGTAGACTTTTTTATTTTGGGTTTTTTTTTGGTATTACTCTTATTTTCTATAGTTTGTTTTTTACAGTGACAGTAAATATTTTCTGTTTTTGGAAATTTGTCAGATTTGTAGACAATAAAAAAGAAAATTTAATCTGGAAAAAATTATGGGAAATGTCCTCAAATGGATATCACTTCCTTGTCTGAAGAGATAACATACTAAAATAGCTGGAACCTAAACAGCTGCAGGTCCATGGCTCCATCTCAGGAGTTCATCCTGTGTTCGTAGAACAGTTGTGCGTGGATCATATGCGCATGTGCGCATGCACACACAGGGAGACGTGGCAGACCTCGTGTGGAGGATCTGCTCACAGAAGCTGTTGCTCCCCATGTAGTTGGCTGGTCAGTGCCCCTCTTTTGGGGCATGGCTTCTTTTCTTGAGGAGGTGGCACTTACTGGAAATGTTGTGAAACACTGTTTTTGCTGTGTCCTCCAGGTCGGATCCGCACAAGACGGCAAAGCTCTGGGAGTGCCACCAACGTCGCCTCTACACCTGATAACCGGGGCCGCAGTCGCGCTAAAGTGGTTTCACAGTCCCAGCGTAAGAAACATATTTTATGCTCTTGCTTACCTCAGTTTTATTCAACAGCTCATTCTGCAGTTGAACATTTTACAATCTCTATATTGACTTCAGAGGGAAAAACACATTTTTTGTGGCTCTGAGATACTGTGAGTAATCTTACTGTTTGTTGGGTAAGCTTAAAAAATGAAACATTTCAGGCATACATTTGTCTCCTGTCCAGGTGATTTACATTTTGTATTGTTAAGCATTAAACATTAAAATGTAGTTTTTCGCCCTCCTTTGAAGCCTGTCAAATTGTAGCTTATCTGTTCTGTGACTCATTTTTGCATTGATAAGGAATCCTTCTGATGTAATTTTAGAACAGTACGTGGGCAGAAAACTATTAATGCTATGTTCTTTCCAGTGGTAAATAAGTAAATCCATTAAAAGCTCTCCCCCTTTAATTCTGTGCTCTAACATTTGCAGCCCGCACCTCTCTTCCTGCCATGTGGGCTCTTGCTTTGCCTAGCTGCTTCCATGATTGCGTCTCTGTATATGTGAAGTCAGTTGGTTTGTTAGCCTTAGCCATGAAAGCAGCCACAGCTGGAATGAATTTATTCTGGTCACACTTCAGATCCTCACTTGGTGTCTCACTTTCCAGCCACACATAAACTTTAAGGGGCCCACCTCCTCTTTTAAGGGGCCCGCCTCCTCTCTATGCATGTCGAGTAGAGCTGGGTAGCAGAGTGCTCCTGGGCAAGGTGAGCGTGGGAAGGAAGAGTCTTCCTGTCCCCAGGAGCTGCATGCGGTCCCACAGCACAGCACTCACTAGCTGACATTTGCCTGCCTCCTTTGTGGCCCAAGGAACTGTCTGTCTGTTGTAGAGAGTGATCAGTCTGCACCAAACCTTAAGAGCTCCCTTAGTATAGAAAATGGCCTTGTTCAACACCTTCTGAATTTAAATTCTTTTCCCTTTGATAACTGCAGTCCTCATGTTATATAATTTCTGCAAAGAAAGCAGAAGATCAGTTATAGTGCTGCCTTTGGTGAGGCTACAGAACCTTCCTGTGGCCTAGGTTGTATTGTGTAGTGTGATACACTACAAGCATGGGTTTCAGTGTCAGACAAAACTGGGTTTGCATCCTGGCTCCAGTGTGATGTTGGGTGAGTCTTTTAACCTTTGTGAGCCATTGTTTCGTTGTCTGTAAATTGAGTGATAACAGTTCCCACCCTCATGGGGTTTTAATGAGGATTTAATGAGCATTAGGAGCCTAACATGTAATAGTTAAATGGACGCAAGCTTTATAGTCATAGTTGTTTCAGATCAGCAGACTTCCATCCTAGCTGAAGTTGAGCCTCCTTGATCCCTGTCTACTTCAGTAGGTTTAGGAAAGAAGGCTAGGAATGGATTTACATGATGAGGGATGCAGTTCAGGATAGATTGAGTCCGTTAAGACCAAGAATGCCCTCCTTAGTGTAGAACTTAAACTGGATTTTCATTCAGATCCAGGGTGCAGGTGTAGCCCAGAAGTGTCTGTCGTGGGAACAACTTCTTGGCTCTGGTTATTCTGTTGAACCCTAGTGATGCCTGGAGACACAAAAGGATATTTGACTCATACATATGGGTCAAATTTTACTGCAAAGGAATTCTTGACAAAAAGTGTTCAAATCTCAGAATCTAGGTCAATATAATGAAATTAAGCCAAATAAAAAATGCCTAAGCATGTAATTTTGCAGTGTTGCTTCCCTCTGTGGGGGTTGAGGGTTGAACAGTATTTTACATATTTCTTTCTAATGCTGTTTATCAACACTGGGGTCTTTGGGGTTCCCTGCCCCAGCTAGGTCAATGCTGTAATTTTCTCTCCTATATTGCAGGTTTTAGGAATGTGTAGGTTACCTTGGCAGGTGGTGAAGATTACAGTTCTTTCTCTAATAGTGATTAGGGTGATAATAGAGCTTTAATTTTTCAGTCTTATAAAAATACTGTACCTAGCCTTGGGGCTCCCCTTTTAAAATTCCTTAGTTTTACTTCACTCACCAAATCGTACTCAGGAAGAGTGACCACACTAGCCAGTGATCAAGCCTATACCTTAAGCTTATGCATATAAATTAAATATTTAAAAAATTATTTTAATAAGTGGTAAATCTAAGTGTATATATCACAAATGTAGATATACTAGTATTCATAGTCCTGATTTAATACTAAGTAGGCTTCATTAATATTAGATTTAGGGCCCTTAATAATTGGCATATTTTAAATATTTGAGGTTTATGGGAAGTCAGGACAGGTGAAACTAGTTAACAGCAGTTTCTTTCAGTTAGTTGATGTTTATTGAGCACTTACTATGTGGTAAGCACTTTTGAAGATGGTAGTGATACAGAGATGAGTAAGTTACAATCACTTCCCTCAGGTTGCTTAAAGCTAGAAAGCAGATGTGAGCCTGGCACATTGTAGGTTTGAAAGTGTTTTATGAACAGATCTGAAATAAATGCTAATGTAGAATGACAAAGATAAACATAAGTACAAAAATAGGAGGAACAAGTCCTAGGAAATATAGCTGTTTTGCTAATGTATTTGTGAACAAAGACCTTTGTGTTGTGTTGCATGCTGACCTTCTGTATTGTGTTATTGTCTTTTAATCCACTTTTTGCCTGTCCTTTGGTCTGCTCTCATAATCAAGGATCCAGATCTGCTAATCCTGCTGGTGGTAAGCCATTTCTCTTCTTGCCTTTTTTTGTTGTTGTTGTTGTTGGCATTCTCCCCGACCCCATGTTCCTTGCACAATATTAATTTCTCTCTTTATTGTAAGCTTAGTTAATCTTTCTGCGTTTTTCTTTGTGTTCAAATTCTAGAGTTTGAAATGGATTTCTTTCCCCTTTATACATAGTTTAATAGTTTATATAGCTCAAATTTTATGGGTAAAATTAATAGGTCCTGAGACAAATTCTTCATTGGTTTTTATAATGATTTTTCACTTCAATTTTTAGTTAAATCATTATAAACTATTAATTTTTGTGAGTATTCACCTACGTGGTTCATTTGAATGATGGTGGTTTTGATTTATATAATATGTATTTTTAAATAATATATATTTAAAATAAACACACATATAAATTTACAGGTAAGTGTTGCTTCAAATGCTTTCTTCCTCTGGGTCATTCTATTCTAGTACATAGTAAATGTATACTTTATATTTTAGAATGTATTGCCTTCTCTACTTAGGGAGGTAATCTGTCAATGCAAATGATTGCCATTTGAGTGTATTGGTGTGATGCTTAAAATTTTGTTGTTTCCTCTGAGAGAGAATTAGGTCCCACAAGAAATAGTAATATATGTATCTAGCTACTTACCTATTAATAAAAATTATCAGCCATATTATTTGTTTTTAATTTCCAGTTTTATTGCATACTTCTCAGAGAATGTGGTCCATGTTATTTCTACTGTTGTAGATTTTTTTTTGAGATTTACTTTGAGGCTTAATACACAATTTTTATTTTTAATATTCATGTGTGGAAAGGTAAAAAGAATATGTGTTCTATCTGTTGGGATATATATGTGTATGTGGGAAGTGTGTGTTTTTATACATACATATACACACACAGACACAATTTTGACTGCTCTGTCAATTTCTGTGAGGTATATAGTTTCTCAATATTATTAGTCTTTCCGTGAGGTCTTTCGGTAAGTATGGCTTTTTCCATTTCTTCCTGTACTTTTATCATTTTTTAGTTTTATATTTCAAAACTATGTTGTTTGGAGCATAAAGGTTTGTGATTATTAGATCTTCATGGACAATTATTCTTTCATAAATATTAAATATCCTTCTTTGTCTTTTTTAAATGCTGTGTTTTATTCTATTTGTTTTTGTTTGTGGTGTATTGTTTGACTTTTAAAAATACCAGACAGCTGAATTTCATTTTATTTTACTTTGCATTTTCTTTTCTTTTCTTTTTTGTTCTTTTTTAAGAGACAGGGTCTTGCTCTGTTGCCAGGTCTGAAGTGCAGTGGTGTGATCATGGCTCACTTCAGCCTTGACCTCCTGGGCTCAAGTGATCCTCCCACCTCAGTCTCCCGGGTAGCTGGGACTAGAGGCATGTACCACCATGCCTGACAAATTTTTACAATTTTTGGAGAAGTGGGGTCTCCCTGTTGTTGCCCACACTAGTCTCAAACTCCTGGGCTCAAACTCCTCCCACCTTGGCCTCCCAAAGTGCTGGGACTACAGACATGAGCTACCAGCCCAGGCTTGTTTTAATCTCTTTTAAATCGATGAATTTAATCCAGCCACATTTATTATGATTAACTAATATGTTTGAGCTTCTATCTTATTTTGTGATTTTTATTTACCAGGTTTCTGGTTATTTTATCCCCCTACTCCCTTTTATATCATTTGTCAGATTAATAGAGTTTTCTTGGATTCATTTTCTGTAGCTAATGCTAAGAAAATTGTTATAGTTCTACTTCTGCTCTTCTAGCAGTGACACCTAAAATTTTTAACATAATCAGCTCTTACAGAATTAAAAAAACAAAATAAGAATAAACACCTTTGTGACATTTGTAGTTATTTACTGTGGAATAAGGAGGCTATTCCACCAGTAATTCTTCTAAGTATATTCTTTTATGATATTCAATTGTCTTTTATGCTCCTACATTTAAAAAAATTACTACCACCAAATAAAAATTTATTTTTATATAAAATTGTGTATTTTAGCCAAATTAATGTGTAAAATCTGGCTTTTGAAAGTATTATAGTTCATTCCTACATTTACATCTATTATTCATTGTCATTTTGCTTCACTTTTAGCTGGCAGCCGGTCAAGTTCCCCAGGAAAATTGTTGGGAAGTGGTTATGGTGGACTTACTGGGGGCTCCTCACGAGGCCCACCTGTGACACCGTCTTCAGAAAAGCGAAGCAAGATTCCCAGGAGCCAGGGATGTAGCCGGGAAACAAGTCCAAACCGAATAGGATTAGGTAAGGATTCTCAAAGATCTTGGAATACCATTCCCAGCTTGGTCATAGTTTTGATTATAATCTAATGACTATGTCTAATGTAGGAAATATAGATCTATTTTTTGAACTGAGGATGTCACTTTGCCTGGGTGTGCTTTATACAGATTATGGCATATTGAGGTTTCAGTTAGAAAAATATATGGGACTTAACCCTTCAAATTGATGGGAAGGAATTATGTCATTGTAGGCTTTTGTGTTTTGCAGTCATTGTACAAAGCACTGGAATTGGGGAAATAGCAGGGTGTTTCCCCCACAATTAGAAGCAGTGTTGCTTTTCATTTTCCTTTTACTGATTAGCACTAAGTAGACATTAACCTATATGAATTTTTCAAAAACAGCATTTAGGGTCCACATTTATTTTAATTCTGATCTTCTCTAATCTAATTGGTGAAACTTATGGTGAAAAAATATGCATAGTTACTTTTGACATAGATTTGTTTAAGCATGAAAGCTAGGAATTGATTAAAACCAATACATAATATTTAGTTTTGTGTTACTTAGTTTCTTTGTAATAGTGTGTAGAATCATGTGAATTACTGTCAGCCGCTTAAATACCTTTTGTTCCATTTAAAATCTAATTCATACGCTAACTTTTTAAATATAAAATTTAGAAGTCTTTGTGATATAATACAAAAAATCTAAATTCATACTCTATGACTTCTTTACTTCCTAAGGGTAAAATGTATTAATATAAAATCAGACTACTGTATTCTTAAATTGTGTTGGCTTATCTTTCTCATTTATTCATTTATCTCATCAACAGTGTTTACTGTGATGTACCAGGCACTTTGTTAGACCTGAGAATTAGAAGATACATGAGATAGATTTAGATTCTGACTTCAAAAAGCTTGATATCTATTGGGGAGAGGTGGAAATGTAACACAGTATGACGAATACTATGACAGGGTGCTTCACATAATCAAAACTATGACCTAAAAAAGGAGTATCTTAGACCCTTGGCCACCCCAGATTTCTTGCTAGGGGAGGCTGCCCAGAGTAGATTCTGTTTTCATGAAGTACAAAATGGGATTGGTCCGGGTGGGGAGATGAGGGGAAAGGTTTCTAGAGGAGAGAGAAGCATCTGCAGAAGCAGTCAGGCAAGAGGCAGCCACATGTAATTCATTTGGCTGCTGTAAAGGAAGTCAGAGTGGGTGGGAGTTGGGGGCAGAGACTGGTAGAGTCCAGCTCATGAAAGTCTTTGAAGCCCACCTTAGCTACGAGAAGGCAGGAGAAGATATTTAAGAATGGATAAGATTTGATTTGAAATCCTATTTCCAAAGCAAGTAGAAAGTATTTCTTGGTTTTAGTAAATCTCTATGATGCCAACTTTTTATTGGCATTGCGTAGTGTGGTCTCTTAGCTGACAAGTTATTTGGGTGTTGATGTGGATACAATCATAGAAAAGGTCACAGCTGGAATATCTGAATTTTATGTCTGATGCTGTAACATATTTGTGTTTGGAAAATGCATTTGATTTTAAATCTAGGTGTTATGTTTTAGCTGTCTTTTTCCATAGTTAATTGTTTAAGTTTATAGGATGTCTGTTTGCAATCCATGTTAGTTTTATACATTTAAAGATTCTTTTCTGTTTTGAGATTTTTTTTCCTTTTATATTATTAAAGATGCCATTTTAATCTTCTTCTTGAAATTGGGAAATAACCCAACTTCATTTATCTAACATAATTCTAATGTGTTCCATGGTTTTAACTAGGAAGTTTGTGTTGTGTGTAGTTGAAAAGACAATATTTTATATGTTTTTAAAACAGTTATTATGGAGCATCAGTAGGAACTTAAGCCTGTTCCCTTCCAAAGAGTTATTTGAAATATTATTTGAAGAAAGTTATTTCCTTGATGCTAATTAAAGGGATCAGTTACGTGTAGAGCTTTGAGGTCATACATATAGTTTATATTAAAGAAGATATTTTCTTTAAATTTCCACACATTGCGAGAATATATGCATATAAAGAAATCTATATGAATAAAATGTATTTTCATTTTTTTCCTGTGGTATTGCTTAGAGATTGCATTTAATAGGGTGGCAGACATAATAGCATTATTCAGTAATAGATTATATATTACTATTATCATTTAGTATATACTGGATATATGCCTGTGTTTCTTAACATTTGACTCATTGTATAGCAGTTTTCAATATAATTGTTGAAAAAAAGAGGAGGAACATCTTTTAGGAATATTTTCTATAATTCCCAAACCAACAAATTCAACAGTTTTAATGATAGCTAAACTAGGTTTGGAATTTGCACTGAGAATTAATCGTAGTTATCTACAAATCGTGTTTGGTTCAACTATGCCTCTTTTTGTTTGAAATGATACTTCTTAACAAAATTTTCTTTTTTCATTTGTTTTAAAACTGATGCCAAGGCTCTTCTTTGGCATTTAGATTTTCTTAAGCAGAACAGCCTGTAATTCCTATTAAATATTCAAGAAGCAAAATATATCCCTGATACTCTTTTTTCTTGGTGATTTGTTCCCTCATAAGCTATCTGACTAGGAAAATGTATTTTTAAGTTGTTTTATTTCTGTGTGTCTTAAAGATAATACTTTATAGATACAATAAAGTCACATAAATCACTAGTATCTATAGTGATTATATTTTGGAAGTTTGCCCTTGTTCCCTTCTCCCACTCCTCTATGGAAAGGCTATGAAAACACATTTGACATTTTTGCAGCTTTCATTCTGTGGATGTGTATTTTAAATGTTAAGGTTTTCTGGTTAAAATACTTTGAAATAATTAAACATTAATAATAGTTCATTTCAACTGTGAAATTAGACTACTGTCTAAGACCAAGACATGAAAATGTCTAGACCAGAGAGACATTTCATGTCTTTAACTTCTGGTTGTTTTTATTAATTCTCTTATATTCTGCTTTTATGAGTCCTGGTTGGACCCTTCCTTAAGATGTAAAAGTCAAGATTACCATTAAAACACTGAAGTAGGGTAGAGTGTCTATCAAGAAATGTAAACCAATCAAATGGGTATCTTACGGCTTCCCAGCATTTCATGTAAGCAGAAGACCCCAGAGGTACCTAGGAATACTGCTTTTTTAGGAAGTTCACAGTACAAGTATGTTTTCCTGGTCTCTCCCTCTTATGCCTTCTCTTCTGTAACATATTTTCACATAGAACATTTAGTTTGGCACTTAAAGAGACAAGACTATTTTGGTGGGATTTTCTTCTTTTAGTTTTGATCACCTAATTAATTCATTTATAAAAAGTCATTTATATACTTATTTTAGGCCGGGTGCAGTGGCTCACGCCTGTAATCCCAGCACTTCGGGAGGCCGAGGTGGATGAATCCCTTGAGGTCAGGAGTTGGAGACCAGCCTGACCACCATGGCAAAACCCCATCTCTATTAAAGATACAAAACTTAGCTGGATGTGGTGGTGCGTGCCTGTAATCCCAGCTACTTAGGAGGCTGAGGAAGGAGAAGCACTTAAACCTGGAAGGCGGAGGTTGCAGTGAGCCGAGATTGCGCCACACATTCCAGCCTGGTCAACAGAAGAAGACTCTGTCTCAAAAATAAAAAATAGGCTGGGCACAGTGGCTCACACCTGTAATCCTAGCACTTTGGAAGGCTAAGGCGGGTGGATTGCCTGAGCTCAGGAGTTCAAGACCAGGCTGGGCAACATGGTGAAACCCCGTCCCTACTAAACTACAAAAAATTAGCCGGGCATGGCGGTGTGCACCTGTAATCCCAGCTACTCGTGGGACGAGAATCACTTGAACCCAGGAGGCGGAGGTTGCAGTGAGTCAAGATCACACCATTGCTCTCCAGCCCAGGTGACAGAGCAAGACTCCGTCTCAAAAAAAGAAATTAAATAAATAAATATACTTATTTTAAATCCTTCTTTTAGATTAGTCTTTCAAAGTAGTAGTATAAGTGAGTTTGTATTTCTCTTGTATTTTAAATTATTTAACATTTGAACCATGGATGTCACCACTAGATTTACTTTGATGAGTAAATGATGCCAAAGCTCTTGAGGTTTAGGGTAACTATGGCCATATTTTCACAAAATCATAAACGGACAATTAGTTTTCTCTATACTGCTACTAGCCATATGTTAAATGAGAAAATCAGCTCGAATGGGTGAATGAACTCTCTCTGGGTGAAATACCGGAGGGGGGTAAACCTTGTTAAGAAATTTATGCATACTGTTATTTCAGATCATATCTGTTTACTGCTGTTAATGCTTTTTATTGTCTTCACAAAACAGACTCAGACGAAAAAGAGCATTTTTTTCCCCGTTGTTCTAGCATGTATATGAATTTAAGGAAGGGGATGGGGCTAGGAAGAATTCAGAAATAATCAGGCAAGAACTATTAAGAAAATGCTCAACTAAGCATGAACTTGTTTAAACAACTATCAAGACCTTTTATAGCTTTTTTATTATTTGTTTTGGAGTGGGCAGTGGAATACGACAAAATTTTTACATGTGCTCTTCAGCAAGGGACTTGGAAATACTTATGTATGTGCATTATCTCACAGTACCCTTCTCATTTAAAATGAGGGGACGTGTTCTTTTTCCTCGTTTTCCTAATGGGAGGCTTGAGACCCAAAGAGGCCAAGTGGCTGGACCAGTGAGATAGCATGGAGCTGGAATGGTCATTTTTTGACTCAGATTTGGCATTGGTTCTCTAAGGATGAGTGGTATTGCTGTGTACATTCTAGGAAAGTTGTCCGTATTGGTAGAGCCAGTACACACGCTCCCTAGTTTTTTAAGCATTTAATTTGGCATCTCCTTTTGTCATCATTGTAGGAGCTGTTTAGAATGTCATCAAGAATTGCTGACTAAATAGTCACTACTACTTTGAGTGAAAATTCAGTGCTTTCACATCACTCTGGCAAAATTAAGGAGAGCTTAAGAATTTCTGGTGAACCCCCAATAAAGCCCTTTATGTCTAGATTGTTGAGATTACGTTCCTGTGCTTGACTTTTTTTTTTTTCCCTGAGCAGTAGTAAGCATTTGGATATCACTTAAATGCCTTCAGAGTCTAGTTCCACTCTAGTACTGAGCAGCTGAGCACAATAGAAAGTTGGCTTTAGTTTTCCCTTTCGTATTCTTTTTTTAATCAGGGAGTGTTATGGTTCTGGTTTATAAGACATTCTTGTTATACTTTGGCTGTATAATAAATCTTTGCTCTCAAACAATAGACTATGCTCATTGCAGTATAGAAACATACTTGTTTTGATATCAGTGATTCAAGTTGATTGTTTCTAAAATGTCTTGACATTTTTTCCAGTCCATCCTCTCAGGATGGAAACGTATATTGTCCCCATCAGCTATTACATTAGGCATTCCACCTACATGTATTCAGTATACAAGGTTGTTTTGGAGTATTTTCCCAGTAATGTATTTCCATTTTCTCAGATGGAGAAACAAGGGTATCCTGGTCTTTTCTAAGCTTCACAGCCCAGTTATTATGAGACCCTGGGCTATTCATGCAATTCTGTCTTGTAGTCTCGGTGTTTTATAACATGAGAATGATTAACTTTAGCCGTAGATAATCAGAAAGTTATTTGCTGTTCTCAGGTCAGTGGAGAGATCTTTCCCCAAATACTGAGAGTATTGATCTACTTGCTCTAGACACAGTGTGAAAGACTGGGTCAGTGGTGGTGCTTGGTAGAGCACAGGCAGATCTTTTCAGATTTTCATAGAAAAAGCAGGGATAAAATGTTGGGATCAGTAAAGGAAAGGATAACAGTCCCCACTTTTTATATCTGCTGGTTTCGAGAATTGGATATGTTTGAAGCATCTACACACTTACTTGGAGTGGGTAGGCTCTCTCTCTGGTTGTGTCAACTCTTATGGCTTCTCTTGGTGAAGATGGCCAGCCTGGGAGCAGTGAGCCCTCTTCCTTATCATTAGGTAAGTTCATGGACTTCAGTGACCAGTGTGGTTATTCTGTTTGTTAATCCAAATTAAATTACCTTTCTAAGAAACAAGTGCATATGAATACAGCTTTGGTTTTTTGTCCTCTTGTTGAGAAGTTTGCTAAGCTCATAAAAACTGATCGTTTCTAAAAGGCTTTTGATCTTGTATTTTCTGATGACAGTTTGTTGTTCAGAAAGATTTCTTTTCACTTCTTACATTTAGGTGTAATTTCACCTTCGTACTGAAATTCACAGCTTTCTGAGGTATTGAGCATAATCACATTTTACCCAAACCCTCCCCCGTTGGCACGTCAGTCAGTGAGACCTCAGCATGGATAGGTGGCTCAGTCATCAGAACTCCCCAGCGCGAACAATGTCGTAATTACATTAACCAAATGTGACTGACATTTTGTGAGTTTATCTGTCTTCATTAAACTTGTTCACCTTCTCTGAAACCCTTCATGCTGCACGCTAGCACGGAGCAGCCGTATCCCTCGACCCAGCATGAGTCAGGGGTGCAGCCGCGATACCAGCCGTGAGAGCAGCCGAGATACAAGCCCTGCTCGGGGCTTTCCTCCACTTGGTGAGTACACGTAGGTGCTGGCTGAGGAGCAAAGAGTTCCTTTCCCTGCTTGTCCGAGACACTGCTAGGCGGAATGACCTGCTTTTCCTCCTCTACTGTCCTTGTGATCCTTTCTTCTTTCTTTCCTCTTCCTTAGTTACCCCTTGTCCCCCTCTGCATGCTTGAATTTTGGCAACTTCGAATTTTTATATATTAGAGGAAAAAAACACCACTTCACTCTGTACTGTTGTCATTGTGACCACTTGCTCTTGGGCAAGCCCATCTGTGTGGTAATTTCTAACCTAAGGCAAAACTCAGCCGAAGTTAGTTGCTGCTTAAAAGTAAAGTTAATCCAAAGTTTATTCTTAGTCATTGAATTTTTACAATTTATCTTTAATTTTACTACAGATCAGTCTATATGTAATTTAATTCAAAGAAGGAACAAAAGTACAATAGCGATAATGTTTAGTAAAGTAAAGTGAGTTTTCTTTTTAGAGTTAATAGTCCTGCCATCTCTAAAATGGACACATAATAAACCCTTTTTAGTTAGTATAAACTGTCGATCCCCAAAAGACATCTGTCAACACATACTTTTGTGAAAAGGAATATTTTGTATTCTTCAATAATTATTTTTGGCTGCTGGCCATGTTAAGTGCTGTACAGATGTCCATTTTCCTCTTGATAAGCATAAACGTAGAAATCATTTTATAATACTTAGACGTAGACCTGAAATTATGTGGATCTGTGGACTCCAGCAGTCTGTTAATTTTAACTATGTATTTATGTAACTGGTCTTTTGAAAACTATACATGCCACTACGAAAGAGGGATGTTAAATCAAAAGCATAAGGTCTTAATATTTGCCTCTACCTAGCCCCTTCTAATGTTATTCACTTCTTCTGATCTTTTTTCCCTAATCAGTGTCGGTAATCAAAATCTAGATGTATTTCTTTATGACCCATTGTCCTTTATGAAATTCTGAAAAAGAACAGGTAACCAGATGCCAAAGCCCTGCTAGATGGTCCCTGTGATTTAGCGAGGCAATACCTGTTGTGAGGTGTTCCACCTTGTTAGCATGAGCCCTTGAGTGGGGCACCTTACCTATTGCATGTCACCTATTCCACAGCAGTCTGAAGCATTACAGCAGAATTCTCAATAATCAGAGGTGGCAATGATTTTTTTTTTTTTTCTGAATGAACTGGTGATTTTTCCTTTTAAATTAAGGCTGTATATCTTTGCATCCTTGCTCACTATTTGACCTTCTGAACAACCTATTTATGAGTAAAATTCAATCCTTTATTGGTTATTTTGTCTCTTAGAAGCAATTCAGTGTTTTCCTTTCAAATATGTACTGTTATTTTTGATACTGTCCGTGGAAGCATCCTTTGGAATCTGGCATGTGGAGCAGGCAAGGTGTGCTGAATTCTTGAGATCCTAATTGAACTCTGAGTGGTTGAGTGAATCTGGTCTGTTTTGTACATTGTTTGATTAAATGGATCTGCTTAGCTGTCTTGGTGACAACCCAGAATGTTGAAATGTGTAATTGCCACTACCAAGGCAGAAGGCGTGGGTCCTCACAGGCTCTAGCATCAGCACGTCTTCTGTTGTGGTCAGGGCAATAGTTAAGGTCTTCGAGCTAAAATTTTTGTATCATGCTTTTCCCCACCTTGGGTTAAACCTAACCCTAAAACTTATGTCCAGCAAGAACAACAGCATTGCTCATGTGTACACACACCGTTTGGAGCAGTCAGCAGGCATAATGCCTTGTGGTCCCTGTTCATCCTCTGGGACAGGTATTATCATCGTCAGAGTCTTAGGCAGAATAAGCCACTTTCTCAAGATCATGCAGCTAAATGGTGGAGCCAGGGTTTGAATTCAGGTTTGACTTCAAGCCTGCCTCATTTGGAAGTAGTTTGGATAATTCAGTGTCTTTCATCTGTTTCTCGAAAATATATTAAATGCTTGTTCTGAGGCTTCTTGGGGTCGGGGGTTAGAAGAAGTTTCTGAGTCATTTATTTCCAGGCTTGGGGTTAGGACCTGGGAACTCAAAGATATATCCCAGAAGGTTGTTGTCCTCAGGGGAGCTTACTACACATCCTCTGAAGGTTCCTTCTTTAGCTCATTCATTTTAATAATCTCTTCCCACCCTTTTTGGAAATTAGTGAGATTGTGTGTCAGTGCTTCTTTGAATCCACTTACGTAGCCAGCTCTTTAACAACAACAACAACAAAAAGAATGACAGTACTTATATTCTAGTGAATATATATTTTTAAGTTTGCATTTTTATTGTTTTGGACCATTTTGATGGTATGAATATATATGGTTATGGTGATAATTTTTGATTAAGGGAAATTAAGGGCTCTAGGGCTGCTATAAATTAGGCTTTCACATAAGTGGGTCTACCTTGGATTCCAGTGTTGGGTGTTAACTTGTGAATGTGACAGAGGACTCATGGCATGACAGATTTTTTTTAGAATATTCTGTTGAAACTGAACTAAAGGACCACTTTTTAAGGAACCTACATATCAGGTACTGCTTAAAAACTATTTCAGTCTGAACTATCAAGATAGTGATGTGCTTGTACAAAATGTATAGTTTGCTTCAGTCTTAAGATATTTTACCAACTTCCTTATTTAGGGAAAGTGATAATTTTATAATATTCTTTGCCAATTTAGTTTTAATTTTTGTGAATCTTGAGAAAGGGATATTTTCCTTTTTTTGCAAGCTGGTAAAAATTGCCAGGTAATCTTTGCTATTTAATACCACATGTACCATAGAGATGCACATTTCATAAAGTAACATGGACCTTAAAAATTATATTGAAGAATTTGAGGTATTGATATTTTATGACTGAATGTGAGAGCGTTAACATGTACAGAATACTCTAGTAGTACAGATAAAATGTAGCACTGCTTAGTATTATTTTGTTAAACCTATAAATTTTCTGTGGTATAATCACTGTGAATTTTTCAGAGTAATGAATGGAAGCATATTATCTTTTGTTTTTCCTGAGGTTAACGAAAAGCCGTATGTTGCATGAAACTGTAGTCAATAAGTTAATGTTTTGAACCAAGTCTTTATTTCATAATTATTTCTAAAAGTTGTTTTCTATCCACATGAGGACAGAATTTAGCATGTATTTCCCTCAGGTTGATGAAGTAATATGCTCACTAAGAATACTTGTTAATAAAATGGTACTATAATGTCAGATTGTAAATTTGAGGTTGCTCTTAACTGTTACTGCCACCACCAGCACCACCCAACACTACTAACCAATGTTTAAGTTGCTTTATAATCTCTTTTAATCCACTCAGTAACTCCCAAGAGGTAGGTACCATTAACCATTATTAGCACCATTTTACAAACAAGATACTGAGACACAGATAGATTTAGTACTTTGCCCAAGGTCAGTCCTATGGCTAGTTGTGATCCAACGAGCATTTACAATTGCATTACTGAGCTGGTACTCATAACCAGTGTACTGTAACTGCCTCTCCAAGGAAGATCATTGAACTTAATACAGCTAAATTCAAACGATTACACAAGTACTAATAATTAGGATATGGCCAGGCGTAGCGGCTCACACCTGTAATCCCGGCACTTTGGAAGGCTAAGGCGGGAAGATTGCTTGAGCCCAGAAGTTTGAGACCAGCCAGGCAACATAGGGAGACCTCGTCTCTACAAAAAAAAACAAAGCCGAATGTGGTGGCACATCCCTGTAGTCCCTGCTACTTGGGAGGCTGAGGCAGGCGGATCTGCTTGAGCCTGGGGAATCAAGGCTGCAGAGAGCCATTATTGTGCCATTGCACTTCAGCCTGGGCAACAGAGTGAGACCTTGTCTCAAAACAATAGTAATAATAATAATTAGGATATTCATGCAACAGAACAACAAACATTTTGACTGGGGAAAATGGAATTCTAACTGTTGAACCCCCTTCCTGTGATTTTATTTTATTTCCGTTGAAGTAACATTATGAACTTCTATGCTTGTTTTTGGTGCATGGTTGCATATGCATCACATACTGATAAAACATCTCGTGAGCTAACAATCCGTCTTACTGCCATTCCGCTCTGGGATGTAGACGGTGCTCTGTGACTCCTGCTGTTCTTCATGTTGCATATGTCCATACTGGCTGATAGAGGCTTCATGGCGTGAATATAACCCTGGAGTCCGAGTTGGTTGATGCATACTTAGTTTGGAGCACCTTTAAGAGCGCCTTTGTTGTGCCTGTGTGTTTAATAGCTGTGTGAGAGCCAGCTGGCCACTGTGAAGTTTGGGGATTGGCACTTGCTGTCCATTCATATCCAGCACCATTTCTTCTCGTGAGAAAACATGGCCTTGTTGGTAGCAGTCTCTGCATTTCCTCTGGACTGTGGCATTTTCTGTCTCTGGTACTTCTGTGTTAATCCTGTGGGTGTTGCCATTCCTTTTACCTGCAGCCTCTCGACGTCATTCCAGGTCCACTAGTGCTCTCTCCACTGCTGAATCTGTTGGGCAGTCAGGTGAACAAGTGCTAACTGCATGACTTGGCTTCTTCATATGTTCTAGTTTCACACCCATGTCAACATTTGTTTTCATCTGTGTCGGCTAGCACTTGGCATGTTTGCACCTCATATTTTTTCCCCAATGTGCTTTAATTTTTTTAAGTTATTGAATGTTTATAGTTCTGTTAATAGGCTGTAGATGCTTCATAGCCTGTTTGACAACATCGTTTCTCCAGTGTTCATATTTACGTTAAAACAACAGGGAAGTAATTCCCTTCCTGCCACTCTGTCCCCAGGAAAATAACCAAAATTAGGTATTATTTAGGGTTCCTGTGGGGCAAGGGGGCATGGATATCATCCAACAGATTCTTTCCCTTCCAAAGTCTTTACTCCAAATAAACTGTCAAATATTAATGCTAGTTATTGATGTCAAGTTCACATTTTTAAGGTACCATTTAGTTAACAGCGCTGCAAATTATAGCATACATAATTTCATATGTATGAAAATAAGTGTATTGTTCTCAAAGTTTTATGGAAAAACAAGATCAGGATTCAGGTAATCAAGTCAGGCCAGAGGTATCCTTTGCAGCCTGCAAACCCCAAACCTGCTCTCTCAGCTCTGTTTAGCAATACTCAACATCCACTGGTTAGCCACAGTGGCAAAAAGTAAGCATACAGTAATACATCAATTTGTTAGATTTAACTGCCACTATTTTTATATGCTAACAGTCCCTAATGACTACAATTTTCTCAATTGAGTAAGGCATAATCTATGAATTTTCAGACCATTGATGGTAACAATTGTTACCAATTCACCGAGTCTGGTATTTTCTCTTTTCTTCTTCTAAATGAAGCCCCCTTTGCTTTTTTTGTTTGTTTGTTTTTGTTTTTTGTTTTTGAAACAGGGTCTTACTCTGTTGCCCAGGCTTGGAGTGTAGTAGCGTGATCTTGGGTCACTGCAACCTCTGCTACCTGGGCTCAAGCGATCCTCCCACCTCAGCCCCCCAAGTAGCTGGGACTACAGGTGCGTGCCACCATACCCAGCTAGTTTTTGTTGTTTTTTGTAGAGACGGGATTTCACTGTGTTGCCCAGGCTGGTCTCAAAACTCTTGGGCTCAAGCGATTTACCCACCTTGGCCTCCCAGAGTGCTGGGATTACAGGCAAAGCCGCCGTGCCCAGCCTCCTATATATTCTGATTATGTACATTTCCCTGAAGATTAGGGACCAGACTGAGAGCACAGTCATAGGTATTCATCTCTTGGAAAAATCAGACTTCATAATAGTATCAGAGCCTTGAGAATATGGAACAGACTTTGCTCTGGCGAAAACATAAAGCTTATAGTTTTGCTTAGATCCAGATAAACATTTCCCCTTAAGATTTGAAATTCAAATTGTCTGTGATATATATCAAATGATCTATAGTCACTCTGTATGGCAAAGCTGTATGCATCTTGGAAGCACAGAATAATTGCATTGTTCTTATAGTTTTAATTTTGTATCTGAAAAAATCTGTATATTCCCTGGAGCAAGAATTGCTGGCATGAGATTTTTTTTTTTAAATTTTATTAGACTTCGTTTTATTTAAGTTTATGCTGGGTAATTTTTTAATGGCTTATAATTGAATTACTTTCATTCTGTTACTCATAAGTCTCCTACTATCTACCCTTTTTTAATGAAAAAAAAAACTTGAACAAAGATCATCTGTAAAACTATGTGTGCATAGTAAATCTCACATTTACACTTGTTTCATATTTCAACTGATATAGATAAATGTAATTTTTAATGGCCTTTCTTAGTTTATATGGCACATTACCTTTTAAACATAATGGTTAAGATGACAGTTGGAAAGACCAGCAAATGCATTAAAAAAGGGGATAGTATAACATACAGTTTTTGTTTCTTTTTAAAAAATTCATGACTGTATAACTATTGATTAGCAGTGTTTAAATTTTTCTCCATTTCTGTGGTGGTGGAAGGTATAATGTTTTGAAATTGACATTTTTAAAAAGCTAAATAACAATTCACTTTTTAAGTTCACCAGTTTTGTAGGCACTGTCTTGTTGCATATCTAAAATTTTAAATACATTGTTTTATAGGAAAGATCAATTCATGTAAAATAGATATTAGCTTCCCTTTTATTCTAGATGCTTCCAGAATATAGCTAACATAGAGATTTTCGTTGTCCAAACGAAGTCTTATTTGTTAACACAGAGAAAATATTTTATCTTAACATTTTTCTTCCAAAGGTTTTTATACATTGGACTTTTAAATAAGAAATTTTTTACTGGTAGATAATGTACAACACACTTAATGAAGATACAACTTACACTGCCTTTCTCCTAGTATAGTTTTAATCTCCAGCACTTCCTAAGGAAGGTTGGTCAGCTGATTTAATGGGACTTTAAAAAGTGAGTTTTCATTTCCATGATCACAAGTAAGCTTAAAATACTTGTTTGAACTACTAAATTTGTTTTAAATTCTTTGGATTCTTTCTATTATTTGTTTATCTGTATAAAAATTGCCATTCTAAATTATTTGAGGAACCCAGGTAAAACTTATATTATCTAAATTTTTAATGTTCTTCAGTGAAAGTGCTAGATTTTTTTAGTGATTATTAAATAATTTTAATAAATTGATTTTTAAGTAATTTTTGTTGACACAGGCATCGTGACGAACAAGTATCTAAAATTAAATGAGCTTAACAATAGTTAAACAGAAGTGACACTAATAAAAATTTGCACAGAAATCAATTTAATACATTTGTTTCAAATTTTAAGCTTTTACCACACATTGCATTAGAACTCTTATGAAACCATGAAGCTTTCTAATTAGTTTGACCAAACATCAAGGCCACTTGCCTCTACAGGGAAAGCTAAATAGATTAAAAGACTCAACTCATAGCCTAGCTACCTTTTATAATAAGTTCCCGCTTCCCTCTCATATCAGAAACTTTTCAATAATAAAATACCATGTTTGAACAATTTCGAGTGACAGTGCTTTGTGGCACTATAGCATTAAATGTGAACAGCTTAACCTCTACCACTGGTAAACAAGTCAAGTGTAGTTAAAATTGGCTAGAGACTTTTCAGTACTTCTGTCTACTTGGTGGGAAGAGGCAGTAGTCCTTGCAAGGAATTGAAATAATTTGAATTAAAGTGACACATCTTTTGCTTTTGTTTTTTAAATAGATCGGTTTGGGCTTGGCCAGCCAGGAAGAATACCTGGTTCTGTGAATGCCATGAGAGTTCTGAGCACAAGTACAGATCTTGAAGCTGCTGTTGCTGATGCTTTGGTAAGAGGCACAGTATGTATGTACACAGTCTTTTTGAAATACTCATCTGCATTTCTCTCTGTCCTAACAGGAAATTGCCCCCAAATCAGGTTATGAATTCATCTTTGAAACTCTTTAAAATTGTGTTAATGTTGGGTAAATTTATATTGTTATTGTTTGCCCCTTAAACTTTTACCTCTGCACACATATAAGTGAAAATGGACTTTACAGAAAATATTAGCATCAAGTATTTCTTATCTGTGCTCTTCAGTATCAAGGAGCTTTTGATGACCCTGGACTTCTCAGATGTCATTGGGCTTCTTTTTTTCTTTTTAACCATGTTTTTTTTTCTGGCATTTCCTTTTTTCCATTCTGTTGCTTCTGTTGCTTTACAGACTTTGATGGCATAACCTAGACATATTATTATAATAATAGGTAATAGAGTTTGAGGTTTGAAAATCTTGCATTTATTCTATTATCTTGTCTGTTTGATTTTATGTTGTTTTTCCTAAATCTTTGAGGATGTGAAGCAGTGGTGGAATATGTTTTTGCATCATTATAGTGTAATATCTGAAAAACATAAATGATCATGGATCCTTTAATTTTTTTGGTTATACCAAAAAGTTTCCTAGTAGAATCAGCTTGTGGTCAGATTGCTTTTTAAAGATGCATTTCAGCTAGTCACACAGTCTCTTGCATATTCTGGTTTATGTGCTCAGCATTTGAAATGGATATTCTTTAGAACTGTCTGATCACTGGCCTTGCTCTTGCTGTTTTAAGATTTATTCTCTTGTAAGGGAAAAAAGTATGTAATATCCTGCTTTCAGACTCTGAAGTTTTTAATCCAGCCATGTTTTGTCAGATCAACATTTTATAGTTTATGGCTATGGTGATTCCAGTTTTCATTCCTTCTTGTCTTGCCCTCATTTATTCCTGCTCAGTCAGGTTCTTTGACAAGTGTCTGTGAGCAGTTTGCTGCTCTCCTAATCCTTTTCCTGTAGGCAAGCTGCCTGGCCACCTGTATTCCTCAACCTTATGTATAGAAAGACTTTTTTCTGGCAGGTGCTAGAGTTCAGGGTAACTGCTCTAACCATGGCTTTAGGAGTCAAGAGCTGGAACAGAATTATCTGAAGCTGTTTGTCCTTCCAAGTTGCAGCATTTAGAATCTGTATCTTATTTGTTCAGAGACCCTGGGAAGTGGAGGTCAAAGGGGTGGGAAATGATGGATGTGAAACCCTTAGTTGAGACTTCCACTTAAGGCAGGGAAATTTCTTAGTTCTTTAAAGAACTGCATAAGGGACTGTGTGTAAAGTTCTAGGAGGCGGAATAGGACTTGAGAGTTTGAGCTTTGGCTTAACTTGACTGGAGCTTTTCTCTGAGCTCTAGCTCCCATTAGATTCATGCTGCCCTTGTTACTTTTTGTCCAAACTGTTGAGTCTCTCCAAGTGACCTGCTTCTGAAGAGAAAACACAGAAATGGTACAGAATCTTTGCCTCGCTGAATAGACACCACGGCGCCAGACAGAATGTCTCAGAGGAATAGATAGTAGAATTAATGGTGACCTTAGAGATTTGCCTCACCGATATGGGAAAAGTTTTAGCAAAGAATTACAGCAAGTTACCAGAAGGTCTTCTGAGACGTGGAGGAGGGTTAGGAAATGCCATTTTGAAAGCATTCTTTATTATTATTAGCTTGATATGAAACGCTTGCTAACCTGTATTTTTGGTTTGCTAAGATATGTTTTGCTGTACACTTTTGTTGCAAGAACAATCCCTACATATGCTTCTGACATAATTCTCTATGCTTTTTCCCCATCCTTCAATATTTTCCTGCCTACAGCTGTTAGGAGACTCCAGGAGCAAGGTACCAGTCCTTTAACTTTTGTTTTACAACTTTATTTCTCCTGTTGCAAGTATATTTCTTTTAGAAGCTAGTGAAAACCAAAAAATGTAGTATAGAAATTCTGGTCTGAAATATGATTTTGTTGAATCATAACAGTGATTCACCATCATTGTTGTCTTTATTCATGGTGGAGTCAGCCACCTTTCATGTACATCTGTTTTAGTATTTATTTTGAATGTCAAGCTCTGCTCCTTCGCCTAGTAGTGTTTCATTTTATTAACTCAGTTTGTGCCTATTCTTACGTCGTCATGATTTCATGAATGGATTTATCAACATTTTTCTTATTTTAGGAATCTGGATTTTGTGTGACCATGTAATTTATTATCCAAACAAAAATGCTTTTGAGATTAAAAGGGGGATGCTATCAATAATTATGACAATAAGCTTAAGGCAGAACAGTCCTGAGCAAGTTGGATTAACAATAATACGCCATATTATTAAAGAAGTATATTTGTATGGTTTAAGCCAATCGCTATTTGTTTTGTTTTTATCAATTTTGTATAGTTGCTGCTATATCATATTTGTGGGTATAACAGTTTTGTATTCAGGGTCAGAGAAGTGAATAAAGTGGGTATTATAGTCTACTTTCAAAGAAGCCTATTTGTGTTTCAAAACCCTAAGTCTTTAATAAAAGTGGCCAGGAGTTCAAAACCAGCCTGGGCAACAGAGGGAGATGACTTAGAAATCCTTTTATGTGGGCTGCTTCTGCCATTGACATTTCAAATTCTGACTTTTTTAGGAAACATAAATATTCACACAAGTTTACCCATAGACTGTGCTCAAGATATATTGCTTTTGACTGGGGAGGGGCTGTTGGCTGCACATATTTGCATTGTGCCAGGTGCCCAGCTGAAATATTTAACATATAATTTCATTTAATCTTCACAACAAGCCTGTATGATAGGTTTAATTATTGTTGTCTTAAAGATGGGGAAACTGAAGCAAAAGGCCTAGGAGGCTTTCAGAAGTCATGCAGCCCAGTCAGTGTTGGCACCAAGGTTGTGATCTGTCTGTCTTCCTGTAAAGTCTACGCACTTTACTAGAGGCCATACTCTTTCCCTTCTACTACAGAGTGCTTTGCTTATTTACCTAATGGAAAACTGCTTTTCTGTTTTTATTTCCCTAATCTATAAGCACAGGAAAAGTGTGTGTGTGCATGTGTCTTTTTACACTTAACTCTTTGTTGTAGATTTTGTTTGGTGTGACTCACAGTCATTTCACCTTTCTATTTCTTCCTCAATCACTCCCATCCCTCATTGGACCTGTCAGAAGAAGCCTGTGAGGAGGAGATATGAGCCGTATGGGATGTATTCTGACGATGATGCCAACAGTGATGCCTCAAGTGTTTGCTCTGAGCGCTCATATGGCTCCAGGAATGGTGGCATTCCCCATTATCTGCGGCAGACTGAGGATGTAGCAGAAGTTCTCAACCACTGTGCTAGTTCAAACTGGTCAGAAAGGAAAGAAGGGCTTCTGGGCCTGCAGAACTTACTGAAGAGCCAAAGAACACTGAGGTGAGGACCACAGCAAGAATATGAGCTAAGTTTGAATCTCCTGTTGGACTCTTCAGGGGTTTAAAGGGATTTCCTATAATTAATGGAGTCTAATTCCTATAATTAATGGAGATACCAAGAGGTCTGCTTGCAGGAACAGGCACTAAAGGTACCAAGATGACTAAGACACAGTCCTTGCCATCCATTTGCTTTGCCATCCATTTGCTTTGAAATATCTGGCAAATATCCTTTTTTTCTTTACTTTTTTTTTTTTTTTGAGATGGAATCTCGCTCTGTTGCCCAGACTGGATGCAGTGGCACGATCTTGGCTCACTGCAGCCTCCACCTCCTGGGTTCAAGCGATTCTTCTCCCTCAGCCTCCTGAGTAGCTGGGACTACGGGGGTACACCACCACGCCTGGCTAATTTTTGTATTTGTAGTAGAGACAGGGTTTCACCATATTGGCCAAGCTGGTCTTGAACTCCTGACCTCGTGATCTGGCTGCCTTTGCCCCCCAAAGTGCTGGGCTTACAGGCATGAGCCACCGCGCCCAGCCCATCTGGCAAGTATTCTATAATTTATTAAGCTGATAAAAGATGTAGGGTGGACACAGTGGCTCATACCTGTAATCCCAGCACTTTGAGAGGCCAGGGCAGGAGGAGCACTTGACTCCAGGAGTTCGAGACCAGCCTGGGCAACAAAGGGAGACCCCATCTCTACAAAAAAGTTAAAACATTAGCCGGATGTGGTGATATGCATCTGTAATCCCAGATACTTCGGAGGCTGAGGCAGGAGGATCACATGAGCCCAGAGTTGGAGATTGCAGTGCATTATGATTACACCACTGCCCTCTAGCTTGAGTGGCAGAGCGAAATCCTGTCTCAAAAAAAATAAAAAAAATAAAAAAATAAAGACCCCATATTTGGTTCCCTTCTGTTTGATATTTGTCCAGTAGATGTTATTTGAGAAATCTTCCTGTACAGTATGCAGTTCAGGTTAAAACATAAAATAAAACAACTCTGCAGGTTAGTATGGTTCATTATACTTTAGGGTCTTGGATTAAATGTTATCAGTCTTAGTTTGGAAAATTTTGATATGCATGTGCATATATGTAGCTTATAAATGTACATAGTGAGGAGATAACAAAATGGAGCACTCCAAAATAGTAACAGCATTGTCTTTTAGATGGATCGTTTTTGCTTTTTTCTTTGTTTCTGTTTTATAAATTTTCTAAAATAAGCGTGTATTACACATACCAAAAAAGTATGTGGTTATACCATATTTTGTCAAATCTAAGGCACCATAGACACACCCTTATTTTTAGCCCTTTAATTAATGCCACGTATTAAACCATAACAGTGCAAAAATGTCATTGATTATAAGATGACTCAATTACAGAGATGTGAAAACGGGAGAAAGGAGACGTGAATGGGAATTAAGAAATGGGCAACTTAGAGTACATGAAATGCAGTCTACTTTATCCTTTGGATGATTTTTATAAGATAAGTTAACGGTCATAGATGGGCATCCCTCTTGGGTTCTGTAAGGCTGAGCACTGCCTGATGAGTTGCTCAGCTCTCACTGTGGCTCTTCAGGCAGCCTGACTCCACCCTCCCGTACTCATACCTGCCCCTATTATTTGTCTGTTCACAAAGACGATACAGGAAGTTTTGCCTTCTGAAACGCAGGCATCCTGTGACACTTTGGTGACCTGTCAAAAATAGAAGATGATTTGTCACGATTGTTCCTCAAGAATCTGTTTAATCCTGGTGGTCCCACTTTGTAGATTCTTAGTGTTCACCAAGTACCCATTGAATAATTTCTAGGAATCTGTTGATTGGCATTGGTCTAATCTAGGTTACGTCGTTAACAATATTGAAGGGTTCTTGAACAAACTGTCTCATCCACGTAAGAGGGCATTAATCAGGGATGATTTGTGGAAGAGAGGACACTTCTATCAAACTTTAAACATGGGACTTGGTAGTAGTCAAGGATCAGAAAAGGCAAAGGGCACCAATGTGAAATGAGTGTTTGCTTTGTCCTAGGTACGGTAGAAGGTACAATGTTTTATCTTTTAATCCTCTCAGCAGCCACGTGACATGGTCCTTATCCTGTTTGACCAATAAGGAAATCACAGGCTTAAAGATAGCAGAGTACTTATTTATTTTATTTATTTATTTTTGAGACTGAGTTTCGCTCTTGTTGCCCAGGCTGAAGTGCAATAGTGTGATCTTGGCTCACTGCAACCTCTGCCTCCTGGGTTCAAACAATTCTCCTGCCTCAGCCTCCTGAGTAACTGGGATTACAGGCACCCACCACCATGCCTGGCTAATTTTTTTATTTTTAGTAGGGACAGGGTTTCACCACATTGGCCAGGCTGGTCTTGAATTCCTGACCTAAGGTGATCCACCTGCCTTGGCCTCCCAAAGTGCTGGGATTACAGGTGTGAGCCACTGCCCCTGGCCCAGAGTACCTTATTTACAGCAGAACTGAGATTAAAATCCAGATCTGTCTGACCCTGAAACACATGCTGTTTTGTTTTTTCCCTTTTTTGTTTTGTACCTCTCATTAAAATGCAGGATAGACATGCTTTTTAAACTTTATTCCATTGCCTTTCAGTTGTAGCATGTGGAAAACACAGCTGGGATAAAATGAAAAAGATTTGGTGCATGGCTTTGTCACTTCCAGATGTGTTAGCTTGAGTAAATCACTCAGTCTTAGTTTCCTCATCTTAAAATGAGAGCAAATCTCTGGTTTTATATTCCTATTTGATTTAGCTATAAATTAAATAAGAGTTTGTGAAAAAACATTGTTATGTAGATACGAATTATGTAAAGCTTATGTAGTTGACTGATCAAAAAAATTACCCAGGTGTGGTAGTGTGCACCTCCCAGCTACTCGGGAGGCTGAGGTGGGAGGATCACTTGAGCTTGGGAGATCAAGGCTGTAGTGAGCTATGATCGCACCACTGCACTCTAGCCTGGGTAATAGAGTGAGACCCTGTCTCAAAAATAATAAAAGTAGTAAATTCATTGATTTCTGTTTTATTTCTTCTAGTCGAGTTGAACTGAAAAGGTTGTGTGAGATCTTCACTCGGATGTTTGCTGACCCTCATAGCAAGGTAAGTCTGAAGTCATGCCTGCCCTGTCTTTACCCCTGCATGTCTGTGTGCTCTGTGTGATATACTACCCAAGAATGAGAGAGAATTCCCGATAGTGCAGTTCCGACCTTACAGAGTCACACCGGTTTCAGCACTAGTGTATGTTACATCTTTTAAAAACAGAATTCTTGGAAACTTAAATGTGCATAAAATTTCAAGTTAAATAAGTGTGTTTCAAGTAAATGTTATCAGGGAGAGAATCAGATGGTCTTTCTTATATTCAGCAAATATTTTTGTATGTCTCCTCTTAGCCAAACAGTGAGGTAGGTGCTAGGGTATAAGATTATATTATAATATCATGCATTTTTTAATGTTATAGTAGTGAAGAAAATAAGTATATAATTATTTTTGTATCCCGTGTAGAATATGTCCGTATAGGACAAGATAGAAAAAATGAGAATATGTAATGGATTTATTGATAAACCAGGTTATTTCATAAAATAGGATTTTGCTGTTACCAAGAATTTGCTGAACGGGGATCACTTAGCTGGTGCCCACACCTCCTGAGGGCCATAGGGAACACTAAGCCCAAGGAATGCTTTTTTTGATGAGAGAGTCCCAGCTGAGGGGGAAATGCCCATGAGTATGGGACAGAACACTTTCCAGGGGTGGTGGAAAAGACGTGAGACAGGGTATCTTTACAGAAGTTTACTTGGAGTCTAGATTTTAAATACTATTGTTAGGGAGAAGGCCCTTAGAGACTATTAGATGCTTTTAGAGGAAGAAGGTAAGGTGTGGAAATGGATAGAACCTTAAATGAGCAGAAGCAAATCTTTAATGCTGACATGCAGGATCAACTACAGTTTTCCTAGTAAAGATGGGCTCCTCCAAGTCTTGCTGGAAGAAAGAAACCTGTGATGGCCAGAGAGCCCAGCCAGTTAGTCATCATCATCTTCTTTCTTTTCCTATCCTTGCTTCCTCGTAGGAATTGTCCTTGAAATATCAAACATCCATCCACCCATTCATTCACCCAGTCATTTAACATTTACTGAGTACCTGCTCTGGGGCAGGGATATAGAAAAGAAGATATGGTCCCAGCCTTTTGAGGTGCTCATGAGAGTAAAGGGGATGAATGCAAGGGTTCTCCTCCCCTCCCCCCACAACAGCTCTCCTCACTCAGTGTCATTCTTGAAGCATGTCTTTAAACTTTCTGCTGTGACCCTCACAGCAAAGTCAACATTAACAATATTAATAAAAATCCACTGGGCACAGTGGCTTACACCTGTAATCCCAGCACTTTGGGAGGCTGAGGTGGGCAGATCACCTGAGGTCAAGAGTTCGAGACCAGCCTGGCCAACATGGCAAAACCCTGTCTCTACTAAAAATATAAAAATTAGCTGGGCATGGTGGCGGGCACCTGTAATCGCAGTTACTTGGGAGGCAATCACTTGAACCTGGGAGGTGGAGGTTACAGTGAGCTGAGATCGCACCACTGCACTCCTGCCTGAACAACAGAGTGAGACTCTGTCTCAATAAAAATTCAGGAAAGACTGAGCTTAAAGGCCACATAGATATCCAAAGATAAAATTTATCAAGATTTTTCTCTAAGGTAGTGGTAAAAGCAGTAAGATTTAACTCATAAGCATAATTAGATTCTTAAGATTTATAACGTGAACACTATTAGATGGTTTAGAACACTGATAAATTTCTGTTACCTGTCACCCCTAGATTGCTGATTCAGAAGCAGAATGTGAGGATAAAGAAGGAAATTTGTTTCCATCAGAAGTCTCTTGTACAGTGAGTTTGGAGGTCTCAGTTTAGTTAGTATTTGTTAGCTGCCTGTAAGTGAAGCCAGGAATCCCACAGCTGAATGACTTTTTCCTGAGCTGTCTCACAGGAGACCCCTGGTGGTGAATAGTTGCTGTGCTAGAAATGAGGCGGTATAGGGTTTGTGGTTTGTCCAAGTAGAACAAGTTTCATTAACAAGGTAGGGATACTCAGTGCTACTTTTCTCTCTGAAATTGGTTCAGAGATATTCCACTGTGCACTCTATTTTGCCTTAGCAAAAATCATTACACAACAGCATGATGATTATGTTAATATTTTTATATATTTTATTCTAAGCCGTAATCTATTACTTTATGATATCTGAAATTGGTATACATCAAAATGTCTGACGTGAAAAGCAATAGCTACACAATAGTGAGTAGGTGTTTTTATTGGCTCATTTTATAATAGTATTTGTTGACTGCTAGATAGTGAATAAGAATACTATAGAATTAGGGCAAGAGGATTTGTTGTTGTTTAAGAAAGAAAAGCCTTCAGGATTAAACACAGAAAAGTTAATTTCTCTCTGTACTGCTTTTTAAAGACTTACATTGATGGAGGAGAGAATATTTCATTGGTTTGTAGCCTTTTCAGGTTTTCTTAAAAAAACGCATGAAAATGGTATTAATTCACTGCCAACTAACATGGAATTTGTTTTGTTGCATGGCCTCGTTTGCGGTGGAATTCACAACAGAGAGTAAGTTCCATTTCTTTTTCCTTTATCTGTTTTCTGCACTACATTTTCCTTCTGTACTATGAACAGTTGTTAACAGTGTTAACCTAAGTTACAAGAGTCTGGGCAAAGCACGTATGGGCATTTTTAATGTTTTGTAGACTTTGGAGGAGATCGTGAATTCAATATGTGAACTACTTGGTTTTCATTTGTGTCTAGGTTTTCAGTATGTTTTTGGAGACTCTTGTGGATTTTATAATAATTCATAAGGATGATTTACAAGACTGGCTTTTTGTTCTTCTCACACAATTACTTAAGAAAATGGGAGCAGATTTACTTGGATCTGTGCAAGCAAAAGTTCAAAAGGCTCTAGATGTCACAAGGTAAGTGTTTAAGGGTTAGGTCCATTTTGATGTTACAGGATACTTGTAAGTGACTTTTTGCCATTCTCTTTTGTTACCCATGGCCTTTGTCACCCCCTTGAATATCTCTTTTACTCAGTTCTCACTTTCTGTTGTTGACATACTTGTTGACATGTCCCACCAGTCCATGAAATGAAATACCATATCTTCCTTGTGTTGATATTACTTTTGTGAGTATTTAAGACATATATAATAAACAAATGTAAAACTTTGGAAATTGATTCTCTTCTCATTAAAAAACATTTAAAGGGAACATTTAGAATATTTGTTTACATTTCTCTGAAGACCTTAGTATTTTTATTACTTCAACTTACAAGTCTTACTAGAAATTTTTCTATCGGTGTATGATGTAGAGTTTCCATTGGTCCAGGAAAATTCTCTAAATTAATAGTACACTGGCTAGAGATTAATAGCACATTTGCAGTAGTTGTGACCCTTCTGGCTGTTATGAGAAAAGAAAAGCTGCTGAAGCCCAGAAAAGTTAGAAAAAGTACATGCTGCTGCTGTTCAGAAACCGCTTCTCTATTGTCTATGCAGTTGTGGGTCCTCAATATGCAAGTATGAAAGTTGAAACATCTCAGAAGACACTTTGCAATAATGTCTTGGTTGTGATTTGGTGGAAGATGGATGGGGGGAATGTCAAATTGGTGAACTTTTTTAAAGAACAAAGGAATAACTTCCAAGTCACTCAGAAAATTATCAGGGCAATGACTTTTATAAGTTACTACAAACTGGAATAATTCTAGTTATCATAGAATTTCAAGATGGAAGGACCTTAAAGATGATGCTCATTTTATCAGTGAGAAACAGACAGTTTGCCTTGACTTTGTGTTAGTGGCTGTTTGGGAACGCAAATCCAGGATTTCTGAAGATTGCACTGTTGTCTGTTTTTATTGTTGCAGGCTATCTTGTGGGTGTGTGTCCTCACCTCCTGTGGGGGCAGGGGGGTGGTATGGATAGCACTGGAACCTTCTCTTCCCTCTCTGGCTCCCTTGACTAGCACAGTAGCACATCCTGCCCTGCCGGCATCTCCCTATGCGTGCAGCTTTTACATGACTCTGACTTCAAAGTATGCGTCTGTTCCTCTACACCATGATGCCAGCTGTTTTCTTTTGGCCCTTGACCCTGTCAGTCTGTGTAATTGCATTGCTCTAGAATTCTGTTATCCAGAGCGATTACCCTTCTGGTTTTTAATGAACTCAAAGTAATGTACTTGCATCTGTCGGTGAGGCCATAAAAAAAGAATATTAAATAAATAAATAAATAAGAATCAAAGTAATGTACTAAATTTGCAATAAAGCTTTCAAACTTCGTCATTCCTTTGCATGGCTAAACTTAGTGGAGTTAGGGAGCATTACAGTACACCATTATACCAGTGGATTATAAAGGTTTAGCCAAGATTGACTGAGGGGCTAGGCTGATAAGCTGGTATAATTGAGTGGAGTAGATAGGATGGCTGTTGATAGACTGGGGCCGGTTGTGGCCACATTGGGACATGGGCTCAGTAGTACCAGACTTTTCAAGAAAGGTCAGAAATGTGGATTTGGGCAACATATTTGAGAATTTTTTAAGATACTGTGAAGGCCAAATAAAACACATGTGAGCCAGACTTGGCCTGTAGGTCGCTTAATTTAGGTGAATTTACCAATGACCAGATCTATTTCATATATTTAGGAATGGTAGGAGTATTAAGATTGTGTTCCTAAACTTTGGTGATTAAGGAATACAATTGTGACCTCCTGTTAGTTTTCCTGGATGCCCCTTTAAGAGTCCTAATCTCAGTAGATTTGGTCTGAGTGCCTAAAGCGTTTTTAATATTCCCTTCTTTTTCTCAGCAGTTGAGATGCACAGCTGTTTAAGCTGATCTAGAATAGTCAGCGACTGCTAATAGGAGGTTTTAGTGATGGCTGAGAATTGCTTCTCAGTTTATAGACTTGAGTGCTAATCTGCCTCAATTTCCTTTCCTTTACCTGTGCCTAACAATGGCGTATTTCCCGATTATACACACCCATTACTGAAATGTATTCTCCATCCACCCCATGCTGCCAGAAGAAGGGAGAGACATTTTGTGGGTGGTTTGTTGACATAGTCACTTAAATTAGGTATATTAAAGTATGCTTTCCTTCCCGAAGAGATCTTCAAAGATTCCAGGGTATTATTGGATCAAGTTTACTTTTTATTAGTAATTATATGTAGGATAACACTGGTACCTGATATGTGCCATGTGCTTTTTATTTTTATTGTATGATTTTATTGACTTTTCAAACCAGTTCTATTTGCTTCATTTTACAGAGTCAAACCTACTTCTTTATTTTACTACATTTACGTAGATTGGGAAAAATCTCTAAGAGAGTCCAAAGAAAGCAGTGTAGATATTTGCCTTGCATTTATCTTTCCTGTTAATATGGAAGTTACATCACCATTTTCCACGTGGGCCCCATTGTGCAATTTTAAACTAATACTAGTAATTACAGCATTTTAACAGAAAGAGCACTGACTCTCTGGCCAAGAGAGAGAAGGGGCTTCTGGGACCCCAGGCTTCTGTGTGTGATTTGTAGCTGGATGGGAAATGTTTTGTCGCCATCTCACAGGCATTCTTCTGTGGTGTGCAGGGACCCTAAGCAGTGACCAGGACCAAGGAGGATGATACGGTTAGTTTAAGCAGGGTCAGCTGTAAGCAGCCCGGTCAGGATGTAAAAATGAGATTTGGGTATCAGAAGTGATTTTTATGTTTAAGCAATATCCAGAAAGGTAGCTGGAGGGAAAATGAGCGAATCCCTAGAAAGGCAGGTAGAAATTTCTCCTTAGTTTATTGCTTAGTCTTAATTTTTTAAATAGCCACTCAAAGTAAGTTCAATTTGTGTTTGGGGACTTGCAAAAAGATCTTCCTTTTTCCATATTTTCTGTATAACATGTATTACTCTACATAAAACGAAAAGCACTATTTATTAAAAATGTGAACAGGGTTTTACATACATTAACTTACAATGGTATGCTTTTGTTAAATAGTTTTACATTGTTTTGTAATAAATTTCTTTAAAAATAAGCACTTTTTTCCCACCAACCTAGGGACTCCTTTCCATTTGATCAACAATTTAACATTTTGATGAGATTTATTGTGGATCAAACTCAAACTCCAAACCTCAAGGTCAGTAATTATTTGTCATTACAATTCAACCCTGGAACTCACATTTGTTTAAATTTACTTTTGTTTATGTATGACCCATGTTTAGCTATTGTGAATAAATCTGCTGTGAGCATTCTTGTTTGATTCTTTGTGGACATGTTCCTGTTTCTCTTGGTTCAGTACCTAGTAGTGTATTTGCTGGTTCATTGGGTAAGTACATGTTTAGCTTTTTTAGAAACCACTAAAATGGTTATACCATATTGTATTCCTACCAGTAGTTTATGAGAGCTCTAGTTTTGCTGCATCCTCACCAGCATTTGGACAGTACTAGTCTTTTTCACAATTAATATTTAAACTAGAAAATTAAGACATTCTTGTGTGTAGAGATAGGTATCTTATTGGAATGTTTAATATTAACATTCTAAGCTGTGAAAGTTAATCGTTACATGTTGTGGAAAATCATACCTGTAATAACAAGACCAAGTTTGAGGGAGGATGTATGTTAATTTGAATTAGGTCACGTTCATCATCTGTTCTTTGATCATTAACTTTTTGGAGGTTTTAGGATGAGTCTAACAAATAATTACCTTTTCCTCCTGAAGTCAAAGCTAGTTGAGAAGTTGATGGTGAAGTTAGGACAGAGCATCAGCTTGATTACTGAAAATGCTGCCTTACAGAACATGGCCTAGAACGTGTGACAAAACTAGAGCTGAACATGCCCTGCAGTCAGTGGCAGAGCTGGAAATCCCACGGGCCCCTCTCAAGGGCTCCTGCCCTGGAAGTGTCTTGCAGCATAGATGAGGAGCAGAGCAAGCTTCTCTACAGGCAGCTAAAAATGAAGAAAACTGAGCCATGTGCCTCTTCCTGTCCCCAAACTTACCCATCAGCCATTTCATGCTTTTTCCTCTGTTGGATGTCGCTCCACGTGGAAACTATCGATACAGGAGAAAGGAAGGAGATCCCCCTCACCAGGGTTTACTTTTCTCTGGCCACCTGATAAGAATTGTGTTCAAAGATTCATCAAGTGTACTTAATGTTTATAATTATTGGTTCTTTCAGGTCAAAGTTGCAATCCTGAAATACATTGAGTCTCTGGCCAGACAGATGGATCCAACAGATTTTGTAAACTCTAGTGAGACAAGGCTTGCTGTTTCTAGAATCATAACCTGGACAACAGAACCAAAGAGTTCAGACGTGAGAAAGGTATGTCCAAGAGAACCGACGTGTAATTACAGATTGTTCCTGGGCTTGTGTTAGAGAAATGTATTTAGAAACTTGAAAACCGTGCCACCCACCCACAAACCTATATCACTAAGGCTCTGCTGTTGCCCTTTTCTCTCTCCAGCTCTGCCCAGTTTTGAATATAAAAATGAAAATCTGAAATCTTGCATGATGGGCTTATGGTTTCCCCAGGCATCTACTTTATATATTTTCTAATATGAAATCACTAGTAAATTAGTGTCTTTTACACAGATGTTTGTTTTCCTTATATCAGTTTGTAATACGTACTTTGAAGATAAAATTGCAGATCTAGGGCTAGCTGGCTACAGGGTCCCTGATCGTAAAATGTGGTTGAAAAGTTTGATAAGACGTAATAGATGCTTAAAAAAGAGCAAACGTCTTTCAATACGTAGCACATAAGTATATGTGTGATATGTGAGTATGTGCTTTTGTAATGGAATGTTACTTAAGTATTGCCTGGTACGGGCTGAAACTTATTCTATATTTGCATATTACCTCGATTAGGACCTGTTTGGGACAAACTAGCTTTGATCATAATACCCACTCCCTGTGGACATGCACATTAGAATATTTGAACTAGGACTTACTGTCCTTATTATTCTAATCAGAACATTACAGATAATTTCGAATGATTAGCCTGATGCTCCAAAAACCTCAACTTATTTTAATACTAGCTCAAGCCAAATATAAATAGAACGTTGGATATATTGCCAGAAATCACTTTGTTCATTTGCTGTTTGAATGAGCTTCAACACTTGTTTTCAGTTATTTTGGATTATATAGTGTTACTTTGCAAAGCTTTATCTCCACTGGCGTGCTACTTTCCATGCCTGCCCCACTAATTCTCCTTTCCCATTGTGAGGTGTACTTAACTCCTCACCTTCACACCTAACTTATACCCAGGTTCTAGGACCATAATCCTGATCTTCAGAGGAATTTCAGAAGATTTAGATTAATAGTTCACAGTCCTGGCTGCAATTAAAATCAACATAGATTTCTGAGCTCTATTCCCAAGTAATGTGATTTAATTGATATAGGGCAGAGCGTAGACACTCTGTTGTTTTTTCGATTGGGGTTCCTTTCACTCTTGGCTGATTTTTAATACACAGACAAGGCCTAGTATTTTGGGCCATGGCCTTGGAATGAATCTCAAGACATGCAGACTACTGATATAGTCTTGATCTGGTTCTTGCAAATTCTCTTGCTACGGAGTGTTGCTCCTCAGTATCTTCAGGACTAGGCTTGGCCTCTCTGTTCCCTGGCATCTTCCCTACCTCCCTTCCTTGGACCTAGAGTGTTTGTGCTTCCTCTAAACCCACTTTAGTGGTTAGGGCCCTGTTACCCTGGGCAACTTCCTTCAAACTGATGGAATACCTGCCTGGTTTTCTGTGTATTGTCAGCTCAATGCACTCTGTATTGATCATAGAAAGCTTCCTAGAGAAGATAAGATTCATCCTCAGATGTGGAATATGGATGCAGTTTGCATAAGTGATGAGTTTAGGGAAAGGACAGTAGTCATGTTTAAGAAATGAGATTTGTCTGGGAACAGTGAAATAGACTGATATGTCTGAAGCAGAGGGTTTGGGAAGATGAGCAGTAAGGAGACTGTTTTGCTCACCCTGCATGCTCAGTGCCTGGCATATACCTGGAGTAACATAGTGGGCATTGATATGTTTTGAATGAATTAATGAATGATAAATACCCATATGGAAATTATTTCATTTCAAATGATATTTTGAAGCCATCATTTTTAAGACTAGTTTTGAAAATTCCCTTCTTTTGACTTCGTTATTTGTTTTCTATTGTATAACAAATTACCACATACTTAGCTTGAAACAATACAGATTTATTATCTCACAGTAATAAGTCAGGAATCTGACATGTGTTCTCTGGGTCCTCTGCTTGGTGTCTCAAAGGCTGAAACAAGATGTCATCTGGATCTGCAGTCTCATCTGAGGCTGAGGTCTTCTTCCAGCTCATTGGTCCTTGGCAGATTTCAGTCTCTTGCAGGTGTAGAACTCAGTTGCCTCCTTCCTTCCTCATTGTCAACGGGCAGCCATTCTCAGCTAGTAGAGGCTGCCAGGAAGTTTGCTTGTTCAAAGCTATCGGGAGAATACATGAAGAAATAATATCTAAGAAACTCCCCAAATTTGACAAAAAAAATTACACATCTGAGTAGCCCAACAAACTAAAAAAATTTGTTTTTTTGGTTTGTTTGTTTGAGACGGAGTCTCGCTCTGTCACCCAGGCTGGAGTGCAGTGGCGCGATCTCGGCTCACTGCAACCTCCGCCTCCCGGGTTCACGCCATTCTCCTGCCTCAGCCTCCCGAGTAGCTGGGATTATAGGCACATACCACCATGCCCGGCTAATTTTTGTATTTTTAGTAGAGAAGGGGTTTCACCATGTTGGTCAGGCTGGTCTCGAACTCCTGACCTCGTGATCCGCCCACCTTGGCCTCCCAAAGTGCTGGGATTACAGGCGTGAGCCACTGCGCCCAGCCAAGATTTTTTAATAAAAGGATTCACACCTAGACACATAACATCTAATTGCTGAAAGCCAAAGAGAGAATCCTGAAAGCAGCAAGAGGGGAGAAACTCATCCCATGCACAAGTTCCTCAATAAGATTAACAGCTCATTTCTCTTCAGAAACCACAAAGGACAGAAGGCAGTGGATGACATTGAAGGTACTGAAAGAAAGAAAGCGCTCAGCCAAGAATTCACTGTTTGGCAAAACTCTTCTTCAGAAATGGAGAAATTAAAACAAAACCAGCCATAGAATCTCTCTCATTTTGAATCTCTCTGATGCCTTTTAAGGGCTTGCCTGATGAGGTCAGGCCCATCCAGGATAATCTCCCTTTGGATTAACTCAAAGTCAACTGATTAAGGGCCTCAATTACATTTTTGAAAATCACTTCTGCCGTGTAACACAATCATGGGAGTGATATCCATTATATTCACAAGTCCCGCTCACTCTAAGGGTGGGAGAGGTTATATAGGGTGTAATACGTTATGGGGAATCTTAGGGGCCGTCTTAGTGTCTTGACTACCAGGGCTTTAGTGTCTCTTTTAGGGGGTTGGCAGAAGGCTTCCATAGTTATTCGATAATTCCTTGGCTCTTATTTTAGAAGGGCGCTTTTTTACCTATCTATGCAAATTATGATGTGGTTCAACTTACTTAGCAGATGCATGTCTGTATTCTGGCACCCTCTGGATTTTTTTTTTTTTTTTAATCATCCAAGATATCCGTGGCTCTAAACTATTTGGCTTTCAGTAACATTCAGCACTAACTAGTAAAGCATTACTTTTGATTCAAATAGATGTATCATAGGACAGTATTAAAATAGATGTCCTCAAACTCTACATTAGGGCACTGCAGATTAATCCTTTTTGGAGGTAGATTCACTTTTATTTAAATTCCCTGTTTTGATGTAGCATCCGTTGAACATTTATAAATATAGTTGCTTTTGTAAGTGATGCAGCTGCCTTACCCAAGAATATGAGACGTTCTTGAAGCACTGTCAAAATGAAGGTAGTGCCTAAATAAATTAAAATACTTAGAATTGTGATGTAGTATTTATCACTACTCTAAGATCTAAAATTGATAAGATTTAAAATTATTTTAAACTGTATGAAAACTAGTACCATTCTTATCTAGATCATTTAACACACTAAACATAAAATACATGTCTGTATAAATAAACTTTGTTCTGCCTCATCCTTCATTTCCAGAGTTTTTTAAAGGTTATATCAGGGATTGAGGAAATCTTGGTGATTTAAAAGCGTTTTGTGATCTTAAACCAAGTTCTTCTGTGAATGTCCTGCTTTAATTTTTTTAGGGTAGGTATTCCAAATACAGAAGAGCCCTTCAGTCTGAAATTTATACAGTAAATTCTCATATTAGACTCATCTCTGGAGAATATTTTATGTAAACAGTACCTGGGGACTTTTCAGACAACATAATTCATTCTCTAAGTCCATACAACCATGTTTGTGAAAGCACTTTTGAAGCATTTTAAACTTATAACAAGCTGATATAACCCAGATTAATTGATTTTAGCATTTTTAATATTTTGTTTTCCTTAGCTCAGTATATTGGGGTGTTTCACATTTTGGAGGGAGGGGTGCTTAAATTGTTAAGGTGTTTTTAAAATCAAAACACGAACGAATCACCAGTGAGTGAGGTGTGCTTACCACACTGAGACTGGTTTGGGCAAGGTGAAAAAGCCCAACCCAGTCTGTAACTAGCCTGCTTTATTCCAAAAGTAAACTTTTCCATTTTCTCAGTGTGGGAGCCCTGACTAGTTTAGTTGTGTGATGAAACTATGCAGACGTACACTAGACCTTTCTTAATGCACTGTGTTGATGTAAGATAATAGTATATATTACTGATAGAAAGAAGGTGGGTTCTGGAGTTTGACATCCATTTGACATCTGCCTCTGCCACTCATTGGGGTCAGAGCAAGTAATTTAATCCCTGAGTTCTTGTTTATTATCTGTAAAATCGGAATAATAATACTTGCCTCAAACTGGGCATGGTGGCGCATGCTTGTAGTTCCAGCCTCATGGGAGGCTGAGGCAGGAGGATTGCTTGCAGCCACAGGAAGAGTCCTATCTCTATACATAAATAACACTTATCTCAGGCATTACTGAGAAGATTAAATTTCATAAAGTATATTAAAACTTAGACATTTTATTTGCAGTTGCAGCTCTGCTATTATTGTTTGAGGATTGTTTTGGTTTTGCTGCTGCTGTTATTTATGGAATAAACTGAGTACCAGAATTTTTTCTAAGATTTAGGAAGCCAGGTGATCAATCAAAGGGAATGTGGTAATGGCAGTAGAATTTTAATTATATGTTTACATTTTGGAATTTAAAATGCCTGTATGTTTGCTTATCACATGTGACTCTCTTTGTCAAATGAAGCAACAGATTTAGCCCCCAAACCTTGTTTTGAGAAGTGTGGGCAAAAAGGCGTGGCGAAGAAACCTAGAAGTATAAAGATGCTGTTGGCTAGAGCAGGGAGAAGTATTAATACATAAATTGCCTTCAAAAGATGAGATATCTAGTTGACTTTTAAAAAAATATGATTATAAAGGCAGCATGCCTCTAGTCTGAAAGCTATGGGTTTTACTATCAAATAGCTGGATCTCAGCTTAACTGTGACTGCGAGTCTCTTTCAAGTCTTTTTTGTTGTTGTTGAGACAGTCTCGCTCTGTTGGCCAGGCTGGAGTACAGTGGCACGATCTCGGCTCACTGCAACCTCCACCTCCCAGGTTCCAGCGATTCTCCTGCCTCAGCCTCCTGGGTAGCTGGGATTACAGGCACATGCCACCACACCCAGCTAATTTTTGTATTTTTAGTGGAGACGGGAGTTTCACCATGTTGGCCAGGCTGGTCTCAAACTCCTGACCTCAGTTGATCTGCCCACCTTGGCCTCCCAAAGTGCTGGGATTATTACAGGTGTGAGCCACCACGCCCGGACTCTTTCAAGTCTTATTTGGACATCTTCCATTTCATCACCTGTAGCAAGAATACTACTTTCAAGATTATTAAGTAAAAGACCTAGTGATACTACTGAGGGTTAAAACTGACAGCTAATGTTATTATTCTGATTCTTCCTTACTTTCAATCATGTGTGTCTTGCTGATTTTATCTAAGAAGCCAAATGCTTTTATAGCTAACAGATTGCCATGTTTAGGCACTTTCTGCTTCTCTCTGATTCAATCCTCCCAACTTTCCTGTTTGCCAGTCCTCACTTCAGCGTAGTCGAGTAGGTGAGGATTTCCCCACTAGGTCAGCTTCAACCTGCTCTGGTCCTGGAGAAGGAAACTTGGAAGAAAGTTGTAAACAGGTAGACTGAAAACTGTGTACTAATTTCAAACAGCATACTTCACTGTTTGCATTTTAGATTATTAATACCAGTTGCCCTTGTGAAGGCTCTGGGAAGCTTTTGAGAAATGTAAAATTAATATAATAATATATGAGCGTGTGTATGTGTGCCTGTGTCGACGTTTGTGTTGTGGTGTGTTTTATGATTAACTACCTTCTCAGTGATATAGCCATGTTTATGTCAACCACTACCATGTTTTAATAGAATAGTAAAAACGAAAGATATTAGGCCGACACAGTGGCACACGCCTGTAGTCCCAGCTACTTGGGAGGCTGAGGCAGGAGGATTACATGAGCTCAAGGCTGCAGTGCACGGTGATTATGCCTGTGAATAGCCACTGTACTCCAGCCTGGGCAACATAGCAAGACCCCCATCTCTTGAAAAAAAGAAAGGAGAGATACTAAATGAGAAATGTCTGAGGGTTTTGAAATAGTTTCTCTTTGGTGACTTTATGAAGCAGTTTTTAATGAGAGTCTGAAGGGAGCAGTGAGTTGTTTAATAAATTGGAAAACTCTGCCTTTCCTCTCAAATTTTGTTTTCCCAAATTAATACAAACACTGAAGTGTTTGGTAAAGCTTTGTTTTGATCTGATCTGCTAGGGAGAATTCCTTTCTGCTATAAGATGTGCAACATTCAAGACAGTTGATGTCCCTGGGAGTTGTCTTCAAATGGTAGCAGTGAGATGTGAAGAACCTTTTACAAACCCCACCTCTCAAATTCCTCTATGAGGGTGTGTGTGAGAATCATTTCATTTTAAGTTGCCATGTGATCCTTAAAATAAATTGCCCTAGGGTTGCCCATTAGAAAAAGTCAGCAGTACTCTGAGTTTTTCATCTGGCTGCCTAACGGTCTTGCCTCTTACGAAGATAACAGTTCACATATGCCGACAAGAACAGTGGCGTACTCCACTTTTTGAGTCACTAGTAAACATGAGCTATGCCCCAGGCTTTTTTAATGCATCTCTCCAGCCCAGTTCCATATCTGGAATTACTTGTTTAATGAGATCATATTGGTGGTAATGATAAATATAACCCAGTTTTCTTCCTTGCTTGGATTCCATATTTTAACCTCTCACTGATTCAGAGGGTTGGAGATAAAATATTTGAAAACAGTAACAGTCTAATTCGTGGCAAAACTCTGATATAAAATCTTTTAAAAATTGGATACTTGGGCCCGGCACTATGGCATATGCCTATAATCCCAGCTACTCCAGAGACTGAGGCAGTAGGATTGCTTGGAGCACAGGAGTTCGAGGCTGCAGTGCACTATGATTGGACCTGTAAACAGCTACTGCACTCCAGCCTGGGCAATGAGACCCCTGTCTCTTTTCTTAAAAATAAAAAAATGTATATTTAAATGATACTTTCTACCGTTTCTAGAACTTGGATCTTATTTTTAAAAGATTTTACTTTGGAAACACTCTAAGCTTCTAAGTTAATAATTTGCATCATGAAAAGCCTCAAGTTAGCTTGGACATTAGGTAACATTCTGGGAAGAAATATTGTCTCTTAAATAAAGGCAGTGGCACATTTCACATAAAAAGCGTACTATTCAAGAATGTAATCATATATTTTATAACTTTCAAATGCCATTTTCAACCAACAAAATTTAAGTGCCAATATCTTTTAATTAAATTGATGTGTTTTCCCTGCTACAATTCCAGGCTGCTGCTTTCTTTCCTCCTTGTAGTGCATTATTTTTCTGCATGCATTGTTTTTTTTTTTTCTAACACCTAATACAATGTTTTTTAAAAATATGCAGGTTACTTTGCATGAGTTTTGGAAATTGTTCTGTTATGCAAATATGCATATCAAATAAACAGTACATTAAATTGGTGAAATAGATTCCTTCAGATAATTTGTTTAAAATGTTTCCAAAATGAAATGCAGAAAAGTGTATTTTAGTACAAGTAATAATAATGCTTTTTGCCCATGTCATAAAAATATTATGACCACTTATTTAATTTGGGTGGAAAAGGTATTAATGACTGTATTTGAAATTAAAGGGGAAAAAAGTAATGTACTTTTGCCCAATACTGTGATTAATGAATGATTTCAAAATGTTAAAAAAGTAACTTTTGATTATATTTTTAAATTCATAATTCTTATTTTTGGTTAAATACCTTTGGGTTTTTGGATTTCTTTTCCTACTCCAGGCACAAAATAGTAATTTTGTCCTAACTGGACCTATAATTAATTTTAGCATTGTAAAAGCATTGAAATATTTTGTGATGTTTATTTCCAAAAGAATTTCTCTGCAAGCACATTTTTTGTGTAATATTCTATGTCATGGAAAAAAATTCTGAATAATTACTGCAATCTTAAAAACTACAGTCTTTGGAAGGACTTTATGTTTGTAAAGTCTTTATGGTTAAAAATGAAAAATAAGTGATTATATTCACAGACAGTTTTTTATGTCTTTTTCTTTCTCTTGACTCTTAGAAATTAATTAGAAATGCCAATTAGTATTTACTAAATTTTTTTTGGCTTAGCTTTTATAAATGAAAACTATTGTAATTAATTCCTCAGGCATTGTGCTTTAAGCTCAGATTGCCTGCTACTAAATCCATAGAAAGCACATCACTTACTAGAAGCCCGAGCCTCATTGACCACTCTTGTTCCAGCTCATTGCTTTGCCTACCTCGCTACCACAATCACTACAAGCAGGCTTGCAGTGTGTTGACTCAATTAATAAGCAAAAGTAGAACATTTTCCAAAAGGCAGAAGAGCATGTTTTTAACGTAGACTCCTTCGAAATCTGATTTGCTTCTCAAAGTCTCTCTCCTTGGTTTATAGGTGTAAAAGTAGAAGTTTTTCTGAGGTATTTATACTCGTTTTCTCATGTTTCTTAGTCAAGAGGAGTATGGCTTCACAAGATAACCTAATGCAGCTTGTTTAAAAATATGTGCTTTCCAGGGTGTACTGAGATCCCTGTTCAGTTCTGAATTATTAAAGTGGGATCAATCTTAAACTTTTTAAAATTTTTTAATTGTTTCATTTACCTACTTAACCAGCTTCATTCCTAGTACCAGACAACAAGAGAAAAGTTCTAGGAATTTATTATTAGTGTGCTGTGGAATTCCAAGGCCAGAGGGCATTAAAATGAAGCCAGAGTTTATTTTCCCGATTGAAGTCAGACTGCTTGTGATTGGTATTATTTTCTTCAGATGCTTTTTTGTTTTTGATGCCTAGAATGCCCTCTTATTAGTGATTTTACTTATAAAATATTTTTTTAAACAACTTTAATCAACATTTTGATGACCTATTGTACATTACATAAATTAATCATGGTTCCTTTTTCTAGGCAGCACAGATTGTGCTAATCTCTCTGTTTGAATTGAATACTCCTGAATTTACCATGTTACTTGGTGCCTTGCCAAAAACATTCCAGGATGGTGCCACCAAACTCCTGCACAACCACCTCAAGAATTCCAGTAACACCAGTGTGGTGAGTGCTTTGGTCACGATTGGTGCCTATGTGATGTCCATGACCTCTGCGTAGCCCTTATCTAGAACCTACTCTAATAGAATACCCCGTTTCCTTGTCCTCTTTCAGGAAATGTCGAGCATCCTGAGGATGGGGCCATCTTAAGCCCCAGTGAATGAATGAATCTGATATTTAAGTATGCCGTTTTTTCTCAGGTTGTTCAGTCAACTACATTTTCACTAGGTTATCCAGTTAGTCATTCATTCACTGAGTTGGTCTTATTTTTCAACACTGGAAAGATGCAAGTGCTCAATTTTGTCTGTCACTCTAGCACACCCAACATCAATCATTTGACTCCAGGAGTGCTTGTATGATGATTATTCATTTTTGGTTTATATACACTTAAAATTGGCCTTATGATTCTAAGGGAAAAAAAAAACCATCCTGGGCAGATTCTACCCATTTATTTACATGTGGGTTAAAAGACCAAGGAAAGAATAGAATATATTCTATATACAGCCCTTGAATAACGATGCCTATTCTGCTTCACCCCAGGGCTCTCCAAGCAATACGATTGGCCGGACGCCCTCCCGACACACCAGCAGCAGGACCAGCCCCCTGACCTCACCCACCAACTGTTCCCATGGGGGTCTGTCTCCAAGGTAAGGTCACTTCTTTACTTTCCACAGATGTAAAGAAACTAAAGCACCTTAATTGCTGTGCATCCTATTTCTAGATTTTTAGACTAAGCTAAATAACAAAAAGAATATTGAGTATCAAGAACCGTGGGTTCTAGTCCTCACTCAAATTGTAACTGTATAATCTTATGCAAAGGGGTTAACTTCTGTGGTAAGATGAGTCATGTGTGCTGAATGTTCTCTCGTTCTTGTAGCTCTAAACACTCACTAGTACCTAATAGTACCTACAACTAAAAGTTTGTATTTAGTACTGTTTTACATAGAATCCATGTAGAAGCTCATTACCCATTCTGCAAGTGGTAGAACCTAAAGGTATTTAGTCATCCAAGCCAACTTGTTATAGTCAGTTACACCAAGTCTAGGGTAGTTTTTCAACCAAGTAATCATTCTAAACATAGTTGCTATCATGTTTGAAGCAGAATGCTGCTCTGAAGGACTGTGATTTAGAATCTGGGAACTAAAATTGGATCAACATTGCATACTCTTGTTGGGACCGTGCAAATATTGGCCCTATAGAAGCTGAGGCAATGATTTAAAAAGAGAAACTGCTTTGTCTTGGGATCTTTAGATAATACTTCACCATCTGACAAGAGCCTTTAGAAGACTGCATGGTGGCTTTAGTGACCCCTTCACATGGGCTGGGAGTTACCCATGGCCCCACTCAAAGCAGTTGCCCTATAGGCCAAAATTTTTAGGAGAGAGCCAGTGTCTGGACCAGCAAGGGGCACACATGCTCTGTTTGTCTACAGGATTAACTCTTTGGGATCACTAACAATACAAACCAGTAAGCTTGTGTCCTGAGGGCTGCTGACACCAGGATCTTAAAATGAAATGCAAATACCACAAGTATGCTATTTTCCCTTTAATGGGTCCTTGTTACTAGGAAGATATCAAAACATAATTGCTTTTACATTTAGTTTTTTAAATGATCAAGAATCTCCCACACTTCTTCCTTATCACTGAAGGTTTCCAGTTCCTCATATCCTTTAAATACTTTGGAACATAAGAAATTTGTGTTTTCCTCTTGGTGAAACAAAGTATTTTCTATAGCTATCTTATCTTGCTGTTCAGATTGCCCTTATGTTTACTCCCTCAAGTTTCCCTCTGCACTATATTCAGGTAGACTGCAATGTGATATCATGTCTCCAGATTTGGTCTGTGTTGTCATGGCTTCAACAGGCTGTTACAATTAAATAATTGAGGCCAGAGACTAATGAAAATATGCTTGACTTTTGAATATGATGGTACAGTGGTGACAGTAAAATCATAAAATTATCTTTTCTAGTGGAGAAAATTATATGGAAAACTTGAATTTTCTGTAAATTGTCGCCTCTGTCTAGAAGAGATAGTTATGCAACATTAATTGGGAAGTCTTTTCTTCCATAATATACAGTTCATACATCTTTTAGTTATTGCATTCTTAGGGTGGCACATTCTTTAGTAAGTCAAAAGGGATAACTCAAATTAAGCATTTTATTATTTGGACTAATCTAAGTAAAAACTTGATAGTGCTGTTAGTATCATTCATCAGAGCTAAAACTGGCTAAGTCAGTCTCCATGGGTCCTCAAGTCATTAAAAATTGTGTTTTTCAAGGTCATTATTCCTTCTTAATTGGCCTCATCTTAATTTGTATTTATAGTTACAGATCAGTGGAAGAAACAAAGAGATTTATTTTCAATATTCAGTAGTTCATGTGTGGTCTAAATATTTTCTTGTTATCAAATTCTTATTTAGGGAATTATTTATGTAGTTTCTTTCTTGGAAAAATATTTTTTTTTAACTTGCCGTCATTCAGTGTGTAAATAGCCAGATGGCCTTAGCCAACTTGAGCTTACAGAAGAAATGATTTTTCTCGCAACTAAAACTGTCCAGCAGTGGGAAAAACTGCTTCATGTTATCATGTCACTAGAAATATTTAAATAGGCTACATATTTTCTAACAGGAAAATGATAAAAGAAATGAATTATTGCACTAAATAGAATTGACTAGGTTACCTCATTTAAGGAGACTACAGACAGATAGACAGATCTGTTGTATATAATCTCAGCTATTTTTTCTGAGCATTGCTCTTAAAATGTTGATTTTCTGTGACCTGCCATTTCTTTGAGTTATCTTGACCAGACAGTGTTATTTTATTCTGTAGGGGAAAAGCTATTACCAATTATTTGTTTTCAGTCAAATTAATTAATTAATTAATTTATTTAGAGATTAAGTCTCACTCTGTCACCCAGGCTGGAGTGCAGTGGCATGATCTCTGCTCACTGAAACCTCCGCCTTTGGGATTCAAGTGATTCTTATGCCTCAGCCTCCTGAGTAGCTGGGACTACAGGTGTACACCACCACGCCCAGCTAATTTTTGTATTTTTAGTAGAAACGGAGTCTCGAACTCCTGATGTCAGGTGATCCGCCCACCTCTGCCTCCCAACATGCTGGAATTACAGGCATGAGCCGCCACACCTGGCCTGTTTTAAGTCTAATTTTAACTGTCAAAATAAACTTTTTTTTTTTAGTCCAAAATTTCTATACTTGGATCATGATGATAGTGAGAAACTATTCTAAAATGATAAATCTGATAATTGTTTAAAAATATCACTAGTGGCTGGACACCGTGACTGATGCCTGTAATCCCAGCACTTTGGGAGGCCAACGTGGGAGGATTGCTTCAGCCCAGGAGTTTGAAACTAGCCTGGGCAACATAGTGAGATCCTGTCTCTACAAAGAATAAAAAATTAGCTGGACATGGTGGCACATACCTGTGTTCTCAGCTACTTGGAAGGCTGAGGTGGGGAGATTGCTTGAGCGCAGGACATGGAGGCTGCAGTGAGCCATCATTATGCCACTGCACTCTAGCCTGGACAACAGAATGAGACCCTGTCTTAAAAACAAAAAATGTGTGTGTGTGTGTGTGTGTGTGTATATATATATATGTGTGTGTGTGTATATATATATACATATATATGTGTGTATATATATATACATATATATGTGTGTATATATACATATATATGTGTGTGTGTATATATACATATATGTGTGTATATATACATATATATGTGTGTGTGTGTGTGTGTGTGTGTATATATATATATATATCTCACCAGTGAGGAAGTCATTTTTTTTTTATCAACCCAGTAGTAGTAGAGATGCTGTAGATAATAGGTTAAACTTTTGTAAAACATTCCGTTAGACATCATTTCTGTGTGAAAGAATAAACTTCCTATTACCAGCTAATACACAAATACCACTTGGTATTTGGAGAAGAGATCTATGTGCTATAAATATGTGAAGTACATATTTATCTTTTACCCAATATGATTTTACGGTAAATGAAAAACTGAGTTGCAAGGGGCTTCAGAAGTCATCTGAAGTCCATTTCCTTTAAGAAAAAAAAAAGTATATGGTGGTCCTTGCTCTGGTCTGCCATATGTTCTTGGCAAACATGTCATAGAGCAGGATGACTCTGTGTAAATAGCATGTATGTCCCTAGCAATAGGAAGTAATTTTTAGTCATCTTGTGAGAGGATCCAGAGTATGGATAGAATCAAAGTGGGGCTTAACAGGGAGACCCCACCCCACACTCGGAGGTGGGTGTTCTGCCACTCCTTCCCCAAGCAGAGGCCCAGCCTGAGGTGTCACCTGCATCCCTCCTATGCCCTCACCTCCAACCCAGTGTGTGCATCTGACCCAGTGTGTGCCCCACACAGAGACCAGTGTGTCTTTAGGCCTCTGTATGCTAGTGACTTTGCATCTCAATGCCTTATTTTCCTTGTAAAGCAGAGCCATACCTGTGCTCAGGGGAGACTAGCATGCAGAGGCTCCTGCTGTGACGATGCCAGTGAATGCCAGTGGCAGGCAGGGCTGCTGTGTAGGCACCCTGGCACTGATGCCATGGACTCCACCCATGGCCTTACCCCACATCACCAGCCAGCCAGCTCCCCACTTTCCCAGTCTCTCCCTCCATCCTTTTGAATTGCAACAGTTGTTAGAACTCTCCTTCAGGGCCTCTGCAAGCCCAGGCACCCAGTGACATTTATGAAGGGAAGGTGAATACTTGTGTTCCCCAGAGAATTTCAGTTCTCATATTAGGTGGTATGAGCAGAGGGATTTGGTTTTTATGACCCAGCACTCTGAGCTGCCCAGCTGAGACTTAACATGCTAGCCCTCTAGTGGTGCTACGGTTGTTTCAGAAGGAAACAGCTTGTGCTGTCTCTGAACGCCATCCAACTGGATCACAGCACCAAAGAATGCACTGCTCCATGCTGGAGAGCTCTGGTCAGAGTAGCACGGTCTCTGAGTCCTCCTGCTGGAGTCCCTCTGGTCCGATTTGAATTAAGGCCCCATGATTCTTCTTTGGTTCTTTCTAAAATAACTGATGAGTTAACTGAAAGTGAGCATCCATATTTTCTTGTGTATTGTGTTATGTCCTTCCCAGTGCATGCAGATACACACAGCCCCTCATACTGACATATACACACAGTCTCACGCATAGACACTCTTGGAATCTCATGTGATTTTAAGTAGTAAACACATTCCACGTTTGGGAGGGGAAAGAATAAAGCAGTCTCATCGAGGACCAAATTGTAAAACAAAATTTGTTCTTTTCTCTGTATGATGAAGTGCTAATTTTGCTCTGATTAACTTTAATAGAACTTTGTCAAGGAAAGAAGAGACTAAGACACTTAGTGTGTAGTGCTTTCCTCCTCCCCTCCCCTTTGCTTTTTGTATTTCTCTCTCTGATTTTCCTCTTCTGATCACTGCAGTCGGTTATGGGGTTGGAGTGCCGACGGGTTAGCGAAGCACCCACCTCCCTTTTCTCAGCCTAACTCCATCCCCACCGCTCCCTCCCACAAGGCTCTCAGGCGCTCTTACTCTCCCAGGTAACAAGCTACCTGTCAAACTTGTCTGAGGTGTCACAATATTATTGCATTTCCAAGGTCGTCTCAGGTCTTTGGGAAAGCCTCTAAGCTGCCTCCAGTGTGGTCCCTTCCTTGGTGTCACATAGCAGGAGTAGAGCCTTGGTGAGAAGTGTGAGCAGGTGTGTGATCTTTGCCAAATCTCACAAGTATGGTTCCTGCTGTGTCACAGGGACAGATGACCCTTTATAAGCTGATCAGATTCATCACCACCTATTATTGTGGGCCTTTCTGTACAGTGCAGTGCTCAGCCCCCAGAAAGACCTCAGGAAATGCTGTGAGGTCAGCGTGGGCAATAGTGGGAGCAGTTTCCTTAGCATGCGTCTAAAGTGCAGAAGACATTCCCCTGAGAAGCCAAAAAGACCTCTTTCCCAAACCATACCTGTCACTCTCAGCCTTGCTATTGACTATTTGTAACTGATTTCTTTCCTAACATACTGTCATATGAGGGTAGTCTGAGCACACAGATCCAGAAAGGAGTCCCCAAGAGGCAGGATAACTGTTACAGCTCACTAAGGATGCCCTGCCTCTAAGAAGGAGAAACGTCAGTCCCTTCACGCACCCCCACAGTTGATGCTGAATGCGGCATCATGGACACTGGTTATGCAACAATGTTATGAGTCTGGAAGAAGGGGTGGGCTTCCCTCAGATGCTGAATCTGTGGTACAAAGAAGGGTCCACATAGTACTGCAGATGTCTATTTCAGGGTCTCTTGGGGATGCTTTTTATAAGGTCCAAAGATCAGAGAATCTCTTCCCTAGAAACCTGTTAGAGCACTGGGCAGTCCAGCTGTCACTGTTCTTTGTGAGATGAGTTTCTATCCTCTATAATAGAGGGTGTGATAGGAAAAGGGTTAAAAAAAAAAAAGACCTGTTACTTTTGAAATACTTCATAGATAGCTTTTGTGCAGATTTGCATTCTGACTTTTGTGGAATACAAATAATCTACATAGTGAAGCCAAAAACAGTAAATGAAATATTTTAACAACACCTTCCTTTTGAAGCTCTTATACCTCTAAAAGTCATTTCTAAAATGTACAGAGAACCCTGCGATGAATGTTTCTAGATACACAAGGTTAGGGCAAGCAGGCGAGGAGACGGCTGCTGTCTTTAATGTTAACAAAGCAGGTCACTCCTTTTTCTTTTTTTTAAGGTTAGCTGTGCCTCCAAGTGTAAGATCAGTTGGTTGACTATCTCCCAGTATGTTGACCTGTATTCCCTCATGGGCACTCAGCTTCACCACCAGCCAGCCATCAAGATTGCCCCTCCAGAGCACATCCCATTCCTAGGATCATCTTTCACATACATACACGATACATATTGACCTAACTCATTAAGAGAGAATGCTTACTGAATACTTATAACTTCTGTTGCCCATTGGAGGCAGGGATAGTTGACTAGAGACTTTTACATTTAGAAAACCTATCAGTTACATAAAACTAAGAGGGAATCTGTATGTCTGTCTATTTGTTCTGTGCCAAAATCCTATTGATTCCATAACAAAGAATGACTATCCTTATTCTATACATTGTACCCTTTTCCTACAAAATGACGAAGAAGGCAGGCTTCTCTCTCCAGTTTCTCTCTCTTGGAGACCTGACCCCATGTTCTCCTCCCTCCCCACGACATGGATCCTTTAGCGGGCAAGCCCAGGGCTGCTTTCAGCTTCCATGTTGGGTGGCATGGCCTAACCTTAGGTCAGTGACTATTGGCTGATTAAGGAATTCTCCCTAATCTAAAAAACCCTAAGAGAGCCCTTCTGGAGTCTAACCAGAGTATTTACAGGTGATCAGGGCCTGACCTCTAACCCAAGGATTATGTCCTGGGGTTGTCTCAGGGCTGAAACAAGACAGGCTGTGGGGCAGATGGCAGATTGAGGTTTCCCCAGGTCTCTTCTCAGTCAGCTTCTGAGGCCGTCCTGCTGCTCCCTCATATACTGCTTGTGAGGACACAATATCTACCCTCCCTGATGATGGCTTCCATGGGAAGTTCCTTTTTCCTTTAAGTGAGAACTTAACAGATACTGATTTGGAAAAATATAATTCAAGCCAAAGCATAAAAATAGCAAAGAAAGTAGCATGGTCTGTTTCCTCCTAGAGGTAAGCAGTTATGCCTCTCACCTGCAGCTCACAGTTATAGCTTCATACCAAGGAGATACTTCAAACCCCAGGCTAGTGAGTCTAAAAGAAGACACCTTCAATTGTTCTTGGTTCTGCAAATGGTGCTCCTGAATTGGGAGTTTGAGTTGGTTTATTAATTGAAAGTGAGAAGGAGGAAATTACCTGGCAGAATCCTTTATTTTCTTATTTTAAAAAGAGGCTATTGTAATAGTGAAGTGATGTGATCTGAAATGAAATATTTTTAAGAAAGTTCAGGTTAAGAATAATGAGATGAATTATCTGAAAGCTGACATTATCTGAAGCGACATATGGAAAATAATATTGTGACATCCCTTAAAAAAACTTGAACGTTCCCCCAGACTTCCTCTTGTCCATCCCATCATTCTTTCAGTTTTTTGGATTTTTTTTCTTTTGCATGGGCTATGCTGTTATTTTTGGTTGTTGTGATTAAAAGTATTTTAAGGCATTTTTTTACATCTTGTATATATATTTTTTGTTTGAGTCATAATACTCAGTCTTTATATATAAAAAATAGTGTACTGGCCAGATGTATAAATGCCTTGTCCATACAAAAGCTAGTATTGTGGTGTCCTCAGAAGGAGCGGGGGAGCCTCTGGCCCCTTGGTCATGCCTTTCTCACATCTAAGGAGTGTTGCCTCTTTGACAGACAGCCTTGTGAACATAGAAGAGGTTGAAATCTTAAATTCTCTTCAGGTTTTTTATTCTACCTCCTGTCAGTTTAGACATGGAATTTCAACAGCAAACCTGTTCAAGGTTCACATTTCTTTTTGTTTGATGCTCAAGTCAATCTTTGAGTTGAATTTTTTTTTTTTTTTTGTGAACTCTCCAAATATTCATTCATCAGGAAAGGTGGGTTTTATCTGGGCCATATTTGCAATTCTAGACAAATAGCTCCCATCTTTGAGATTGTGGTCAGCTCTTGGGCTCTAGAACCTACCAGCACCAGCCCTAGAAAACACTTGGATCATTGCTACATCAAGCCAGTAGAGATCTGGCCACTCCAAGTGAGAGCTCTCCAAATCTTACCTTGCTCATCTGCCCCAACTTTTTTTTTTTTTTTTTTTAAGGCAGAATACTTAAGGAAGAGTATTTACTAAATGTTCATCATTTTTACATTACAGGAAACTCACTTTGGGAATGTACAGGATTGGTTGTGTTGCCCTTAGGAAGGATACTTCGTTTCTTCAGTTACTACTCTTTTGAAGAACAGGAAGATTGCTTTTCTTTAGTCCTTAAACAGTGTTGCATGCTTACAGCCAAGGATTCTTCGCGTGTCCCTAGCAATCCTCAGTATAGCTCAGGACTATTTTAAAAATTAAATTAGACGAATTCATCTGATCTTTTCTTGAAACTTTCTTGAAACAAGTGACATTTAAACTAAGATTTTTTTTTAACTTGCCCTTGGTTGACTGTTGCTTCGTGTTTTGCTTGCTTTATGCTGATATATCCATCCCATGCTTTTCTTTTATATTCTCAGGATGGTTTTTGTTCTCAGGATTCTCCCTGTTTCAGTGCACTTTCCAGACATCTAAAAGGCACTTGTTGACAAACTGCAGTGCACCAAAAAGGATTGTTTGGCTTTTTTGCTTCATTTCATGTTTTGCTGTGCCCAATGTCTATAAAGACAGCAGTCAATAACACTTTTCTGTGAACAACAAATATTTCTTGCTTTTATGAGGATTTTTAGATGTCCATCCAGGAATGTGACTTTTTATAAAATCTGCTTTGATTATAAAACTCCAAACAGAAGCATGTAGAAGAGTCTGATATTAATAGCAAGCTCATGGGTGAGATGATGTGAGAGTTACTTTCTGGGCCTGTTCATAGGGTGGATCTGACTTTGAGTCTAGGGTTTTTTGTTTTGTTTTGTTTTAATAGGGTTTTATTTGTTTTCTGGATTGGATACCTGGGAGTATAACCTAGCCTTGTGAGGTCATTTACTTTGCTCCTTTGAAATTTGCTTATAGTACTAGCTTTATTTCCAACTGCCCATTCCTCTTAAGTTTGTACATTTGAGACCAGTAACAACCAAACTCCTTTTTTCCATCTTCAAAATAAGAAAGTTATTTTTCCACTTTCATTATCTCGTGCCTTCAGTCACCAGTGTCACTCTTTGAGTTCCTGCATTCTCGTGGTTACTGTTGTTTCCCACTGGTTTTTATTGAGTGCTGATGTAATGTGTTTGGCAGATTTAACAAAGAAGATGTGTAATTGTCCGGTGGTGGTACTCTAACAAAAGACGTCTCCTTTTCATTCCAAATCACCCAATAAACAAAACTATAAATATGTCTTATTCTTTAAATTGTGGGAAGTAACTTATGCCCATATCTCAGTTCTATGTATATGCCTCGATTTAAGAAATAAAATATTTTTTATCTTTAGCATGCTGGACTATGATACAGAGAACCTGAACTCTGAAGAAATCTATAGTTCTCTACGTGGAGTTACAGAAGCCATTGAAAAGTTTAGTTTTCGAAGCCAAGAAGATCTGAATGAGCCAATTAAACGAGATGGCAAAAAGGAGTGTGATATTGTAAGTATCCCTAGGCTAAAAGAGAACTCTGTATGAGTTAAATGACAGATAATGAGACTTCTGAACACTGACCATCATGATTACTGAGCTTCATCATTATTTTTATCCTGTAGTTAAAATAATGTTTTCCTTTTAGTTTTAGTTGACATGTAATAATTATACACATTTATGGGATACAAAGTGGTATTTTGATACATGTGTAGAATGTGTAATAATCAAATCAAGGTAATTAGTACATCCATCACCTCATTTATCATTTCTTTATGTTGGGAACATTGAAAAATTCTCTCTTCTAGTGTTTTGGAAATACACAATAAACTGTTGTTAACTGTATTTACCCTACAGTACTTTAGAGCAGCAGTCCCCAACCTTTTTGGCACCAGGAACTGGTTTTGTGGAAGATAGTTTTTCCACAGACCAGGCCAGTTGGTGGGAGGATGGTTTGGGGATGATTCAAGCACATTACGTTTATTGTGTACTTTATCTCTATTGTTACTACATTGTAATATATAATGAAATAATTATACAACTCACTATGATGTAGAATCAGTGGGAGCCCTGAGCTTGTTTTCCTGCAACTAGTTGGCCCTGTCTGAGGGTGCTGGGAGACAGTGACAAATCATCAGGCATTAGACTCTCATAAGGACCACGCAACCTAGATCCCCTCGCATGCACAGTTCATAATAGAGTTGACGCTCCTATGAGAATTTATTGCTGCCATTGATCTGACAGGAGGCACAGCTCAGGCAGTAATGTGAGCAATGTGGGGTGGCTGTAAATAAGATGAAGCTTCACTCACTTGCCCACTGCTCACCTGCTGTGCTGCCTAGTTCCTAACAGGCCACAGACCAATACCAGTCTATGGTCTGGGGATTAGGGACTCCTGCTATAGAGCATTAGAACTTATTCCTCTTACCTAGCTGCAATTTTGCAGCTATTAACCAGCCTGTTTTCCTCCCCGACCCCCCCCCCACCCCTTCCCAGCCTCTAGTAACCACAGTTCTACTGTCTACTTCTATGAGCTCAACTCTTACTAGTTCCCATAAATGAGTGAGAATATATGATTTCGGTCTTAATGTACCTCATTTATTTCACTTAATGTCCTCCAGTTCATCCATGTTGCTGTGAATGATAGGCTTTCATTTCTTTTTATGGCTGAATAGTATTCCATTGTGTATATATGTCACATTTGCTTTATGCATTCATTTGTTGAGGGACACTTAGATTGATTCTGTATCTTGGCTATTGTGAATAGTGCTATAACAAACATGAGGGTGTAGGCATCTCTTTGATATACTGATTTCCTTTCTTTGGATAAATTCCCAGTAATGGAATTGTTGGTTGTGTGGTAGTTCCATTTTTAGGTTTTTGAGAAACCACGATACTGTTTTCCATAATGGCTATACTAATGTACATTCTCACCAATGGTATATAAAAATTTCATTTTCTCCAAAACCTCACCTTTGTTATTTTTTGTCTTTTTTATAATAACCATAAAATAGTATTAAGAGGCCCAAGGTAATTAATTTTACAAAATTTCAAAAGAGCAACCCTCAGCTATCTTTTCAAGGAATGTTAAGTGCCTTTTTTCTCAGTTTGCTTTTGTTTATTCTGGACATAGTTTTGTTTCATGATGTAATAAAAATAGTGAGCCTGAACCAGACACCACCATGGCTTTCTGAGAGCTCCAGTCTCATGGGAGAGGCAGACAGATAAGCACAGGATCATGGTGCAGTGAGTATGGCCACTGCTCAGCATCCAGGAGACCCGTGGCTAGTTGTGGTGCCTAGGGAGGATGTTGTATTAGTCAGTTCTCACACTGCTATAAAGAACTACCAGCTAGGTGCGGTGGCTCACACCTGTAATCCCAACACTTTGGGAGGCCGAGGCGGGTGGATCATGAGGTCAAGAGATCGAGACCATCCTGGCCAACATGGTGAAACCCTGTCTCTACTACAAATATAAAAATTAGCTGGGCTTGGTGGTGCACACCTGTAGTCCCAGCTACTCAGGAGGCTGAGGCAGGAGAATTGCCTGAACCTGGGATGCAGAAGTTGCAGTGAGCCGAGATCGTGCCACTGCATTCCAGCCTGGTGACAGAGTGAGACTCTGTCTCAAAAAAAAAAAAAAAAAAAAATCAGAAACTAGGTAATTTATAAGAAAAGAGGTTTAGTTGACTCACAGTTCCACAGGTTGTATGGGAGTCACAGCTGGGAAGGCCCCAGGAAGCTTACAGTCATGGCATAAGGAGAAGCAAGCACATCTTCACATGGTAACAGGAGAGAGAGAGTGAAGAGGGAAGTGCTGTACACTTTTAAACAACCAGATCTCATGAGAACTTACTATCATAAGAACAGCAAGGGGTAAATCTGCCCCCATGATCCAGTCACCTCCTACCAGGTTCCTCCCCCGACATTGGGAATTACAGTTTGACATGAGATTTGGGTGGGGACACAGAGCCAAACTATATCATTCTACCCCCGGCCCCTCCCATATCTCATCACCTCACATTTCAAAACACAATCATGCCTTCCCAACAGTCCTCCAAAGTCTTAACTCATTCCTGCATTAACTCAAAAGTCCAAGTCCAAAGTCTAATCTGAGACAAAGCAAGTCCCTTCCGCCTATGAGCCTGTAAAATAAAAAACAAGTTAGTGACTTCTAAGACACAGTGGAACTACAGGCATTAGGTAAATGCTTCCATTCCAAAAGGGAGAAATTGGCCAAAACAAAGGGACTACAGGCCCCATGCAAGTCTGAAACCCAGGAGGGCAGTCATTAAATCTTAAAGCTCCAAAATAATCTCCTTTGACTCCATGTCTCACATCCAGGGCACACTGATGCAAGGAGTAGGCTCCCAAGGCCTTGGGCAGCTCCACCCTTGTGGCTCTGCAAGGTACAGCCCCTACAGCTGCTTTCATGGACTGACATTGCGTGCCTGCGGCTTTTCCAGGCACACAGTGCAAGCTGTTGGTGGATCTACCGTTCTGGGATCTGGAGAACTATGGCCTTCTTCTCACTGCTCTGCTAGGCAGTGCCCCAGTGGGGACTCTGTGGGGGCTCCAACCCCACATTTCTCCTCTGTCTCCCCTAGTAGAGGTTCTCCATGAGGGCTCTGCCCCTGCAGCAGACTTTTGCCTGGACATCCAGGCATTTTCATACATCCTCTAAAATCTAGGTAGAGGCTCCCAAACCTCAATTCTTGCCTTCTGCATACCCACAGGCCCAACACCACATGGAAGCTACCAAGGCTTGGGGTTTACACCCTCTGAAACAATGGCCCAAGCTGTACGTTGGCCCCTTTTAGCCATAGCTGGAGCTGGAGCAGCTAGGATGCAGGGCACCATGTACCAAGGCTGCAGAAAGCAGCAGGGCCCTGGGCCTGGCCCACAAAACCATTTTCCCTCTTAGGCCTCCAGGTCTGTGATGGGAGGGGCTGCCAAGAAGGTCTCTGAAATGCCCTGGAGACATTACTCCATTGTCTTGGCTATTAACATCCGGCTTTTAATTATTTGTGCAAATTTCTGCAGCCTTGAATTCCTTCCCAAAAATGGGTTTTTCTTTTCTCCTGCCTGGTTGGGCTGCAAATTTTCCAAACTTTTACACTCTGCTTCCTTTTTAAATATAGGTTCTAGTTTCAGGTCATTTTTGTGTTTATGCAAATGAACAGAGGCTTTTAGAAGCAGCCAGGCCACATCTTGAACACTTTACTGCTTAGAAATTTCTTTCACCAGATACCCTAAATCATCTCTCTCAACTTCAAAGTTCCACAGATCTGTAGGGCAGGGGCACAGTGCTGCCAGTCTGTTTGCTAAAGCACATCAAGAGTGACCTTTACTCCAGTTCGTTATCTTCATCTGAGACCACCTCATCCTGGACTTCACTGTCCATATCACTATTAGCATTTTGGTCACAACTATTCAACAAGTCTCTAGGAAGTTTCAAACTTTCTTTCATTTTCCTGTCTTCTGATCCCTCCAAATTGTTCCAGCCTCTGTCCGTTACCCAGTTCCAAAGTTGCTTCCACATTTTCAGGCATCTTTATTGCAATACCCCATTTCTGGTACCAATTTTCTATATTAGTTAGTTCTCACACTGCTATAAAGAACTACCTGAGACTGGGTAATTTATAAAGAAAAGAGGTTTAATTGACTCACAGTTCTACAGACTATACCGGAGGCCTGGCTGGGGAGGCCTCAGGAAACTTACAATCATGGCAGAAAGGCAAAGGGGAAGCAAGTATGTCTTCACATGGTGGCAAGGCAAGAGAGAGAGCGAAGGGGGAAGTGCTACACACTTCTAAACAACCAGGTCTTATGAGAACTCACTCACTATCATGAGAACAGCAAGGGGGAATTCCACCCCCGTGATCGAATTACCTCCCACCAGGTTCCTCACCGAACATTGGAAATTGCAATTTGACATAAGATTTGGGTGAGTACACAGAGCCAAACCATATCAGATGTGCAAAAGAGATTATGTCACCTCTGAACTGAAGCATGGAGGTCCAGAGGAGTTTGTTAGGTCGAGTAGGAGGGTTATAGTCAGGAGGGCCTGTTTGAAGACTAAGACATGGATGTAGGCATGGTGTGATTTCCTATTCGAAGTGGCTGAAGTGGAGAAGAGTGGGCATGAGGAGTGGTTGGGGAGATTCAGAGCAGGAAGGATGTGCTCACTGGGGTATTCCCAGCCAATGCCTTGACTTCACCCTGGTGATACTGGAGTCATTGAAGGATCTTTAAGCAGGGAAGTGGCATAGTCATACTTATATTTTAGACAGGCTACTGTAACTATGGAATGGAGAATAATTCAGAAGGAAGTGGGATTGAATAGGGCATGAGCAGAAACAGAAGAATCAGAAGTCTTCTGGGGCTGTCGAGCAAATGCTAGTGCAATTCAGTGAAATATTACCCTAGAAGGAGATGCTCTCTTTGAAATATAACGAATTCTCTTTTGAATACATGCAAATTGCAGGAATTATGGAATATCCAAGCAAATATATCCATCGAGACTTTGGATATACCAGTCTGTTTCAGCCAGTGATTTAGGCAGAAGTTAGATATTTGAGAGATATTGATTAGTTGCTTGAAGATAACTAAAGAAAAGTAAGTGAAATCACCAGGTAAAGGATAAGGACAGAATCCTAAGGAGCATCAACACTAAGGGAAGGACAGAAGCTAGAGCTGACAGGAGGGAGACCAGGAGAGGGTGGTGGCATAGAAGATAAGGGAGACTATTTCAGGAAGGACATTCTAGCCAAAGGGGCCATGCTGCAAAGAGATAACAGGTCACATATGAAATGAAAGGGCTCCATTGGATTATTTGCTTATTATCCACATTAAATGTTCTATTTTAACCTAAAAGATATAAAATACACATTTACTTGCCAATGTTTTGATGTAAAGTTAAGACCTTTCCTTCGAGAATGGGCTCACTGGATTTCCATGTTTTTCTTCTTAAATAAACTTTACACGTAGTTACAGTCTGCAATATCCAAAGTTAGTTACTTCCAGGAGTACATTGGATCTTGTGAGCACAGTTGAGTGCAGAGTTGAGAATGGAAACCAGATCACAGTGGGTGAAGAAGTTGAGGAACAAACTGGAGAGAAATAAGGATCAAAGGGCATTTCAGATGGGAGAGATCTCTCCCAGCAGGGCCAGTGGAGAGAAGAACCTTGCCTACACAGTGGAGGAGAGCAGATGATTGGATGCGATCCTTCAGGACGTGGGGACGTGAGATTAGGGCCCAGGTAGAATGACTGGTCTTAGCTAGGGAGGAGGGCGGCTTTAGGGGCTTGAGGCAGGAAGTAGAGCGTGTTCCCACTGCCGGTTTCTCAGGGCAGTGGAAGGAGGCCTGCTTTGAAGCGGGGGACTTGTTGTGAGGAATGGGGGAATCTGACTAGGGAAACAGAACTCCTATCAAGAACAGTAGAAAAGATGGATGCGTGAGGGGTTACTTTTTCCAATTATGGTGGCTCACGCCTGCAATCCCAGCACTTTGGGAGGCCAAGGCAGGAGGATTGCTTGAGCCCAGGAGTTCAAGAACAGCCTGGGCAACATAGGGAGACTCCTGTCTCTACAAAAAAAAAAAAAATTTAATTTATCTAGATGTGGTGGTGTGCACCCTGTAGTCCCAGCTACTCGAGAAGCTGCAGTGAGAGTATTGCTTAAGCCTAGGAGTTTGAGGCTGCAGTAAGCTACGATTGTGCCACTGCACTCCAGCTTGGGTGACAGAGTAAGATTGTGTCCCTTAAAAAAATATATATATATGTATATATACACACACACACACACACACTTAATATGTGCCCAAAAAATGATACTTAGAAAGTGAAAAAGAAGAAATCACCATCTCTAGAGATAACCAGTGTTAACACTATAGGGTGTATTTTTCTATTCCTTTTTGTATATTTATACATATATGTGTGTAGGGGAGTGTGTGGAGTATTGCTTTTGTAAGAGTAATATCACACTGTCCATCTGTTGAGCATAGGGCATGAGTGCTTTTCCGTCAGTTCCTGTGTGAGTTGTGGCTTCTCAATGATTCCTCCTGTGGATGATGTTCTGTAGATGGGCACCCAGTGTCCTGTTTCAGTATATTTAGATGGTTTCTGATTTTGTCAAGTGTAAAAATACTGTGATGAGAGTTGAAAGAAGTGAAATTTGGGAGGGAGAAAATAAAGAGGGCAAGGCCTGGGAAGCCTCAGTGTCACCTAGGGACAGGTGGAGTGGGGGGAGTGCAGTGGCAGAGCTGCAGGGCCAGGAGGAGTCAGGAAGTGCCATGAAGATGCTGCATGTCAGAGCAGTGGCTGTTCCTGCTGGAGAATGTGGCCTCGAGCAGCAAAGCTAGGGTGGCAGTGAAAATCGAAGAATGGACCAGGCATGGTGACTCATGCTGGTAATCCCAGCACTTTGGGAGTCTGAGGTGGGTGGATCACCTGAGGTCGGGAGTTCCAGACCATCCTGACCAACATGGTGAAACCCCATCTCTACTAAATACAAGAAATTAGCCAGGTTTGGTGGCACATGCCTGTAATCCCAGCTCCTTGGGAGGCTGAGGCAGGAGAATCGCTTGAACCTAGAAGGCGGAGGTTGCAGTGAGCCGAGATTGCACCATTTACACTCCAGCCTGGGCGACAAGAGTGAAACTCTGTCTCAAAAAAAAAGAAAGAAAATCGAAGAATGGAGGAGCTTCACAATTCACCATCTTAGCCACCACTTACCATATGTTTAGTTAAAACATTGAGGTGGATATAAAACTGTGTTAAATGTGAAAGACTCGGGAGCCAGTACATCTCCTCTTAAGCCTAACAAGGAAACCCAATATAGGGAGACAAGCCAATAGGATGAATGTCAGATGCAGTAGGAGGGTGATGCACACAGCAAAAATGAAGACATTCAACATAGGGAGAAAGCCCATCCTTACGGTCAATTACAGAAATACAGCAGACTTATATCAAGGTTCTCTTCTGCTTTGCTTTAATAGAAATTACAACATTTAATACTAGAAAGAGCATAAGGATCTAGTGTAATGTTGGTGCCATGGGAAACTGATACAATGTTTTGGAACTCAGTAAAATTATATTTAGCAAAAGTGATTTGCATATTCTTTACCCAGTATGGTTAATCTACACTAAAGAAAGAACTCAACAGAAGAAAAAAAAATGTCATTTCCATAAGATAGCTTATTTCAGCATTATCTACAGTAGCAAAAATATTAAAGGGGAACATCTGAGTAAATCTTTTTTAAAACACAAGTAGAGGTAGTGGTGTGATTAAACATGGTGGTTACAAAAACTTCATCCACACGGGAAGTGCTTGCACTGTAGGGAAAGGAAAACAGAAGCCAGCGTGCACACCGGGTTCCTGCTGCGTAAAGCCTGCGTGGAGACACACACTGAGGGAGTAAGGTTTTGTTGTTAACAGTGATTAGAATTGGGAGTTGAGCTTTATTTTTTAAATGTCTGAAATTTTTAAAACCCTTCTCTTTTTTTGTTTTTTTTAAACCTCCTGTTCAATGGCTTACCTTTTTTATAAATAATTTTTCATTATAATGGTATTTTTAGAAGACTTATAAAAAGAAACAATTAAAACCATCCATGAATTTTCTTCCACCCAGAGAAAACCTCTGTTAAGATTTGATTTATACCTTTTTAGTCTTAATTTGTTTCTGTCTACGCATATATTATGTATTATTTTTACATCTTAATTATAAAATTTTGTTTGTGGGTGTTAGAAACCAAATGCATCCCAGCACCTCCACTAGATTCAAGTCCAAAAGAATTGAAAGCAGGGACTTGAACAGATGTTTGTGCACCAGTGTGTCATAGCAGCATTATTCACAAGAGCCAAAAGGCAAAAGCAATCCAAGTGCCCATCAGCAGATGAACAGATAAACAAAATGTGGTATATACACACAGTGGAATGTGTTCAGCAGTTCCACTTATCTGAGGTACCTAGCATAGGCAGATTCCAAGAGACAAAGTAAGATAAAGGTTACCAGGGGTTGTGGGGAAGGGAGAGGGATGAGGATGCAGGGTTTTTGTTGGGAATGATGAGAAAGTTTTGGGTATACATAGTGGTGATGGTTACACAACATCATGAATGTATTTAATGACACTGAATGATCAAAAATGGTATGTTAGGAATGATCAAAATGGTATGTTACATCTACTTTTCCAAAACCGGAAAAAAGTGTAAATGCATTAGCACAAAGTGAGAGAAATGTATCTTGTCATCAGCACAAGTAAAAATTTTGCCATAGGTGTCACCAATGTGTTCTGGCTGCCTGGAATGTTTCCACCGTTGTTGGGTAGTCAGATGTTTGGGATGAGGAAAACAGTCTGTCCCCGTTGCCAGCAGCCAGCCCACACCTGCTGGGCTACACTGCCACCTACAAAGGGGCTAGACCAGTGGTGTGCCCCACAGCAGAGGACCCTAAAAGCAAAAGTGATTTGCTCTTGTCGATACCATGTCAAGGGCCCAGTCAGAGGGCCAGCGGTTGAATTTGTTGAAGACAACATTCAGAATATACTAGGGAAAAAAAAAAAATTTGGGAAATACTAAAGTCCTGTTCTTTGACCCAGCATAACAACTCTGAGTCAGAAATATCTAAAAGAAGAATGATATGCCTAGGAGGTGCTGAGTTCTCTGTCATAGGAGATTGTGAAGCGCCGAGGCCCAGCACTAGGCAGGAATACATATAGTACAAGGAATTAATCTGGGGATGGATGACACCCATTAGACTTAATGATGGCGGTTGGAGGAGCTTCTGTCTGTGGATGTGGGCCAGGGCCGCAGTGAGAAGCCCCCGTTGCTGGTCTGGTGCTTGAAAGCAGGGGTGTGAGTGGACAGCCTTTCCTTCTCAAGGAAAGGCTTCTGAGCCTTTCATCCCTCAGAAAACATCTTGGTAAAGTGGATCATCAAATTACAAAGTAAAGGAGATTTAAAGCGTAAAGACTAGATGCAAATAAATGCAGGTATATTGTTCCTTTTATGGTAGTTTACGGATTTGGTATTTTTACATTGCAGTACTAGTAGCTGTCCTTTTGTCACTGGCCATACATATTTCAAGTGAAAATCTCTGGCCTTCTTAATATTTCTGAGCATTCAAAGGAAATGTCCATTACAAGTCCCAGAAGGGAACTGACAGTGTGCTGTGCTGCAGGTGTCCCGCGATGGGGGCGCTGCCTCCCCTGCCACTGAGGGCCGGGGGGGTAGTGAAGTAGAAGGAGGCCGGACAGCTCTGGATAACAAGACCTCACTACTCAACACCCAGCCTCCGCGCGCCTTCCCGGGGCCGCGGGCGCGAGACTACAACCCGTACCCCTACTCAGATGCCATCAACACCTACGACAAGACCGCCCTGAAAGAGGCTGTGTTCGATGACGACATGGAGCAGCTTCGAGACGGTTGGTGTCTCTTTTCTTAACTGTCCCCACCCAGAAGTGCTTCCCTTGTGCTCCCTCCCGTCTGGCCAGCACCAGGCCCACTGGTCAGATGTAAATGGAGACGCTGGGTCTGTTCTTTCTGCTTAGTCATTTGTTCAGGCACTACTTAACTGAATCCCTACTGTGCGCTTGGGCACGGGGAACATGGCAGTGAACAGAAGCACAAGTAGCGGGGCAGTGAGGAAATAAACAGTCACACGTGATATGAAGTAGCCACTGCCACAGCTGAGCATGAGGGAAGGCCAACTCTACCATCAGGAAGGTTTTGCTGTAGAACCCAGGGCCCAGGTAGGCCAGGGGTGTAGGAACAAACAGGATGGCGAGCGCGGGCTCAGCCTTTGTGAAGGCCTTGGACCTGCTTCCCAGCTCCCCGAGCTGTGGAGTGAGATCCTGAAGCACTGCTCTGAGGCTTCCCTCTCCTTTCACACCTGCTTTGTAACCAGGTCTCCCTGGAGCTGTGTTGACCTCCGTGCTGCATTTGGGAGGCAGGGGTTTGACATACACACTGAGCATTTGCATTACCATGTGTGGTGCCAAGCTAAGTATGGGGTCAGAAAGATTTGCCCAAAATGTAACGTAAGCATATAACATAGGAAGTAGGGAGCAGAAGCAGAGCTAGTCTGGTTTCTTTCTGGCTCCTGTGTTAAGACCAGTGTCCATTACTGAATAAACTAGTGAGTGATGAGTATGTATTTGTACAATGGTGTTTTTTTCGGGAACTGAATTATTTTTTCACCTCTCATGTTACATGATTTGGTTTATTTCGATTTGATAGTGCTTTTAAAAAAATATTGTTTTGAAGCCTGTTTTATTTCTCAAGTTTGAATGAGTAATTAGAACCTACATTAGAATTCTAAATAGTTAACATTCACTAAGGGCCTACCGTGTGTCATGAAGTGTATGGGTTGCCAGGGACCGAGGCACATGAGACACAGTGCCTGGCCTCAGAGAGCTCAAGGTCTGTCAGGGGAGCAGACTGATAGTGGTCACACTAGTACCAGAGAAGGCCTGTGCTGGAGGCAGATGCCAGATCCAGTCGGGGCACAAAGAAAAGAAAGCTGATCCTCTTGCAGGGATCAGACAGTAGGGGAATGCTAAGGTAGAAGAGGAGTTCTCTGTTTGAAAGCAGAAATGGCTGTAGGGATTAAAAGCCTAATCACTTGGCTATTAATTGCTTATATGCTGGTGGGTAGCATCTCAGACTCTGCCCACACATCTGTTTACTGGACAGTGAGCTATTAGGGTATAGTGTTTGTAAGGACTGGCACTTCCTGGGAGAAGTGGACTATTTGTTTTCATTGCTTATAGAATTGTTTACCTTATCCTTTATAGATCTTGATTAGGGTAGAAATTACAGTGTTGGTTATTCACCAACTGTGTACTAAAAGGCTTAAAGAAAAGGAGGAAAAGATAGGAAGGCAGGAGGAAATGACAGAGTTCTTTACCATTTCAGACTTTCTTGTGTGTTTGCTACCCAATCTTAGAAGCTAAAGAAGTATGCAAATACACATTTAAGTAGTTCCTAATAACTTGTCTGATTTGTTTGTTTTTTCATCCTCTCTATTTAAAGTTGAATATTCAGAGTTCAGGTTTCTTAAAAGAACATGGAGGAGAAAGGATGTGCCTTTCTGCCATAGAAACCGTGTTCACAGCCCTGCAGGTAACTATGTTGAGTCATCTTGGGCCAGTTTTTAGTCTCCACATAGATAGTCCACCAGTAGTCCAAACACCTTGACTGGTATTTGTTCACCATGCTGGTTCCTAAGCTGTAGACATTTGAGAAGGGAATGGAGGATAATCAGATGTGATGGTGAGGAGGCCTTGAGGAGTATGTGTGTATGAGAGTAGATTTGACCCTGGTAAGAGGCTGTCCAGTGGTGGGTCTGACTCAGGACCATGGCAGTGGGAGAGAGTTTCAGAAAATAAAAGGGTTGAGGAGGGGCTTTGGCGGATACAGGCATTTCTTCTCTTTGTCTGAAGTAGAAGGGAAAAGATAGCAAGGAAGGGTGAAGACATTGACTGTTGGTACTGGACAGCTGGTCTCGCACCTCTGCTTTCACAGTGAACTTGGTGAGAAGGTTGGTGGAGGGTGTGTAGGCTGAGGCCGGACAGCGAAGCAGGGCGGAGGGTGGGAGGGGAACCGTGAAGGAGGCATCGCCTCTGGGAGAGGAGGCAGGAAGGGAAGGATCACTGCGCACCACTGAGCAAGCCCCTGTGCTGGGCATTTCCTCACGAGGTGACGTATGTCTGGTGTGTTTCACCAGTGCCCATCGACCATTCTGACCTGGTGGCTGACCTTCTGAAAGAGCTGTCCAACCACAATGAGCGAGTGGAGGAACGGAAGGGAGCCCTGCTGGAGCTGCTCAAGATCACGCGGGAAGACAGCCTTGGTGTCTGGGAGGAGCACTTCAAGACCATTCTGCTCCTGCTGCTGGAGACCCTTGGAGACAAAGACGTGAGATGCTGGTTTGGCCTTATCTTGCCCCTTTCCATGTAATGGGGTCACGATGTCCTTTTCTTATTGGGCTTAGCTTCAGCTTTACTTTCTGGGTTGTGCTTACTGTTTACATCAAAACATTTATTTGTTCATTTTTCACATATTTTCTGAGCACGTTTAGTAAGGTCATGTTTTTATCAGCAACAAGCTGCTGCTTGGCTTACGTGCATGGTCTGCAACTGGGTTTATAGTAGTTGAGGAAACTTCATTCCTGCATCTAGTTGCTTTAACACAGAATTTCTTAAAACTTTATTAGCATAGAATGTGGTCTTTTAGGATGTACTTTTTTACTTGTGAGTTTCATTTTTGTTTCATATGTAATTGAGAAAAAGTTTCATTTTAAAAGACCTGATTAAATGCTACATTCCATGAAATTCCATCTTGGTCCCCCCCTACATATGTTAAGAGTTCCAATAATTTTAATCAGTCAAGTGGCAGGTTCCAGAAGCATGATTCTGATTTTTGTATTATTAATTTAAAAATAAAAAAAGCTTCATCATGCTGGGACACTTGAATGTGACAAACTAGGCATTTCTGACATGCCTGGTCTGTGATCTGCACATCGCACATAGAGAACTCTTAAAGGGGGGAGTAATCTGGTCAAAGTCCTGCCTTCTCCCACCTGTGGAGCTGGTCCCTTATATGGAAACAGGAATAGATGCTGAGAATTACCAGAATTAAACCTCTACAAGAAAAAGTTTCTCCATCCACATGGAGAAGAGAAATGAGAAGAGAGTGCTGTGGGGAGGGGCTGGAGGAAGGGGATGGGAGGATTGCCAGGAGGTGGCAGGCCATGCCCAGGGCCAGCTAGAGGGGACTTGCATGGCAACTGAGTGACAGGGAGGCTGCTGCATGCCATGCCGTGGTGACTCAGATAGCTTTCTGATGCTTTGGATTAATGGTTTGGTTTAGGGATAAGTAAAAATAGAAGAATGGTAATAAGTAATCTGTTTTACTTTTTTAAAAAAAACTTTTTAAAAATACTTTTAAAAAAAACAAAGTATTGGCTCGTAAGGCAGTTATGCCTTGTTGGCTCTGTTGGGAGATAAAGTGATGTCATGTAGAAGACAGGTAAATGGTGTATTAGTGTGTGAACTGTACAGATGAGTGGCAAAGAATCAGGATGTACTTTCTGGCTCTGTTTGGTGTAAACTACGTTCTCTTTTATTGAGATCAGGAGTCTGTTTGGAATGGCTTTCCTCCAGATGCGTGACTCTGGCCTTAACCAACTCGAGGCCTGTACACACCCAGTGATCTCATCACATGGAAGGTCAGGAATAATGACAGGCCTTCCACTGTCCTTAGGTGGAGTTCACTCTTACAGGCTGTGTTGATGAAACATCCAGGTGCTTTATACACATTCTTTCATACATTTTACAGAAGCATAATTTGTAGCCTGAAGCCTCAGGAAATCTGGAAATCCCCAGAAAACTGATAATGAACTTAGGTATATCATCCTCATTTGGTCTCAAGTGCATGGCTCGTTCAAGTAGCTTTTCTCAGTGCCTGTCAGGCGCTGGGTCCTGGGAATGTCACCCTAAGGCACAGTGCCTGCCTTCATGGAGCTGATGTCTAGAGAGCCAGTGTCAAGTAAAGCTGATTTCAAGTGAACTGTGTGATCTGTTTAGAGGGTTCTGCGAGGTTCCAGGGAACCCAGAACTGGGTGCTTGGCCTTGCCGACCCTGCTGACTGCTGTGTGTGAAAGTGCTGTGTGGTGTTTGGTGATGTCTTCCTTTCCCTTTGTATTCTAGCATTCAATTCGAGCACTGGCGTTAAGAGTTTTGAGGGAAATTCTGAGAAATCAACCAGCAAGATTTAAAAACTACGCCGAGCTGACGATTATGAAGACTCTGGAAGCCCACAAAGACTCCCATAAGGAGGTGAGTCAGTCATGTGGCCAGGGGTGCTGAACAGACGGGTCATGAGGAGCAGTTTGGACATGGAGATAGAGGAATCAGAATCAGTGCACAGCTTAAGAGCCCCTTCCTTGGAACTCAGCCATGTCGTAATACAGAGTGGAGTCCCCATTGCTGTCGTCCTTGCTGAGCAGTGGCATAGTTCCAGGGCCAATGCCATTTGTTCAGTTCCTAGCTCCTGCTCACTGTTTCCAGCAGGCCTGCCCTGCCCCTGGGATGTGTTCCATGTCCGTGCTTCCAGCTGCCTTTGTGGAAGGGAAGGGTCTGCTGCTGCTTTCTGGCATTTAGCCTCTGGTAGTCTGGTGTGGGAGGTGGAGACCAGCTTTGGAATCACAGACATGCAAGTCCCAGAACCAATGCCTTCTTGCTCCAGATAAGTGGACCAGTCATTTCACCTTCTGAGCCTCCGTTTCCTTGTGTGTAAAATAGGAATGGATATTTTCACAAAGTTTCTCATGAGAATTAAATGAGATGACCAGGGATGATTCCAGCCCAGCGCCTGCCAACAGTGGGTAGCAGGCTGCTGTACTGACCTTCCTCCCTCCCAGCCGTTCAGTGTGCTTCTCTCTGCAAGATGAGGCTGAGTGGTGGCAGCCCTGCTGTGCCTCTTCCACTCACTTTTGAGTATTTAAAATGCTAGCAAGCTATCTCTGCAGTTCCTGGCATTGGGACCTCAGCTACCTGGTAGAGAGTGGCAGGACATGTCTCTGTGTCCTGCACACATGCCACAGAGGGTGCACACTCAGCAAAAACTCAGCCTGTTGCTTATTGGATTGTCCAGCCCCTATGCCTCACCAGGCTTTCAAGTGGCTAGAAGCCTACAGAGAATGGGGAGGTGGCAGGAGCTGTCCAGATACAAATGATTCAGTGACACCCTTCAGTAAAAGGAACTGTGGGAAACAAACTCATATATTGGAACTTCAGAAAACTTAGCATGCCAGGTAATGGGTTTGACCCCAGAGTGAGACATAACAACTTGCTTAGTTTGAGCTCTTGGCTCATGTGTGACTGTCGTGTGAGCACACTCGTGGATGAAGGGAATTATAGTTAACACAATTCTTCCGTCTACATAGAGAGTCAGACCCTAGATCATAGTTCTGTTTGGCGTTTGTGTGACTGCTTGAGCAGTGACTGATGTGACCTCTTCAAATCTCCACCACAATTGTAGCTCAGCAAGGGCGAGGGTCTTGTCCTCAGACTGGGCCTCTCTTCACCTGCTAGTCCTAGAACAGCACACAGTACACAGGGGATGGATGTGTTTTCAGACTAATAACTGGGTTTCCAAAATCTGGCTTGGTTGCATGATGGTGATAATAACTCACATTTGAACAAAGCACTTTTCATTTATAATAACTCATTTAAAAAACGTGAAGACCAGATGAGCTAGTACGATCAACATAGTGATTCCCAGGTGAGGAGGGAAGGTCCTAGAGCAGGGGTGTCCCATCTTTTGGCTTCCCTGGGCTGCGTTGGAAGAATTGTCTTAGGCCACACATAAAATGCACTAACAATAGCCAATGAGCCTAAAAAAAAACCACAAAAAATTTTCATAATGTTTTAAGAAAGTTTATGAATTAGTGTTGGGCTGCATTCAAAACCATCCTGGGCCACGGGTTGGACAAGCTTGTCCTAGAGGAACTGTATGCATAGCAGTTACTGGCAGAACTGAGACATTAGCTAGGTTTTGTGTCTCCGTTAAGGGGCAAATGGCATGTGCTAACTTTTTTAAACCATAATTGCTTCTCCTTAATGAGAATACGTGATCAAAAAATGAAATTAAAATGATGTTCTTTTTGTTGTGCTTTGTATTTGAGACAGGGTCTTGCTTTGTCACCCAGGCTGGAGTGCAGTGGCACAACCTGTGCTCACTGTAACCTCCACCTCCCAGGTTCAAGCAGTCCTCCTGCCTTAGCCCCCTGAGTAGCTGGGACTACGGGCATGAGCCACTGCACCTTTACATAGAGATGATATCAGTTGTTTTCATGGGGCAGTACATACTTAGACTCGGGCATTTAAATGAAATGCCAAGCCGTCCATGGTGTCTTGGCACGCACTTACCGACTCTCCAGTTGGAAGATATCTGTCTAAAGTTGAGTCCTAAGAAGTATAAGTTAACAACATTAAGTAATTGGTTTGTTATTTGCTTTTTTCTTGGGAGATTTTTTTTTTTCTGCAAAATTAGAAATTTAGGAGAGAAAATTCTCAGGTATGAGGCCCTTTAAATTGCCCAAGGGAAAAGAGCAGAATATATATCCTGCTTAAAATAAACTTAGCAGCACTCGGGTTCAAGGGTCCCCATGCTGCTGTTACTGACTTGTGGTAGAGCTGGTGGAGGAGATGTGTTGGGAACGGTGCCTGCATTGGCAGGCCTTCCTGCTTTGCATAGTTTGACTCACCTTGACTCATTGCCCTTGGAGTTTCCTTATAAAACTTTACTCTGTCACTTTGCCAGGAGCCACTATAATAACTCAAGAACCTGTGTATTTAGGTTTGAGGTTGGGTTTTCATTTTTCGTTCCTTTTTTTTTTTTTTTTCTTTTCCCTTGAAGTTCTTCTTATCTTCCTCTTATTTTAACCAATCTTTTCCCATTCCTTCTTGCCATTTTTTAGGGCAGAAGGCTGAGATGCACATAAAGTTTGTGTTGTAGGCATCTTGTTGGCATATTAATATGGCACGTAATAGTTCTCTAGTCCTTCCATTTTCTTATCATTGCATTCAATTCTTATGACTCCAAACATTTATTGAAAAGGATCTGAAATGTTTCTAGACTTACTTTATTAGTCATACAAAGTCATAGTCTATTTTCCTGTCTTATTAATACTTCCAAAGTTTGTTTATCCCAAAGTTAGCTCTCTTGGAGCTTCGTTCTCAATAAGAAGCTAGTTGGTTTTATATTCCCAGACAAAAACTGGGCTTCAGCAGGAGATGAAGAGCGTAAGACTCGGCAGGTTAACATGGGGCTGCTTTTAGAGATATTGGCACCAGCTGCCCTTCTCTTGCCAGCGTGACGTTACCACACCAGCATGTGCACTGTGGCTCTGACTATGTGACTGCAGCGAGGAAGGACAGCTTCTTGAAATACAATTTCTGTAAATTGAAATTTGTCACAAAAGCTGTTTGGGAAGATGGATGAGATAGGACTGACGATAAGATGGCTTGTTTTCTCATATAAGCAAGCGTCTGCTTTGTCAGTTTCTTTCAAAAGAAGCTATATGTGCAGAATGTGTTTCTTACACATTGAAAATGTGCCAAGTACCAAATCTGTCTCAGACACCATTCATCCAAAGCTAACATACATGTTCTATAGTAAGCAAGATAGATGAAGGATTTGGACACCAATTTAGAGTTTTTATTTTAAAATTTGGTGTTTCTGAGCTTAGACATAATGTTTTCATAGTCCCTATTTGAGTAAGTCTCTTTCATTATCTAACTTCTTTATCTTTTTAGTAAATAAATTTTGCTATTGAGTTTCAGTGCCTCATTAATGAAGTTACCGTGGTTTGCAGTAGAGTTGGCATTTAGCAAATACCTTAAAGGGCTAAGGCCTTGAGAGTGACCTTTTAAAATTTTGAGCCCATTTTCTGTTTCCAAGAGAACTCCATGAATTTGAACTCTTCTTATATTAGAATTTGTAATCTGTTTGTTAGAGCTGGTACAGAACCTCTCCTTTGGTGATTAAAAAGAGAGGATTAAATAAGAGAATTGATACTACAAAGAGATTCTGGGGTCAGTGTGAGATAAAAATCTTGAGGCAGAAAACCTGGTTTTTAGTCCTGCGTCTGCTGTTGTCCAGCTGTCCCCAGTTTCATCATCTTAGTATAACCCTGAATAAGCAGCTCTGCTGTGAGAATGAAAGATATTATGATATAGAAATATGCTTTTAAAATTGTCATATGCTATACAAATGTTGCTACATAAAACTGTTCTCAGACATCCTTATTCATTTCAAAAGTGCCCATTTCTCAGGAAATAGTTGATATACTAATTATAAATCATTGTATGCACACTTAATGCAAGAATATTTGTTGCTGCCAGTCAGTGTGATGTGCATATAGTACCCATAATGTTGAAGTTCACAGTAAATGTTTTATTTAAACTTGAAAGAAGCCCAACTGTTTTTTGAAGATATTCTGTAATTGAGGTTTTCTGATCATTAGACTTAGCTTATTCTGAACTTTGCCACATTAGTGAATATCCAGTTACACTTGTCTGTTAAAAGAGGAAAATATTAGCATCATTCATGTCACTGTGCTGGATCACCAAACATTTCTTGCTACACACACAAAGGTCGTGGTGTTTAAGGCACCAGAATCCAGCTTCAAGTGGTTTGGCTTGTTTTGGGAAGTTTGATTCTTAGATAAATATAAAACCACCAGTAGTATGTCTTCAGGGGTTTTATTTTTAAATCATTTCTAGTTAACTTTTTATTTTATGACTTTAAAGAATTAAAATGGCAAAATCAGACCAAAGTTATTTATAAAAGAAAGAGAACTTCCTGGGAACTTGTCTGGTTTCTGATTCGCCCAGCCAGCATGGTATCTCATGCAGTCCTTTAGACAAATGCCATAGTCAGAGAGAAGCACCAGTGTGCCAGAGAAGATATGTGATCAAATACCAGTTAGAATCACTAGCTGACCTCATCTCAGCCAGACCCCCTGCGCTCAGGAATGGCCCTTAGGTGCCTCTCAGGGCAGCAGTCATTTGTATCAATGGGCACTGGGAAATAATATACTGCATGAACTCTGGAGAAATGCCTTTACCCCTCTGTACTTTGGTTTTTCCTTATCTCTTACCCTATCAAGTGGACTAGGTGATTATCTGTGTTTCATCCAGCCTCAAGATAATACAGGTTGCTGTTGAGTAGCAAACCAAAATCCTCAAATTCTAAATTTTCAGTTTTCCCTAGGCCCAACCTTGGGATATGACCAGAAGCCCCATTTCCTTTGTAGGTTTTTGCTTTTTAATAAAAAGACAAAACCCCAAAACCTGTTTAGCTTCATTGAGAGATTCCAAGTTACTGAGCCAGCAGTCATACTAACAGCACAAACTCCAATAAATGTTTGATGATTGATGGGTAGTGGTGTACTGTAGTCTTCAAGGTCCTTACGGTTTAGTTGAGGTTAAAGCAGAGTCGTGTGGTTCAAAGTGAAATACACCAGGAGTTTAGGAGTGGGCTAGAATAGTCAAGGAAGAGTTCCTTAGGGAGTTAGAACCTGAGATGGGCTGAAAAGGAGCACATAGGGAGAGAACTTTAGCTAGGAGCCAAGGCCATGTGGCCAAGGGAGGGGGCATGGGCTTGGAAGACACTCCTGGGTTGAACCCTGCTGAGCCAAGATGGCAGGAGACTTACCATTTTGTGAGCCCTCATATTCTCTGTGTCGAGTGGAGAAACATAGCCCACCTCACAGGCTTGTAAAGTGCCAGGCACAGTGTCTATTTCTGAGTGGCAGCTGTGGTGGCGGCTGCTCCTGCTGTTATTCATAGGTAGGGGAGTAGTTCTGCCTCGCTGATGAACTGACTCTCAAGGAGCCAGATGTGACACCTGCCCTTTAGTTCTTGTAGCTTCAGAAAGAGCCATAACTTAATGTCAAAACCTTTGAGTTTGGGGTTTGAAGGCCTGGGTTCACATGCTGCTTTTGCCAGCTCGGGGGCTGTGATTGTGGACAAGTCATAGACACTCTGGATATCTAAAGCACTTGTATGCTGGGTGGGAGGTGGGGGGCAGGTGTTTTATACCCTGCGCTGAGAGGCTAGCATTAAAGTCAAGTGAGGTAAGGTGGTTGACATTGTTGAAAATTGAAGATAGTATCCTTTTTATACTCTTCCATTGAAGAAAGTAGACTGATTTTGAATAGAATTGTTGTCAAGTTTTTAAAATTCTACATAAAGCAGATATAACTGCATTTCTCTAAATACACCGAAGAAGCTATTAAATGCAATTGAGTAAACTCTAAAACACCAGTCAAAAATACGACTTGTATTTTTTGACTACTGCTTTGTTTGGAATCCGTCTATATTTGTGCTGGGGTAGCCGGTACATTGTCAGCGTTAGGCTAGGAAATGCCATGGGTTTTTAGAGATGGATACCGGAATTAGAATGCCAAAGAGAAGCCTTAAACGTGCTGCCCAGCTTCCCATCTGATGCTGAGCACCTCCTGAGAGGCCAGCCCAGCCTCTGCAGCATCTCCAGGACAGCAGGACACACCACCTCCTGGGCTCCCAGCCCCTCTTTCCACTCCTTCTCATCATTTGTCCCTGTTGGCCCTAGTTCTACCCCTTAGAGTAGAACAGAATAAATCTCCCACCTAAGAACCTGACCACATTTGAAGATATCCATTGTGTTGCCCTGAATCTCCTTTTCCAGGCAAGGATGTGATGACTGTCTTGTTAGAGGTCATTTCATACAGACACTACTTCTCAAGATCTTCAAAGCTTCCTGGAATTTTGTGCATGCACATTTTTCAGGGGAAAAGACTCATCAGGTAGAGTTGGATGATAAGATTTTATAATCTGAAATACTTTTAAAATAATTGATTCAGATTCTCCCTTTCGTTTTACTGATGAGGAAAACCGAGGCATAGAAAGTGAAGAAATTTACCCCAAGCTCGCTTGGCTAGTTGATGCCAGAACCAGAGCCAAAACTCAGGTCTCCAGACTTATAGCCTGGAACTTTTCTTCTCCCCTCCCTCTGGTACTGAGCCTAGCTAAGTGAGGACTCTCGTCCCAGGTTCAGGGCCATGCTGGCACTCCGTTGTAAATCCCAGGACCATGTCAGTGCCAATCTGGGGCATTGGTCGTTTTTCCCCAGTCTACTGGTGGATACTTAAACTCAGGGTCAATCCAATTTTTTAAGGTCTTTCTGGCCTTTCCCAGAAGGTGGCGCTAAACTCTTCCTTAGCTTCCACACGATTGAGTAGCTAAGCTCAAGACGCTGCTATGAAGAGTTCTTTGATTCCAGCCACTGTTGTTCCTGGACCTTTGCTTTTTTTTTTTGACTCAACCAGTTATTCTGGTGTGTCTGTGACAGAGCCAGATCAAACCTTGTGAACCTAAAAAACATGCAATCCAAATTTTGAAAACTTTGTGCTAAAAGAAACCTTTAAGCAAACATTCACCAGTATTCTGAGTAATGATCCAATTTTAAAAAGCTAGATGTGAAAATTACGCTTTTCTTAGCTAGACACTATTACTTCACTGACTTTGAAAGGTGAAGGAGTGCTGTGTTTCTAATGAGACTGTAGCAGAATTGGAATAGTTTTTGATGACTTCAAGGCAGATTATAACCCAGAAGTCTTTTTGATCCTGTCCTCTTTGAATAGTCCCTCACCCCTTTCTAAATCCTTGCCACTTCTGGCCACCTTGTGTACTAAGTGGTGTTGTCTTCCTTTGTTTCTGCTGCCCATGTTGACTTTTGCTCTCTGTTTGCTTACATTTATAATCTTTGCTTCTTATGTTACATAGAACACAGGGGCAAAACCTGAAGTTCACCCTGATTCAGGCAGCTTGCCAAAGCCAGGGGTTTGGCATATAGAGGGAAGTTGAGAACACCTACCTCCCTTGCCAAAACCAGCGTCTGTCTTGGGAAACTTTCTCTAACCCCAGTGAAAAAGAGGGCCTCAAACTACCCATCTTAATGTGCAGCTTCTGACATTTTATTTTCAGACATTTTAGAACCAAAGCCCTCATCCACATTAGATACATTTGATCATCCGGGCGTGGTGGCTCACACCGGTAATCCCAACACTTTGGGAGGCCGAGGTGGGCAGATCACTTGAGGTCAGGAGTTTGAGACCAGCCTGGCCAACTTGGTGAAACCCTGTCTCTACTAAAAATACAAAAAAATTAGCTAGGCGTGGTGGTGTGCGCCTGTAGTCCCAGCTACTCGGAGGCTGAGGCAGGAGAATCGCTTGAACCCACCAAGATGGCGCCACTGCACTCCAGCCTGGGCAACAGAGCAAGACTCTGTCTCAAAATAAAATAAAATAATAGATACATTTCACCAAATGCTTCATGCAGGCCACATCCAGAATTCCTGGATTTTTGTAAGATGAAGGGCTCCTTGGGTTTGGGTTTCAGCTCAGCAGATCTGAAACAGCCTTTTTTCCCAGCAGCTCTCTGTAGGATAATTCACTTTAACCTGAAGGGCAATAGAGTGCAGGAGATGGGGAGGAGAGAAGGAAAACCACGAGTTCTCACCACGAACCCGGCAATCAGTTACCTGGCCTCACTAATCCTCGTTGCAACCCCGAAGAGCACCAGGAGGCCTTAGCTTGCTCCTGTCAAGCCTGGAAAGCAATGCTGCTGACTCTTGAATCCTGTCTCCAGAGCCGTGTTCTTTCCACCCACTGAGCTGCTTCCCACCTCCCAGGGGACCTCAGATATTGACTCCTGTGCATCAGTGCTTTCTAATTTTGATACGCTACAGAATCCGGTGTTTTCTGACCTTTTGTTTCTTTCTCCAGGTTTTGAAAACAGAGGCCTAAAAGTTCCTTAGCTTTCAGGCTGGTGTGTTATGATACTTGGGCAGTAATTTCTTGCACTAGAAAGCCAGCAGTTTCTGAGCATGGTTTCATTGCTAGGCCAGATTAGATAAGAGAGGGACTGTCTCCTTCCACTTTTCACCATCCACTCAGCTGTGTGTAACTCAGCCACATAGGTACACAGCCACGTGCTTGGCTTTCCCAAACACACACAGACTCTGAGACCTGCACAAATGGAGGAGGAAGAAAAGCGCCCCGTCTGAGGTAACCCATTACCTGACAGAGCTCTTCCAAGAAACATGCCGGTCCTCCTCAGACAATTGGTGACTGGAAAAACCTGAGCTGAAGTCTCTTTTCCAAAGAACTAGTCTGTTGCTTTTCCAGTGTGTCACCTGGAATGGGACTCTCTGGGCCTGGTACAGTAGATTTTTCTACAGCCCAAGTTGATCATTTGTAGATAACCTGCCATGCTCCTAGTTTTCTGTGCTAGCTCCTTAGGAAAAATGTAAATCCAAGTCAATGTGGCATGCTCCAGATGTGACTTTGTGAGTCATGAGCATTAAAAATATGTACGCTGGCCTGGGTGTAGTGGTTCATGCTTGTAATCCCAGCATTTTGGGAGGCTGAGGTGGGCAGATCATTTGAAACCAGTTTGGGTAACATAGCGAGACCCCATCTCACATACTGAGACCCCTACAAAAAACTTAAAATATTATGTGTGCCTGTAATCCCACCTACTTGGGAGGCTAAGGTAGGAGGATCGCTTGAGCCCAGGAGATCGAGGCTGCAGTGAGCCATGATCACACCATCGCACTCCAGCCTGGGCAACAGAGCAAGACCCTATCTGTGTGTGTGTGTGTGTGCGTGCATGTGCACACGCACACTATGGGGAAATTAGTTCAACAGCTATTTATTGAGCACCTGGCGTATACTGGACATTGTGCCAGTCATGGGAATAGAAAGATAGCTAAGATGGGATCTTGCCTTCAAGGAACTTTTAGTCTAGTGGGAGGGACAATTTCAGCAAAATATTTACCTGCAGTGATAAAATAAAGCATACACATGGTGAGGCTTCCTGGGAGTTGTGTTGCAGTAAGTCCTCAGGATGACTTGGCCAGGGGCATAGAGATGTGGCTGGGCAGGGTGTGGGCAGGGAGAGGAAGCACCACACAGGCAGGAAGGAGCTAGGCCTTGCTGAGGAACCTCAGGCATCTTAGAGGTCATTGGAGAGGGCATACCCATCATGATGTTGGCACTGGACCCCAGGGAAGGAGCTGGCTTACCAGTGTTACCCATTCTTAGAACATTCAGTGTGATGACTGGGCCTCTGTGGAGTCTCGGGGTCACAAAGCTCTGCCCCCTTCACCCCCGATCCCCAGCAACTTGGGAGCTCCCGGCTCAGCTGCTGTGCCTTCTGGTGGTGCCTCTGCTGCTGAGCTCCACTCTGGTGTCATTCCTCCACCAACACCTAGCTTGTGTTTTGTTTTTGTTTGAGATGGGGTTTCTCCATGTTGCCCGGGCTGGTCTCAAATTCCTGGGCTCAAGTGATCCACCCAGCACAGCCTTCCAAGTAGCTGGGGTTACAGGTGTGAGCCTCCATGTATGGCTTAGCCATCATGTGTTTTGTAGCTAAAATATACCAAGCTGGTTTACATCTTGTCTCAATTCAGATAACTGTGAAAGTAGATACTTTAAAATCCTCATTTTAGGCTGGTCGCAGTGGCTCTGTAATCCCAGCACTTTGGAGGCTGAGGTGGGTGGATCACTTGAGGCCAGGAGTTTGAGACCAGCCTGGTCAACGTGGTGAAACCCCGTCTCTACTAAAAATACAAAAATTAGCTGGGTGTGGTGGCACGCACCTGTAATCCCAGCTACTTGGGAGGCTGAGGCATGAGAATCGCTTGAACCCAGAAGCAGAGGTTGCAGTGAGCCCAGATGACTCTATTGCACTCCAGCCTGAATGATAGAGTGAGACTCTGTCTCAAAAAATTAAAAATAAAATCCTCATTTTAGGAGTTTTTATTAAAAAATGGAAGCTTAGACCAAGGAAGTTTTTTGCCAGAGGATTCAACTAAGGTTTGTCTCCTGTGCTTCTCTCAGAGGCTGAGAATATGCTCATCTAACTCTGGAGGCTGCCTTTGTCGGGGTAAAAAAGTGAAAGGCCACACGTACACACCAGGGTCTAAACAGCACTCTGCTTTCAGGTGACCTGTGTGGAAAGAGCTACCTTTGGCAGGAGTTTGAATTGGCAAGAAAAAGAAATCACAGTGGGCTTCCTTCAAATAGGCTCCTTCCTGTACATTGGTGGCATGCATGGAGTCAATGCCGTCCATGTTGAGTCCGACGCTTTGGCTGGCAAGGGGAAGGCCTGCTCACTGAGGTGCCCGGACGAGGCAGAGGCAGGGCAGGCCGGCTGTGCATGGCCGAGGGCCCTTGAGCTGGAGGAAGGCCCGCAGAACACCAAAGAAGCCTTCTGCACATATCCATGCTCCTTCCTCCTCCCATCTAATCCTGGCCACCCACAAGAAGTGCATCAGGTAGCAGGTCCCTGCCATCTGGCTCCTTCCTGGGTCTCCACACCCTCATGCTGGCCCTCTGCACAGACTACCCTCACTCTGCCCTCAACCACCAGAGCATGGGTGGCCCGGTCCTTCTCAGCTCTGTGGCCTGAGCTTTGAGCTCAGTCTCTGACACACAGGAGGCACCTGGTCAGTGCTGGGTGAACAAACGTACACACAGAGCACAAATGAGAGGAAAGAATCTTACGAGGTGCTTGAGAGTTGGACATGACTTTTAAAATAAAATTGCCTCTCTACAGTGCTTCGTCCTCGAGCCTGACCTTCACATACATAGTGAGCACAGGCGAATCTTGGGTGTTCTGACCTGTACACAGTACTTACCCTTAAGCCATGCTGATCCGGAGCTCCACCAGGGATTCATCCATAATCCCAGTGTAGGCCCCAGAGGTGGCTGCAGTGTGTTCACTCCAGGGTGCCGGCTACGTGGTGATGGATGTGGTGATCTTATTTCATGAAACTCCTAGCCTTTACTCAGGGCTGCAAGGAGTTAGCGGGTCCTCCCAGGGAAAGTACAAAAGACCTCCAACAAGAAAGACTTGAGGGAGGTAGGGCTTCTTTAAGTGGGACATATTCTCAGACAGCTAGGAGAATTAATTCTCAGTCCCTCAGTAAGTACTAAGCTCCTGGTAAATGCCCAGCTTAGTGGGTACTTAGGTACAACAGAAATGTTTCAGTTCCTGGATGTTTGATAAGAAGAAACACACATGGAAATGCCACCAGAAATACAAAGCCGTCTACATATGGTGCCATGTGAATGTCACAGACAGAGGAACAGAAGTTGGGGGAAAAGTGTCACTGGTCTGATAGGGAGGCCTGGGCAGGGGCTGGGACGTGTGTGTCAGCCACATCTGAGGGACAGTGAGTTTTGTAGTTCAGCAGAAGGGCTTTATGGAGAGTGGGAGGTCAGCAGGAACAGTCATGATGATGGCGCTGGCTGTACCACGGAGCACCTCCCGTATGCTGGGGTGGGGTTCCCTTCAGGAAGACGAATGAGGTGCGGCCTGCTCCTCAAGTGCACTGCCCTGCCACCTTCCACCCTGAGCCAGGGCTGGGCTGCCAGTTTTCCCTGGCCTCAGACAGTTCAAGTAGATTTTCTGGAATACATTTTCCTTGCTACAAAGGTTATATTGTAATGGTAAAAACTGCAACTAATTTTGCACCAGCCTAATGTTCATTGCAATTTTTCTATCTATCTAAAAAGTATGAAGAGGAAAACAAAGTTATCCATTATCTTACCGCCCTGAGAGAAAGAGCGTTAACCCTTGATGCACTTTCTTCCAGGTGTTTTGTAGTGGTAAGTGCCAGGTAGTGGGTGTGAGTAGCCAAAGCTCATATGGGGCTTCATAGTGAAAAACCCACTAACAGCAGCACGGCTGGCCCCAAACGTGTCCATTGTTAATGAGATGAACTCAGCTGTCTAGTGTTGGAAAAATTTCCCTTTACCATTCCACAGAGCAGAGCTGACACATGGACTCATGCACACTCCCTGAAGTGAGCCCTGTTCATGGGACAGTGTAGCCCTGGGCTGAAGGTGAAGCCGAGCGTCTTCTGGAGCCACAGTCTCTTCCCAGAGCCCCAGGAGAGCCTCAGTGAGGGCCCCAAAGTGACCCCAAGCAGTTTATATGGCCTCTGAGCCCAGCCCTGGGCCTGTCTGCTACACAGCTCAGGTGGCCTCTCTGTGGGCCTCCTGTCCATTTCCCACACTCCCTGACTTGTACAGACTTCTTCACCCACTTCATGCCCATAACTAGAAGCAGCTTTCCAGATGATCCATATGCTGTTTCCATGGGCCTGTCTTGCTTCACTCACAAGGGCTGGGATGACTGAAGCTGTGGGCTGGTAGTCTTCACCTTTTTGTTGTATGAAGTTAGAGCTGAGTTATTTTGAGTAACAGAACATAATGCAAAAAGGAATCTGGATGGAATGACTAGCCCAGTCAGGGCTGGCAGTAGGCAAAAAGTATTCGAGTTCTGTTGTACTTTGTAAGAAAATCCATGTGCGTATAGCCTGGTGCCTGTCTTTATCTGTCATTTATATAATGTGTACTCTGTGCCATTGGTAGTAGTAAGCATCCTTTACTGACTATATCTTGAGTACTGCTCACCATTTATCTCTGTGACGTCCCTGTTTTACAGATGAGGACATGGAGTTTTAGCATTTGGGACTAGCATGACTGGGACCTGCTCCCTGAGCCCAAGGCCGAGGCTCTTTCCACCAGGCCTTCTGCTGTCCTCTTTCTTGCTCATTGGGTTTTGCATTTTGCTTCCATCTTTATTACAAAAGGGTCTTGTGGCCCTCCAGAGGTCAGAGGCTGCTCCTTTGACCATGAGATGGCCATTTCATGTACCTCCCTAAAAATGGAAGGCAAAGGGGTCATCGTGAGCACAGAGTCCTAGAAAAGCAACTTTCCAGAAGAGATTCCTCAGGAAAACCCTTTCAGGGGCTTCTCTCTGTGCCTTCCCAACTGCCTCAACTGCCTGGCAGGTGGGCCTCTTCCAGGAAGTGCCAGCATTGAAGTCACTCTGATTTCCTCCAGGCTTCTTTGCAGATGCTCCAGTTGTAGGTGTCCCACAAGCCATTGGGAAGCATTTCTGTATTCAGGTCCTAGTCTTCTAGGGCGGAGGTTCTCCAATTTTAGTGTGTCTAGAAATCACCTGGTGCTTACCAACACAGCTCGTTGCACCCCCTCCTCCAGTTGGGGCCCATCTCTGAGTGAGCAGGTCTGGGTGGGCCTGAGAAGTTGCATTTCTAACAGGTTCCCAGCACTGCTGCTGGGGCTGATAGGGGGCTGCACTTGGAGTACCACTTTTCTTTTCTTTTCTTTTCTTTTTTTTTTTGAGACAGAGTCTTGCACTGTCACCCAGGCTGGAGTGCGGTGGCGCGATCTTGGCTCACTGCAAGCTCCGCCTCCCAGGTTCATGCCATTCTCCTGCCTCAGCCTCCCGAGTAGCTGGGACTACAGGTGCCCACCAACACGTCCGGCTAATTTTTTGTATTTTTAGTAGAGATGGGTTCTCACCGTGATAGCCAGGATGGTCTCGATCTCCTGACCTCGTGATCCGCCCACCTCGGCCTCCCAAAGTTCTGGGATTACAGGTGTGAGCCACCGCGCCCGGCCGAGTACCACTTTTCTAAGGTTTTTCCTAGAATCCCCTAGACCTGCCTTTCCGTGGCCCACGCTCCCCTTTAAAATCACCCTGCAGACCACTCTGTGTTTAACAATTGAGCCAGGCGAAGCAATGGCTGCCGTCTGACATTGAGGTCATTGTCCTTTGGCCTCTGAAATCAAAAGTGATGTTTGGTCTTTCGCTTCATGTGGCATGTGGAGCTCACTCTTTGGGGGAACTGGGTGTTTCAGGTGGTGAGAGCGGCTGAGGAGGCTGCGTCCACACTGGCCAGTTCCATCCACCCGGAGCAGTGCATCAAGGTGCTCTGCCCCATCATCCAGACGGCCGACTACCCCATCAACCTTGCTGCCATCAAGATGCAGACCAAAGTCGTCGAGAGGATCGCAAAGGAGTCATTGCTGCAGCTCCTTGTCGACATCATCCCAGGCTTGCTGCAGGTAGGCCCTCGTGTTGGTGGGGCCTGCCCCCGGCCTGTGTGGGGTTGCCTAACTTGAAGTAATGTAAGGGCTTTGTGCTCCTCCTTCACTGGCAGGGACGGGTAGGAAAAACCAGGCAGGACCTGTGAGGCCGTGTGGCAGGGACACTTCACAGCCTCCTCTGTCGGCTTCCAGCTCACCCCCTCTCCTGAATGCACTAAGAATGCTTTCCTGGCAGCTCACAGAATGAACTTTCTGTTTACTATAAACATACTTTGATCATTTTTTTGTCCATTCTTTCAACAAACCCTTATTGCACACCTGCTGTAGCCCCAGCCCTGGGCGAGGTGGACCATGGAGTGTAAATCAAACCATGGTCCTTGGTCTCATGCAGCACACAAATACTTACTGAAACTCTTCTAAGCATGAGACAGTAAGTGAGACAGACTGGCATAAAGCAGCTGCGTTCCACTGTGTGGACTGCCTCAGAGGATTTTCAGCCTACTCTGCAGCCACACAGACAATGACAGGTGTCACCATGGGCTACATGACAGTAGAGAAGGGGTTTCCAGGTTGGGGTGGGGGGTGGGGGAGAGAGGGTTCATAGAAGAGGTGGTTTCAAGTTGGCCCTTGGCGAGGGAGTTTCACTGGGGAAAGGTAGAGAGGAGTTAGCATCACATTTAATCAATGCTGCTGTTTGCTGGGCACTTGGCTTGGGGACTAAACACTTAATTGTTGAGGACTAGATTATTCCAAACAAAGGGAAAGGCACAGAGACTGAAGAGTCCCAGGCTGTTTGGAGAACAGCAGCAGGTAGCCCCAGCTGGGTGTGGGCCAGGATGAGGCCGACAGATAGATGGAGGCCCAGCTCAAAGGGACACGGACATCAGGCTGTGGGACCAGACGTTCCCCAGCAATCTCTGGAGGGTAGAGGGGTTTTGCTCACAAGAGCGAGTGATGATGTTCTCATTTCTTTAAAGGCATTTTCACAAGGAAATTTGGTTTACCTTTGGGAGAAATGGGAATAAACCAAGTTCTCTTTCCCCTTCATTTCCTTTTCTCATTCTCTCTCCTCTACAATGTTTCTTGGGTGGCAGCTTGTTACACGGTGATACCTGTGCAGACTCAGAGACCAGTCTGGGACTCTCCACCCTCCTGCTTCTGCACCCCAGAAACCAAGTTTCTCTTGATGCTAAGTTGTGACCACTTTGGGGTGAAAGCTGTCTGGATTCCATTGCGGGGCTGAGGTCTATCCTGGTTGTTACTGACAAGTCCAAGGTTGAACTCTGAGGGCATTTGTGGAAACGTTGATGAGATGTTGGCTATGGAATGAATCTTTGATCTGGTTTCCTTTTCGTGTTCCCTTCTGGCTCTCTAGGGTTATGACAACACCGAAAGTAGTGTGCGTAAGGCCAGCGTGTTTTGCTTAGTGGCAATTTATTCCGTAATCGGAGAAGACCTGAAACCTCACCTTGCACAGCTCACAGGGAGCAAGGTATGTATAGTGTTACCTGGGCTGATACGCACACCTGGGCTCTGCCAGCTTGTCATAAATCCATTTGACTGCAGCTCTGGATTCCAGACAGGTTTTGTTCATTGTGTTTTAGCTGGGCCTTATTTCTCCAAGAGGATTTTTCTAAATATAAAAATGAACTATACAGTGAAATCAGTTTAAGGTAAGACTGACATTACACAACATAGTCTGCCTTAACTCCTGTTTATGAAATGCTGATTTTGAGCTGCTGGTTTATTTCCAAAAGAAAAACAACTTTAATTAGAAACCATCCGATTTTTCATGGAAACACTAAAGAAATTTACCTGCTTGCTTAGCAGTTGCTGAATCAGAGCTGAGTCCCTCATGGGCATCAGTGGTGGCAACAGCTGGCTCTCACCTTGAGCCTACAGGGCAGCCCTACGCACTTTGCATGCGTTGACTCATGTTTACGGCAACATCCCTGTGGGCATGGTCATCCCCCTTAACGTGCCCCACGGCACAGACCTGACTCCAGGAGGCAGACTTCTTACTCACACTGCTGCCTCTAATGTTCCTTTAAGGGTGTCTGGAATCAGGGGAAGAAAATGGACCAAAATGGATGTCACTGAAAATGAGAGTGGCTAGACTGCTTATTGGTTTTAATTAAAACAACAACAACAACAACAAACTCAAATGTGACATGCTAGGCTGGTGAGAGCAGATTAAAAACCCGGCCTTATGCTGTGGCAGGAGAGGCATGGTGAAGGGGTGAGGCCTTGGTTCCCAGAGAGGAGGCCAGCTGGGCCTGGGGCCTCAGGACCTGCCTGTGGAGAAAGCGCATCTCTGTGGAGTTTAAAATCCCCACCTTTTTATACAAACCACTCTATCAAACGAAGCCAGTGGAAAACATGAAACCAGAAGCGCCTGCTCTTATGAGAGGAGGAATTGGCAAGTGGGGCCCATTTCATCATTTCAGATTGAGCTGTTGCTTTGATACAGCTGGTGAGCATTAACAGCCAGAGCCTTGTTTCTCCAGAGTTCTGGGGAAGCAAAGCTCTGGCTGGGGTGTTCAGAGCAGAGTTTCTCTACCTTGGCTCTGTTGACACTCTGGGCCACCTTGTTGAGGTGGGCTGCCCTGTGTGTGGTAGGAAGTTTAAGCAGCATCTCTGACCACCACCGTCTATACCGACATGTGCCAATAGCACCCATCACTGCTGTCTCACACCTGGCCAGATGCCCTCTGGGGGGCAGAATCACCCCTGGTTGAGAACCGGTGGTCCAGAGGAGACACTGTCCTCTTTTTGTAAACAGGAATCAGCAGATAGGCTGGAAGAGGTGTATGAGGCAGGTGTGCAGTGCATGGTTTGGGGGTGACCTTATTCTGTTCTCCAGTTCCTTCTCCTTGCCCTACTGCTGCACAGGCTCCTCATCAGATCCCCTTCCTAATTATCTGAAAGATACAGAGCAAAAGTCCCCCCAGCTCTCCTACCTCCATCAGGGATTTGTAGGTGATTCCTGCTGACCAGGAGGACCTTCAATGATACAATTCACAAAGGGAATTACATTTATAAAATGGAAAATTCATCCAAAAAGAACATGAGTCACACCTTGGTTTTGTCTGGCACTTTTTACTTTTCTTGAGTAAGAGAGTTGTCCCATCAACTCATTTGAACCTTTGGATAAGGGACAGAAAATCCAGGTGTTTTCTCCTCCCCATTTGGCAATTGACCCGCTGCTGCCACTCTTGGTGAAGCTTTGGGTCCAGAACCCACATTCCTGACCGGGAGCCAGCGCCTTCCCTCCCCCAGTTACAACCTTAGTTCCTCAGGGGTTTGGAGAGACTGGCCTTCACATCTTTCTGCTTTCGTAGCCCAGTTCATCCAGCCGTTAAGTTTTTTATTGTTATTATTTTTATATGGAGCCTCGCTCTGTCACCCAGGCTGGAGTGCAGTGGCACAGACAACCTCTGTCTCCCAGGTTCAAGCTATTCTCCTGCCTCAGCCTCCCGAGTAGCTGGGATTACAGGCGTGCGCCACCACGCCTGGTTAAGTTTTTGTATTTTTAGTCAACACGGGGTTTTGCCTGGTTGGCCAGGCTGGTCTCGAACTCCTGACCTCAGGTGATCCTCCTGCCTTGGCTTCCCAAAGTGCTGGGATTGCAGGTGTGAGCCACCGTGTCTGGCCTAAATTTTTTTTCATGTAATAGCTCTGGTATGTTCATATGAACTTTGTAGACTCAGGTACACATCTCCTAATACAAACTCCCTCCCTTCCTCAACCAGATGGTAGCTGGCAGGCAGAACCTGGTGCTAAGTCTGTCTCAATTTCCTTGACTAGAAACAAAGAGAATCAAGTCATGGCTCCCTGTGTTCCAGTGTTACAGGCCTATGGGAACACGCTCTCCTTTTGCTTAAATGAAGTTAATAAATGAAGGCTGGGCACGGCTCATACCTGTAATCCCAGCACTTTGGGAGGCCGAGGCGGGCGGATCATCTGAGGTCAGGAGTTCAAGACCAGCCTCACCAACATGGTGAAACCCCATCTCTACTACAAATACAAAATTAAGTGGGTGTGGTGGCACATGTCTGTAATCCCAGCTACTCAGGAGGCCGAGGCAGGAGAATCGCTTGAACCTGGGAGGTGGAGGTTGCAGTGAGCCAAGAACGCACCACTGCACTCCAGCCTGGGTGACAGAGCGAAACTCTGTCTCAAAAAAAAAGGTTTTTTTTTAAGAAAAAAAATAAGTGATACCAGGAAGAGATATCTTCTGTACGAAGAGGTCTGATGAAGGGAAGGAACCTCTGTAGTACATTTGGAGAGATGCCATGTTGCTAGGGCAGCAACACTAGCTTTGGGGTCAGCTTGCCTTCTGGTCTCTGTTCCCCACTTACGAGTTTTATGACCTTGAACAAGCATTCTTTTCTTTTTCCCCCCCTCCAGTCTTTTTATTGTGGTATAATAAAATTTACCATTGTAACTGTTTTTTTTTGAGATAGAGTCTCACTCTGTCACCCAGGCTGAAGTGCGGTGACGTGATCTTGGCTCACTGCAACCTCCGCCTACCAGGTTCAAACGATTGTCCTGCTTCAGCCTCCTGAGTAGCTGGGATTATAGGCGCCTGCCACCACGCCCAGCTAGTTTTTGTATTTTTAGTTGAGATGGGGTTTCACCATGTTGGTCAGGCTGGTCTCGAACTCTCGACCTCAAGTGATCCACCCACCTCCCAAAATGCTGGGATTACAGGTGTGAGCCACCTCATCCGACCCATTGTAACTATTTTTAAGTGTGTGGTTCATATTGTTGTATAACCATCACTACCATCCATCTTCGAAACTTTTTTCATTTTGCAAAACTGAACCTTTGCACCCATTAAACAATAATTTCCTATTTCCTTCTTTCCCAACCCCTGGCATCCACCTTTCTACTTTCTGTCTCCATGAATTTGACTACCCCAGGTGTCTCATATAAGTGGAATTACATCGTATGTGTCCTTTGTGGCTGGCTTATTTCACTTAGCATAATGTCCTCAGGGCTTATCCATGTTGCAGCATTTGTCAGAATTTCCTTCCTTTTCAAGACTGAATGTCCATTGTGTGTAGATTGCATGGTTTGTTTATCTGCTCATCTGTTGATAGACCCTGGGTTGCTTCCACCTTCTGGCTCTTGTGAATAATGCTGCTATGAACACTGGTGCACCTGTTCAAGTCCTTAATGTTTCAGGGAACCTCCCTGCTGTTTTCCACAGAGATTGCACCATTTTACGTTCTGACCAACAGTGCACAAGGGTTCTAATTTCCCCACATCCTCACCAACACTTGTTATTTTCTGTTTTTATTTTTCACTTTTCTAATTTATTTCTCATTATTTCTAATAGCCGTCCTCTATGAGATGAGGATGGGTATCTCATTTGTTGAAAATAAATAACCTGATGGCGATTTCTTATCTGTTAAAAAGATGATCCTTTCCCTATTAAACGGTCTTGGCATGCTTGTTGAAAATTATTTGACTGGTCCAGGAGTGGGTGGCTCACGCCTGTAATTCTAGCACTTTGGCAGGGTCACTTGAGGCCAGAAGCTCCAAACCAGCCTGGGCAACAGCAAGACCATGTCTGTGCATGCATAAATTAATTAATTAATTTTTGGTCACTCAGGCTGGAGTGCGGTGGCACAATCATGACTCACTGGCACCCTTGACCTCCTGGACTCAAGCCATCCTCCCATCTCAGCCCCTCCCCAAGTAGCTGGGATTACAGGCACACATAATCCCAGCTAATTTTTAAATTTTTTGTAGAGATAGGGTCTCGCTATGTTGCCAGTCTGGTCTTGAACTGGTTTCAAACGATTCTCCCACCTCAGCCTCCTACATTGCTGAGATTATAGGCGTGACCATGCCCAGCCAATTTTCTCTATTTTTCTGTTCTCTATTTTGTTTATCTCTGCTCTAATCTTTATTGTTTTCTCCTGCTAGCTTTAGATGTAGTTCTTTTTTCTAGTTCCTTAAGATAAAAGTTTAGGTTGTTGATTAGAGAGCTTTCTTTTTTAATGTAAGCATTTATAACTCTAAATTTCCCTCTTCAGCACTGTTTTTGCTGCATCCCCAAAAATTGTCTTATCATTTTCATTTGTCTCAAGATGTTTTCTAAGGCTAGGTGCGGTGGCTCACGCTAGTAATCCCAGCACTTTGGGAGGCCGAGGCAGGAGGATTGCTTGAGCCCACGAGTTCAAGACTAGCCTGGTCAACATGGCAAAGCCCCATCATACAAAATACAAAATTAGCTGGGCATGGTGGTGTGCACCTCTGGTCCCAGCTAGTCAGGAAGCTAAGGTGGGAGGATCACCTGATCCTGGAAGGTCAAGGCTGCAGTGAGCTGAGGTTGTGCCACTGCACTCCAGCCTGGGCCTCCGAGTGAGACCCTGTCTCAAAAAAAAAAAAAATTCTTTTTTTAAATATGTCTTCTAGTTTACCTTATGATCTCTTCTTTACTCATTGGTTGTTTAAGAATATGTTAACTCAATTTTTATAAATTTATGATTTTTTTTCGTTTTCCTTCTATTATTGATTTATTTCATCCCATTATGGTTGGAGAAGATGCTTTGGTATCTTTTTAAATCTATTTAAACTTAATTTGTGATTGAACATATGGTCTATGTTCAATCATATGTTAAATCCTATGATAAACCATATGTTAAATCACAAATTAAATTTCAATAGATTTGAAACTTAATGTGTCCCTTGAGAAGAATGTGTGTTCTGTTGTTGAGTTTCATATACATCTGTTAGATCAAGTTGGTTTATCAGGTTAAGTCCTCTATTTGCTTGCTTATCATCTGTCTGGTTCTTTTATCCATTATTGAGGGTGGAGTATCGAAGTCTTATCTCCAGAAGCTTTTTTGATGTCAACTCTGTTTTGTCTGATATTAGTATAGCCAGCCTTGCTCCCTTTGATTACTGTTTCATGGAATATCTTTTTATATCCTTTCATTTTCAATCCATTTATGTCTTTGGATCTAAAGTGAATTTCTTATAGACAGCATATAATTGGATCACATGTTTATCCATTCTGCCCATTTCTGTCTTTTGATTGAAGAGTTTAATCCATTTACATTTAAAGTACTGTCAGGCGTGGTGTCACATGCCTGTAGTCCCAGCTACTCAAGAGGCTAAAGGTGTGAAGGTTAGAGGATTTGCCCTCTGACCTTGGCCCAGCCACTTCCCCCCTGTGGAGCGGGGTTCTCACCCTGCTTTTTCCCTGGCTCTGATGGAGCCTTTGGGCTGCAGTCGTGCTTGAGATGAATGGCCCTGCCCCCGTATCCCTTCCTCCATGAGCTGCTGCGGCCCACCTAGTTGTGACACCTGGTGGTGGTCTTGTAATTGCCCACGGCTTTTCCCTCTCCTCTGGACTCTGGCCTCCTCCCTCCCTCTGTGGCCCTAGCACCTGGCAGATGCATTGGATGGGCAGCAGGCACTCAGAACATGTTTTTATAATGAATTCCTCAACCAAGGGAACTAAGGGACTTGCTGTTTCCTTACTGTCACCTGGGATTCTTTTTGCTGTTTTCTACTTTCTGATTGCTTTTCTTCCTGCTAATTCAGTTTCATCTTCTCTTTTCAGATGAAGCTACTAAACTTATACATAAAGAGGGCCCAGACCACCAACAGCAACAGCAGCTCCTCCTCCGATGTCTCCACGCACAGCTAATGGCAGTACCTGTCTCTTGTGTAGACCTAGAAGCAATCGGTGGTGCCTCTCAGAGACCTTTCCCCACCCCCTTCATCGGCTGCCCAGTCAGTACAAGGAGGCCCACAAATATTTATTACAATCAGTATTTTGGTCCCTTCCAGCTTTTCTGTAGAATCTTACTGGTATTGAATGTAAAGGAAGCAAGGCCTGTATTGCAGTCTTCATACAAAACAAAAGGAATAAGAACAGAAAAGAGCCATACTGAAACATGTCTTGTACAGCCTGCTGAGATGGCGAAACCCTGTGTGTGGGGTGCAGTTTTTAAAAATCAGAGCGCTCTAGCCACTACTTGGTAGAAAGTAGCATTTTTTTTTTCAGTTAATAACATATTTGGGGGTGGGGTGGGGTGTTACTTTGTGTTCTTCCTCCTTAGCCTATTTTCTTGTGCGTATGGTCTGTGTGGGGCCCCTTTCACAGCTGACACCACGAAAGGTGATATATCTTTAAGTTGTGTTCTGAGACCTACTAAAAATGGGAATCAAGTCTTGGCAAGAACAGTCTGAAGATGGCCTTTTAACAAACGCTGGGAATTTTGCTTGTCATATCCAGACTGGAGGCCGACTGCCCTGGCTTTCAGCGTAGAATTGGGAGTGCACCCTGACAGTCTCCTTCCAGCTCTCCCTAATCGACTCCACCGACAAGGTCCCTACCCCAGAGCTTCCATGCAAAGGAATTCTTCAAGTTTAAATCTGGACACAAAAATAAGATAAATGTATGGCATCATTTAGGGATGCCTGAGATGGCAGTTCATGAAGCACAGAAGATAAAGAAGAAGTCTTTCATCTTTACTGCTGAGATCCTTGGGAACACTGTTGTCATGGGGGCTCTGCCAAGACCCTCATCTCTGGGCTACACGGTGATTCAGATTGAGCACCAACTTGTTTCCTCCCCTCAAAGTTCTGCCTAAGCCGTTCAGTTCTAACATGGTCTCAGTTAATCTGGTAAATGGCATCTTTACCATCTTAGTTCTGACTTCTCAGTTTAATGTGGGATTAAGAGCCAAGAAAAGCCTAGAGAGACTGGATATCACAATTTTTTTTAATTTTATAAACTGAAGTAGTTCCTTGAATGTCTGTTGATGAAATAGTCACTGTTTAAGGAAAAAAGTAATTATGAGGTGTAGCAGATTGCAGAAAAACAGGATTAGAAACACACTTAAAAAGAACACACATTTAGAGTCTCTCTTCCTCCTCAGCGAACCACTAGGCCCCCTTTTTAAAAACACCTTTAGAGCCTAATTACTCCAATAAAAGTAACTAGAGGTTTGGAGTCTGGTTAAATAAATTCTGAGTAAAATTCTTAAGCCAAATGGAAATTCTTAATGCAATCATGAGGACTTCTATTGTCTCTTACTGTTGTATTAGATCCTATAAATTGAACTGATTTTTCCATAAGGAAAATGCTTCTTTTGAGATTAATTCTAATAACGTATTTGCTATTGCAGTGCAGAGCCCACTGCAACTGCTAGGACTGAAAGCAGAGGCTGGGTGCCAGAGCACGTGATTCTTAACATCATTTCCACAGACCCCTCTGCCCTGACCCTCTGCATTGGATGCAGGAAGCTGGGAAAGACTGATGTTGATTTGGAAACATGGGCTGAAAATGAAGGCCCCATAGTGCATAGGAACAGTAAAGCCAGGGTGCTGACGTGTGTGTGTGTGTGTGTGTGTGTGTGTGTGTGTGTGTGGTGTTGTGTGTGTTTGTGCGTGCACCCTACACATGTGTGGTACCTCACTGCTGCTGTTTAGGGAACTTGAGGGACGCGTTTCAAGGGGTTGGGTATTACTGACGAGCTTTGGCTCAAAATATAGCAGGACCAGGTCTTTTGTTGATAAGTACTGTTTGTTTATTAATATGTCATTAATGGTATTTCTTTTTTACACTCTACAAGTGAATTAGGGAGTCTCTTGTTGACCCCTTTGTTGCAGGAATGTGCGTCGGGCTAGGTTATCCATGAGTTTCTTTATTCCTAATGCAGTTAGAAAGACCTTTCTCCTTGAGCTCTTTGACTCCCAGAAGGTACCCCAGTCCCCAGTGTACTTAGAAAGGATCTCGAACATTGCTGGACGTCCTCATAGTACTCACAAAGGGCTAGCCTTGAATGTCACTCGCCCAGTCTTCAGTCTCCTGACTTAGAGATACAATCACGTCACAGGTCTCTTGGCCTCAATCTGAAAACTGCTGCCGCCGCGCCGAGGAGACTCGCATGCCGCCACCACCTCACTGGGAGGGCGCCGAGCCCACCGTCGCCCCCTAGACCCTGACAGCTGCAGCTGCCTTGCCTTGCCGCCGCCTCCCTGCAGGGCCCCTGTTCCAATGAAAAACAGAACACAAAAGAGCAGAGCACCTAAGCCTGTCTCTGCCTCCCTGTCTACCGGACTGGCCAGGGCCCAAGACCCCCGCTGCTCCACTGCGGGGCTGGGCGGGCTGACTCCCTGCTTCCTCCAAGCTGCTGCCTCCCCTGCAGCCAGGGTCTGGGCAGGGTGCAGCCGGTCCTCGGGGCACGCAGCTTCCTTCAAGTACACTGTGTGTGCTTCCCGGACCTGCGGCGATGCCACGGGCCTGCCTTTTCTATGCGCCTCACTAGCTTACCACCCTGTGCAGGTAATGCAACTGACTTTGTCTCATCAGTCTTTTTCTTTCCCTGCCACCCTTTATTTATCAAGCGTAATGTTACACTTTAAAGGACAGCAAATAAGAACTTTGTAGAATCCCACCAGGACTTTGCTAACAATAATGTTTGGAAATAAAGAAGTGCTCTGAAAAAATATCAGCCACCAAAATAGTTATGTTGGCACTGTGTTCACACGCATGGTCCCCACACCCCCAGGTTGGGTGGGTTTTTTTGTTTTTTGGGTTTTTTTGGGGGGGGGGGCTTTTTCATGTTACATCCATATCTGTATTTATATCTTATTTGTTTCACTTTCAAGTGTATCATGGCAAATGTACAGATTTTTTTGTTAATAATGTGCTAGGATTTGCTAAAAAAGAAAAAAAAAAAACCCTTTTGAGTTTGCCCTAGAATAAATGAGACTTAATTCAATGTTCTGCTTGATGATGTCTTTACCACCACCATGCCCTGCAGACAGCTGATCCCCTCCCCCTGCGATCAGAACACAGCCATTTCGATAAAGGATTCAGGAGGAATCATACATCAGAAGAGCTCTTTCCCCTCGTGACATCAAGAGGTCAACCCATGTAATCCTAGCATTCTGGGAGGCCAAGGCGGGCGGATTACTTGAGCTCAGGAGTTTAAGACCAGCCTGGGCGACGTGGCAAAACCCCGTCTCCACTAAAAATACAAAAATTAGCTGGGTGTGGTGGTGTGTCTGTAATTCCAGCTACCCAGGAAGCTGAGGTGGGAGAATCGCTTGAGCCCAGGAGGCAGAGGCTGCAATGAGCCGAGATCATGCCACTGCACTCCAGCCTGGGTGACAGAGTGATACTCCATCTGAAAAATATATATATTAATATACATTTTTTTAAAAAGGTCAATCTGGGGAAATATCACATCTGATGGAGTCGCCTGGGAGCTGGTTGCTGTGCCGTGTGTGCGGTGACAAGGTGGGAGGTGAGACGCATGGGCTAGAATCCCACCCACGCTCCTGGAGGCCATGTGAGCAGGGGCCTCCCTCATCGGCTCCATTTCCTCAACTGATCAGTGAGAACAGTGGCTCCCCGGAAAGGTAGAAGCAGGAGAAAGCCTCAGCCTCGAATCCCGAGATGAGCTGGAGAGCCGCTGAGAGCAGCCGGGCTCCCCTGCATGCCTGCGGTTCTTCTCTGCTGGTCACTGGGGACTGGAGCAGGCTAGGCAGGGCAAGAGCAGAGCCTCTGGGAGCAAATGCACAACATCACAGGCTCCACAGCCGCTGCTTTGAAGCCCTTTTTCCCTTCAAGTCTTAAAATTGTGGCAAAATACACGTAACACGAGATTTACCATCTTAACCATTTGTAAGTGTGCTGTTCAGTGGTGGTAAATATATTCAGGTCATTGGGTAACCATCACCATCATGGTGTTCTGGAATCCCTCTCTAGGGCTCTCAACTAGTAAAACAAACCCTGTCCCCATTAAGCATAACTTCCCCATTCCTGCCTCCCGCAAGGCCCCTGGCAACCAGCATTCTACTTTCCCTCTCTCTGAATTTGACTATTCCGGGCATCTCGCATAAGTGGATCATACAGTATTTGCCTTTCTGTGACTGGCTTATTTTGCTTAATACGTCAAGGTTCATCCATGTATGTATCAGAATTTCTTTTTTAAATTTATAAACACATGTTCACCTGCATTTTTTCACATTTTTAATTTCCTTCCTAAGGCTGAATAATATTCTGTTGTATGGATAGACCACATTTTGAAGCTTTACTTTTTACTAAAAAGTTGTTTTCCATCATGTTCCATGATTCGTCCCGAGTGCCACTATCCAGTGACACTGTGCCCCTTTCTCCTGTGGCCCACCACCTTGTACCCCGCCTGAGACGCCTCAGGATGCTCTGGATCACAGATACTTGGATTAGAATCCCAGCTCCACCCCTGCCCCCCGTGGGCAGATCACTTCCTGCCTCAGTCTTTTCATTTATGAATTGGGTTAAGAACTGCCTGGCTGTGTTCAAAACTATAGAGAAAAATGAAAAAAATAACTGCCTAGCAGAGGTGCCATGAGAGTTCATGGAGATGATGTAAGTGAAGCAGCTGGCCCGAAATAAATGCTCCCGATGGTCGCCTGCCCTGCCTCCTACTGTGGACCCGGAAATGCACAAGAGGGTGATGTCACCCGCCTTCCCCCCCCCCCCGACAGGCACACCTGCATGTGCAGTCAGAGACCATTATTTATTAGCAAAAGAAAAACCCTGGGCGGTGGGACCAGGTTCAGACACAGCAGCCCTGTTCAGCTTTCTATATGTGGTTCTCCAACTCTGGTGCCATTGCCCTACCTTACCAAGGGCTGCCAGGAAGTCCTTGCCATTTTTCAGAGGGTCACAGGCCACCAGTGAAGGGTGGGGTACTGAGGCTGTTAGCATTCTTGGCTGATGAACTTCACACTTTGCAAGATTCTGGTCTGTAGCATCTTGCTGTAGGACATGTCCTGAAATACTATCGACGGACGCACTGTTGTGTTCGGTTTCCAAATGAGGAAACAGGCACAGGAGGAGCCACGGCTACATAGTGACTGATGGAGTTGTGCCAGGCCCCGCTATGCATTTGGTCCAGCAGTGCTCCCCTCCCCTCATCAGGCCTTGCACCCTTCCATCTCCCCCTGGAGTTACGAGGACTCAGAGTGCACATCAGAACCCCTCGGGGCTTGTGAAGCAGATCACTGCCTGCCTGCGTTGCTGACCAGTAGGGCTGGGGCAGCCTGAAAACCTGCGTCTCTGCAGAGTACCCGGGCAGCGCCGCCGCTACAGGGCTGGGGACCCCACTTGGGATTGTAGAGCATTTTGCTTAAAATGTGACAGGTGGTTTGACCCCAAGGCTGGGGACAATCCTGCAGGCTGTGGCTGAAAACAAGGTATGGCCTCAGGAATGTCAGGCCATCCCTGTCATTACAGGTAACTATGGTGACCACCTAACTCAGCATGGGAGGACGAGAACTTTTGAAAGTGAAATGGGATGCTGTTAGCAGAGAAGACCATGATGGCCTAAGCCGCCTGGGCCAGAGCTCCCTCCTCAGGGGACAGCTCTTCCCCCGCAGGCTCAGCCCACCTCCTCCAGTATTTATTAACTCACTTCAGTGGCTCCAGGCAGGAACGGACAAAGGTCATGTGAATGGGTATCTCATCCCAGCTATGTATTTAAAAGACATTAAAATACTTCGTGCCATGCCCTCCTCAGCTGCAGGTGCCTGGCCTCCAGGTGGACTTGCCGGGCCCTGGAGCTCCTGGAGACACAGTGTTCCTGGGTCACTTCCCGGCAGTTCCGGGATGCCCTGCCTCCCCCTGTGCCCTGCCAAGTGCCTGGGAACAGTCTGGGTGGGGTGGGCAGTATGGCCTCCTACAGCGGTGGTTCAGGCTCTGCACCACCGTGGTCTCTGCTCCCCCACCGTGAGGACTTGGAAGGCTCTGGAGGTATGTCCAGGGCCAGCACTCCGGCCATGCCTCTCCTCTGGTCTCCTGCTTTCCTGTCTGCTGTCCTGCCATTTCCCCTGGACACCTGCTCATTCTTCAGTGGGAACAAGAACTGGGACCTATGAGTGCTTACTACTGCCAAGCTGGCCGGGTGCCGTGGCTCATGCCTGTAATCCTAGCACTATGGGAGGCTGAGGCAGGAAGATCTATTGAACCTAGGAATTCAAGACCAGTGTGGGTAACAGAGGGAGACCCCCTTCTCTACAAAAAGTTTTAAAAATTAGCTGGGTGTAGTGGCAAATACCTGAAGTCCCAGCTACTCAGGAGGTGGAGGCTGCAGTGAACCTTGATTGCACCACTGCTCTCCAGCCTGAGTGACAGCCAGAGACCCTGTTTCAAAATGACAAAACAGAAACCACCTGCCAAACTCTGTTCTGATGCTTTGCTGAGCTTTCTGATTTAATCCTCACAACAGCCCCATGAGGCAGTTCCTTTGATAATTCCCGTTTTGCACATGGGAAACAGTGGCACAGAGACTCTGAGTAACTCACTTGGGGTCACAGGTCTCTCTCGTAAGAGAACCGGGATTCAAACCCAGGAAGTCTAGCTCTGGACTGAACCGGAGTCTTTTGCTTTGTAACTCTGTCCCTTCCCTGAGCCTCTGTTCCATTTTCCATCCGCCTGACTCTTGTTAGCAAGTTCAGGTGGGCCGTGGTCACAGGCAGGCCCGCCCAGCTGTTTGACACCAAGCTCGTGGTAAACATTTCCGCAGTACTCCCGGGCAACTGCTCAGTGGGCCTGGTTGGGGAAAGGCCCGCCTGGGTGCTGGAATCTGGGGCTTGAATCCAATCCTGAGTGTTTTGAAGCCTGTGACTTAATAGCCAGATGACTCCAGCTTACGAAGACCTCAGTTTCTTCCTCTGTAAAATCCTAGGAGATGGGAATTGGGGAGGCAGGGCTGGGGTGTGTGTGTGAGGGTGTGAGGATTAGCACACTGTTAAAGTCTCTGACACCCTTCCGGAAGCCTCAGCAAATGTCAGCCATCATAATTCCTGTATTATTACTATCATGGAGGTCCCCGCCCCCGTTTCTGACACATGACGCTCAACAAAGTTCTGGACAAATGAACGACCGATGTAAAGTCTCTGCCCTATCACCCCCCAGTCCACGCGAAAGATTCACACGACAACCGTGGGCTTCCAGGCGGCTTTCCCACCTGGGAGGATGATGGGGCTGGGGACAGGACGGGGCCAGCATCCCCTCCCGTTCACCCCTCACCCCCAACGTCTGCCAGGAGCCTCCTCCACGCTGTCCCTGGGCTCCTCAAACCTAGTGCTGCCAGGCCTGGCTTCCCTGCCCGTCTCCCACTGCTCGCTGCTCTCTAGTCTGTGGACACTGATGCCAGGCTCTCCCCACCCTCCACTCCCCCTTCAGCCCACCCGCAACCAGCAGCCCCCCGCAGCCCCCTGCAAACAGCATCCCATGGAGAAGATGCCGCTGGGACCCTCTCCTACCCAGCCCTTCGCTCCCAACTCCCTGCATACTCCACCCCTTCTATCCTCTTCCCCAAAGCTGCATGGCTGCTGGGTTTTTCTTTTGTATTTGTATTTTTTGTTTTTTATTTATTATTTATTTATTTATTTTTGAGACGGAGTCTTGCTCTGTCGCCCAGGCTGGAGTGCAGTGGCGCGATCTTGGCTCACTGCAACCTCCTCCTCCCAGGTTCAAGCCATTTTCCTGCCTCAGCCTCCCAAGTAGCTGGGAGTACAGGCACCTGCCACCATGCCCGGCTAATTTTTTGTGTTTTTAGTAGAGGTGGGGTTTCACCGTATTAGCCAGGATGGTCTCAATCTCCTGACCTCGTGATCTGCCTGCCCCAGCCTCCCAAGGTGCTGGGATCACAGGCGTGAGCCACCGCGCCCAGCCTCCGTTTTTTTATTTTTTAGAGACAGGGTCTCACTCTGTTGTCCAGGCTGGAGTGCAGTGGCGCCATCGCGGCTCACTGAAACCTCAGCCTCCTGGATTCGAGCATTCCTCCTGCCTCAGTCTCTTGAACTCCTGGCCTCAAGCGATGCTCCTGCCTCTGCCTCCCAGAGTGCTGGGATTACAGGCCCATGCTGTTAAAAAAAAAATGTTCCTCTGATGTATCATTATTTCATGTCAAACCTTGCAATGCCTACCTCCTACCCGTCACTGCCATACACACTCTCTGGGATAAAATTCCAAAATCTCGAACATGGCCTACAGGGCTCGCCACCTGGCCCCTGCCTTCTCCACCACCCCATCTTGTGCCGCTGTGCCCCAGGCACTGCCTCCTGGCCTCGGGGCCTTTGCATTGCTGTTGGCTGTGCCTGGCCCCCTGTCTACACACACACCTGCACACATGCACGCATGCACTCACCTGCTCAAGCACTCCTCTGGCTAACTTCACAGATCCTTCAGGTCCCAGCTTAAGTGCCAGGCCCCCTTCCTTTTTTGGAGAATATTCTAAATTAGACCTTTTGTTTTTCCTCCCTAAACTTGTTACGCATTTTGTATCTATTTGTGCAATTATTTGTCATCTTAGTCATCTCTGTGGCTAAGAACTGGGCCTGTGTCCTTTACCTCTGTATTCCTAACACTTAGCCTGGCCCATGGTTGGTGCGGGATGGATGGATGGACAGATGGATGGATGGATGGATGAATGAATGAATGACTAGTTTGTGGTTCCCCAACTAGGATGTGGTCTCAAGGGCATGACTTGAGGCTTACAGTGTTTTCTACTTAGCTGGGAGCCCTGCCATGGTACCTGAGAACACAGTGGCTGCTACTGAACTGCCTGGGTTCAAATCCTAACTCTTGTGTGGCCATGGCAAGTTACTTCACTCTTCGTGCCTCAGTTTCTTCTTCTGCATGGAAAAAGTGCCAATGGCAGCAGTATCTACCTCATGGGATATTTGTAAATCACTGAAATAAAAGAGCACACGGCCAGGCATGGTGGCTGACACTTGTAATCCCAGCACTTCTGGAGGCCGAGGTGGGCAGATCATTTGAGGCCAGGAGTTCGAGAACAGCCTGGCCAACATGGTGAAACCCCATCTCTACTAAAAATAAAAAAGATTAGCCGGGCGTGGTGGCACACGCCTGTAATCCCAGCTACTCAGGAGGCTGAGGCACAAGAATCGCTGTAACCCGAGGGGTGGAGATTGCTGTGAGCCGAGATTGCACCATTGCATTCCAGCCTGGGTGACAGAGCAAGATTCCATCTCAAAAAAAAAAAAAAAGAGCAAATATGGCTAGGCACCGTGGCTCATGCCTGTAATGCTAGCACTTTGGGAGGCTGAGGTGGGAGGATCACTTGATCCCAGGAGTTTGAGACCAACCTGGGCAACATAGCAGGACCCCCATCTCAAAAAATACAAAATAAAAATAAAAATAAATGAAATATAAGAGCACGTGGCCACGACCTGCACATCCTGGCAGCCATTGTACTTTGTCGGGTGGGCAGTTGAGCCGGTTCAGTGGGGGAGCGTGCTTGGCCGTGGAGCCGGCCTGGGGTCTAACCTGGCTTCCCCATTTTTATCTGCAAACTCAGAGAGTCTTTTGGCTTCTCTTAGCCCTAAAGTTACAAGCAGCGTGACCAATGTGGAAAACAGTCTGTAAAGGAGAAGATGTGCGTACCTTACAACCCGCAGTTCTGCTTCTGGGGCACACCCTGGAGCAAAGGTGTGCAGAACGAGACACAGCACAAAGGCGCCCGGGGAGGAGAAGGGGTCGAGAAACTGGACTCCCCACGTGAGCGATACCATGAAGGGAAGAGGAAGGACCTGCAGCTGCATTTATCACATGGGGAATCGGGAATGCCGTTTTGGGGGGAAAGAGAAAGTCACAGAAGAAAGCACAGAGCATCTTGCCTTTTTTTTTTTTTTTTTCCTTTTTTGAGATGGAGTTTCGCTCTTGTTGCCCAGGCTGGAGTGCAATGGCGCGATCTCGGCTCACCGCAACCTCCGACTCCCGGGTTCAAGCTATTCTCCTGCCTCAGCCTCCGAAGTAGCTAGGATTACAGGCGCCCACCACCACGCACGGCTAATTTTTTGTATTTAGTAGAGATGGGGTTTCACCATGTTGGTCAGGCTGGTCTTGAACTCCTGAGCTCAGGTGATCCGCCCACCTCAGCCTCCCAGAGTGCTGGGATTACAAGCGTGAGCCACCGGGCCCAGCCGCATCTTGCCTTTTTTTAAGATCAAAATAACCAAAACAAAACCATGTATTTTCTTAGAGACACACATGTGTGGTAAAACTCTACAAAATGAGTGGTTAGGAAACAAATTCGGGAGAGTAACTGCCTGTTCGGGAGAGACGGGACTGAGACCGGGGGAGCATGTCCTCAGTTTCAATGACCAGATGATGTTCTGCTTTGTAATTTGGGGGTGGGTTCACAGGTGTGTGTTTTATTGTTACAGCCCATAACTATCATTTATGTTCTATGTTTTCTTTTGCATTATCAAATGTTTCATAATTTAAAGACTAAAATTGTGTGAGAATCCCAAGTTATAAGGTGGTTATTTAGGTGAGTCTCCATAATTTAGGTGAGTCTCCTATTGATTCTTTAGACAATCACAGACATGAAAACCCCCAAATGTAAAATTCCTGCAGAGAATTTACAGAGCCTTGAGAGTACCTCTGTGGACTCCCATCCAAGGAAAGCCACCCTGCGTGAGACTGCCCAGTGTCCTAACAGGCCTGTGTCTGAGGGGACGACTCCACATACAGGATACTGTCAGCTTTTGTGGGACACTTTCTGCACATGGCGGTGGGGAAGGGCTGGGCATTGCCCCTCTGGCCCGAGCATTAACGGGCTCTGTCTCCTTCGCCACCTGCTCCTCCTTGGCTCCTCTCTGCCTGGTTTTGCCTCCTAACAAAAGCCAAAGGGATTTGAAATGGTCTTGATGCTATCCAAATTAGCACTAATCACACAGGGTCCTGCTTTTCCAGCCAAGTCTGAGGTCCCATATTCTCTGTGAGACGTTTTCCAAAAGTATAGGAAAGAGGACGCAAGAGAGACACACTCAGAGAGGCAGGTGCACATGGGGTGGTGGCTACTCTCGAAATGTCAGGTTGCAGTGGGGAGAGGTTGAGTCTGAGGGCCATCCCCCCATCATGCCTGCCTCTATGGTGGGACCCAGCTCCCTCTCCCTCAATGCTAGGGCTTCGTGTATGGCTAGGTTCTGCCAGGGAGATAGATGCACCTCACAAGATGAGAAGCAGCTTTTGTTAAGGATGGACACAGTGGTGGTGACATTTGGTTCTTGTGGGGCATCTCAGTTGCAGGTTCTAGCTTGTCCTCAGTCTCAAAGCTACCAAGCTGCAAGTGGCAGCCGCCAAGATTTGGAAAGGAATTTTCCCTGTCTCTTGTTGTTCCTGGTTGGGTGGCACCCACCCCTGGCACCCTGGCCCTCCCAATGATGATGTCCACTACCTAAATGTCTTAAGAAGTCCCATTCTGCTTAAACTAGCTGGAGGGGGGCTGGGCACGGTGGCTCACACCTGTAATCCCAGCACTTTGGGAGGTGGAGGCTGGCAGATCACTTGAACTCAGGGGTGTGAGACCAGCCTGGGAAACATGACAAAACCTCATCTCTACCAAAAAATAAAATAAAATAAAAAATTAACCAGGCATGGTGGCACATGCCTGTATGCCTATAGTCCTAGATACTCCGGGAAGCTGAGGTGTAAGGATCACCTGAGCCCACGAGGCGGAAGTTAAAATGAACTGAGATTACACCATCGCACTCCAGCCTGGGCAATAGGACGAGACCCTGTCTCTAAATACATATGTAAACTAGCTGGAGGGGATACCATCATCTGTAATAGGGAACTCTGAGCCACGGAGAGACAAGACCACTAAAGCATCCAACTGAAGAGAAAACATCTCAACAAATGATGGCTTAGCCTTTTGGTGGAAGACCATCCAGCCAGTTAAAAGTGTATGTCCTAGGCACAGGCAAAGATTTCACGAAGAAAACACCAAAAGCAATTGCAGCAAAAGCAAACATTGAAAAATGGGATCTAATTAAACTAAGGAGCTTCTGCACAGCTTAAGAAACTATCATCAGAATGAACAAACAACCTACCAGAATTAGGGAAAAGTTTTGCAATTTATCCATCTGATAAAGGCCTAATATCCAGAGTCTACAAGGAGCTTTAACAAATTTACAAGAAAAAAAAAAACAAAGGACCCCATTAAAAAGTGGGCAAAGGACATAAACAGATGCTTCTCAAAAGAAGACATTCATGCAGACAACAAACATGAAAAAAAGCTCAACATCACTCATCATTAGAGAAATACAAATCAAAACCACAATGAGATACCATCTCACACCAGCCAGAATGGTGAATATTATTAATAAAAAGTCAAAAAACAACAGATGCTGGCGAGGTTGTAGAGAAAAAGGAATGCTTTTACACTGTTGGTGGGAGTGTAAATTAGCTCAACCATTATGAAAGACAGTGTGGCAATTCCTCAAAGATCTAGAGGCAGAAATACCATTTGACCCAGAAATCCCATTGCTGGGTATATACCCAAAGGAATATAGATTATTCTATTATAAAGATACATACACACATATGTTCATTGCAGCACTCTTCACCATAGCAAAGACATGGAATCAACCTAAATGCCCATCAATGGTAGACTGAATAAATAAAATGTGGTACATATACACCATGAAATACTAAGGAGACATAAAAAGGAACAAGATCATGTCCTTTTCAGGCACATGGATGGAGCTGGAAGCCATTATCCCCAGCAGTCTAACACAGGAACAGAAAACCAAACACTGCATATTCTCACTTATAAGTGGGAGCTCAAATATGAGAACACATGGACACATGGGGGAGAACAACACACACTGGGGCCTGCCAGAGGGGATGAGGGAGGGAGAACATCAGGAAGAATAGCTAATGCATGAGGGGCTTAATACCTAGGTGATGGGATGATCTGTGCAGCAAACACCATGGCACATGTTTACCTACGCAACAAACCTGCACATCCTGCACACGTACCCCTGAACTTAAAATAAAATTTGAAGAAAAAAAGTGTATGTCCAAAAAATTCTTCAAGACATGGGGATTACTGACAGTTAATATTAAGTGGAAAGTAGAAAGGTAGGGAGGATTTCCTCTTCTGATAATGGTGCGCTCCCAACTCCCTGCATACTCCACCCCTTCTATCCTCTTCCCCAAAGCTGCATGGCTGCTGGGTTTTTCTTTTGTATTTGTATTTTTTTGTTTTTTATTTATTATTTATTTATTTATTTTTGAGACGGAGTCTTGCTCTGTTGCCCAGGCTGGAGTGCACTGGCGCGATCTTGGCTCACTGCAACCTCCACCTCACAGGTTCAAGCAATTCCCCTGCCTCAGCCTCCTGAGTAGCTGGGACTACAGATGTGTGCCACCACACCCAGCTAATTTTTTGTATTTTAGTAGAGACGGGGTTTCACCATGTTGGCCAGGATGGTCTCTATCTCCTGACCTCATGATCCACCCACCTAGGCCTCCCAAAGTGCTGGGATTACGGGCATGAGCCACCATGCCTGGCATTTTTTGTTTGTTTGTTTTTGGAGATGGAGTCTCACTCTGTCACCCAGGCTGGAGCACAGTGGCACGATCTTGGCTAACTGCAGCCTTGACCTCCTGGGCTCGGGTGATTCTCCCACCTCAGCCTCCCAAGTAGCTGGGACTATAGGCGTGTGCCACCATGCCTGGCTAATTTTTTCTATTTTTAGTAGAGATGAGGTTTCGCCATGTTGGTTAGGCCAGTATTGAACTCCTGACTTCAAGCAATCCGCCCACCTCAGCCTCCCGAAGTGTTGGAGTTACAGGCACGACCCACTGTACCTGGCCAGGTGGGGCCTTTAAGAGGCGATTAGGCTCCACTCTCATGGATGGGCTTAATGTCATTAAAAAATGGCTTCCAAGGTTGAGCATGGTGGTTCACGCCTATAACTCTAGCACTTTGGAAGGTGGAGGCAGGTGGATCACTTGAGTCCAGGAGTTCAAGACCAGCCTGGGCAACATAGGGAGACCTCATCTCTACAAAAAATAAAAGCCGGGCTTAGTTAGCGTGTGCCTGTAGTCCCAGCTACTCTTGGGAGGCTGAGGTGAGGGGACTGCTTGAGTCCAGGAGGTTGAGACTGCAGTGACCCATGATTGTGCCACTGCACTCCAGCTTGGGTGACAAAGTGAGACCCTGTCTGGGGAAAAAAAAAAAAAAAGAAAAGGCCTCCAGGAGTGGATTTTTGCTCTTGCCCTTCTGGCTTGGACCGTGGGATGATGCAGCATGAAAGCCCTCACAAGATGCTGACACCATGCTCTTGAACTGCCCAGGCTCCGGAACTGTTTGCCAAATACATTTCTGTTTATTGTAAATTGCCCAGTCTGTGCTATTTTGTTATAGAAACATAAAATGGACGAAGACACACATGCATTAAGGAAAGGTTATGTGAGGACACAGAAGAAGAGAATCATCCACAAGGCTAGGAGAGAGGCCTCAGAGGAAACCAACCTTGCTGACACCTTGATCTTAAACCTCTAGCTTCTAGAACTCTGAGAAAATAAATTTCCGTTTTTTAAGTCACTCAGTCTGTGGCATTTGATATGGCAACCCTAGTAAACTAACACAACCCCAACAGATGATATGGTTTGGCTCTGTGTCCCCACCCAAATTTCATTTTGAATTGTAATCCCCACGTGTCGAGGGAGGGAGGTGTTTGAATCATGGGGGCAGTTTCCCCCATGCTGTCCTCGTAATAGTGAGTGAATTTCACGAGATCTGATGGTTTTCTGTTTTTGTTTTTGTTTTTTTTGAGACGGAGTTTCACTCTTGTTGCCCAGGCTGGAGTGCAGAGGTGTGATCTCGGCTCATTGCAACCTCCGCCTCCTGGGTTCAAGCGATTCTCCTGCCTCAGCCTCCCGAGTAGCTGGGATTACAGGCATGTGCCACCACACCAGGCTAATTTTGTATTTTTAGTAAAGACGGGGTTTCACCATGTTGGTCATGGAGTCCCGACCTCAGGTCTCAAACTCCCAACCTCAGGTGATCCGCGCGCCTCGGGCTCCCAAAGTGCTGGGATTACAGGCATGAGCCGCCATGCCCACCCAAGATCTGATGGTTTTATAAGCATCTGCCATTTCCCCTGCTTACACTTTCCTCTCCTGCCACCACATGAAGAAGGTCCTTGCTCCCCCTTCACCTTCCGCCATGATTGTAAGTTTCCTGAGGCCTTCCCAGCCATATGGAACTGTGAGTTGATCAAAGCTCTTTCCTTTATAAATTACCCAGCCTTAGGTAGCGTCTTTATAGCAGTTTGAGAACAGACTAATACAACAGGGTTCTTAAGGTCAGGCCATTCTGGGCCAGAAACGAGAGGATTAGCACCTGGAGTGGCCACAGGACATTTTTCTCACCACCAACATACCACAGCTTTATCAAGGGAGCTCAGCACTGAATTAATTCCCAAGAAGAATAAAAAGGAATAGGAGGCATAAATCTTGCTCTCAAAGAGTTTACAGTGTTATTGAGGAAAGAGATGGCATTTACTGAAATAGTTGCTGTGTTCCCACCAAAAGGAAATGAAAGTCCAGTTCCTAAAGGAGAACTCTCCTGTTTTGAAGGGTCTGACCTCACTGTAGAGCCCAAGTATGCCCCATTGCACGCACAAACACACAAAAGTTTCATTTTTTAAAACTAAACTATCGAAATGGTAATCAATGCTTATGACGTATTAAGAGACAAAAGCCATTTGCAAAAGTATATATATAATATAAACCCAATTTTATTTTTTTGACACAGGGTCTTGCTCTGTTGCCCAGGCTGGAGTGCAGTGGTGCAACCTTGACTCACTGCAGCCTCCGCCTCCCAGACTCAAGTAATCCTCCCACTTCAGCCTCCGGAATAACTAGGACTACAGGCAGGTGTCACCATAACCGACTAATCTTTGTATTTTTAGTGGAGACGGGGTTTCACTACGTTGCCCAGGCTGGTCTTGAACTCCTGGGCTCAAGCAATCTGCCCACCTCAACCTCGCAAAATCCTGGGATTACAGGTGTGAGCCACTGCACCCAGCTCCCCCAATTTTATTTTATATATGTGCATATATGAAAGAAAATATATAAACATGTTTCTGTGCATTCTGTAATCATTTCTATTGCTGCATAAAAATTTACCATAAAATTAGCAGCTCAAAAAACACAAATGTATGATTTCATAGTTTCCATAGTCAGGAGTCCAATCTTGGGTTCTCTGACTGACTCCTCTGCTCAAAGTCTTCTAAGACTGAAATCAAGATGTTTACTGAGGCTGGGCGTGGTGGCTCACACCTGTAATCCTAGCACTTTGGGAGGCCAAGGCATGAGGATCACCTGAGGTCAGGAGTTCGAGACCAGCCTGGCCAACATGGTGAAACACTGTCTCTACTAAAAATACAAAAATTAGCTGGGCATGGTGGTGGGTGCCTATAATCCCAGGTACTTGGGAGGCTGAGGCAGGAGAATCGCTTGAACCCAAGGGACAGGGGTTGCAGTGAGCCGAGATTGCGCCACTGCACTCCAGCCTGGGTGAAAGAGTGAAACTCTGTCAAAAAAAAAAAAGAAAGAAGGAAAGAAAGAAAGAAAGAAAGAAGGTAAGTTGGCTGAGCTGAGTTCCTTTCTGGAGCTTAGGGTCCTCTTGCAGGCTCACGTGGTTGTTAGCAGAACTCAGTTCTTTGTGGTTGTAGAACTAACGTCCCTGGATTCTTGCCAGCCATCAGCCAGGAGATGCCCTTACCTCCTAGGGGCGGCCTTTCCTGCCACTCTCTTCTGCCTTGTGGCCCTCTCCACACGTGGTAGTTTGCCTCCTCCTCTTGGTCCATGCCGGCTGCTATAATATCATAGAGTACCATAACCTGGGGGCTTGTCAACAACAGGAATTGATTTCTCACCGTTCTGGAGCCTGGAAGTACAAGATCACAGCGCCAGCAGATTCGGTGTCTGATGAGGGCCTGTTCCTTAAGGACAGTGCCTTCTCCCTGTGTTCTCCTTGGTGGGAGGGGTGAGAGCTCTTTCTTGGGCTTCTTCTAAGGGCACCAGTCCCATTCACGAGGCTTCCACTGTCATGACCTCATCACCTCCACAAAGCCCCACCTCCAGATACCATTACCTCAGGGGTAAGGATTTCAACACAGGAATTTTGGGAGACACAGTCAGACCACAGCACTCTTTAAGGCCAACAGAAAAGCATCTGCTGCAGCTTCATCTCTCTCTGACTTCATCCCTGACCTCTAGACCCGGAGGTAAAGGGCTCATGTGATCAGGTCAGGCCTGCCCACAGGCAAGGGAAGGACATTCTACAGCCATCTGGCCAGTGGGGCAAGAATCATGGGACCCACATTGAATTCTGCCTATTTACCCTGAGTAGAATTAGGGAGTGATCTAACCTAAGTTATTATTTTACATTTTTTTAACTTAGTTGCTAACTTGTATTTTTAGTAGAGACGGGGTTTCACCATGTTAGCCAGGCTGGTCTCGAACTCCTGACCTCAGGTGATCTGCCAACCGGGGCCTCCCAAAGTGCTGGGATTACAGGTGTGAGCCACCGCACCCGGCCTCACTTGCAGAATTAATCCCTACTTCAATAAGAAAAAAATCACTGCCCCTTGATAACGGAGGGGACCCAGTACAATCAACCCCCAGCAGGTGGCAGACTGGTCCCCCAGGGTATGATGCCATTTTGAAGGCTTAGGGTTGATTTCTGCAGTAGGTCGCTTGGGCACTCTGTAGTGGCCATAGCTAAATTGGCTCTGGAATGGTCAATTCCATGCTGTTGAACCAATATATAACCTCCATCCCCTGCCACTGTTCCACTCTGTCGATGAGTAAGTACTGGTTAGGGAAAGAGATTATTTAAAACCTCCTCTGCAATGGGCACCCTTTGGGGAACATTCACAAAAGACACAAATATCCTCACATTGTGGGTTCATTCTATTTCTTTCTTTAACCCTCTTGTTACCAGTCTTTGCCCGTCTTGCTTTTTCCAAATTCCTGACCACTGACCGTTAGCTACCACACACAAATTAGAGAGGTCCACACCTCATATCGTCTCTCCTGGACAAGAGGATCATACGTGATGTAATCCTTGAGGTTCTGGGCTTTGGGGAGGATTTCCCGTCTCCACTGTCCTCAGAGTCCCACTGAGTAGGGCTGAGCTCCGCAGAAGTTCATCTTCTTTCTTTTTTTTTTTTTTTTTTGAGACAGAGTCTGTCTCTGTCACTCAGGCTGGAGTGCAGTGGTGCTATCTCTGCTCACTGCAACCTCTGCCTCCTGGGTTCAAGTGATTCTCCTGTCTCAGCCTCCCAAGTAGCTGGGATTACAGGCACGTGCCACCACATCCGGCTAATTTTTGTATTTTTAGTAGAGATGGGGTTTCACCATGTTAGCCAGGCTGATCTCAAACTCCAGACCTCAAGTGATGTGCCCACCTCGGCCTCCCAAAGTACTGGGATTACAAGCATGAGCCACTGAGCTCGGCACTTTCTTTCTTTCTTTTTTTTGAGACAGGGTCTCATTCTGGTTGCCCAGGGTATGGAGTGCAGTGGCATGATCTCGGCTCACTGCAGCCTTGACCTCCTGGGCTCAGGTGATTCTCCCACCTCAACCTACCAAGTAGCTGGGATTACAAGTGTGTGCCACTATGCCCAGCTATTTCTTTTTGTATTTGTAGTAGAGTCATGCCCAGGCTGGTCTCAGACTCCTGGACTCATGTAATCAATCCACCTGCCTCAGCCTCCCAGAGTGCTGGGATTACAGACGTGAGCCACTGCGCCCGGCCCAGAAATCCATCTTCTGCTGGTGCCAGCATATTGTTCAGAGCCATCAGACACCAGACTTCCTTGCTTTCCTCCCCTGTCAACTGCTCGTGGGGTGTTTGTGGGGAGGAAGGGTGACAGGAGTAGGCATACTGGGTGGGTGACAACCTGCTCGTGCAACTTGCTTGTGCCTGCAGGACTTGCACGAGCCTGCTCCCATCCATTCGAGGGTGGGGTGCTGCTGGCATACAAGACTCCATGGCTTGGCAGATCAGACGACATTCAGTGCACGTTGGGCTGTTCAGTTCCATGTTCACAGTAATCTAGTATCTCATGGATATTCACTCTCAACCACAATGAAAGCTGTTTCTCGGGAGACTGGTTACTCACAAAAGAGGGTATGGCTGGCCAGGCACGGTGGCTCATGCCTGTAATCTCAGCACTTTGGGAGACTGAGGCAGGTGGATCATGAGGTCAGGAGTTCAAGACCATCCTGGCTAACATGGTGAAACCCCATCTCTACTAAAGATACAAAAAATTAGCTGGGCGTGGTGGCACACACCTGCAGTCTCAGCTACTCGGGAGGCTGAGGCAGGAGAATCGCTTGAACCAGGAGGTGGAGGTTGCAATGAGCCAAGATCGTGCCATTGCACTCCAGCCTGGGTGACACAGTGAGACTCCATATCAAAAAAAAAAAAAAAAGAAGAAGAAGAGGGTATGGCTTTGCTCCAAAGCCACCACAGACACATTGAGCACCACGGGATGCATTGAGGTATAAGCGCATCCTGTAAGATGTCTGAGTGGACAATGAGGTGGCACAGTTCTCTATGTCGTGGCCCAGAACCAGAGAGGTGACATCGTTCCAAGGCAAGGTACCAAAGGAGTGTTTAGTTCCTTGTCAGGTACCAGTAAACTTCTGGATCTTTTTGGGGTCATAAAAATGTTCCAAAGAAAGCATAGTGATAGTTGCACAACTTTGAGAATACACTGAAAATCACTGAATTGTATACTTTAAAAGGGTAACGAGTATGGTATATAAATTATGTATCAATTTAAAAGAAAACTCCTAGCCAGGTGCAGAGGCTCGCACCTGTAATCCCAGCATTTTGGGAGGCCGAGGCAGGTGAATAGCTTGAGTCCAGGAGTTTGAGACCGGCCTGGGCAATATAGTGAAACCCCATCTCTACAAAAAAATACAAAAATTAGCTGGGTGTGGTGGTGCATGTCTGTAATCTCAGCTACTTGGGAGAATGAGGTGGGAGGATTGATTGAGCCTGGGAGGTAGAGGCTGCTGTGAGCCGTGATAGTGCCACTGCACTCCAATCTGGATGACAGAGCAAGACCCTGTCTCAAAAAATAAAAATAAAATTCCTAGTGTTTCCTGTTTCTATTCAGATCAATAGCTGAATGCCAGGTACCAGGGTCTATGATTTGTATCAGTAAGGAGAGGGTCTATGGAAGAGCTGCATTTGAAGTCACCACCTTATTAAATTTCCCAGTACCCAAGGATCAGCTGTCTTGTCTACAGGCTAAATATGTGAAGTCCGCGAGGCCACAGTACGGATGACCTCTGCATCTTTGAAGTCTTTGATGGTGGTATTAATCTTTGAAATTCAAACAGGGATGTGGTGCAGCTTTTAATAAACTATTTTCATAGACAGGAGGAACCCAGAGGTCTCTGTTTAGCTCTTCCAACAGTAACAGCACTCTCTCCTGGGTCAAAGAGCCCCAGCCAAGATTCTGAAAGTTGTTAAGGCACAGCAGCCACAGGATGTGTTTACAGACCTACCGGTCACACAAGATGCCCCTGGGCCCAAAGTCCACCTATTATCACCTGATGCCCAAAACACCCATTTGACAAATGGACTGCAGTAACAATTCTTTTTTTCTTCCTAGGAATTTGCATGAGCTCAGATCGTGTCCAGACCAGGTGCAGTAGCTCACGCCACCTAGCACTTTGGGAGGCCAAGGTGGGAGAATGGCTGGCATCCAGGAGTTTGGGACCAGCCTGGGTAACAGAGAAAGACCCTATCTCTACACAAATAAAAAATAAGCAATTAGCCAGGGGTAGTGGTGTGCAAGAGGCTGAGGTGAGAGGACTGCTTGATCCCAGGAGGTGGAGGCTGCAGTGAGCCATGATCACACCACTGCCCTCCAGGCTGGGTGACAGAGTAATAAGACCCTGTCTCAAAACAAAAACAAACAAAATAATTTTTAAAAAAGATTGTGTCCAGTGCACAGTTACTCTGGTAAACATCCACATGCACCTTTAGGGAAGGCCCAGGTGACGACTGAGAGTCCATCCTCGTGATGATAGCATGGGGTTTTTCTCAAGACTTCCAGCCTCCCCTGCACTCCTGGGAACCCAGGCTGGAGACTGAGCTCTGGGAATTGGGTGAGGGGCAGGGACTCTGTATTGTGCCTTCTCAGGTCACATACATATCCGTCCTCAACACCTGGAGCTTTTTGGTTGCATAAATCAAGTAGGAGCTTAGCTGGGCTGCCACATCTCATTCAGTCCCAGAGACCCCAGGCTCAGACAATGTCACCAGAAGTCTCATGGACTTGCCTCTGGAGGAGCTGCTACATGGCCTCTGCCACCCATGATCCCTCCCTCCCTGCCAAACACAGGGCCCCTTTCAGGCAGTGTTGTCCATGTCACCACAGGCTTTTTTTTTCTTTTCTTTGTTCTTCTTTTTTTTTTTTCGAGAGGGTCTCATTCTGTCACCCAGGCTGTAGTGCACTGGTGCAAACATGGCTCATTGCAGCTTCAACCTCCCAGATTCAAGGGATCCTCCCACCTCAGACTCCGGAGTAGCTAGAATTACAGGCACACACCACCACGCCCACCTAGTTATTTTATTTATTGTAGAGATGGGGTCTCACTGTGTTGCCCGGGCTGGTCTCGAACTCCTGGGCTCAATCAATCCTCCTGCCTCAGCCTCCCAAAGTGTTGGAATTACGGGCATGAGCCACCATGCTCAGCCTCAATATGTTTTTGAAATAGATCCTGCAGATTTTGCTGATGGATTGAATATAGAGCGAGAGAAAAAAAAGAGCTGAGGTTGATTCCAACATTTTTGGCCTGAGATCTTAAAAGGCTGGATTAGGCAATTATACTTGATCCTTGAACAACACGGTTTCAAGCTGCATGGGAACAGCTACGCGTGGATTTTCTTCCACCTCTGCCAAACCCTCCTCTTCCTCCTCCTGAGCCTATTCAACATGAAGATGACAAGGATGAAAACCTTTATGATGATCCACTTCCACAGACTGAATAATAAATATATTTCCTCCTTCTTGTGATTTTCTTAATAACATTTTCTTTTCTCTGGCTTACTTTAAGAATACAGTATATTTTATATATATGTATATGTGTATATATATGTATATTTTATATATATTTTATATACGTATATTTTATATACGTATATAAAATATACATATGTATATAAAATACATATATATGTATTTTATATATGTATATTTTATATATATGTATATATGTATACATATATATATATAAAATATGTGTTACTCAACTCTTTTTTTTTTTTTTTGAGACGGAGTCTCGCTCTGTCGCCCAGGCTGGAATGCAGTGGCACGATCTCGGCTCACTGCAAGCTCCGCCTCCCGGGTTCACGCCATTCTCCTGCCTCAGCCTCCCGAGTAGCTGGGACTACAGGAGCCCGCCACCACGCCCGGCTAATTTTTTGTGTTTTTAGTAGAGACGGGGTTTCACCGTGTTAGCCAGGATGGTCTCGATCTCCTGACCTCGTGATCTGCCTGCCTCAGCCTCCCAAAGTGCTGGGATTAAAGGCGTGAGCCACCGCACCTGGCCTACTCAACTCTTTATCATATTGGTAAGGCTTCCAGTTAATGGTAGGCTATTAGTAGCTAAGTTTTTGGGGAGTCAAAAGTTATATGTTTATTTAGGCCGTGCCTGGTGGCTCATGCCTGTAATCCCAGCACGCTGGGAGGCCGAGGTAGGCGGATCACTTGAGGTCAGGAGATCGAGATCAGCCTGGCCAACGTGGTGAAATCCCGTCTCTACTAAAAATACACAAATTAGCTGGGTGTGGTGGCAGGCACCTGTAATCCCAGCTACTCAGGAGGCTGCGACAGGAGAATCGCTTGAACCAAGGAGGTGAATGTTGCTGTTAGCCGAGATCACACCACTGCACTCCAGCCTGGGCAACAGAGCGAGACTCCGTCTCAAAAATAAAAAAGCTATATGCCCATTTTCAACTCATGCAGGGTGGGGATCAGTGCCCCAACCCCTGCACTGCTCAAGGGGCAACTGTACAGAGATGGGGAGGGCTGTCAGGGGAGCAGATTCAGGAAGTATAGTTAAGAGTTTTGGGAATTCCAAGATCTGAAGTAAGTACACTTATTTTCAAAACAGATACAGGTCTGAAATTTTGTTCCTGCCGACTTCATCTCTCACTCTCAGAATCCACCCCCACATAGACTCCCCGAGTGCTTTTTGTTCCTGATATAAAATACCAAAATCTTACTATCACTTCTGTGTGTAAGCTTGTCCCCCCAGGTTTTCTTTGTAAGTATTGTCCTAAAGTATGCTAGGATTTGGAGGACACTCCAAGGTCAGGAAAGGATGGGCGTAAGGAGGATTGTCACACCTGTGCAAGGGCCTTCAGACAAGGCTGGAGCAGCCTCCTCCTATGGGGGAGTGAGTATCTCCACTGGCAGGGCAGGGAGATGGAGACGGCTCAAGAGTACGGGATCCTTTGTGTCCCTGAATCCTCCTCCTAGGCAGTCCTCCCCCAACACCTGAGGCCCTGCTTTTTGTCTATCTGTGCCTTATTAAAAGAGGAACCTAGGCTGGGCACGGTGGCTCACGTCTGTAATCCCAACACTTTGGGATTCCGAGGCGAGTGGATCACCTGAGGTCAGGAGTTCAAAACCAGCCTGATCAATATGGTGAAACCCCGTCTCTACTAAAATTAAAAAATTAGCCGGGCTTGGTGGCATGCGCCTGTAGTCCCAGCTATTTGGGAGGCTGAGGCAGAAAAATCGCTTGAATCCGGGAGGCGGAGCTTGCAGTGAGCCAAGATCGTGCCACTGCACTCCAGCCTGGGCAACAGAGCGAGACTCCGTCTCAAAAAAAAAAAAAAAAAAAGAGGAACCTAGTGAGGCTGGAAGCTCAACCTACACTGTGATTCAGCGACCTGTAGAGTCAAGTCTGCTCCCGAGTTCTGGCTATGTCAATCCCAAAGCTTTAAGACATAAAAGATTCTCAGTGGTTCTTTGCTGGTGGTAACTTGGAGATGTGTGGTATTTTTGGTTGTCAAAAATTATCAGAGGGGCCGGGGTGGTGGCTCACACTTGTAATCTCAACACTTTAGGAGACTGAGGCGAAAGGATTATCTGAGCCCAGGAGTTTGAGATCAGCCTAGGCAACATAGTGAGACCCCCATCTGTATGAAAAATTTAAAAATTAGCAAGGTGTGGTGGCACGTGCCTGTAGTCCCAGCTACTTGGGAGGCTGAGTCGGGAGGATCATTTAAGCTCAGGAATTTGAGGCTTCAGTGAGACTTGATTGTGATACCTAGGTGACAAAGCAAGACTCCAACTAAAAAAAAAAAAAAAATTTGCCTCCAAGACTTGTATACTTTTTGATGGTATGATGGTATAAAGGGAAATTATTTTAACTTAAATCTTTAATTATTTGCACACTAAATTGTACTGTGTGACCTTTCTAAATTATCTTTTAAATTCTTGTAATTATTTTGCAGAGTTCTTAAGAATAGAGACAATTTTAATTCTTCTGGTCTGTGTCTCTTTTTTTTTTTTCTTCTTGCTCTGTCACCCAGGCTGGAGTGCAGTGGCACACTGAAGCCTTGACTTCCCAGGCTCAAGCAATCCTTCCATCTCAGCCTCCAGAATAGCTGGGAATACAGGTGAACATTAGCAGGCCCCGCTAATTTTTGTACTTTTTGTAGAGACAGGGTTTCGCCATGTTACCCAGGCTGGTCTTGAACTGCTGGGCTCAAACAATCCATCCTCCTCACCCTCCCAAAGTGGTGAGATTTTAGGGCTGAGCCACCTCACCTGGCCTGCCTTTTTCCCCACGTTTTTCTTGCCTTCTTGCACTGGCTAGGGCCTCTAGCACAATGCTTAGGGAAAGCAGACATCCTTACCATGTTCTTGATATCAGGTGGAAAACGGGGTACATGTTTACACTGAAATAAACTAGATTCCAGGCCATAAAACAAATCTGAATAATTGTTTCTTTTTTGAGACGGAGTCTCACTGTTGCCCAGGCTGGAGTGCAGTGGCATGATCTTGGCTCACTGCAACCTCTGTCTCCCTGGTTCAAGTGATTCTCCTGCCTCAGTCTCCCCCAGTAGCTGAGATTACAGGCATGTGCCACCACGCCCAGCTATTTTTTTTTTTTTTGTATTCTTAGTAGAGACAGGGTTTCACCATGTTGGTCGGGCTGGTCTTGAACTCCTGACCTCAAATTATCCGCCTGCCTTGGCCTGCCAAAGTGCTGCGATTATAGGCATGAGCCACCGCTCCCAGCCACAAATCTGCATAAGTTTTTTAGAAGGACTGATATCATGCAGGGCATGTCCTCTGACCACAGTGGAATTACACTGGAAATAAATATCAGTAATATTGTCCACACCATGTAAAATGCAGAAACCTTGGCTGTGCTTATGTAGATACATGTACTCTCCCCATCCTTTAGTAATTGTCATATGTATTACCTTGACATATGCTGTAAACCCCATACGCAATGCCATGATTTTTGCTTTACACAATCAAATGCATCTTAAAGTCATCAAGAGGACCAGCCTGGGCAATATGGCAAAACCTCATCCCTACAAAAAATACAAAAATTAACTGGGCCTACAGGTGCACCTGTAGTCCCAGCTACTTGAGAGGCTGAGATGGGAGGATCTCTTGAGCCTGGGTGGTGGAGGCTGCAGTGAGCTGTGATCACACTATTGCACTCTGGCCTGGATGACAGAGCAAAAGCTTGTCTCAAAAAAAAAAAGTCAGCTGGGTGCGGTAGCTCACACCTGTAATCCTAGCACTCTGGGAGGCTGAGGTGGGAGGATCACTTGAGGTCAGAAGTTCAAGACCAGCCTGGCCAATATGGTGAAACCCTATCTCTACTAAAAATACAAAAAAATTAGCCGGGTATTGTGGTGTGTGCCTATAATCCCAGCTACTCAGGAGGCTGAGGCAGGAGAATTGCTTGAACATGGGAGGCGGAGGTTGCAGTGAGCCGAGATCGCGCCACTGCACTCCAGCCTGGGTGACAGAGAAAGACTCCATCTCAAAAACAAACAAACAAACAAACAAACAAGAGAAAATTGTATATTTATATTTATACACTTTTTTTTTTTTGAGATGGAGTCCTGTCTAGGACAGAGTGCAGTGGCACAATCTCAGACTCACTGCAATCTCCACCTCCTGGGTTCAAGTGGTTCTCCTGCCTCAGCCTCTCCAGTAGCTGGGATTACAGGTGCCCACCACCATGCCTGGCTAATTTTTGTGTTTTTAGTAGAGATGGGATTTCACTGTCTTGGCCAGGCTGATCTCAAACTCCTGACCTCAGGTGATCTACCCACCTTGGCCTCTCAAAGTGCTAGGATTACAGGTGTGAGCCACCTCGCCTGGCTATATTGATACACATATTTAGGATTTCTGGTGCTCTTCATTCCTTCCTAGATATTCTTTCTAGTATTATTTCCTTTCAGCCTGACAAACATCTTTTTGCATTTATTATAGTGCAGGTCTACTAGTGATTAATTGTCTTTGTTTTCATTTATTTGAAAATATCTTTCTTTGGGGGCGGGGGTGGGACGGAGTTTCACTCTTGTTGCCCTGGCTGGAGTGTAATGGTGCGATCTCGGCTCACCACAACCTCCGCCTCCTGGGTTCAAGCAATTCTCCTGCCTCAGCCTCCTGAATAGCCGGGATTACAGGCATGCGCCACCACGACCAGCTAATTTTGTATTTTTAGTAGAGACAGGGTTTCTCCACGTTGGTCAGGCTGGTCTCGAATTCTCGACCTCAGGTGACCTACCTGCCTCGGCCTTCCAAAGTGCTGGGATTACAGGCGTGAACCACCGCGCCCAGCCAATTCTTGTTTTTTTTCAAAGATATTGTTCCACCGTCTTTGACTCTCATTGTTACTGATGAGAGGAACACACATTTTTTTATCCTTGATCTTCTGTATATTATGTATTATTTTTCTTTATTTCCAAAGCTTTTGCTTTATGTTTGATTTTCACCTATTTGACAATCATATGCCTTGTGATTTTTTGGTATTTATTTGGTGTGGGGTTTGCTGAGCTTCTTGAATCTATAAATGTGTGCCCACAAAATTTGAGACAAGGTTGGCTATCATGTCTTCAAATATTTTTGCCACCTCATTTTCTTTCTCTTCTTTTTCCAAGACTCCAAATACAAGGGTACTAGGGTTTTTAAATATTGTTTACAGTTCCCTGAGATTGTGTTTTTATTTTCAATTTTTTGTTGTTGTTCTGTCCTTCAGATTAGATCCCTTGATCTAGCTTCAATATCACTTATACGTCTGTCATTTATAATCTGCTGTTAAGCCTATCGAGTAAATTTTTGTTTCCGATGTTATGATTTTTAGTATAAAATTTTTAATTGATTCTTTTTTGTAGTTTCTGTTTCTCTGCTAAAGTTTTAAATTTTTATGTAGTCCCATTTGTGTATTTTTCCTTTTGTTGCCTGTGCTTTTGGTATCATTACTAAGAAGTCATTGCCAAATTCAATGTCATAAAGTGTTCCTCCTATATTTTTTAGAAGAGTTTTATAGTTTTAGCTCTAACATTTAGGTCTTCTATTCATTTTGAGTTAATTTTTGCACATGGTGTAGGATAAGGACCCAACATAATTCTTTTGCTTTTGGATATCCAGTTTTCCCAACACCATTTGTTTAAAGTACTGCCCTTCCCCTATTAAATGGTCTTGGCATCCTTGTCTGAAATTATTTGGCCATGTATTCAGGGCTGATTTGTGGGCTCTTTATTCTATTGTATTGTTCTATGTGTATATGTTTATGTCAGTACCACGCTGTTTTGATTACTGTACCTTTGTAGGAAGTTTTGAACTCAGGGAATGTGACACCTCCAAATTTGTTCTTTTTCAATATTATTTTGAATATTCAGAGTCTCATGAGATTCCATATGAATTTTTTTTTTTTTTTTTTTTGAGATAGAGTCTTGCTCTGTCACCCAGGCTGGAGTGCAGTGGCACAATCTCGGCTCACTGCAAACTCCGCCTCCTGGGTTCAAATGACTCTCCTGCCTCAGCTTCCCAGGTAGCTGGGATTACAGGTGCACACTACCACACCTGGCTAACTTTTGTATTTTTAGTAGAGATGGGGTTTTGTCATGTCAGCCAGGCTGGTCTTGAACTCCTGACCTCAGGTGATCTGCCTGCCTCGGCTTCCCAAAGTGCTGGGATTACAGGCGTGAGCCACCACACACAGCCCCAGGAATTTTCTATTTCTGCAAAATACAATGTAGGGATTTCAGTGTGGATTGCCTTGAGTCTGTAGATCACTTTTAAGTAACATTGGCATCTGAACGGTGTTAAGACTTCCAGTCCATGAACATGGAATGTCATTCCACTTATTTGTGTCTTCTTTAATTTCCTTCAGCAACATTTCGTAGTTTTCAGTATAAGTTCTTTGCCTCCTTGGTTAAGTTGATCCCTAAGGATTTTATTCTTTGTGATACTGTTATAAATGGAATTGTTCGCTTAATTTCATTTTTGTATTGTTCATTGTTAGTGTATAGAAATTAACTGATTTTTGCCTGTTGATTCTGTATCCTGCTACTTTGTTGAATGCATTTAGTAGTTTGTGTATGTGTGTAATCTTTAGGGTTTTCTACATGTAAGATTATATTGTCTGCAAACAGAGATAATTTCCCTTCTTCCTTTCCAATTTTTATGCCTTTTACTTCTTTTTCTTGCCCAGTTTCTCTGGTTAGGACTCTTCCAGTACTATGTCCAACAGAAGTGGTGAAACCAGGCATCTTTGTCTTCTTTCTGATCTTAGAAGAAAAGCTTTCAGTCTTTGGCCATTCAGGTTAAGTTAGCTTTGGATTTTTCATATCTGGCTTTTAATATGTTGAGGTACTTTTCTTCTATTTCTAGTTTGTTGATTGTTTTTGTCATGAAAGGTTATTGAATTTTGTCACGTGGTTTTTCTGCATCAATTGAAATGGTCATTTTTTTTCTCATTCTGTTACTATGTTGTATTACATTAATCCATTTTCATATGTTAAACCATCCTTGGAGTTTTTTATTCCAGAAGTAAATCCCATTTAGTCATAGTGTTCCTTTAATATGCTGTTGAATTTGGTGTACCAGAATTTTGTTGAGGAATTTTGGATCAATATTGATAAGCAATATTTGTCTGAAGTTTTATTTTCTTGCAGTGTCTTTGATGTCATGGTAATGTTGGCCTTACAGAATGAGTTTGAAAATGTTCCTTTCTCTTCAATTTTTTGTAAGAGTTTGAGAAGAAGTGGTGTTAGTTCTTCTTTAAATGTCTGGTAGAATTCACCAGTGAAGCTATCTGGTCCTAGGCTTTTCTTTGTTGAGGGGTTTTTGGTTCTGAATCCAATCTCCCTCCTACTGATAGGTCTTTTCAGAGTTTCTGTGTCTTCATCAACTCTTGGTATGTTGTGTGTTTCTATGAGTTTGTCCACTTCATCTGGGTTATGTAATATTTTTGGCATGCAGTTATTCTAGTACTCTTTTTTTTTTTTTTTTTGAGACAGGGTCTCACTCTGTCGCCCAGACTGGAGTACAGTGGTGCGATCTTGGCTCACTGCAACCTCCGCCTCCCAGGATCAAGCGATTCTCCTGCCTTAATTTCCCGAATAGCTGGGATTACAGGTGCACACCACCACACCGGGCTAATCTTTGTATTTTTAGTAGAGACGGGGTTTCACTATTTGTCCAGGCTAGTCTTGAACTCCTGACCTCAAATGATCCAACCCCCTCAGCTTCTCAAACTGCTGGGATTATAGGGGTGAGCCACGGTGCCTAGCCCTCTAGTACTCTCTTATAATTTTTTTTCTGTAAAGTTGAATGGCCCTTCTTTCATTCTGATATTAGTTATTTTACATTTCTCTTTTTTTCTTAAGTCTACTTAGTTAAAGGTTTGTTTTCAATTTTGTTGATCTTTTCAAAGAGCCAGCTCTTGGTTTTGTTGATTTTCTGTATTGTTTTTCTATTCTCTATTTTATTTATCTTTGCTTTAATCGTTATCCTTTCTATCCTTCTGCTAGGTTTGGGATATTTTTCTAGTTCCTTAAGGCGTAACATTAGGTTGTTGATTTCAAATCTTTCTTCTTTTTTAACGTGTTTACAGCTATGAATTATCTTAGCGCTCTTTATACTGCATCCCATAAGTATTAGTTTGTGTTTTTATTTTTTATTTTTTGCTGTTGTCTCAGGCTTACTGAAAATATTATAACATTGCAGAAAGAGTCAAAACAGTTCCACGTGGCATTTTAAAATTCATCCCAACTTCAGGCTGAGTGACCTGCAGGTTGGATAGACTGCCAATGTCCAAAAGCTTTAGCATTTCCCCAGTGTGAGAATTTACTTCAGTGACCTCCTAATCCAGGACTGAGACCTCAGGAACAGAATTATCTCTCCTTTTTCTCTCCTCCTCCTAAAATGTGATGGAGATATTTCTTACTGGGACCCTCTGAATCCTCTGCATCAGATGTGTGACATAGCCTGCTATCTTGTTGCAGGACTTCCTACTGGAGATAATAGCAATCTCCACACACACACACACACACACACACACACACGTTCATGTGGAAGTTGTTGCCCAGGCTCATGTAGTGCTTTTCTGTGATGACCCAGGCCACCTTATTCACGGCTTTGGTGTGAACATGACTCATCTTGGTGGGTCCTTGGTGAAAGAGGAAACCTGTTGTTGTTGTTTTGTTTTGTTTTTTTTTATGGTAGCAACGGCCTTTATTGGCTGCAGCAGGAAGTGGAAGAGGGGATATGGTGTCTGCAGATTAGATCACTGCCCTCCAAAAAAGCAGAAACCTGTTTTCATTTTAATTTGTCTAAAGATATTTTCTATTTTCCCTTGTGATTTCTTCTTTGACCCATTGGTTGTTTAAGAGTGTGTTGTTTAATTTCCACATATTTGTGGATTTTCAAATTTTCCTCCTGCTATTGGTTTCTAGTTTCATTCCAATGTGATCAGAAAAGACACTATGCATAATTTTAATCTTCTAAAATGTATTAAGACTTATTTTGTGCCCTAACATATGATCTCTTCTGGATAATTTTCTTTCTGTCTTTCTTTCTCTTTCTTTCTTTTTTTTCTTTCTTTCTTTCTCTCTCTCTCTTTCTTCCTCTCTCTTTCTTTCTTTCCTTCCTTCCTTCTTTCCTTCCTTTCTTTCTTTTTTCCTTTATTTCTTTCTTTGTTTCTTTCTTTCTCTCTTTTCTTTCTTTCTTCTCTTTCTTGCTCTCTTTCCTTTCCTTTCCTCTTACCCCCCCTCCCTCCCTCCTTTCCTTCCTTCCTTTCCTCCCTCCCTCTTTGCCTCCCTCCCTCCTTCCTTCTTTCCTGCCTTCCTCTCTCTCTCTCTTTCTCTCTCTCTCTCTCTATTTCTTTTTTTTTGAGAAAGGATCTTGCTCTGTTGCCCAGGCTGAAATGCAGTGGCATGATCATGGCTCGCTGTAACCTTGACCTCCCGGGGTTAAGTAATTCTTCCTCTTTAGCCTTCTAGGTAGCTGGGACTACAGGCATTTGCCACCACCACACCTGGCTAATTTTTTAAATTTCTTTTTGTGGAGATGGGGTCTCTCTATGTTGCCCAAGCTGGCCTTGAACTCCTGGGCTCAAGTGATCCTCCCACCTCAGCCTGCCAAAGTTCTGGGATTACAGGTGTGAGCCACCCTCCCTGGCCTTTGTGCACTTGAGAAAATTGTGTATTGTGATGTTGCTGGGTAGATGTTCTGTATATATCTTTTAGGTCAAACTTGTCTAAAGCATTGTTCGAATCCCCTATTTTCTTATTGATCTTCTGTCTGGTTGTTCTATCCATTATTGAAAATTGGGTTTTAAAGTCTTCTACTATTATCATAGAGCTATTTCTGTCTTTAATTCAGTTGATACGTCATATAATGAGGAACTCTGATGTGTGGTGCATATATGTTTATAATTGTTATGTCTTCCTGGTGAATTCACCCTTTTATCATTAAAATCGATTTTGTCTGATATTAACATAGTCATCCCTGCTTTGTTTATTACTATTTGCTTGGAATATCCTTTTCTATCCTTTCACGTTTAACCAATGTGTATCCTTAACCCTAAAGTGAGTCTCTTATGCTGTAACATAGAAACACTGTTTTTTAAAGCCATTCTGCCAATCTATGTCTTATTATTGGGAAGTTTAATTCATTCACATTTAAAGTAATTACCCACAGGGAAGAATTTACTATTGGTATTTTGTTATTTATTTTCTGTATGTCTTGAAGAATTTTTGTACATCATTTCCTCCATTACTTCCTTTCTTTGTGTTTAGTTGATTTTTTGTTGTGAGATGTTTTGATTCCTTTCTTATTTTCTTTTGTGTATATTATATATGTATTTCCTTTGTGGTTACCATGAGGATTGCATATAATATCCCAAAGCTATAACAATGTATTTTGAACTGCTATAACTTCACTTGAATTTCAAACAAAAACCCTTCCTTTACAGCCATGCCCCCTCCACTTTACATTATTGATGTCACAGATTATATCTTTATATATTGTGTACCCATTAACATATATTTATAATTATATCTTATGCTTTTGTACTTAAATTACATAGAACAATAAAATGTGAAGTTCTAAAATAAAATCGCAGTAATACTGGTTTTACATTTGCCCATTTATTTACCTTTACCAGAGAACTATATACTTTCAAAGAGCTTTTAAGTTACTATCTGGTGTTTTTTCATTTTAACTTCAAGGATTCCCTTTAGCTATTTTTGTAGGGAAGTCTAGTGATAATAACTTCTCCCAACTTTGCTTATCTAAAAATGTTGTAATTTTTCCCTCATCTTTGAAGGATGGTTTTGCCAGATATAGAATTCTCCACTGGCAGGTTTTATTCTTCCAGTACTTTAAACATATTATCCCATTGCCTTCTGGCCTGCATGGTTTCTGCTGAGAAATTTGTTGGTAATATTATTGAGGACCGCTTGTGCTTGATGAGTTGCATTTCTCTTGGAGATCTGAAGATACCTTCTTTGTCTTTGGCTTTTTGACAGTTTGATTATAACACATCTTGGTGGGGGTCTCTTTAGATTTATCCAGTTGAAGTTCATTAAACTTCTTGAATGTGTATATTCATGTCTCAAATATGGGAAATTTGGGGTCATATCATTTCTTAAAATCTCTCTGACCCTTTTTCTCTCTTTTTTTCTGTGACTTTCATAGTGATTGTATTGGGCCACCTGATGGTGTCCCACAAGTTTCATAGGCTTTGATCACTTTTTCCTGCACTCTTTTTTCTTTCTTGCCCATCAGACTCAAGAATTTCAAATGACCTGTCTTCAAGTTTCTGATTATTTTTTTCTGCCTTTTCGAATCTGTTATTGAATACGGGCAGTAAAATTTTCAATTCAGTTATTGTATTTTTCAGTGTCAGCATTTCTGTTTGGTTCTTTTTATGTATACATAATTTCTATCTCTTTGTTGATATTCTTATTTTGTTTATATATGATTTTCCTGCCTTCTTTTAGTTCTTTGTCCATGTTTGCCATTAGTTCTTTGAACATATATAAAGCAATTGTTTTAAAGACTTTGTGCAATAAGGTTGATGTCTGTGTTTATGAAGATTTATTTTGGTCCTTTGAATTAGCCATGTTTTGCTATTTGTTTGTACACTTTGTGATCCTTTGTTAAAAATTGGGCATTTGACAAAACAGCCACCTTTCCCAGTCTTTGCAGACTTGTCTCATGCAGACCACTAATCAGCCAGGCATGAAGGCATAAGGTGTTCCCAGGTCTTTTCATAGGTGTAACCGTAGCACACTAGTGCCTCAAACTCCTGGGCTCAGACAGTCCTCCTGCCTCAGCTTTCTGAGTAGCTGGGACTACAGGCATGTACCACCTACCTTTAAACGTCTTAATTTCCCCTTAGATTCTCCCCCTGCTTCCTCTCAAGGTCTTAGGTATTCTATTGTATTCCTTAATCAGTAATTTCTTACCTCAGGGGTCTGCAGGTCAGTTTTCAGAAGCTATGACCATTGCTTCCCACAGGTTCTTCCAGCTCGAGATCTGAGCATTGTCACTTTTGGCTGTCTGAGCTCCAAGTTAGACAATTACAGAGACCAATCCCTCAGGCAGCCCCTGGACAGCCTAGAATGTGGTGTACTTGATTGGTTCTGCTCCCTCTGACTTATGGAAAGAAGCTGGGAACCAGGACATTGCCTCCCCCAAAGTGCACCAGCTGGGGAGGGGATGGAGCATAGGCAAGTCAAAACATCATGAAATCTTGTTTGCTATAAATCTTGAGTGATTTCCAGAGCTTCCATAAAGGTATTCTAACCAGTCTCCAGTTGTTTATTTAATGTTTCCATGGGGAATACTGGCCAGGATATTCTTGGTCTACCATCTTACTGATGTCTGTCTTGCATCCATTATTTTGTTGTCGTTGTTTTTGAAATGGGGTCTCACTCTGTTTCCCAGGATGGAATGCAGTGGTATGAACATGGCCTACTGCTGCTTTCAAACTCCTGGGCTCAAGGGATTCTCCCACCTCAACCTCCCAAGTAGCTGGGACCACAGGTGTGCACCACCACATCTGGCTAATTTTTTAAAATTTTTTTGTAAAGATGGGCTCTCACTATGTTGCCCAGGCTGGTCTTGAACTTCTGGGCTCAAGCAACCTTCCCACTTCACCATTCTAAAGTGCTGGTATTACAGGCACGAGCCACTGTGCCCAGCCCATCCATGAGTTTTGATATGTTTTCCTTTTCATTTGTCTCAAAGTATTTTCTAATTTTCCTTGTGACTTATTTGACCCATTCTTCATTTGACTGCTTAGGTATATGTTGCTTAATTTCCACATATGAGTGAATTTTCCAAATTTTCATTTTTTACTGATTTGTAATTTATTTTATTTTAATTTTTATTTATTTATTTATTTTGACACTGAGTTATGAGACTGGCTAATTTTTGTAATTTTGTTAGAGGCAGGGTTTTGCCATGTTGCCCAGGCTGGTCTTGAACTCCTGGCCTCAAGCAATCCACCCACCTTGGCCTCTCAAAGTCCTGGGATTACAGGCGTGAGCCACCACACCTGGCCTGATTTGTAATTTAATTCCATTGTGGTGAGAGAACATACTTTGTATGATTTCCATCTTTTTAAATTTATTGAGGCTCATTTTATGACCTAGCCTGTGGTCAATCCTGGAAACAGTTCCACGAGTGCTTGAGAAGAATGTGCATTCTACTGTTGTTGGGTGGAGTGTTCTATAGATATTTTTTTAGGACTAGTTGGTTTATAGTGTTGTTAAAGTCTTCTATCTGCCCAGTTCTATCCAGTGTTGAAAGTGAGGTTGAAGTCTCCAACTACCAGCATTGAATTATCTATTTCTTGGCTCCTTGATTTATCACAGAATTCTTCCATCTTTCTGTGCTACCATCTAATGATAGCACACGATTCCTGTCCTAGTCAGCTCAGGCTGCCATAACAAAATACCACAGCCTAGTTGGCTTAAACAGCAGAAATTTATTTTCTCACACTTCTGGAGGCTGAAAGTTCAACATCAAGGTTCTTGGCAGGGGTTTGCTTTCTGGTAAGCACCCTCTTTCTGGCTTGAAGACAGCCACTTTGTCTTCACATAGTCTTTCCTCTAAGCATGGAATGGGGAACCCAGAGCCAGTGGGAGTGAGCAAGGGAGCTCTGGTTTCTTTTCTTCTAAGGACACCTATCCTATAGATCGGGTTCTACCCTTATGGCCTCATTCAACCTTCATTACTTCCCTACTCTAAATAGAGTCTCACTGGGGTTTAGGGTTCCAACACATGAATTTGGCGGGAACACAGACATTCTGTCCACATTTCTATCATGAAGAATGCTTTGGCCAGGCACAGTGGCTCACGCCTGTAATCCCAGCACTTTGGGAGTCCGAGGTGTGCAGATCACCTGAGGTTGGGAGTTCGAGACCAGACTGACCAACGTGGAGAAACCCTGTCTCCAATAAAAATACAAAATTAGCCAGGCGTGGTGGTGCCTGCCTGTAATCCCAGCTACTCGGGAGGCTGAGGCAAGAGAACCGCTTGAACCTAGGAGGCAGAGGTTGCAGCGAGCCGAGATCACGCCATTGCACTCAGCCTGGGCAACAAGAGCGAAACTCTGTCTCAGAAAAAAAAAAAAAAAAAGAATGCCTCATGACCACAAGATTTCTGCTGCAGTTTCAACATTCATGTCTACGTTCCAGACAACAGAAAGAAGGCGAGGGCAGAAGGGCACTTGTTAGCTGAGTTATATATATATTTTTAAGACGCTTTCCCTGAAGCATCACTCAAATTTCACGTGATTTCATTGGTCAGGACCTTGTCACATGGTTGCCCAACTGCTAGGAAGACTGCTAAATACAGTTTTTGTGTTTGTTTTAGCTAAGCACATTGTTCCCCCAACAAAATCAGGATTTGATTAATAAGGAAGAAAGGGGATGTTTATACTGGTGACCAAGAGCAGTCTCCACTCTGTCTTCTCCCTGGGCCATCTATCACCCATCATGTGCCCTTCCCATCCACAGAACACATGTGCCCTGCCCACCTGTCATCCAGTGACTGTAACCAGCTCAAAGTCCAGGGTCCCTGGGTGGTGTGTTGTCCTCTCCATCAGAGGGGGATGTATCTTGTTAGGGACCTGCAACTCATAATCTGAAAGATAAATCATCTGTCCCAAACACACCTAAAATACAGTGGTAGAGAAAGAATGGGGCATCCACAACAAAAACTCATTCAAAAAAGAGACACTAGGAAATACATCACAATCACCACCCCAGAATGTGATCACATCCTGAAGCCTTGCTGCCTGGGCAGTGGAGTGAGTCCCCTTGGCCAGCTCATGAGGCACTCCTGGGTGTGCCATCCATGGGGATCTTCCTGGCCCATTATCCCTCCGGGCCACGGCTGGTGTGGGCATTGAGGACATGCCCCTCCCAGAAACCATAATTAGGGCTTTTGCAATAGGCTTCCTGTTGGCATGAGTTCAGGGTCAGAGCCATGTGGCCAGCCTTTGATTTTCTATTTTTTTGTAATATAGTAAGTTTGCTTGCAGGGTATATTACTCTGGTCAAATCTACATGCAAGTAACCACAGGCCAATAGCTTGCTTCTCCCAGGTTTTTTTGTTTTGTTTTGATTGTGATTGATTTTGTTTTCTTTTGATTGTTTTGTTTTGATTGTGAAATGCATCATACATAAAAGAGTGCATATCATAGATATAGACATTTCAAAATGAAAACAAACCCCCATGTTCTCACTCCACCCCCCACACTTAGGTTAAGAAACAGAACATACAATTTAGAAGCCCGGGTCCCCTCTCCAGTCACATCCTCTCTCTCTCCCCAGGGGGACTTAAATCTTGATTTTGTATTAACCATTCCTTTACTTTTCTTTACATTTTCCCACATATTTACATATTTCTTTCTATTATATTGTTGAGTTTTTCCCCTTTTTGCACTTTCTACAAATAGAAAAAAAATCCTCCTACAACTTGAGTTTTTCCTTTCAACATTATGCTTCTCAGATTGAACCATGTTGATGCAGTGGCTACATTGATTCCATTTTCACTGCTAAGAAACGTTATGCCATTCTACAGTTGATCATGGGTCCTTACTGCCCCTATTTTTTTTTTTTTTGAGACGGAGTCTTGCTCTGTCCCCCAGGTTGGAGTGCAGTGGCACGATCTCGGCTCACTGCAGGCTCTGCCTCCCAAGTTCACGCCATTCTCCTGCCTCAGCCTCCCGAGTAGCTGGGACTACAGGTGCCCGCCACCATGCCCAGCTTATTTTTTGTATTTTTAGTAGAGATGGAGTTTTACCGTGTCAGCCAAGATGGTCTCGATCTCCTGACCTCGTGATCTGCCCGCCTCAGCCTCCCAAAGTGCTGGACGAGCCACCACGCCCGGCCAACTGCCCCTATTTTTATATGCACTGCTGCTCTGAAGATTTTTTGCAACAGATCCCTGGTTACATGTTCAAGCGTTTCTCCAGAAAATACAAATGTTTGTCAACTTAAGATAGGGTTACATCCTGATAAATCCATTGTTAACTGGAAATATTGTAAGTTGAAAATGCATTTCATACACGTAAGCTACCGAATATTATAGCTTAGCCTAGCCTAACTTAAATGTGCTCGGAACACATACATTAGCCTGCAGTTGGACAAAAACATCTAACATAGAGCTTATTTTATAAAGTATCAAATAGCTCATGTAACTTATTATTATTATTATTTAGATGGAGTCTTGCTTTGTCTCGAAGGCTGGAGTGCAATGTCGTGATCACGGCTCACTGCAACCTCTGCCTCCCCGGTTCAAGCGATTCTCCTGTCACAGCCACCTGAGTAGCTGGGCCACCACACCCGGCTAATTTTTGTATTTTTAGTAGAGACAGGGTTTCACCGTGTTGGCCAGGCTGGTCTTGAACTCCTGACCTCAAGTGATCCACCTGCCTCGGCCTCCCAAAGTGCTGGTATTACAGGCATCAGCCACCATGCCCAGTCTTCATGCAACTTATTAAATACACTACTGAAAATGAAAAACAGAATGGTTATGTGGATACTCGAAGTACAGTTTCTACTGAATGTGTATCACTTTTGCAGCATTGCAAAGTCGAAAAATCATACGTCAAATCATTGTAAGCATAAGTAGAGAAGGTCTGTGTATTTAGGAGTGGAATCACTGGGTCATGGAGTATGTACGTGTTTGACTGTTTCCTGATAGACTATTTTCTGCAGTGTTACATCAATGTACACCATCATATCCTGGCCGATACTTGATGTCTTCTGAAAATTTTTGCCAGTCTTTTGACTGAAATCTTATCTCAGGGCCAGAATTTTCATTTTCCTGATTACTAATGAGGTTGAGCTATGTTTGATGTATTTACAGGCAATTTGTGTTCCCTCTTCTGAGCAAATGTCCTTTCAATTCTGTTGCCCATTATGTGACTGGGTGGTTTGTTGCATTCTCATTGATTTATGGATAGTCTTAATATATTCTGGATGCTAATCCCATCACTATTATACTTACTGTAAAAATATTTTTTTTAGTCTGAAAATTTGGGGCTCTGTAACTGATGATCTCTGCCCTTTGCCCATCCCCCTCTGCCCATGCCTTGAGGTCATTTGAAACAATAAGTCCAGGTGGAAAGGCAACACCCTTAATTAGATCTTCCCAGTGGGCAGAAAACTCCTTCCTTCCTTCCTTCCTTCCTTCCTCCCTCCTTCCTTTCCTTTCCTTTCCTTTCCTTTCCTTTCCTTTCCTTTCCTTTCCTTTCCTTTCCTTTCCTTTCCTTTCCTTTCCTTTCCTTTCCTTTCCTTTCCTTTCCTTCTCTTTTCCCTTCCTCCCTTCCCCTTCCTTTCAGCTCACCACAACTTAACCTTTACAGCCCCAAACCCAACCTTCTCCATTCAGCCAATTCCCAAACTGCAGATTTCTGTAACTTGCAGCCCCCCTTTGAGATACCAAATTGGGATCGATTAGTATCAACTAGGATCTGATGGGTAATCCAAGGCTGAAGTGATGGCTCCATGATGTCTCCAGGGATTCAGGCTCCTTTTGTATTTCTGCTCAACGTTAGAATGGGCATCTAGCTTTCCCAACATGGCTGCCTGAGCTCCAGCCTTCACATCTCCCTTCAAAGCAGGGAGGAAGCAGAAAAGGCAAGGGCAAAAGGAGGCTGGTCAACTGATTTGGCTCTCTCTCCCATCTTCCTTTGCTATAAAATGTATTTGTATAAAGTATTAGGAACTTTTAGGTGGGAACAATCCTACCCAGATTTCACCACTAGGTTCAACAGAATGTAATGAGCCAGTGCTGTATCCAGTGTTAAACAGGCATGGCATGTTGCAACAAATGCTACACAGGACCACCTAATCTGCAAAAAAACTTATAACCATATTTTAAAGCTTCAGGAGGCAAAACTATTCCAATTCAAAACACTAAGAAACAGTCCCATCATGAAAACCAAAATCAACTTCTGAGGGTACCAAAAGGGGTACAGGACAAATGTGAGGAAAATCAGCATTTGTGGAGTTACAAATACGGGTTTTCTGTAAGACAGACATTAAAGAATTCAGTGACAAAGCTTGAAAATACAAAATAAAACAAAAGTCAGTGGTCATATAATTCAAAATTTACTTCAGAAAAGGCAAGGCAGGCCAGGTGCGGTGTCTCACGCCTGTAATCCCAGCACTCTGGGAGGCCGAGGCGGGCGGATCACTTGAGTTCAGGAGTTTGAAACCAGCCTGGCCAATATGGTGAACCCCGTCTCTACTAAAAATACAAAACTTAGCCAGGCCTGGTGGCGCAAGCCTGTAGTCCCAGCTACTTGGGAGGCTGAGGCAGGAGAATCGCTTGAACCCAGGAGGCAAAGGTTGCAGTGAGCCAAAATCGTGCCACTGCACTCCAGCCTAGGCGACAGAGCAAGACTCCATCTCAAAAAAAAGAAAAAAAGAAAAGAAAAGGCAAGGCAATAGAGTCAGCTTCTAGCCTGTCAAATCTTTTCTGCACTAACATTATCTACAGAAACACGTGGCCAATTTGTGCCTAGAGACTCCTATCATGCTGAATGGGGATTGTGTACAAACATGCTATGTACAAACCTGTGTACAGAACCAAAAGAATGTCCCCTGTCTCCCGTGGAGGTTATCAATAAACAGCAGGAAACCTCAAGCTTCATATTTTTGTTGCCTTACCAGAATTCCAAATAAATATTTCAGGGTGTGATTTTGTTTTTGAAGCTACTTCCCTCAAATATGTGCCCTATGGCAACAACTAACAATAATAAAAGGAAACCCTAGTTTGGGAAGCTGACCCATACAACACATCTGAGGGACCTTACCTTGGGGGACACACTGAGGCCAGCTCACCTGCTATGGAATCTTCCCCCAAAGCTCCGCCCATCAACTTCTTCTTACATCTCATTGGCCAGAATTTAGTCATGTGGTTAGCCCTCTCATTGAGGAGCCTAGGAAATACAGATTTTTTTTTAGCTGGGCACACACTGCTGACACCCCGTAAAATCAGGGTTTTGTTAACAAGGAAAAAGGAAATAAAAGATCTTAAGCGGGCCTGGCACAGTGGCTTACGCCTGTAATCCCAGCACTTTGGGAGGCTGAGGCAGGTGGATCACCTGAGGTCAGGAGTTCCAGACCAACCTGGCCAACATGATGAAACCCCGTCTCTACCAAAAATACAAAAATCAGCTGAATGCGGGGGCACACGCCTGTTATCCCAGCTACTCGGGAGGCTGAGGCAGAAGAATCGCTTGAACCCAGGAGGAGGGGGTTGCAGTGAGCCAAGATGGTGCCATTGCACTCCAGCCTGGGTGACAGGGCAAGACTCCATCTCAAAAAGAAAAAAAAAAGATTTTAAGTGGGCAACTCTAACTAGTAGGGGCAGAGAGGAATTTATCCCCACCAGAATTGCTAGAAGGGCTAAAAAAGCAGGTCCAGGCAAAGCTTCCAGAAACAACGCACTGCTTAATTGCTGTGATGAACCCCAGAAACACTGTCTCTGCTGCCTCCTATACCAGCAACAGACCACCTCCACCCATCCTGCTTCCTCATGTTGCTTCCAAATCAAAACCTCCTATGGGTGCATCTTATTGACGGAAGTTGGGTCACTGCCTGCAAGGGAGGCTGGGAAATGTAGCTTACCAAATTTTGACCTTAAGAAAAAGACAGGATTCACAGTTTTGGGGAGCCAGTGTATTTCACTGATTCTAAAACACACATTTTCCCCACATTTTCATGTCTCTGAAATCAGGATGCTTCTGACAGTTGGTGATGCCTCTGCCATTTGGCAGTTTGGTAATGTGGTTGACATTGCCTGCACACACATGAAATCTCTGCCTAAGACCAAGAGAGCATCTGCATTGAAAGAGTGCAGAGGGGGCATCAGCGGCTTGGAAGGAAATCCTGGGCCAACGGTGAAGCACTCTCTTCAAAAATGCTGCAACGCCAATGCTCATCAGGGCCCAGCGCACCGCCTATGGTGCCAAACCAGCAACACAGGCGATTCTGAGTATAAAAGGGATCCAGAAGACTCTGCAATAAATGTGGGTCCTTTTAAAATATATGCACAAGGGCTGGGCGCGGTGGCTCACGCCTGTAATCCTGGCACTTTGGGAGGCCGAGGCGGGTGGATCACCAGAGGTCAGGAGTTCGAGACTAGCCTGGCCAACATGGTAAAACCCCATCTCTGCTAAAAATACAAAAATTAGCTGAGCGTGGAGGCACATGCCTGTAGTCCCAGCTACTCGGGAGGCTGAGGCAGGAGAATTGCTTGAACCTGAGAGGTGGAGGTTGCAGTGAGCCGAGATCATGCCACTGCACTCCAGCCTGGGCAACAAGAGCGAAACTCCATCTCAAAAAATTAAAATATATGCACAAGAGAGATCTACACTTCACTAAATAGAAATGAGATCTTTCCTTTTTGCGACAGGGTCTCACTCTGTTGCCCAGGCTGGAGTGCAGTGGTACAATCATAGCTCACTGCATCTTCAAACTTCCAGGCTCAAGTTGATGCCTAAGTAGCTGGAGCTCATCCCTCATCCCCCCAAGTAGCTGGGACTACAGGCACGAGCCACCATGTCTGGCGATTGTTTTGTATTTTTGTAGAGACAGAGTCTCCCTATGTTGCCCAGGCTGGTCTCGAACTCCTGGGCTTAAGCAATCTGCCCGCCTTGGCCTCCCAAAGTGTTGGGATTACAAGCATGAGCCACCATGCCTGGCCTTAAATGAGATCTTTCAAGAACAAAATACAAATGCTAAATGATAAGAAAGCATTATGCCTGTGTTTAACTGTCTGCATTTCCTCTTACTGCTCCATAAAATAATGATGCATCTTACAATTGATGGCAGCTTAGATTTAATGAAATATCTGTCAACAAAGCATGGGGAAGAGCACAAAAGATTCTAGGCAACCGTGGCAAGTGCCTGCTGCATTCACAGAAAAGGCAATGAGGAATGGCATCCCTGCCTCTGACCACTGGAGGCAGCACAGTAGGAGCAGTCCAAGGACAGCTGCTGTTCTCTGATCTCAGCGGGGGCATAGACTACGTTTCTCCAATATCAGACCATGCTCGGCAGGCAACAGACACACACACGCCATCCATGCTTTTGGGTAGGACTGAACCCAAGGAAGAGAAGCAAACATTAACTGAGCACCTAGTGCGTATTTGGTGCTGTGCCGGGCACTTCATTCACAATATCTCACGTGAACCTTAAAACTTCCCTGGGAAGTAGTCCCATTTCACATGGAAGAAAGTCAAGATAAATGAGGTTAAGACTCTAATCAAAGGTAGGTGCAGTGGCTCACGCCTCTAATCCCAGCACTTTGGGAGGCCAAGGTGTGTGGATCACTGGAGCCCAGGAGTTTCAGACCAGCCTAGGCAACATAGTGAAACCCCTGTCTCTACAAAAAATATAAAACTTAGCCATGCATAATGGCATGCACCTGTAGTCCCAGCTACTCAGGAGGCTGAGGTAGGAGGATCACCTGAGTCCAGGAGGTTGACGCTGCAGTGAGCCATGACTGTGCCACTGCACTCCTGCCTGCATGACAGAAACCCTCTCTCCAAAAAAACAAAAAACAGAAAAACCCCAAAAAACAAAACAAAAACAACAATAAAAAAACGGACTAAACAAGGTCTCAGAACTAGTAAGTAACAAAGGCAAACTTGAAGCCAGGCTTGTCTTATTCCCAAGCTCAACCTCATTTCTTGGCAAGCTTTGTCCTCTCTTCTCTCTTTGATGGCAGTGGCAGCCCATCTGGAGAAGCCGCTGTGGGGACACCAGCTGCAGCAGGGGTGGTGCAGGTGGGGCTATGCTCTCTCCAGAGCTGGTGGGGCAGGAACAGGTGGGAGGCCTGCCCCCTACTGAGTTGGCAGGGTGGGACCCCTGTACTCCCAGGCATGGATGCAGCCACCCAGCCACAGCTTCAAACCGGGGCATCCCTGTACTCTCAGGGGCCTGAGAATCTCCTGGCCCCCACAGGCTCAGAAGTGCCTGCTCCTGCTCTCAGGCCTCTTCTCACTCCCGGGGCCTGCTGTGATTCTGGAGCAAAGTTGTGGCTGTGCCCAGGTGCTGTTGCAACCCAGCTGGCTGTGCACATGCTTGGCACAGAGCTGACACACCAGCCCCCTCCTCACCTCAGCCCCCTCCAGACCTTGGGCACTGACGAGCATGGGAGGGAGGCCAGGGGCCTGAGGGCAGCTCAGCAAGGGCCTGCAGTTGCCCCTTAGTGTGAACAGCCTGGGCACCGTGGATGACATGTTGATGACAGCAGGAAGCAGACAGGTTCCTAGGTGGGAAGGATGGGTCCTTGGTGAAACTCCACCTACAGGCCAGGGATGGCCTGAAGCCTGGGGGCAAGGCTGCCAGTTCTGGAGGAAGTCCACAGCACAGAGTGAGAACTTCATTGATGACCATTTGGCCAACTGGATGGTGCTTTTTCCAGGCCTGCCCATGGTTGACCATGGACCAATCAGCATGCACTTCGTCCATTCTGAGCGCATAAAAACCCCAGACTCAGCCAGACTCACACACAGGTGGGGATGACCTGCCTGCGGAAAGGAGCTACCCACTTTGGGTCTCCTGAGAGCTGTTCTGTTGTTCAGTGACGCTCCTCTCTGCCTTGCTAACCCTCCAGTTGTCTGCATACCTCATTCTTCCTAGATGCAGTACAAGAACTTGCAATCCAATGAATACTGGGACTGAAAGAGTTGTAGAACAAACAAGACTGAAGCATGTCCCCTGCTCACCACATTATGGGCAACAAGAAGGAGAGAAGAGCTGTGGCCCTTCTGGGAGCCCAGACCTCAGGGCTCCCCAAACCAGGACTGTGACAGGCTCTAACACCCTCTTTGGGGCTCTGCAGTTCCCAGTGTCTCCGAGCTTTCAGGTGCCATTACATTCCCCCTGTCCAGATGCTGGTGCCCGCAGCAGAAGCCACTTGTGGTATGTCTAGTCCACCCTCAGCCTGGCATGGACCCAGCGCCTGGAGATGCCCTCCCTGCCACAGTTGGTGCCCCTGGCTGTGAGCAGTGGCCGGACCCCACACTCGCTTGCTCACACACCCCTCAACACTCCCACCTGCAGGTGTGGGATCCCACCCTTAGCAGGTGTGGGATCCAGGCTGGTAGTGCAAGCCGAATGCAGCCTGCCAGGCTGAGTGGGAGGAATGAGCCCAGCAGGTGCAAGCAAAACCCAAGCAGAGGTGCCACCAGCCACAGAGGTCTCTGGCTGGTGAAGCAACACCCTAAGGATCCTGTGACATCTTAAGCCTGGACTTGTGGGGCTGTGAGGTTGTACTGAACCAACATCTACAGAGCTTAGAGTGAAGGAGAGGAGCACCTGGCCTACTCTTCTGGGCGGGTAGGGAAGGCTTCCTGGAGGAGGTGATGCTGAGCTGAACCTCATGAAAGTCAGTTAGGCAAACTAGGGCCAGGGAGGAGGACACTGAGGAGCAAGTGCTCTAGGAAGTGGGAACAGTAGAGAGGCAAAGAGCTGAGGTGTAAAAAGTACAGAAACTTAACAGCCTGTGTGGCCCCAGGTGGGTACAGACATGGGCACTCAGATGAATGAGCAGGTGGTACTTTTGGTGATTTTCCTCTAGGTGGTGCAGCCCCATGCCAGGTACATGGCTTGGTGAGAGGAGCACGGGCTGAACTTCGGGTCTCCTAGCCCCCACCTTGGCTAGTGCTTCTTGCAGAGCACAAACTCTGCAACCATATGCTGGAGAGCTGCTGCAGTGCATAGTGTGTGTGCTATTCATGAGGGCTGGCCCAAAGGACACAGTGACCATCCATTGCCTTCCTGAGCTAGAGCTCAGGGATGGCCAATGCCAACACTAAGAGATTCCTTTTTAAATTTTTTTTTTTTTTGGTAGAGACAGGTCTCACTATGTTGCCTAGGATGGTCTTGAACTCCTGGCCTCAAGAGATCCTCCTGCCCCAGCCTCCTAAAGCACTGAGGTTACAGGTGTGAGCCACTGTGTTTGGCCCCAATACCCAATAGATTCTTTTTTTTTTTTTTCCTTGAGACAGGGTCTCACTCTGTCACCCAGGCTAGAGTGCAGTGGTGTGATCTCAGCTCACCACAACCTCCACCTCCTGGTTCTAGCGATTCTCGTGCCTCAGGCTCCCGAGTAGCTGGGAGTACAGGTGTGCACCACCATGCCCAGCTAATTTTTTTGTATTTTTAGTAGAGACAGGGTTTTGCCATGTGGACCAGACTGGTCTCAAACTCCTGGCCTCAAGTGATCCAACCCACCTCAGCCTCCCAAAGTGCTGGGATTACAGGAATGAGCCACCGCACCCGGCTCCTGACAGATTCTTAATGTCTTCTCTCTGTGTGCAGTCTCTAGTTCCTCCCATTTGATTCTGGTCCCCAACACCCCATGACTGCATTTGTGTTTTGGTCTCTATCTCTTATGGTAGAGCCCCTTTTCACGTGTTGAGCAATCCACGATTACCTGCTCATATTGGGAGCTGCCCTGGTAGCTCAGAGTGTATGGGAGGGGCTGTTGACACATTGTCACTATAGGGTGATCTGGCTGTGCTCTTTCGCTGGGGAGCCCCCAGTGTGTCGAATTCTTCAAGAAAATTCTTCCAACTTCTTGTCTGACCTGTCCTTTCAGCTTGGTACAGCAGATGGGGCCTGGGTTTTCAAGCCGGACCACCCTGGGCCCTGTCCTGGCTCTACCGTCCTCCAGCTGTGCAAGTTTGGACAAGTTGTTGAATCTCAGGGGCTCGGTGTTCTCATCAGTGAAGTGGGTGTGATGACATCTACCTCCCTAGGATGTTGAGAGTTAAGCGGGCTAATGAATGGGGAGCACTTGTGTTTTCTCCCTCCTTGGCCTCAGCCGTGCCCCCAGCCAGGGGCTTTGTGTAGTCTCACTCACTGCTTTCCTCCATGTCTCTGGAGCCGCAGTCCCTGGGTTAGAGCTGCTCCCCGTGGCCCCCTGCAGAGACTGGCACCTGTAACAGGGCGTTTTGCAGAAGGAGGTGTGAAGCAGATAACAGGGTGTTTGTTTGGCCCTAGAGGGAGGGCACTGTGCCAAAGTGCATGTGGCCAACTCCACCCAGGGCAATTCGCTGTGACTACTGAGCAGGGAGCAGGGCAGCCCTTGTCAGAATGAGAATACTTGACTGCTGCTGGAAGGACTGATGGGAGCAATCTAGGCCGGAGAGGGAGGAGGAGGAGAGTCAGAGCAGGGTCTTTGCATTGGAGGGACTGGGGTTCAAGGCAGAAGGATTGCTTGAGGCCAGGAGTCAAGACCAGCTTGGGCAATACAGTGAGACCCCCTGATAGGGCTTGGATCTATGTGCCCACCAAATCTCATGTCAAATCGTAATTTCCCGCTCCCCAGTGCTGGAAGTGGGTGGAGTTCTCAGGAACGGGTTAGTACCATCCCCTTGGTGCTACTCTCGTGATAGTGAGTGAATGAGTTATCACGAGATCTGGTTGTTTAAAAGTGTGTAGCAATTTCCCCCTCTCTTTTCTCTTCCTCCTCCTCTGGCCATGTGAAACGTCTCACTCCCCCTTTGCCTTCCAGGATTGGAAGTTTCCTGAGGCCTCAGTGGACGCCAAGAAGAAGATGTTATGCTTCCTGTACAGCCTGCAGAACCATGAGCCAATTAAACCTCTTTTCTTTATAAATTACCTAATCTCAGGTATTTCTTTATAGCAATGCGAGAATGGACTAATACACCCCATCTTTTTTGAAAAAAAAAAATATATACACACACAAACATATGGCCAGGTGTAGTGGTTCATGCCCATAATCCCAGCACTTTGGGAGGCTGAGGCAGGAGATCACTTGACTCCAGTAGTTTGAGACCAGCCTGCACAACATAGTGAAACACCATCTGTAAAAAATAAACAAAATTAGCTAGGTGTGGTGGTATGCGCCTGTAGTTTCAGCTGCTTGGGAGGCTGAGGTGTAGGGATTGCTTGAGTCGGGGAATTTGAGGGGGCAGTGAGCAAGCTCACACCACTGTACTTCACAATCCAGCATGCGCTCTCTCTCTGTCTCTCTTTCTCTCTCTCTATTTTGTCATGCACCAAATAGCCCAGGTTGGATGGGAGCTATCTATCTATCTATGTATCTATCTATCTATCTATCTATCTATCTATCTATCTATCTATCTCCCACCCAGTCTAGGAGGAGTTGCTATACCCCTGAGTAGGTGGGGGTGTGTGTGTATATATACATATATATCTCATATGTAGGCCAGGCACGGTGGCTCATGCCTATAATCCTAGCACTTTGGAAGGCCAAGGCAGGTGGATCACCTGAGCACCGGAGGTCAGGAGTTCGAGACCAGCCTGGCCAACATGGTGAAACTCCGTCTCTACTAAAAATACAAAAATTAGCCAGGTGAGTTGACAGGCACCTGTAATCCCAGCTACTTGGGAGGCTGAGGCAGGAGAATCACTTGAAGCCGGGAGGCGGTGGTTGCAGTGAGCCAAGATCGTATGACTGCACTCATGCCTGGGCGACAGAGTGAGATTCCATCTCAAAAAAAAAAAAAAAACAACATATATATATATATATATATATATATAGAGAGAGAGAGAGAGAGAGAGAGAGAGAGAGAGAGAGAGAGAGAGACAGAGAGAGAGAGAGAGAGACAGAGTATGCCCCTACCCAGTCTCTGCCCTGCCCCCATTTTGTCATGCACCAAATAGCCCAGACTATATACCCCCACCCAGTAGTAGCCCCACACAAAGGCTAGTTGGTGCATGACAAAATGACTAATGTCAATGATGCAGGTGAGTTTTGCTTTAGGAAAACCAAACCACACTTGCCCAAATTTTAAGTTGACCATTTGAATTCCGAAGAAAGATTTGTAAAATAAATTTTTGTATTTTGGCATAATTCTAGATTTAGAGAAAAGTTAGCAATATAATAAACAGAATTCTCATATCCCCTTCCCCAAGTTTCCCCCTCTGTTAACATCTCATGTGACCATGTACATTTGCTAAAGCGTAGAAACTGAGCTTGGGGTGATCCTCTGAAGGCCACGTGGGACTTTATCTGAATTTGAAGAAACATCTTGGAAAAGTCATTCTCCTCTCTTGAGAAGCTAGGATCAGACATGAAGATGAACCACATCTGAGATGACAATATGGGCCATTGGAAAATAGGGTTCAAGGATACAAATGTGATGGAGCCAAGTTTGCAGGACAGCAAGGTATGAAGAGACGGTCAGTAGTCGGGAGGCCTCAGTTCCTGCCTGGGTCTGTCATTCACTCTGTGTCTTGGCAAGTCCCCTCACCAAAGTGCCTCGGTTTCTTCATCTGTAAAATGGGAATAACATTCCACGCCTGGTGCCCCTGGCAGAGTATGGCCGGTACTAGTTTCCCCCTCAAATCCATTCTCCCATCTTCCTCAGTAAGAACCTCTGCTTTTTGGCTGGGCACATGCCACTCCAATAAGGACTACATTCCCCAGCCTCCCTCCCGTATAGCAAGGGGGAGGCCAGGTGACTATGTGCTAGTCAATAGGAAAAAAGCAGAAGTGGTGTGTCCATCTTCCTCAGAGAGAGGTATGCCCTTTTCTCCCATTCCTTCAGCCTGTGGCTGGCAGGAATACTGTCATAGTGGCTGGAGCTCCAGCAGCCATTTCAGACTGTGCCACGACCCGGCAAATGGAAGGTTCACCTGGCAAACAAACATGGCATCAGAAGGCTTCCCTTCCATTGTACAACCTATTACCTTTAGACCAGGGTTTCCTAACCTGAGTCCTACTGACATTGTGGGCTGGATAATTCTTTGTTGTGGGGGCTGTTCTATGCATTATAGGATGTTCAACAGCATCCCCGGCCTCCACCCACCATACACCAATAGCACTCCCACCCACCAGATTGCCATTGTCCTCTGGGGGCAAAACAACCTCTGGTTGAGAAACCGCTGCTCTGGGACAAATTGCATCCAATAAGAATATAATGCAAGCGGCTGGGCACAGTGGCTCGTGCCTGTCATCCCAGCACTTTGGGAGGCCGAGGCGGGCGGATCACCTGAGGTCAGGAGTTTGAGATCAGCCTGGCCAACATGGCGAAACCCCATCTCTACTAAAAATACAAAAAATAATTAGTCGGGTACGGTGGTGGGCACCTGTAATCCTAGCTACTCAGGAAGCTGAGGCAGGAGAATCGCTTGAAACCGGGAGGTGGAGGTTGCAGTGAGCCAAGATTGTGCCATTATATTCCAGCCTGGGCGATAAGAGAGAAACTCTGTCAAAAAAAAAAAAAAAAAAGAAAGAATATAATGCAAGCCACAAATACCAGCCATGTATGTAAATGTTTAAAAAGTAAAAATACGCCAGGCGCGGTGGCTCACGCCTGTAATCCCAGCACTTTTAGAAGCCGAGGCCAGTGGATCACCTGAGGTCAGGAGTTCAAGACCAGCCTGGCCAACATGGTGAAACCCCAACTCTATTAAAAATACAAAAATTAGCCGGGTGTGGTGGCAGGGCACCTGTAATCCCAGCTACTCGGGAGGCTAAGGCAAGGAGAATTGCTTGAACCCAGGAGGCGGAGGTAGTGGTGAGCCGAGATCGCGCCATTGCACTCCAGCCTGGGCGACAGAGCAAGACGCTGTCTCAGAAAAAAAAAAAAGTAAAAATAAATGTAAAATTAATTTTCATAATAATATTGTATCTAACCAAATACATTCAAATTGTTATTTATTATATGATCTGTATAAGAATTACTGAGGGGCTAGGTTACATTCCTTTTTTATATACAGGTTTTACATTTCCAGCACACCTCGATGCAGACCAGCCAGATCTCAAGTGCTCAACAGCCGTATGTGCCAAGAGGGTACCTTAGCGGGTGACATGAACTCTAGACTTCTGGAACTTGAGGGAGAAATAAGCCTCTATCTCTTCTAAGCCACTTCATTTTGGGGTTTCTGTTACTTGCAGAGAATGTAATCCTTACCAGCACACAGGGCTTTTGATGAACCACATGCTGTTGAACACTCAAGAAGAAATTAAAGCGAGACTGCTGACCCAGGGCTGAAAAGCAAAGTGCCTTAGAGAAGCCAGGCAAGCCTGCCCTGCACGCTCCATCACTGTCTTAATGCTCCCAACGGCTCCATCAGGGAGGCATCATCATCTTCATTCCATAAACAAAGATTCTGAGCTTGGAGAGCGTGGTGGGTGCTGTCATGTCCAGCCAAAGTGTCCCTCTCCAGCTGCGGCACTCAAGCCCCTGCTGCAGGGAGCCTTGGCAGGTGATAACACTGACAGGTCCCTCTCCAGGACTCAGCTGAGCTGCTTTGCCCAAAGTGATGTCCCTTCCCCAGGGCAACCACATCTGTCCATGACTGGTCAAGGTGGTATAGAAAGGCTTGAACCCCTGCCCAAATTCTGGACAACTTGGAGCACCAGCCTGGCCCTGAGCTCATATAGGATCCACTGAGGCCTCACAGCTTAACTCTGTCCTCTGCTCACTGCTTCCCTCGTTCAGCGCTGCTGATCCCAAGATAAACTGTGATAAACATGTGTGCACACGCTTTCCCTCTGGCTCAATTCCGCCCTCTACGTTGGCCATCCTTCAACTCCTATTCATGCCTCAAAACCATCTTCTCAGACGTGAATCCCCAGTATTCATCGTGATCTCTTTCGAGAGCAGCTGGGAATCCCTTGTGGGGCTGCTAAGGGGGTGACACCTGAGTACTCAGTGGGCCCCTTTCTGCTGCCTCTGCAGGGACCCCGGGCTGATCCTGGGAGCAGAGGACATCTGGTCACAGCACCTTTGCCCAGTGTGGGGTGAAGAAAGGAATGCCGGGCCTTAAGACAGGAATGGATGAGAGTCGGAGTATGGTTGTTGAATTTACAGGCCTGGCCTCAAATCCCAGCTGTGGCAGTCAGCCTCCCAAGCCTGTTTCTTCAATCAGAAGGTCAGGTGATGTCTCTTCTTCTCAGTGTCGGGAGATGACAGTGCATGGCTCTGGGTCTGGTGCATAGTAAAAATCAATGTTCCCACCACATGGGAACTGTGAACATTCACAGAATAAAAGAGGAACTGGCAGGCCATCTCCTGCACATCTGTCTCCTCCTCCTCAGCAGCCTGGAAGCCCCAGGGGTCCAGACTAGGCCTAATTGGGCCCTGTAACACCCAAGAGTCATGGGCAGAAATATGCATTTTTGTTCACACAGTGTGACTCAAATGCTGTCTCTGTAGGCATTGCTGAATTCTACCCTCCCATAGTTAAAAACCTACAAAGAGAGAGAAAGTAGGCAATGACCCAAAATACAGAGAGTCATACTTAGGTCATGAGAGCCATCATCCCTGAGAAGCTAAACTCACCTGAACCTAAGCTTCACCACAACCATGAAATGAGCCCTTATTATTCCCAATAGCAAAACCCAGATCCACAGGGCCCAGCGTATCATTTTTCCATTTGTATGAAACAAACCAGCCCACACCTCAGTGGCGTAAGGCCACAGCCATCCATTTGCTCTCGAGCCTGCATTTTGGGCAGGGCTTGGGTGGGCAGGGCTTGCCTCAGTTCTATGAGGTGTGGTTGGAGGCAATCCCCTGGGGCATCTTAGATGGGCTCTGCGGAGTGGCCAGAGGGATTGGAGGCTGACCAGGTCTCCCTCTCCAATGGGGCATTTGGACTCTACCTGGTGGCTCAGAGCTCTGGGAGAGTTAAGAGAAGCTGCCTATCATGCTTGTAATCCCAGCACTTTGGGAGGCTGAGGTGGGTGGATCACCTGAAGGTCAGGAGTTCTAGACCAGCCTGGCCAACATGGTGAAACCCCGTCTCTAATTGAAATATAAAAAATTAGCTGGGTGTGGTGGCAGGCACCTGTAATCCCAGCTACTCAGGAGGCAGAGGCAGGAATATCGCTTGAACCCAGGAGGCAGAGCTTGCGGTGAGCTGAGATCCTGCCATTGCACTCCAGTCTGGGCAACAAGAAACTTCGTCTCAAAAAAAAAAAAAAAAAAAAGAGAAGCTGCCTAGGGGCCAGCCCAGAAGGGAAAAGCATTACTTCCTCTGCATTCTATGGTTAAAGTAAGTCACAGGGTCAGCCCAGGCGGAAGGGGGAGGGGAGGGAAACAGACACCACCTCTTGATGGGAGAAGCAGCATGAGGTCAATTTACTCCACCCAAGGTCATAGATTCAGATGGAGCTAAGTAGTAAACCCAGGTCTGAACCATCTAATAATATTGACTGCCCTTCCTCCAGGCCTTTGCAGGAGCGTCTACTGGGCCGGAAACCTCCCTCCATCTCCACAGATTGGTTTCACTTCCACTCACCCATCCATCAGGAGATATCACTTCATGCTGGAGCCTCTTCGGAGCTCCAGAGTCCTCCTCTGTGTTCCCAGGGCAGCCTCTACGTCCCTGACCACACTGTACTGTCACTGCTGCTTACCCATGGACCTCTCCTGTTAGAACTCAAGGACGAGTCCAGCAAAGGACATGTTCTTTCCAGACCACCCCAGAGTGTCTCCCATTTAAACAATGGGTTTGTCATGGACCCTGATGGGGTGAGGTTGGTTGTGGGGGTCGGTGTTCAGGATGTTTCTTTGGAAGTTCCCTTAAGAGTAACCCCTGGGCAAGGAACTGGAAGGAAGCAGGAGGGAGACCCTGAGCAGGACACAGGTCTTGTGACAGCTTTGACTGTCTTCATGGGGAGTCCTGGGGCTAAAATACCCCATCAGCACTGTCCCCAGTCAGGCAGAGATGGCCAAGCTTTTATACTTCTGCTGGGATAGTCATTGGGATGTGGGCTATCCCAGGAGGGACATGACAGAGGGCAAGGCTGCTCTCTGAGCAGGGGCAGTTCCTGGAGAAGCCGATGGCTGGGGGACTGTCTGCTGACAGCACCACCTGAAGCCGGGGAAATATTCCCATTCTCCTAACAGGGCAGAACAGTGGGGGGCAGTCCTTGAGGGCTGCACAGAGGAAGTGGTTTGCCAGTTGTGACCTATGGCTGGAGGGAGGAGGGCAGGAACAGCAGAGTGAGGGAGGGTTTTACCCACATCCATGCGTGGGGGAGTGGGGAGTTCTGGACCAGGTCCCCAAGGGATGTCATTTGACTGGATTAATACTCAGGGACAGAATCCCCATCTCCTCTGTGCCAGGTGCTGTGCCATGTACTGGAGAACCGGATAGCACCTGGATAGGGGTCAGGGCTCCAGGGAACTCCACTCCCTCCTAATGGCCCTCCCCTCCACCCCATGACCCACTGTCTACACTGCTGCCAGACTGATCTTTCCAAAAGGCAAATCATACATGTGACTCCTCTGCTTAAAACACAGAATAAAATCCTAGCTCCTTGTCCTGGCCTGCCAGGCCCTCTGATCTTCCCCGCCCTCCTCACCTCATCTCCTAAGCTCTCCTCAAGACCAGCCATGCCAAGTAGGTCTTCCTCAAGGCTTTGGCAGTCACTGTTGCCAAGGGGGTAGGGAACTATGCCTGGAACTATTTTTCCCTAGGTGATGTTCACAGAGATGCTTCCTTTGCATCCATCAGGTCTCAGCTCAATGTCACCTCCTCCAGGAAGGCTTCTCTGATTACTCTTTTGGTGCATTCCTTTTTTCTTTTTTTATGTTTACTCAACAAACATTTATCTTAACTATGTCCCATGCACTGTTCTAGGCAGTGCAGGTAACGGGGTGTTAAGCGAGCCAGGCCCTGTCCTCTTGGAGCTTACAGTCTAATGGGAAAGACAATCAGTACACAAGTAAAAATAAAAAATAAAAAAATGTCGGCCTGACTCGGGGGCTCACGCCTGTAATGCCAGCACTTTGGGAGGCCAAGGTGGGCGGATCACCTGAGGTCAGGAGTTCGAGACCAGCCTGGCCAACATGGCGAAACCCCGTCTCTACTAACAATAAAAAAATCAGTCAGGCGTGATGGGGGGCGCTTGTAATCCCAGCTACTCAGGAGGCTGAGGTAGGAGAATTGCTTGAACCTGGGAGGAGAGGTTGCAGTGAGCCCCGAGATCGCGCCACTGCACTCCAGCCTGGGTGGCAGAGCGAGACCCCGTCTCAAAAAAAAAAAAACCAACAAAAAAACCCCCATGATTTCAGAGCGTCTGAAGTGCTATGAAAAAACAAGAGCGAGGAAAGGCGACAGAGAGGGCCTAGGCTGGAAATCTCGGAGCCGCTCTGGAGACCGGCCCTGGGCGTAGAGTGGGGAGCAGAGGCCAGAGGGGCCGTGTGGAGCGGGTTGGGGGCGGCAAGGGTCACCTGAGCCCCACATCGGAGTTTGGGGAGAGCACCCGGCCGGCCCTAGAGCCCTCTGGTCTGGCCGCCCCGGAGGCGCGCTCGCTCGCCGGAAAGGCACGCGCGGGAGTCAGCCAGGTGCGGCTGCCGCGGGGAGCCGCCCTCCGGGCCGCGCTTCCTGGGGGGCGGGTCTCACCGCTGTCCCGCCCCTGGGCCGCCGATAAATGCGCCGAGCCGGCCGGCACCGCGGGTTCGGAGCGCGAAGCCGCCGCTGGGTCCTCGGCGCGCCCCGCGTCTGCGCTTGCTGCCGCGCCCCGGTCGGCGCGCTGGGAGTTCCAGCCATGCTCTTCTGGCACACGCAGCCCGAGCACTACAACCAGCACAACTCCGGCAGCTACCTGCGGTAAGGGCCGCGCGCGGTCCCCGCGGGTCTCGGGCCGGGCCGGCGGGCCGGGCGCCGTTGGACGTCCAGGGGCGGAGAGGGGGCGCCCCTGCTGGGCCCTGGCCTCCCCGCTGTCCGCCCTCTGGGGACTGAGAGACCCGCCCAGCGTCCCGCCTAGGGACTGACAGATGGACGCCGGCGGGACCCGACGTGCGGAGTTGGGGGCCCGCTGGGGAGGCGAGCGCGCAGAGCCCTATGTCTGCGAGGGCTCCTCCCAGGCGGCAGAGAGGGTGCAGGGCGCGCACCTGCCGGCCCGCCGCCTCCCCTGGCCCGTCCGCCCCCTGCGGCCCTCCTCTCCCCCGCGTATCGGAGAAGCAGAGGAAACTTCCTGCCAGCAGCCTGGTGCCCGGCCCGGGGAAGTTCGTCCCCTGCTCTTTGCCCGTCTCCGCCGGGGCCCCTCTCCCAGCCTCGCGCCCTCTGCAGTGCCCTTCCTTGGACGAGGGGCGGGCGGCGGGCTCGGAGGGGCAGGCCGCCCCACTTCCCGCGATGGTCTTGCGCGTGTTCGCCCGAGGCCCGCGTGGTTATTGCCCTTGATGGAAATCTTTCTTCTGCTGGAGGGATTTGAGTAGTGCCCTTCAGAGGGGAAAGTAAGTCCTGCGTGTTTTGCACAGTTCCCCACAGGCCCCTCTTAGCAGTAGGACCCCGTGTGCTCTCGCTCCCGGAGGATTGTTTTTCCCTGTTCTGCTGCTGGCCGGGACTAATGGGCAGTCATTTCACTTTGTGAACTCGCCTGAACCAGCTTTAGCCTGTCCTTATTTCCATCTTAGTCACAGTTTATGAAATGTGCCTAATTTAACCCAAAGGGCATTTGATATGGGCTCAAGGAAAATGAATGATGAGGCCGAAGGAGTCACAGGCATTGACAGCCCCCATACTAGAGCTACCTTTAAGTGCTAGTTTTGGCCCCAAGAAGTTCCCACTTAGATCTTAAAACGTTATTTGTAATTCCTGGCTGCTGGTAGGTATTTGTCCTCCCTGAAGACATCCCCTTTTCCTGGAGGCGGGGGAATGATTGGGTTTAGTGGATGTATCTGCTGTTTTTATTCATGGGCCAAAGTAGTCGGAGATGGCAAAGGTCTAGAGCCTTAAAGGCTGACAGCCACCCGGCAGACCACGGTGATGTCACCAGAGGGAAGCCCAGGAGGAGATGTTAATCACCCAGAGATTAAGTGTCCATTCACTTGCAAGAAATGCTACAATGGAATACATTTTTACTGTACTGAAGTTTTAGTTGTAGCTTTGGCTAAGTTTTAGTTTGCTGCCATTAAGTATGTTGCCATATCTTAACAATGAGTTTGAAGGTGACCCTGAGTTGAAGGTGAGTGTACTTGAAACTTCCTAGATACCTACAATGTCCTCACCCCGTTAGGGAACAATTCTCCCTTGCCTGGGAGGTACAGTTCTGACATCTGCTACCGAGATGGAAGTTTGTCTGGAGTAGCTCAGGTACCTTTTAGGATTTGGTGAAAGGAGGAGGGTGAGCGTTGGGAGTGGGTGGTGCTGTAAAGCCATATTGGCTTCTGGGGTCATCGGGGGACCATGGATAAAGAAGTCCTTGCCCTTTTTTATTTCACTTCTTGGAAGCTGGGAGTTTTGCCCTCAGTGAGGGCCAAGGTGGCGGTTTGTGCATATGCCCCTGGTCCCCTGACTCTAGAGGGAGGGTCTGGTCCTTTTCCTTGCGTTTTTTGTATTTTATTTTTGGTCGTCTCCTCACTTGGCAGAACTTCTGCAAGCTGTCTGACCTCACCAGGGTAGAGGCCTTTACTCCCTTCCCCCTTTCTGTTTGATGTTCTCGTGACTTTTATTCCTTGGCAAATAAAGATGCCAGGCTTGAAACAAGTTACTGTTGAGGGATGGTTCTTAACTTCCTCTGCCCACCCGCCCCTGTTTAAAAAATTTAAAGGCAGCAGTCCGTGGATTATTAACTTGACATGGTCTGGGCAAACATGAAATTATGCAATCCTCAGTGTTCCTAGAGAACCACCCGGGCTGGGAGTGTGCCCTGCTCTGACAAAAGGAAGACGCCCTGTGGGGGAAAGTCGAGACGGCCTTGCACCCTTATTTTTCGGCAGTGGATGGTGACGGGGGAGGCCCACACAGGGCAGGTTTTCCAGGTGTGTGCTCAATGCCAGGCTTTTTCTTCTCAAAATTGATGAGATGTTGATGGGGTGTGTGCCGGGTTTGTGTTGTAGAGACGCTTGTTTATGATGTGCGAGGAACAGATTGTACCAGTGACTCTGTTTATACAGACAAGTGGGGTCAGCTAATTGGATTCCTAGTCAGGGACCCACGAAGGGAAGAGGGTTATCAAGATAAGAGCACTGGCACTTATTTGGCACTTGTTTATGTGCTGCTCATAATTTAGAGACCTTACACAAGCCTTGCCTGCCTGTAGGTCATTCATGTTCTCAAGGAATTCTTTGTCCCTTGTAAGGGCATTTTTAAAATGCTGGGTTTTTTGTTTCTTTCTTTTTCCTTTTTTTTTTTTTTAGAGATGGTGGGGTCTCACTATGGTGCCCAGGCTGATCTCAAACCCCTGGCTTCAAGCAGTCTTCTCACCTCAGCCTCCCAAAGTACTGGGATTTCAGGCATGAGCCACTGTTCCTGGCTTAAAAAATACGTCCAGAAACAAGTTCCTCCCTAAGTCGCAGGATGATGACTTCATTTTTTTTTTTTTTTTTTTTTTTTTAATGTGGAGAGTTTTGTTAAGAGGTGGAGGAAAAGAAACTTGGAGCAAGGATTTCAAGATTTCCCACTTGGATAAGAAAATAGACTGGGCTGGGCGCGGTGGCTCACACCTGTAATCCCAGCACTTTGGGAGGCCGAGGAGGGTGGATCACCTGAGGTCAGGAGTTAGTGACCAGCCTGACCAACATGGTGGAACCCTGTCTCTACTAAAAATACAAAAATTAGCCAGGTGTGGTGGCTCATTCCTATAATCCCAGCTACTCAGGAAGCTGAGGCACAAGAATTGCTTGAACCCGGGAGGTGGAGGTTGTAGTGAGCCGAGATCACGCCACTTGCACTCCAGCCTGGACAACAAGAGTGAAACTCCGTCCCCCCCGCCCCCGCCCAAAAAAAACAACCACACAAACACAGACTTGAAGCCAAGGTCCTTCCTTCCTGTTTGCCTTTTGGACAGATTAGAATGACCCTGAAAACAGTGTCCAGTTGTCCTCTCTTTAGAAGGGATGGAGGAATGTCTCAACCTGGGTACTCAGGGAGGGAAGGAAGTGGTTTGTTCATTTGCATAGTTTACAGAGCCTGGAGGACAGAGTTGTATTGCTATGAGAAGTGGCCGGTAAATGGAATTGTTGATTAAAAAATAAAAATGTTTGTTTAGATTTTTATTCTAAAAGTGAAACTTTATGAGTGATCGCTTGTGGATAGAAACCAAATAAATGTCTTAGAGGTCCCTTTGCTGCTAGCCTGTCTCTGGCATGGAGAGGATTTCTGTAGATGTTAGCTAACTTTGCCCTTTTACCTCCTTGATGGGCTGATTGAATCAGTGTTTTGGGGGGTCATTGAGTGAAACTAGAGTCACGAAGGAGCGGTTTCCTCTGTTTTAAAGCATCTGGAGTATTCGAGGGTTGCAGGAGTGCAGCCAGCACCCTGCGATGCGCGTGCCGTGTCACCCTGGGCCCCGGTGGTCTGCGTCGTCTCTCTAGCTTCGCCCTGGCTCTGTGCAGGAGCCCCCTGGGGCTCTGCTCCTGACCTCTGCTTCCCGTGTGTTGCAGTGATGTGCTCGCTCTGCCCATCTTCAAGCAGGAGGAACCCCAGCTGTCCCCCGAGAACGAGGCCCGCCTGCCACCCCTGCAATATGTGTTGTGTGCTGCCACGTCCCCAGCCGTGAAGCTGCATGAAGAGACGCTGACCTACCTCAACCAAGGTAGTGGCCAGAGGCCCCGGGCCAGGGCGGAACCCAGAAGTAGTGGGGAGCTGATGCGAAAGGCCCATTTGGGCCTTGTGACTTTGTTACGGTGGGTGAGGTCGGGCGAGGTCGGGCTCGGGAAAGAGAACAGGTGCAGGTTCAGATTCCATTTTCCAGCTGTGTGACCCCCTCCAGCCTCAGTGTCTTCATCTGAAAAATGGAAACATCAGATACCTCACGCGGGTAACAGGGTAACACTCTGCATTCCTCCTATAGCCCCTCCATGGAGCAGATGCTAGCATTATTTCTGTTTTTCCCTCCCTCCCTCCCTCCCTTCCTTCTTTCTTTCTTTCTTTTTTTTTTTTTTTCCTTTTTTGAGGGGGTCTTGTTCTGTTGCCCAGGCTGGCATGCAGTGGCATGATCATGGCTCACTGCACCCTTGACCTCCTCAACCCAAGAAGTGACCCTCCCACCTTAACCTCCCAAGTAGCTGGGATCACAGGTGTAGACCGCCATGCCCGGCTAATTTTTAAATTTTTTGTAGAGCTGGGGGGGTCTCACTATGTTGCCCAGGCTGGTCTCAAACTCCTGGGCTCAAGTGATCCACCTGCCTGCGCCTCCCAAAGTGCTGGGATTATAGGCCTAAGCCACTGTGCCTGGACACATGGTGATTATTTATTGTGACCATGATTGTGTCCTTTGAAGACATACACTGAGTACCGTCAGCATCCCAGGTCCTGGAGCTGCACCTGGCAGTGATGGGATGGCTGGCCTGTGTCCTGCGCAGCACCGGAGCAGGGTTCCATCCATGCTAGACAAAAGTCCTCTGTGGTGATGGGGACAAGTTCCCTCACCATGTCCTGAGGGAAACAGGCTTTGGAGTTTGAATTCCAACTCTGGCACTTCCTAGCTCTGTGACTTGGAGCTGCCTTTTTTTTTTTTCTCTGAACCTCAGTGTTTTCATGTGTAAAACAAGAAGTATAATTTTGTGGAGTTTAAAAGAATGAAGGTCTGTGAGGTGCCTGGTATGATAGTGGTTGTTCAGTTGCTGGTTCCCTTTTCCAGAACACGTGGGCAAGTGTCCTGATGGATGGTGTTTTTGTGGTTCTATCATGATTATGAGTATGCGTTTTTTGCACTTTCTTCTGGGTCGTCTCATGACCACCCTGGCATCATGTGGATTTGTCACCTTCTGCTTTATCTTTTATTGTTTGTGTGCCCCAGACATGAAACAGTTCTGGCCACCCACCCAGGCATCCAGCAAGGATGAGCAAAGGACTGTGTGTCTGCTCTACCCCTGACTGGTATGATACCCCTCTACTTTCAATGGGCAGAGCAGACGGGCAGAGGAACGCTGGTTTCTGTGGGGTCACAGGGAATTGCAGGGGAGCTGCGGTGTCGTAGCAATTTGTCTTACATGTGTAGCTTCCTCTCCGCGAACTTTGATTCCTCAATTTGGAGAGCCAGCCAGGGTGGAAGTCCAACTTGGTCATCAGGCTCTCTGCTTACTGCTGAATTTGCCAGCTTCTGGGCCAAGAAACTAGCTCAGAAGTAGCAGCTGGCTCTGTCTGCCTCCCTCTGGGTAGAAGCAACCCCCTCTCATTGTGGAGGGGCCGCAGTGGAAGGTGATGCTTTATCCCCAAGGGCAGCTCTGCTGGCCTCAGTTGTTCTTGCTCAGCCGAGCTCCCTCAGCTTTAGAGCTTCCTGCTCAGGCCCGGAGACCTGTGCACCATCTGCAGCGGACGGTGGCCATGGTTGGTGGGTGATGTGGCCAAGTGTGCATCTGTGCCGCTGTGTGGAATGGTTTTTGCCATTTGCCTTTCACTTTCATGGAAGGTCAAGTGCTACCAACTGGTTATGCACCTTTGAGCACTTTCTTTCCTCTTTGGGCCTCTGCTTTTTTGCTTAAATTTAGCAGGCAAAAATGAGATGTTTATAGCATCCATTGAGCTTTGATGTGGTTCTTCTTGTTGGCTAAGTCCTGTGGTGCTGAAGAGTGGGTCCAAGGTCTGAGGTCTTGCTCCTAGACCAAGATATTGTGTGTCTGTCCCTGCCCTGGCCCCTGCTCCTGTTGGTAAGGCCATTAGCTGAGTTCCTTACCTTTCCTCTACCCCTTCCAACTCCTTTTTTTTTTGAGACAGAGTCTTGCTCTGTCTCCCAGGCTGGAGTGCAATGACACGATCTCGGTTCACTGCAACCTCTGCCTCCTGGGTTCAAGCAATTCTCCTGCCTCAGCCTCCTAAGTAGCTGGTTTTTCAGGCGTGTGCTACCACACCCAGCTAATTTTTGTATTTTTAGTAGAGATGGTGTTTCTCCATGTTGGCCAGGCTGGTCTTGAACTCCTGGCCTCAAGTGATCCACCTACCTTGGGCTTCCAAAGTGCTGGGATTACAGGTGTGAGCCACCAGGCCTGGCCACCCCCTAGGTGTTTTTTTTTTTTTCTTTCTTCTTTTTGAGACAGTCTTGCTCTGTCACCCAGGCTGGAGTGCAGTGGTGCAGGCTCGGCTCACTGCAACCTCTGCCTCCTGGGTTCAAGCGATTGTCCTGCTTCAGCCTCCCAAGTAGCTGGGATTACAGTCATGTGCCACCACGCCCACCTAATTTTTGTATTTTTAGTAGAGACGGGGTTTCACCATGTTGGCCAGGCTGGTCTCAAACTCCTGATCTCAGGTGATCCACCTGCCTCAGCCTCCCAAAGTGCTGGGATTACAGGCGTGAGCCACTGTGCCCAGCCTACTAGGTTTTTTTAAAAAGAGTTTTAAAAGTTGATCCTCTCATAGATCAGTTAAAAGAGAGAAAAAGGGCCGGGCGCAGTGGCTCACGCCTGTAATCCCAGCACTTTGGGAGGCCGAGGCGGGTGGATCATGAGGTCAGGAGATCGAGACCATCCTGGCTAACAAGGTGAAACCCCGTCTCTACTAAAAATACAAAAAATTAGCCGGGCGCGGTGGCGGGCGCCTGTAGTCCCAGCTACTCGGGAGGCTGAGGCAGGAGAATGGCGTGAACCCGGGAAGCGGAGCTTGCAGTGAGCCGAGATTGCGCCACTGCAGTCCGCAGTCCGACCTGGGCGACAGAGCGAGACTCCGTCTCAAAAAAAAAAAAAAAAAAGAGAGAAAAAGGAGTTACCTCTATGGTCTCATCATCTCATGTTAATTTGGTATATTTATATTTTTAAAATTATATTTTGTAGGTTATTAAAATAATCTACTTTATAGAAAGTTTGAATAATTTAGAAAAGCAAAAGGAAGACAATTAAAACAAAATTAAAATCCCCTCCGATTTCACCAGAAACCACTGCTAACCTTATTTCTACATGTTTGTATATATATCTTTCTGTGATTATGTTACAGACATATATCCTTTTTTTCATTTACTATATTTGTCAGCCGTCTCATGTCATTGAAAATGATTTGAGGACTTGCATTTCTGTTAATGGCTGCATAGTATTACATTGTATATTTCTATGACTTTAACTGTTTCATATTATGGCCACTTAGTTTCCAGTTAGAAATTAAATACTATTATGATGAACAACATCCTTGCATATAAATCTTCCTGTGAAATGTTGATTATTTATGTATTTTAAAAATAAATACCTAAGAAGTAGAATTTCTGGATCAAAGGATTTGAACATTGAGGCTTTTGATGCATATCACCAAATTGCTTTCTCAGAAGAATGCACCAATTTACGTGCCAGCCAGCAGTATACATTTTGTCTCTTTTCCAATATTGGTTATTGTTTTTTGTCATCTGATTAGTGAAACATGGAATTTAATCCTAAACTAACATTTCTTTTCTTTTTTGAGCTGGGGTCTGGCTTGGGTTGCCCAGGCTGGACCCAAATTTCTGAGCTCAAGTGATCCTCCCTCCTCAGCTTCCTGAGTAGCTGTGACTATAGGTGTGTACCACCACCCCTGGCCTTAAATTAGCATTTCTGTGATTGTTAATGCAGTTGGATATTTTAAAATACATTTATTGATCTTTTTAATTTGTTTATTATATTCCTGTCCTTTGCACGTTTTTGTTGGGGTGTTTATGTTTTATGGATAAGGGCATACTATTTATGAAGAATACCAACCTTTTAGCTCCCATTTTTTGCAAGTATTTTTCTCTGATGGTTGCAGGCCATTTAACTTTCGTTGGGTGATAACTATATTTATGGTGTAAGGTATATGTTGTGATTTTTTTTTTTTTCTGTAGAGATCTATTTTAAATGTCTATGGTCAAATCAAATCTTTCATTCTTTGAAATAAACTTTTCTTTTATGCTTAAAAGAAAATGGCTGCTCATCTCAAAATCAATTAGCTGAGTAGTTTTCTGAATTTCATTTAGAGGTGTCTAAATTTTAACACTTACTGAAATGCATTTGGAATTTATGATGTGATATGAAGATCTGAGTTTGTTTATTTTCTAGTTATTGCCTGACTTTTCCTACCTTTATCTCACAAATTTAGAAAGTCAATTCTGAAACTTTTTTTGTTGGCTTTCTTTTTTTTTTTTTTTCTGAGACAGGGTCTTGCTCCATCACCCCGACTGGAGTGCAGTAGCTCCATCTCAGCTCACTGCAGCCTCTGCCTCGCGGGCTCAGGGGATCCTCCTACCTCAGCCTCCTGAGTAGCTGGGACTACAGTTGTGCGCCACCACACCCGGCTAATTTTTGTAATTTTGGTAGAGATGGGGTTTTGTCATGTTTCCCAAGCTGCTCTTGAACTCCTGGGTTCAAGCAGTCCTTCCACCTCGGCCTCTCAAAATGCTGGGACACTTGTGAAACATTAAAAAACCCATCATTCTCAGCAAACTAACACAGGAACAGAAAACCAAACTCCGCATATTCTCACTCATAAGTGGGAGTTGAACAATGAGAATATATGGGCACAGGGAGGGGAGATCACACACTGGGGCCTGTCGGGGGGTGGGGGACAAGGGGAGGGATAGCATTAGGATAAATACCTAACGTAGGTTACGGGTTGATGGGTGCAGCAAACCACCATGGCACATGTATACCTATGTCACAAACCTGCACGTTCTGCACATGTATCTCAGAACTTAAGTATAACTTAAAAACAAACCATATCCTAAATTGTAAGGCAAGCAATATACAGACTTGTCCTGTGCTGCTGATGTTCTTGCCGAATTCCTCATTGAACTAATTTTTGTAGCTTAGAAATATGTTTTCCTTTGTCAGAGAGGTTCCTCTCAGTATTCTTTTTAGCCGTTCCCAATAATTTATTCTTACAGAGGGTTATAACCGTTAAGACTTCCTTCTCAACTGGGCGCGGTGGCTCACGCCTGTAATCCCAGCACTTTGGGAGGCTGAGGCAGGTGGATCATCTGAGGTCAGGAGTTCTAGACCAGCCTGGCCAACGGGGTGAAACCCCATCTTTACTAAAAATACAAAAATCAGCTGGGCGTGATGGCGGGCACCTGTGATCCGAGCTACTTGGGAGGCTGAGGCAGGATAATTGCTTGAACCCAGAAGGCAGAGGTTGCAGTGAGCCAAGATTGAGCCACTGCACTCTAGCTTGGGTGATAGAACGAGACCCTGTCTCAAAAAAAAAAAAAAAAAAAAGACTTACTTCTATACTTTTTCTTAAAAAAACAAATGGATGAGATTATGCTTTATGTGGTTGTTTCTTGCTTTTATTAAATACTGTTCTTGTAATAACATTTTCCATTATTATTAAAAGTATCCTAAACATGTAAAATGTCTACATGTTATTTCTTTTTTTTTTTTTTTTTGAGATGGAGTCTCGTGCTGTCGCCCAGGCTAGAGTGCAGTGGCGCGATCTCGGCTCACTGCCAGCTTCGCCTCCTGGGTTCACGCCATTCTCCTGCCTCAGCCTCCCAAGTAGCTGGGACTACAGGCGCCGCGACTACAGGCGCCCGCCGCCATGCCTGGCTAACAGTTTGTATTTTTAGTAGAGATGGGGTTTCACCGTGTTAGCCAGGATGGTCTCGATCTCCTGAACTGATGATCCACCTGCCTTGGCCTCCCAAAGTGCTGGGATTACAGGTGTGAGCCACCGCGCCCAGCCTCTACATGTTATTTCACTATTTCCTTTTGTTATTTAGGGCAGAATATTGTCATAACTGCTGGAAAAAATATACAGTGTAATTGTTTTAGTGTCTGCCTCCCATAATAGAATGGAAGTTCTATAGGGCTGAGCCATGTATTAAATAATTTTTTTTTTTTTTTGAGACAGGGTCTTCTTGCTCTTTCACCCAGGCTGAATGCAGTGGCATAATCATGGCTCCTGCAGCCTCCACCTCCTGGAATAATTAGTCCTCTTGCCTCAGCCTCTCAAGTAGCTGGGATAAACATGTGCTACCACACTCAGCTAATTTTTCTATTTTTCGTAGATACAAGATCCCACTATGTTGCCCAGGCTGGTCTCAAACTTCTGAGCTCAAGCAATCCTCCTTGGCCTCCCAAAGTGTTGGGATTACAGGCATGAGCCACTGCCTGGCCCCTAAAATTTTAAAGTATAGGCTGAAGAATACCCCTTTTCCTAAATGCTTGGGATTGGAAGTATTTTGGATTTTGAATTTTCTTGGATTTTTGGATATTTGCATATCCATAATGAGATGTTTTGAGGCTCTGACCCACATCTAAACACAAAATTCACTTATGTTTCATATACACCTTAGGCACATAAGATGAAGGTAATTTTATGCAATATTTTAAATAATTTTGTTTATAAAACAAAGCTTGTGTACATCGAGTCATCAGAAAAGATGATCTCAGCCGCCCATGTGGACAATATGTGGGGTCACGTCAGGACTCAAAAAGTTTCAGGTTTTGGATTTTTGGATTAGGGATGCTCAACCTGTATCCTCAGTATTAAGCTGAGTGCCTTGAGAGTATAGTAGGTGCTCTGTAAATATTTAGAAAATCTAAAAATAGGCATGATTTTATCCCCCCACCAATCAGTAATGCTGCACTAGATATCTTTTTCAGTGTACCTCATTTAAGTAGCTTATTCTTCATCATATGACCAAAGGCATTGATACAATTGGTTTTTTTTTTCTTTTTTTTTTTTTTTGGAGACAGAGTCTCGCTCTGCTGCCCAGGCTGGATTGCAGTGGTGTGACCTCGGCTCACTGCAACCTCTGCCTCCCGGGTTCAAGCGATTCTCCTGCCTCAGCCTCCCGAGTAGCTGGGGTTACAGGCGCCCACTACCACGCCAGGCTAATTTTTGTATTTTTAAATAGAGACCGGGTTTAGCCATGTTGGCCAGGCTGGTCTTGAGCTCCTGACCTCAGGTGATCCACCCGCCTTGGCCTGCCAAGATACAGTTCTTAAAAAGTAGTTTTGACACATCATTCAAGACATTTTTCGTTAATTGAAAAGCCTGCTATTAAGTGTTTATAAGCCTCTATGGTAGTTACTGCATTATTCTTGTGAAGCCATCACAGGTCCTCTCCCCTTCCTTGTAATGATGTGTTTAAAGTTCTCTGAAAACATGGAAAAGATGCTGTAGGCATAAATCAAAAAGTCACTTAAACCACTGGATGCCCATTTCTCAGTGCCGTGTCAAACAAATGCCTTGAGGACCTGTGGCTTGGACATGTGTGTTTCATAGGGATGTCCTATCACCAAGCCGAGTGGCTAGTTTTAGATATGGTGAAAATGATTTGAAAAACAAACTCTGTTCTCTTCCTCTGAAAAGGTCCTTCCAAGGGGTGGATAGAGAGTTGAACAGAGGTTTGCAAACTTCCAGATAACTTCCTCTTTGTCAGTGGCCAAAGGTCATTGTAGACATATCTTCCCGAAGGCTGGAGCCTGAGGGAAGGGATGAGGAGGGTGTGGAGGGATGACAAGGGATGTGGAGGAGGAGGAGTCCGGGAGAGCAGAGAAGAGAGAACCCCAGGCAATCTGCATGGGGATTTCTGGCTTGAGATAAGAAACAACATTGCAAAAATGACTTGCGGTGGGGAATGCTTTGATATTTTCTGTCAAAACAACTCTTGAGTCTTAAGTATAGTAATGAATTTTCATAATATGCTTACTTTCATTCATTCATGGAGTAAAATTTCCTATTGGTTGGAAGAGGATGGTGGCTTGGTGAGAAGAAAGAAAAGCCACATGCAAAGGCAAGCATGGGGGTGCAGCTGAACACACTGTCTATCCCAGGAATCCTAAGCAGTTCAGGATGATGAGGGTTTCAAACACAAGGGGAAATATGAGTGATATGGCTGGAGAGGTAGACCAGATATCTGACCTAGAACTCCACCTGCCTTGCTGAGGCTAAACCATCTGGCAACCACCTGGGCAAGTCACTGAACCTTTCTTTGCCTCCAATTCCTTACCTGTGAGATGGGGGAAGTAAACTCCCTACAAAGTAGGTGCTGCCATATGGGTAAAATGAGCTAATGCATGTAGAACACTGAAATGCCGGGCACATAGCAAGCACTCACATGTCAGCCATTGTTATTAATAAAGAGGAAGCATCTCGCCAATCCTGTTTTGGAAGTTAACAAGGTCATCGAGTTGAGACTTTGATAACTTTTGCTGATTTTTATCCTCTCTTTTCCCAATTCAAAGATTAACACAGGGTTGGCTCTAAAGCTAAGAACTGCATCTCTTAGAGTTAAACGGTGGTAGCTTTGGGAAGGCTTGCTTCACTTTTCCGTTCATTCTTCACTCGCTGTACAACCACACGAGGGACATAACCCTGCGGAGAATTTCCTATGCAAGGTGTTGAAATAGCATTTTAGAAATAAAGATCACAAAAAGCACTGAACTCCTAAATGCCGTAAACTATCATGTTAAGGAGGGTTTGTATTACCTGGTAGGCGAGAACCTCAGCCTTTAGGGTGGTACTTCTTTGTTAGCACTTGAAAATTTGGAAAGCACTTTCTGATACTCTCTTCTGGGTTGTTCTCCCAAGATGCGTCGTTCCCATCTTACAGATGACCAGCTGAGAGGGTGAAATCAGGCTTCCCTCTTATATCATGTAAGTTTGAAAGCCAGGAGAGTGATTGAAGTGGGGTGCAATAATAAAGGGAGTTCTGGAAGGGGAAGCACCCTTTCTTTCTCTGGCTGCTTTTTCTTGGAGTTCCTGAAGGCAGGATTCTAGGCCAGGCACTTCGGTGCAGGAGCTCTGTCACTTGGTACTCCTGATGCAGCTCTGAGGGAGGGTGGATGAAGCTTTGTGGGGGGAAGGAATGGAGTGGGGAGAAAATGCCTCCTTGGAGAGGAAAAAAACGTCCATTATCAGTTGCTCCTACCCTACCCCCAACCCTCCTGTTTTCCACTCACAGCAACCTCAGGGAGGGAGATAAGAGCTTCAGGGGAAAGTCCTGTCTTCCCTGCTCCTAGAACCAAACAGATTTGCAGTTCTGTCTTTTTGACCAGCTTCTGCTCCAGGGAAATCACTTGATTCTTTGGAGCCCGAGTTTCCTCATTTATGAAACCAGGACAGTTTCACTTTGTGGGTTACGTGAACAACAAATACCTGGCAAACAATAAGTACCCAGTTATATTTTTCCTTCTTACCAATTATATCAGTGACTTTGAATTTAAGGAATGAGGCAAAGGATTAGTTATTTTGTTTATTGTCTTTTTTCCATAGCTGAAGTTTTCTTTCCAGATTAATTTTTAGCCTGAAGTTTGGGAATATAAACTGAATAAACCAAATGACTTTAAAACGTATTACTTAAAAAAATGTTTTCCCCTTGTTTTTTCCTGAGTATAAAGTAGTACATTCTTTTATAAAATAGAACAGCCAAACCATATATACTCTAGAAAATGTGCCATAGTTCTACCTTCCAGATTTTTCGTAGTCATACTTTAACCCATATATATCTGCTTCCATAGACAAACATGCATATAACCTTATATATGTTCGCCACGTGTACCTTTTGCTTTTTAAGACAAATGGGATCATATTTATATTTGCTGTTTGACACCTTGCTTTTTTGTTTTTTTTTTTTTATTTTTATTTTGAGACGGAGTCTTGCCCTGTCGCCCAGGCTGGAGTGCAGTGGTGCGATCTCGGCTCACTGCAATCTTTTCCTCCCAGGTTCAAGCGATTCTCCTGCCTCAGCCTCTCAAGTAGCTGGGATTACAGGCACCTGCCATCATGCCCAGCCAATTTTTGTATTTTTAATAGAGACGGGGTTTCACCATGTTGGCCAGGGTGGTTTCGAACTCCTGACTTCAAGTAATCTACCTGCCTTGGCCTCCCAAAGTGTTGGGATTACAGGTGTGAGCCACCACTCCCGGCCAACAACTTGCTTTAAAAAAAAAAAAAAAAAGTGTGTTTAGAGATGGAGTCTAGCTCTGTTGCCCAGGCTGGAGTGCAGTGACACAATCATAGCTCACTGCAGCCTAGAGCTCTTGGGCTCAAGCAATTTTCCCCTCCTCAGCCTCCTAAAGTGTTGGGATTATAGGCATGAGCCACTGTGTCCTGCTGCTTTTTTTTTTCCCCCAAACAAAATATCTTCAATGTCTTTCCACATGAGTACATTTAAAAATATAATAAGCAAAATCTGATCTTTACTGGTTACACTACAATCATTGTATGGCTGTTGTATAGCTTGTTCTGTTGAGGAACATTAGGCTTGTTTCCATTGTTTTCATAGTTATAACCTCGTGCTCTAGTAATCCGTGAACATCTATGTATATCTTTGTGTTTAAGCGGGAGTGAAAATAGCTGTAGGATACACACCTAGAAATAGAATTGCCAGCATGACATTTTGGTAGGTACTGCCGGATTGCCTTCCAGTGAAGTTGTGCCAGTTTGTACTTTGTGAACAATAACTATCTGAATACTTGTTTATTTTCTCCTCCCTTATCTTTTTCCAGTCTCTGCCACACATGAAATATAAACTTGAGGGCAGAGACTTGGTCATCTTGTTCACTGCGAGGCCTAGCCCAGTGTCTAGCATACATCACTTCTTTAAATGACTGAAGAAGGTCTGTTTTTCTTTGCCTTTGCCAACACTGTTTACCCTTTGGTAACTGGTGGGGAAAATATAGGGTCTTCTTTTAATTCTCCTTTCCTCAATGATGTGAAATATTTTTTCATTTTACTCTTTTTGCCTTTCATGTGATTACCCATTTTTCTAGTGAGATTTTCATCCTTATTTATTTGTAAGAGCTGCTTGTATATTTGGGATATTATAATATGTACTGGAAATATTTTCCCACTTTTTCATTCATTTCATTCCTTTTTAAATTAGTTTATTTCTTTTGCATATATATATATATATATTTTTTTTTTTTAGATGGAGTCTTGCTCTGTCACCCAGGCTGGTGTGCAGTGGCGCAATCTCTGCTCACTGCAACCTCTGTCTCCCAGGTTCAAGTGATTCTCCTGTTTCAACCTCCTGAGTAGCTGGGATTACAGGTGTCCACTACCACGCCTGGCTAATTTTTGTATTTTTAGTAGAGTCAGGGTTTTGCCCTGTTGGCCAGGCTGGTCTCGAACTCCTGAACTCAAGTGATCCGCTGCAGCCTCCCAGAGTGCTGGGATTACAGGCATGAGCCACCAGGCCCGGCCTCTTTTACATAATTTTTGCTGTTTGTTTTTAATTTATAGAGAAAGGGTCTCTATGTTGGCCAGCGTGGTCGACAACTGTTGGCCTCAAGCAGTCTTCCTGCCCCAGCCTCCCTAAGTGCTGGGATTATACGCATGAGCCACTGCACCCAGCCCATAATAAAAGTTTTTTTGTTGTTGTTGTTTTGACAGGGTCTCACCTCTGTCACCCAGGCTAGAGTGCAGTGGTGCGATTACAGCTCACTGCAGCCTCAACCTCCTTGGCTCAGGTGATCCTCCTGCCTTAGCCTCCCTAGTAGCTGGTACTACAAATGGCCGCCACCAAGCCTGACTAATTTTTGTATTTTTGTAGAGTTGGGATTCTGCCATGTTGCCCAGGCTGGTCTCGAACTCTTGGACTCAAGCCATCCACCCCCGCCTCAGCCTCCCAAAGTGCTAGGATTACAGGTGTAAGCCACTGCGCCCAGCCATAAAAGTTTTTAAGATAAATTTTTATTATCCGGTTTATTGGACTTCACCTTAATTATTTTTGTATTTCATGTCCCATTTAGGAAATGCCTTCTTCACTTTAAGATTTTATTGATATCCATCTTTTTTTTAATAAAAAAAAAAGCCTTTCCCTAATCTTTGATACTTTGACATTTATTATGGTGCATAAGGAATACATTAGGGCTCCAACTCTGTTAATTTCCATATGGCCATCATCACATTGTCCCACAATAACTGACTGAATGTAGAAACTTGATATAGTGGAATAATATGCAGCTGTGACAAGAATGAAGCAGGTCCTTCTGTATGGCCGTGAAAGGTATCTAGTATGTGTTATTAAAGTAAACACCTTTCCCTCATTCCCTCAAATGCCAGCCTGAATGACACTATTAATTAGCCTTTCCTAACAACTGAGTGGCACATTGAAAGTGGTGAATGTTGGAGTTGGATGTACCCAGCTCCCAGTCTGGTTCTTCTCTTCTCCCCTGAACCTGTCAACTGCATTTTCTGTAAAATAGGCATAACACTTACCTCAGTATAGCCTGGAGAATGATATAATATTTTTGTTGTATTTTTTTGCCATATAGGGATACTTTATTTTGGCCATATAAAATTTAGAAATGTTAGCTGGGGCAAGGTGGTGCACGCCTGTGGTCCCAGCCACTCTGGAGGCTGAGGCAGGAGGATCGCTTGAGCCCAGGAGGTTGAGGCTGTAGTGAGCCGAGATCGTGCCACTGCACTCCAGCCTGGGTAACAGTGAGACCCTGTTACTAAATAAATAAATAAATAAATGGGAAAGATACTATAGGCCAAAACTTAAAAAAAATGTAAATATTTATAAAAATGTTTAATCAGCAAAGAATGTGGTAAACCACGTTCAAAGGTTTAAAAGAAAAAAACAACAAAGAACAAACGCTTTCCAAAATGTGAAATTTGTGAATTCCGTAATTTGTGAATCTCAGGCTAAACTAATAAAAATACCAATAAATTAATAGGGGGTGTGTTTTGTTATTGTTTTTTTGTTTGTTTTAGAGAGACAGACTCTTTCTGTGTCACCCAGGCTGGAGTACAGTGCTGTGATCGTAGCTCACTGCAGTCTTGAATTCCTGGGCTCAAGCAATCTTTAGCCTGGCTAACATATATTTTATAGAGACAGGGTCTCCCTGTGTTGCCCAGGTTGGTGTTGAACTCCTGCTTTGGCCTTCCACAGTGCTGGGATTACAGATGTGCGCCACCATGCCTGGACTTCTTTGTTGTTTTGAAAACCAATCAGAATGTATTGAAATAAATACGAGGTTACTTGTACAGATTGCTTATCACAGCTTATAGCACATAGACATGATTTTTAGGGCTGGGCGTTGTGGCTCATTGTCTGTAATCCCAGCACTTTGGGAGGCCAAGGCAGGCGCATCACTTGAGATCAGGAATTCGAGACCATCCTGGCTAACACGGTGAAACCCCATCTCTACTAAAAATATAAAAAATTAGCCGGGCATGGTGGCACATGCCTGTAGTCCCAGCTACTCGGGAGGCTGAGGCAGGAGAATCGCTTGTATCCGGGAGGCGGAGATTGCAGTGAGTCGAGATCGCGCCACTGCACTCCAGCCTGAGTGACAGAGCGAGACTCCGTCCCAAAAAAAAAAAAGATTTTTAATGTTCATAGGTGTCTACATGGTCGTGTCAAACTTTAATTATGTTTTAAGTAGTAATGGGCCAGTTAATTAAAACATCATACTTATGTGATTGAATTCCAGACAGTCCAATTCCAGAATAATATGTTCTTAATAATCACATTGCTGGATGTGGTGGTTCATGCTTATAGTACTAGCTACTTGGAAGGCTGAGATAGGAGGATGCCTTCAGCCCAGAGTTCAAGAGCAGCCTGGGCAACATTGCAAGACCCTATCTGTAAAATAATAAATATTGTGGCCAGGTGCGGTGGCTCATGCTTGTAATCCCAGGACTTTGGGAGGTGGAGGCTGGTGGATTGATTGAGGCCAGGAGTTCAAGACCAGCCTGGCCAACATGGTGAAACCTCATCTCTACTAAAAATACAAAAATTAGCTGGGCGTGGTGGCAGGCACTGTAGTCCCAGCTAACTCTACTCAGGAGGCTGAGGCAGGAGAATCACTTGCACCTGGGAGGCAGAGATTGCCGTGAGCAAAGCTCATGCCACTGCACTCCAGTCTGAGCAACAGGGTGAGACTCCATCTCAAAAATAAATAAATAAATAAATAAATAAATAAATAAATAAATAAATAATGAAAAAAATAATTATATTAAAATCATCTGTATTTTGGAAATACTTTGAAGGAAAAAGAGCCAGCCAAAAGATTTTCTGTTGAAGTTGAAGTGTGTCATAAAGCACGGAAGCATTGGAAGCCCTGGTGAGTCACTCAGCAGCACTTAGTACAGACCAGGGCAGGTCACCCTTTCACTGGGGATGTGATAGACTTCCTCGATTGAGAACGGATTAAAGCAAGTCCCTAAAATTTCATTTCGTGACTTGATGACCCATCTGGAAAAACAGACACACAGTCACTCACTGAAGCATCAAAACCTTGCTAGTCCCAGGTGACTGCAACTGCCTGCCTGGAACCCTGCTGTTGTCTGCCTCTAAACCAAGCAGGTGCCTGGCAGTCAGGACAGACCATCAGTGGGGCTGGAGGAGAGGACCCTGGTTTAATAAACTTTACACTCTCACCTTGCTCTGGTAACTGCAGAAATAGGGTTATGATTTATATGGTACATTATGGAAAAATCACATTAACGGGCCAGGTACATCATAGGGTCTCAGTAAGTGTTACTTTCCTTCTGCCACTAACTTTGGCAATTTTTTGTGGATATTTGGAGGAGGAGAGAGGGAAGGAAGGAAGGTCAGAGATGGGAAGACTCACTTTGCTGTTAGTGAAATGGGATCCTGAGTCGGGTTTCAGGGGCCACTGTGCTATGGTTAGAATTACTACTTGGGGGAAAAAAAAACTATTAAAAAAAAAAAAAGATTAAATCCCAGCACTTCGGGAGGCCAAGGTGGGCAGATCACTTGAGCCCAGGAGTTCAGGACCAGCCTGGGCAACATAAGGAAACACCATCTCTACCAAAAATATAAAAATTAGCCAGGTGTGGTGGCACAAATCTGTGGTCCTAGCTACTCAGGAGACTGAGGTGGGAAAATCGCTTCAACCCCGGAGGTCGAGGCTGCACTGAGCCGAGACTACATCACTGCACTTCAGCCTGGGCCACAGAGTGAGACCCTGTCTCAAAAAAAAAAAAAAAAAAGATTACTACTTGGAAGAATGTGTACAGAGTCTGCTCTGAATGAGGAAGGTGTTTTGTGTTTTGTTTTAAAGGAGCCACTCTTGGCCAGGCACGGTGGCTCACGCCTGTAATCCTAGCACTTTGGGAGGCCGAGGCAGGCGGATCTTCTGAGGTCAGGAGTTCGAGACCAGCCTGGCTAACATGGTGAAACCCCGACTCTACTAAAAATACAAAAATTAGCCAGGCGTGATGGCTCATGCCTGTAATCCCAGATACTTGGGAAGCTGCAGCAGGAGAATCACTCAAACCTGGGAGGTGGAGGTTGTGATGAGCCGAGATTGCACCGCTGCACTCCAGCCTGGGTGACAGAGTGAGACCCTGTCTCAAAGAAAAAAAAAAAGCTTTATTGTGATATGATTCACATACCCTACAATTCACCCATTTACTGTATAAAATTCAATGTTTTTTATTATTCAACTAAATATACTTAGCCATCACAACTAATTTTAGAACATTTTTGTCCCTTCTTAGAGAAATCCTGTACCCCTAGCACTCATTCCCCATTCTCGTTTCCCCCGCCCTCAGGCAACCAGTAATCTACTTTATCTCTACCCACTTGCCTATTCTAGACTTTTCACATAAATGGTATCACACAAGTGGTGGTCTTTTGTGGCGGCATTTTTCTGTCCATCATGTTTTTAAGGGTCTTCATGTTGAGCATATATCAGTATTTCATTCCTTTTTTATTGCTAAATAATATTCCACTGTGGGATGTACCACGTTTTATTTAAATTAAAAGTTGATGGACATTTGGACTGTTTCTACTTTTTGGCTATTGTGAATAATGCTGTTGTGAGCCTTTGTGTAAACATTTTTGTGTGGACCTATGTTTGCATTTCTCTTGGTTATATTTGTAGGAGGGGAATTGCTGGGTCAAATGGTGACTCTGGAACTGCCAGACGGTTTTCCAAAGCAGCTATACTATTTTACATTGTTACCAGCAATACAGGAGGGATCCAGCTTCTCCCCGGCCAGCACTTGTTATTTGTTGTTATTTATTGTTTAGTGTCTGTCTTTATGATGGAGAGGGTATGGGTAACAGACTGGCAGCCATCTGCCAGCCTCATAAAGCAGAGTGTCCCAAAGCTGGGCCCCCGAAGCGCACGGGAACCAGGGGCTCAAATGTTGGGGAGCATTCTTTGACTCTTCAGTCGGTTCCTCTCTGGGCATCTGCCTTCTGCAAGCTCTGCCCACCAGCATCCCTGCCCTGGTGGCCAGATAGCAGACAGCAAGGCCACCAAAGCCTCCTGAGAGCACACGGCCTCAGCTGCCTAGAGAGACAGGTGCTCTCATTCCCCTCCTGATTCTGCACTCCCAGGAGGGGACTGCGAGTCTGGCTTGGTCACCTGCTCACTTGGACCAAGGTGGCCCGTGGCCCAAGAGGTGGGCCTGGTGTAACTGACCCTGGCTGTCCCCGCCTTCCCCATTTCCACTCTGCAGCCAGAGGCTGGGAATAGAGGAGCAGTCTCAGAGAGGGTCCTTAGATACCCTGGGTATGAGAGAGAAGCAGGCTGTGTTGCCTTAGTAGAGACTGCTCCAGAAAGGCCTTCTCACCAGAGGCTGGGACACAAAATGGGACTGCCTGGAGCAGGTAGGTGGTGGGGGTTGGATATGAGCAAGTGGAAAGCCAGTGGCTGGGTGGGCTGGGCCCTGCCTTCGAGACCTGGGGTCAATTGATGTGGCCATGCGACCACTCTCAGCCCGGCACACGGGTTCCCCCTCCTGAGCCCCAAGCCTATGTAGGTGGCAGGGCTTGGAGCAGAGGTGCCTGAGTGAGTCATGATTCTGCCCTTATCTTTGGAGATTTGGTTTTTCTACTCTTTACTGTCCTTTATCCTACTAACTTACAGGGCAGGCTTTTTTTCTTTTTTCTTCATGTTTTCAAAATTTATTTTTTGGCAAGTTAATGCATTTACTTGGTTCAGAATTTAAGTGGTAAAAGGGATTATGGTAAGTCACCCACCTCTGCCCCAGGCACCCAGTGCCCCTCCTCAGAGGCAGCTGATGTTATCCCTGGCTCCAGTATATTTTCATGCATAAACAAGCAAAGATGCTTATCTGGCCTTGTCGTAAACACACACACACAAATGGCAGTGATATATGTGTTTAGGATTTCTGTAGGCCTTGTCAAATCACCTTCCAAAGAGATAGTACCTGTTTATATCCCTACCTCTTGTACAAGAGGACACCTGTCTCCACACTTGGCATTGTCAACATTTTGAATCCTTTCTAATTTGCATGGAGAATAGCAGCACCTTATTTTGATTTGTATTTGTCTGATTTCTCGTAACTGTTACAAGTGAAATTAAGCATCTTCATGTGTTTGTATGCCCTTTTTTTTTTTTTTTTTTTTTTTTGCCAAAAACAGACAGTTGATATCCATTGCTCATTTTTCTTTCGGCTTTTTGCTTGTGCGTCTTCAAGAACCGTTATATTAGGTTAAACCATATGCACTTGCCATTTTGTAAATCAAAATCAGTCAGTTATCTACAGTTTCATATTGTTCATCTACTATGGATACAAATTCAACTAGCAAAACTGGTGAATTCCTATGTACCAGCAATAACAAAGTATAAAATAAAATAGAAAAGGGCCAGACATGGTGGCTCATGCCTGTAATCCCAGCACTTTGGGAGGCCGAGGCAGGCAGATCACCTGAGGTCGGAAAGTTCGAGACCAGCCTGATCAACGTGGAGAAACCCCATCTCTACTAAAAATACAAAATTAGCTGGACGTGGTGGCGCATGCCTGTAATCCCAGCTACTTGGGAGGCTGAGGCAGAAGAATTGCTTGAACCCCGGAGATGGGGGTTGCGGTGAGCTGAGATTGTGCCATTGCACTCCAGCCTGGGCAACAAGAGTGAAACTCCATCACAAAACAAACAAACAAACAAACAAAATATAGAAAAAAGAGATAATATTCCCAGTATGAGAGCAAATCAAACAATTTAAAAAATGGTTATTAAGTGTCCAGGTACTTATGAGCATGTCGATGTTCATATGGAGACCCAGTGTATTTTGTGGAGGAGGAAATAAATTTAGACATAAAGGTGTCAAAGATAGTAGTGAGACTTCTGGGTACCCTGTCCTCAGTTTCCCATAATGTTAACCTATTACATAACAGTGGTACAATTACTGAAACCAGGAACTGACACTGATAGAATTCTGTTGTCTGCTACAGTCTTTGTGTGCATTTTACCAGTTCTCCCACTACTGTCCGTTGTTCCCGGATCCCACGCTGCAGGGGAGTTGCCATGTCTCCTGAGTCTTCATCGATCTGTGACAGTCCTTTTGTCTTTCCTTGTCTTCCGGGACCCTCAGACTTAAAGAGCTTTATTATTATTTTATTTTGTTTTATTTTTTTGAGACGGAGTCTCACTCTGTCACCCAGGCTGGAGTGCAGTGGTGCAATCTTGGCTCACTGCAGCCTCGCCTCCCGGGTTCAAGCCATTCTCCTGCCTCAGCCTCCCGAGTAGCTAGGGTTACAGGCGCCCGCCACCACGCCCGGCTAATTTTAGTATTTTTAGTAGAGACAGGGTTTCACCATGTTGGGCAGGTTGGTCTCAAACTCCTGACCTCGTGATCCACCTGCTTCGGCCTCCCAAAGTGCTGGGATTACAGGCAAGAGCCACTGTGGCTGGCCTATTATTATTTTGTTATTATCATTTTTAATAAATAAGAGACGAGGTCTCTCTGTGTTGCTCAGGCTGCTCTCAATTCCAGAGCTCAAACAGTCCTCCTGCCTTGGCCTTCCAAAGTGTTGGGATTGCAGGCATGAGCCACCATGCCTGGCCAAAAGCTTGATTTTGTAGAATGCTCCTCAATTTGAGTCTGCTTGATGTTTTTTAAATGATGAGATTGGGCTTATACATTTTTGGCAAGACTACTACTGAAGTGACATCGTATCCCCAGCAGTGCATTGGGGATCATGGTGCTGATACGTCTTTTGCTGGTGCTGTTCACCTTGCTGATTTAGTTAGGGTAGTGTCTGCCAGGTTTCTCCACTGTAAAATTACCTCTCCTCCTTTGTAATTGATAAATAATCTTGGGGTGGAGGATATGACTTGGAGACTGTTTACCCTTTGCTTTTTCCCTCTCAATCTTTGCCCACTTATTTTAGCATCCGTTGTTGGACTGTGTCCACACCAGTTATTATTGTAATGGTTGCCTAATGGTGATTTTCTGTTGATTTTCTTCTGTAATTGGAATGCTACTATAAAAGAGTTTTTCCTTCTCTACCATTAACTTATTTATTCACTTACTATATCAGTATAGACTCATGGATAGTTATTTTATTCTGTGGGTAAAACTGAAATCATTTTGCTGTTTATTGTGTTGTTTACATTGTTCAGCTGTGGCCATCGAGAGCTCCTTTGGGTTGGTGCTTGTGTTGCTCTGACATGGCTTCATTCTTTTTTGAGCATTTCCTCACCTTTTGGCACTACAGATGCTTAAGTCTCATCTTGTATTCTGCCTGCCCCAGCTCTGTAAACAGTCCTTTCTCTAAGGAGCCCCCAGTAACTATCTTCCAAGTGTTTACTTGGATTCATCTTACGCCAGACATGATGCCTAGCCTGTGGCATTCATAAGCAGCTGCAAAAAGAAGGTCAAATGCCCTGCCCAAGGTCATGCAGGTGATAGTCCATCAGGCTCAGGATTAGGGTGTGTTGCTGGCAAAGCCTTTTCCCTGAAGCATACCATCTTCTTCTGTGTGAGCGCTCTGTGTCAACAGACACTTGCCTAGTATTGCACATGTGCAAGAGACAAGGTCAGCCGTGTGTGCTGGGCACGATGAGTTCAGGATTGTGCTTTCTGCATCTACCGTTATTACCAGACAGTTGGCATCCAGCCCTCCTTTCTCACTGGTAATGATGGCCTCCATTATGTTTTATGTGGCATTAATTACCCAAACCAGTAACTGTAGGAAAGTAAACAACCTGTAAATCTTGGCTAGCTCGGGCAATTGCCTCCTGCTCTTGGGAACACTGTGATCCAGGCAGGAGGCCCTGTGCTGGGTTCTGCTCACTGGGGCACAGCCACTCTGGCTTTCCATGCTGCTCTGCAGGAGCACCTGGTGGGCACGACCCAGGGGAGGCCCACTGGGAGAGGGGCAGCCTGCTCTGGGCAGTGCTGTGGTTGCAGCAGCAGATCCTGGAAGACAGTGGATGGCCTGGTGGAGTTATCCCTGCCTGGGGGTGTATCCCAGCTGGGCTTTCTCCTGGCTCTGTGACCTTGGCAGTTAGGTCACTTGGTGTGTGGAGCTGTGTGAGGGCTGGAGGACAGTTTCTGTGTGCAGCACGGAATACAGTGACCTGTGCATGGGTAGGGCTCCGTAGGAGGGCGCATACGATACCTGTTATTTGGCTGGCCCTTGCTGAGTACTTACTATTAATACGTGTGGGCGGGAAGTACATTATCTCATTTAATCCTCACAAGACTTCTGCAAAGAACATTTTGCAGATGTTGAGAGTGAAATGCTGAGAGATTTAAGAACTCAGCTGTGGTCCTGGAGTGTCAAGGGGTCTGAGTCAACCCCGGTGGTGTATCTGACCTGACCCCAGCTCCCTTTCCCCTCTTCTCCTGGGCCAGGCTGTAGGCTACTTAGTCTTTGCCATTAACTTGCACTGTGACCTTGGGCAGGTCAGCACCTCTCTGGGCCTTAGTTTCTTCATCTCTGAAATGGGCACGGTCCTAGTGTACTGTGGGTTCTTCAGGGTGATCTCTCAATGAGACCCTGGGTTGATGGGGCTTCTGCCTGTCTTACATGGTCTGCATGTGTTTCCTGCTCTATGAACTGGACTCCCTTCCCCAAATACCACCTGTCTGATTGGCCTTTGGGTACCAGCCTGACACTGGGAAAATAAATACCAATCGCTGTATTGTGAGCATCCATTATGTACTTGGAACAGTGTGGAGGACTTTCCCCTCTTTTCTTTGTTTTGTATTTTTCAAATTCAGATGCAATATATCCCTAGTTGTTTTTTTTCAGGCCAATACTGAAGATATATCTAATTTAACAGGGAAAAGTCCTTCTCTGCCCATTGTTAGATGTATATATTAGACTTACAAATATGTGGGTTTGAGTATAACTTATTTTAAAACAAAAGTGCAGTCACACTGTGTACATACTCAGCAACTTGCTTTTTCATGTGTGTGTATGGTGGATGGCTTTTTACATCTATAACAGATCTAGGTCTGCCTAAGCCTTTTTGTAATCTTAATTTTAAAATTATTTTTTAACTTCTAATTCAAAGTAATTTTCAATTTCAAACTATGGAAGAATTAAAAAGTTATTATGGTTAGTATGTATATCCTCCATCAGATTCACCAGTTTTTAAATGTTTTGCCACACTTGCTTTATCTATATAGATGCACCTATGTGCATTTATGTGTAACTATCTATAGATGTATATATATCTATAGCTCTATAAAGGGATGTATAGATAGGGATAGCTATCGATATGGATATCTCTATTATATATATTTTTTCCTCGCTGAATATTTTGAGAGTTAGTTGCAGACAACATGATCTTTTTTTTTTTTTGAGACAGAGTTTCACTCTTATTGCCCAGGCTGGAGTGCAGTGATGCAATCTCAGCTCACTGCAGCCTCCGCCTCCTGGATTCAAGTGATTGTCCTACCTCAGCCTCCCAAGTAGCTGGGATTACCCACCTACTCCCAGCCTCCCAAGCTTCCCAAATAGCTGGGATTAGCCACCGCATCCGGCTAATTTTGTATTTTTACTAGAGACAGGGTTTCACCATATTGGTCAGGCTGGTCTCGAACTCCTGACCTCAAGTGATCCACCTGCCTTGGCCTCCCAAAGTGCTGGGATTATAGGTGTGAGCCACCGCGCCCGAGCAGACAACATGATCTCTTAGTCATACTTTAGCATGTATTTCCTAAGAACAAGGACATTCTTTTATATAACCACAAGTACATTATCAAATTGGGGAATTTAACATCAATATAATACCCTCACCTATCATCTATTCCTATTAAAATAGGGCCAATTGTTCTGATGTCCCGTAGCAGGTTTTTGCCTTGATCCAGACCCAGTTCAGGACTGGACGTTGTGTTCAGTTGTCCCACTCCTGACCCCGCTTGAATCTGGACAGATCTTCAGTCTCCCCTCATTTTTCATGATGTCGATGCTTCTGAAGGTGCAGGCCAGGAGGTTGTAGATGGTCTCTCTGTTTGGGTTTGCTTGTGTTTCCTCATGTTGAGATTCAGGTGGTGCCTTTTGGGCAGGGACAAGAAGTAGGTGATGCAGCGTCCTCAGTGGTCCACGCAGGAGGTGGACATGCTAACAGCACCACTGGGTGAAGCTGTGCGCCTCTTCCTCTGTGGTGGCCCCAAGGTTTAGTAGTAACGTGATTGCTGACCATTTTGTTCATTTCCAGTTTGGGGCTGTAGCAGTACTGCTGCTTTGAATAGCCAGCCTTGGGCAGATTTTTTAGCGCCTAAGCTGGCAGCTCTATAGACTGGAGTCCTGGTGATGGGGTGGCTGGGCGCTTATTAATATTGATGGGTATTACCAAAGTGCCCCATAGGCTGTGGCTTGTTATCTCCCAGCTCCAGCATGTGTGAGGCGAGGGCCCATTTCCCCACATCGCTGTCCTTGTGGGATGCCAGCAATCTGTTAGTTTTTTGCCATCTGACAGGTGATCAGGCAGTGGCTGCATTGTTTTCATTTGGCATTTCTTTACATGAGTGAGGTGGAGCATCTTTTCGTGTTCTTCAGGGTTTGGCTGACAAGTTCCAGCTCTGTTATTTGCTGTAAAGAATTTAACACCAAATTCTGCCACTGTTAATTAAAAACCGACGACATACCAGTATTGTCCATGGTGCTGGGGGTAGGGGTGACCTGGTTCGGGTGAACTGGTGGCGGGCCGGTTCTCAGAGCTTTCCGTTGTCCATTGAGGGGCTGTGACTTAGCCCCTCATTCAAGGAGGGAGGGGTGGGCAAAGTTGCAAAGCGCCGAAAGCAGTTGGGAGGAAGGAAGGAAGTCCACAGGAAGAAGAAAAATTATATGAAAATTCCAAGTTCAGTGTTTGAATGAATTACAGCGCTGCCCATTCATTCCTGTGTGGTGTGTGACCGCTTCCTGGCTGCAGTGGCAGAGTTGAATAGTGTGGGCGGTCTTATGTCCTACAAAGCTGAAGATACTTGCTATGCAGCCCTTCACAGGGAAGGTTTGCTGATGCTTGGGCTGGAGGTGTTGGACATGTGGGGTGCAGGTGGGAAGAGGGAGAGCACAAAGTTTAGTTGAGCACTTGTGTATTTTATCTGGCCTCCCCCCTGCCCCCTGCTGCTCTTCAGGTGGGTGGAGGGCAGGAGGGGCAAGGGGGCAGAGCCTAAGCACAGCTGTTAAGATTGGGGTAAGAAGTTTCCACACCCGTTTGTGTGGCTCAGGGCCCTTGGGCAGGAACCAGGCCATCCTTCTTGTAGGGTGGTGGGGTGTGGCAGCCTAAATCCAGCTGAGGAGCCCCACCCCTCCCCCGGGAGGGACAGTACTGCCTGGATACCCTCGGGCTATAGCTGTAGGGGAGGCAGGAGGGGGCCTCAGCTCAGCCTGAGGTGGGGGTGGGTGGTGAGTGGAGCCTGTCACTGTGCCTCCCCAGCCCCTGCCACTCCCAAGGTCACCTTGGCTCCTCTGGGCTGGGCTGGCAGCTACTTGCTCACAAGTTTTCATCACAAAGTAATCTGGGCTCCTTCCCTGCTAGCTTTTAAATGGCCTTTAACAGCCTGACAGTGTAGGGTTGGGCCAGGACTTTGGAGGGAGTTGCCTTGAAGCCTTTCCAGGCACTCCTGCCCGGTATGGTTCTACCTCCTGCTGAAGCTCTTACTGGACCCAGAGGTTTCCTGGGGCCGTTGCAGGACCTCCTGTATGCCAGTCTCTGCTGGGTGCACCTTCAACCCTCCAACAACCTATGCTCTGCCTCCCGGGTTCAAGCGGTTCTCCTGCCTCGGCCTCCTGAGTAGCTGGGATTACAGGCACCCACCACCACGCCCGGGTAATTTTTTGTATTTTTGTTTGTTTTTGTTTTTGAGATGGAGTTTCGCTCTTGTCGCCCCAGCTGGAGTGCAATGACGCCATCTTGCCTCACTGCAACCTCCGCCTCCTGGTTCAAGCAATTCTCCTGCCTCAGCTTCCCGAGTACCTGGGACTACAGGCGCCCACCACCATGCCCGGCTAATTTTTGTATTTTTAGTAGAGACGGGGTGTCACCATGTTGGCCAGGATGGTTTCGAACTCCTGGCTTCAGGTGATCTCCCACCTCGGCCTCCCAAAGTGCTGGGATTATAGGTGTGAACCACTGTGCCCGGCCTGCCCACCTAGAATTGATTATATTTATTAAGTGGTCAGGATTAATTTTTCCATATGGATAACCAGTTATCCCACACTATTGAGAAAAGATGGACCCATCGTCATTTATAGTGTCGTGTATCAAGTTTCCAAATAAAAGTCTCGTCTGGGCTCCTCGTTCTTTCCTATTGTTCTGTTTCTCCCCGTGCCAAAACCACATGGCTTTAGTGTGCCATGACTTTACAGTATGTTCAGAGTATGGCAACATGTGTTTCAGGGGGACTAGTGTATCGCAAGGAAACGAATATCAAATTTTATGCCACGGCATGGTTACACATTCATGAGAGTTCTAGGTCCATCTTGGTTCAGAGAGCTGAGGGCATGGGGCAGTAGGGATTTGAACCTTAGGAGAAGCGGGAGGGTTTAGATGTGTAGAAGAAGGTCCTGAAATAAAATGAGTATCAAGAAGTTCAGGGGGGCCGGGCACGGTGGCTCACGCCTGTAATCCCAGCACTTTGGGTGGCCGAGGTGGGTGGATCACGAGGTAGGAGATCGAGACCATCCTGGCTAACATGGTGAAACCCTGTCTCTACTAAAAATACAAAAAATTAGCCGGGCGAGGTGGCGGGCGCCTGCAGTCCCAGCTACTCGGGAGCCTGAGGCAGGAGAATGGCGTGAACCCGGGAGGCAGAGCTTGCAGTGAGCCGAGATCGTGCCGCTGTACTCCAGCCTGGGCGACAGAGCGAGATTCCGTCTCAAAAAAAAAAAAAAATAAGTTCAGGGGAAATGTAATAGATACACTCCTTGAATATTGGAGCCAGATGGGACCTTTGCAAGAACGAAACATTGGGTGCAGTAGTCCAGCAGGTGTGGAGGGGTGGCCCAGTGGCCACGTGTTCCACCTTCGGCGTCAGACAGACCAGGTTTGATCTTTAACAGGACACTTCACCTCTCTGGAACTTAATTTCCTCGTTTATAACATAGGGAAACAATAGACTTTTCTTACAGGATTATCGAGTGGACTAAGTGAAATGACGTACATACAGGGCTTGCAGTGTACTGGCACATGGCTACGTGACAATTCAGTTTTGGTTATTTTTAGCCTATTTCCTTGATTCTAAGACCAGCTCCCTCTCACCCCCTCCCCCCCACATTTTACAATTCCTAAATTAGAACAGGCTTTACCACCACCTTCTATAATGATTTGTTTTCCCTCCTGGATCATTGTTAAGAACGTAGGAAACAAACAGAAGCCTTAACTTGGGGAGTTACGCTGTACAACATTCGGCACACTTTAATCTGTGTGCAGAATGGAAGCAGATGCCTTCCAGAAAGGAGAGGTTGAGAGAGGATCATGGACAACTACAGCTGTCTTGTGCCCAGCACGTGACACCCACTGGGTGGGATGTGGCAAGTGTGGTGGGTTCTGGAAACTGACTGAGATTCTGCCATGGGCTCTGCCACTTATGAGCTATGTGAGCTTGCCCCTGTCAGGTAACCTCTCTGAGCCTCTGCTTCCCCCATCCAGGAGGGCAGGTGATCCTAACTGCTAGTGCCACTCATCTGGAGAGCCAGGTGAGTGACTACTTGAGTGGGCTTTGCCACAGATAAGCACCCTGTGAATGGAGCTGTTTGCAGCTGTTCCCTAGAGGCACTCCTCCCCCTCTGCCTGGCTGTGCTTTGCTTTGGGGGATTTCTTCCTTTTTTTTTTTTTTGAAACGGAGTCTCGCTCTCTCCCCCAGGCTGGAGCGCAGTGGCATGATCTTGGCTCACTTCAACCTCTGCCTTGCAGATACAAGCAACTCTCTTGCCCCAGCCTCCTGAGTAGAATAGCTGCGATTACAAGCATGCGCCACCACGCCCGGCTAATTTTTGTGTTTTTAGTAGAGACAGGGTTTCGCCATGTTGGCCATGCTGGTCTCGAACTCCTGACCTCAGGCAATCCATCTGCCTTGGCCTCCCAAAGGCCAAAAATCCCTTGCTGGGATTACAGGTGTAAGCCACCACACCTGGCTGGCTTTGGGATTTCTTTATCATTCTTCCCCTGAATTACAGAAATCCTGCCCACTCTTCAAAGCCCATGTCACATGTTTTCTCATCCCCTGGTTCGAACCTGTCTCACACTCCCCGCCTCGTCCTGGATACCTATTGCTCACTTTTGGGCCTCCTTTGTCTCTTACAGAAATTTTAAACATTATAGTACGGCTCTTCCAGGACTGTTTGATGTACTCCAGAGGATTGTCAACCCTTTGAGGGCAAGAATGTGTCTTAACTTTGGCAAACCCTGTAATTCTAACAGAGAACAGCACTATAGCACTGTAAAGAAGGTGAAATCCCATGGATGCATTTGCTGAGTACCTACTGTGTGCAGACAGCGCAGTGATGAGCAGAACAGACACGACCCGCGCCTTCTCATAGCCCGCTGTCCTGGCTTCCACCCACGCCCAGCAGTGATGTCGGCCAGGCAGAGAAATGCCCTTGTGCCCTAGGTCAGTTCAGCCTGTGTGACCTCGCTCGTCAGCCTGTATGTGACTGTGGGTGGTGGCCTTCTGCGTGGCTTTTGGGATGGTGCTGTTGTGCTGCTGTGTGAGTTGGGTGGGAGGTCACCTTGGGCCCACTGTGTTGGCACGGGGGTAGGCATGCAGAGGGTGGCTGGATGTCCATCTGCATGGCTAGAAAGGAGGATTTGGTGGTGAAGTGTGTGGATCAGGACCCTGCTGCTGATGGAGAAGGCTCCTGCAGCCGTGATCCCTGGCCCAGGAGAAGCTGTGATCCTGGGCCTAACGCCTCACTCAATGGCTTTACCCTTTGTTCAAGGGCTGCCCCTTATGTTCAGGCCTGGAAGTTGCTCTCTACAGGACAGGAGGTGCTTGCTGTTTGGCGTGAGCTGAGGTTGCCCTGCAGAGCCTGGGGTCAGTGCTATAACTGGGCCCTGTGGCACCCGTAAACTCACTTAATGACCACCTGGACATTGGGCCTCATGCTAGGGCCGCTGTCAGCATTCTTTATCTGTGAAGGCAGAGGACATTGGAAAAACCAGTTAGGGTGTGTGAGGCATGTTTTATGTTGATATCAAGGGAGTGTTGGACTCTTGGTTCAGGAGCCTGGAAATGTATGCAATCTGGCTTTTTCAGAAAGTCAGCCATGTTGAATAGGGAAGCAAGACCTTTTTAGGCGTCACATCTCCTGAACAGGCAAGTGGGCAGGATGAGAGTTTGGGGTTTGCTCCTCTTCCCTCTGATGGGAAAGGCGTCCAGCGCGTCACCATGAGCAGCACTGGGGTTTGGCATGGTCAAGAAGTGTTCACTGGCATGTGACCAGAGACCTTCCTAATGGCTGAGACGGAGTCTGACCCAGTGGGCATGGCTGTGCTCGGCCAGTGTCATGGCCGGTGGGGAGCTGTGGTGACAACTCCAGGAACATGGTGCCGTGTGGCTCTGCTGGCCTCTCTGTTCCTAGGATTCCCACCCACCGCATTTGGCATCAAATTGTTGCTCAGCAAACTTTTTATTGTTATTTTTATAGAGACAGCAGCTCGCTGTGTTGCCCAGGTTGGAGTTGGAGACCAGCCTTCCTCAGCCTCCCAAAGCACGGGGATGATAGGTGTGAACAAACATTTGGAATGAATGATTTAATTTCATATTCTTTGTCCATTCCATTATTCTTTGGTGAGGGTGGGAGTGTATTTGTTTTCTGTGGCTGCTGTAACAAGTTGCTACAAACGTGTTAATTATAGATGCATTAACTTAAAACAAAAAATGATTCTCTCACGGTTCTGGAGATTAGCAGTCGGAAATTCGGCAGGGTTATGCTCCTGGGGGATCTTGGGGAGACTTCACACCTTTGAGCTTTGGTGGCCCCAGGCTTCCTTGACTCGTGACCCTGTCACAGCAGTCTCTGCCTCTGTGGTCACATGGTGCCTCCTCTCTTTTCTGTCTCTTGTGTTTCTCATAAGCACACTTGGATTGAGGGCCAACCCAGATAATACAGGGTGACTTCCTCGTCTCAGAATCTTAATTGTGTCTGCTAAGACTACTATTCCAAATATAAGGTCACATTTCCAGGTTCCGGGGATTAGGATGTGACATATCTTTTTGGGGACCACCATTCAACCCACTACAGGAGTGTCTTGGTACTAATCAATTGCTTTTTGAGCTATATAATAGCTCTTGTCTGGGCGTGGTGGCTCGTGCCTATAATCTCAGTACTTTGGGAGGCCAAGGCTGGGGGATCACTTGAGCCCAGGAGTTTGAGACCAGCCTTGGCAACATAGTGAGACTTGGTCTCTACAAAAATAAAAAATTAGCCAGGCATGCTGGCGTGTGCCTGTAGTCTTAGCTACTTGGGAGGCTGAGGTGGGAAGATAGCTTGAGTTGGAAGGTTGAGGCTGCAGTGAGTCTTGATTGTGCCACTGCACTCTAACCTGGGTGACAGAGCAAGACCCTGTCTCAAAAATAGAATAGAATAGAATAGAATGGAATAGAATACAATAGAATACAATAGAATAGAATGCCCGTAGCCACTGGGTTTGCTCTTCCTAGTCTGCAGTTTGTATTAAGTGTTTTTACATTCATACATAGAAGTAATTTTAAATTTTATATAGCCAGATGTCCTTTCCATTGGTTTTAGGTTCAGAAAGTTCTTCCTTATTGAGTATCTGATAGTCATTCATGTTAAAATAAAACCTTAAGAAAGTGACTTTTAAAAACATTGACTAATGAGAATTGTATTTATCATGTGCAACATGATGTTTTGATATACGTATCCATTGTACATTGGTTGAATCTAGCTAAGTAACATAGGCATTACCTCATTTATTATTTTTTTGTAGAGGGAGCACTTGAAATAGCCTGTCAGCAATTTTCTAGAATACAATGAATTGTTACTAACAATAGTCACCATGTTGTACAATAGATCTCTTGAAGTTATTCCTCCTGTCTAATGGAAATTTGTATCCTTTGATCAACATCTTCCCTGTTCCTCCACAAGAAATTGACTTTTTAATCCAATGATAACTTGTTTTGATATTTGCTGTGAGGATCTGCACTCTGAAATAAATAGCTAGTCTCCAAATGTGATTATATTTCATAGATTATACACATACAAGCCTACAGAAAAAGAGAGAGGGAACATGCAAAACCCAGAGAAATCGAAGTAAGGTCTGTAGTTTTGATAATGTACCATGGTTCCATCAGATGCCACCGTGGGGGATGCTGGCACAAGGTACACAGGACTTTAATGTACTTTTTTTTTTTTTCTTTTGAGACCAAGTCTCACTCTCTCGCCCAGGCTGGAGTGCAGTGGCACAATCTTGGCCCACTGCAACCTCTGCCTCCCGGGTTCAAGTGATTCTCCTGTCTCAGTCTCCTGAGTAGCTGGGATGACAATCACATACCACCAAAGCTAATTTTTGTATTTTTAGTAGAGATGGGGTTTCACTATACTGGTCAGGCTGGTCTCGAACTCCTGACCACAAGTGATCCCACCTGCCTCAGCTGGGTGCTGGGATTACAGGTGTGAGCCACCGTGCCTGGCCATATTTTTGTAACTTCTTAAGAGTCTATAATTATTAAAAATAAAAAAATTAAAAAGCTAATTAGATATACCAATACTGGCCAGGCATGGTGGCTCACGCCTGTAATCCCAGCACTTTGGGAGGCCAAGGTGGATGAATCACGAGGTCAGGAGTTTGAGACCAGCCTGGCTAACATGGTGAAACCCTGTCTCTACTAAAAATACAAAAATTAGCTGGGCGTGGTGGCAGGCGCCTGTAATCTCAGCTACTCAGGAGGCTGAGGCAGGAGAATCACTTGAACCCACAAGGCGGAGGTTGCAGTGAGCCAAGATCGTGCCACTGCACTCCAGCCTGGGCAACAGAGTGAGACTCCGTCTCAAAAAAAAAAAAAAAAGATATGCCAATACCAATTATTAAATGATTTATTTTATTATTTGTAAAACACCCTTTATTAAATTGCGATATATGCTACAGTCTTGTAAAATTGTAGTTCAGTATTTAATTTTGGGAAAATTGGCATCATTTGAGTTATATATATATATTTTTTGAGATACATTTTGGGAAAATTGGCATCATTTGAGATATCATCATTTGAGATTATATATATATACACATACATATATGTATGTGTGTGTGTGTATATATATATATATATAACAGTCTTCTGGGAACATGGTGTATCCTATTTATTCATGGTATATTTTATATTTCAATAAAATGCGTGTCATTTCCTTCAGGTTTCATAGATGCTTTTAAATGTTCTGTTGTTATGGATGGATGTTTTTTCCATTTATATTCTTTGACCAGCCTGTGCTAGTTATATGTCCCTGAATATAATTTCCATACCCTTTCAAATACATGGAATTCTTTTAACTGGGGAACATGCTTTGCATTCTGCCATTAGAGACAATGTTTAACAGGCTTCTTCGTTCCTTCAAACCTGCTCTCAGGAAGGGTGTGGTTGGTTATTTACCCTGTAATGTGAACTTAAGTAGCTGTGTTCTCCATCCCGTTGTATTGGGGGGTTTGTAAAGATGTATGAGTTTGTGTTCAGTGATTTTAATGCTAACTGTATTTTCCTGGATTCTGTTTATTTGAACATTGTAGAGGTGCTATCTCTAGTAGGGTCACACGGTGTGTTGTCTGGGGTATCCTAGGCCCGACCTGGCGGGGTGGACAGACTGATGTCAGTCCAGAGAGTGAGCTGAGCTGGTCGTGGGTTTTCTTCTCTGCTTTGCTCCCCAGGGCCTTGAGGCCTGGATGGGCACTGAGGGTGTTGAGAAGGCTGCTAGCTGAATGAACCCCAAATTTAGAAATACTCAGAAATGGAAAATGTCCTTTTAACCCCCATCCAGGTCAGTCTTATGAAATCCGACTACTGGAGAATCGGAAGCTGGGAGACTTTCAAGATCTGAACACAAAATATGTCAAGGTAAGCCTCACAGGCTGTTCTCATTGCCTCGGGGAGAGGGGCTTGATTAGGGTCTGGGCACCTGGGCTTGCTGGGGTTGGGCACGGGTAGCTGGAAGGTTAGGGAGAGGCCGGGTTCAGCTCAGCCCTCAACGGTGAGACGCAGCCCCTGTTTGGCTTCTCTGGAGCCTGTTGCCCAGGTGGGGATTAGATGGGCTGGCAGCGTTGAACTTTTCTGAGCTGCAGTTTGCTCATCTGCACAAAAGGGTTAATAACGTAAAGCACTTAGTAATACTGGGACAAATGGTAGTCATCACTGTTGTTGCTGTTGTTAGTGTTACTGGAATCTGAGGAGGGGACAGTGGGCAAAGCTTGAGAACTGGGAAAGGAAGCCCCAGGGGGAGGGGCCTCAAAGGTGGGAGGGTTTACTGTGGCTCAGGGAAAAGAGGTGGGTTCCTCTTGGCCCCCCGCGGTCACTTGTTTCCCTGCTGGCCTCCCTCCCCAGAGCATCATCCGTGTGGTCTTCCATGACCGCCGGCTGCAGTATACGGAGCACCAGCAGCTGGAGGGCTGGCGGTGGAGTCGGCCAGGGGACCGGATCCTGGACATCGGTGAGTCTCCTGGCCAGGAGAGGCCAGGCAAGGCTCGAGGCACCCAGGCCACATTGGGTTCTTCCTGGATGCCACCCGGACCTATGCCGAGAAGGCGTTTTAGCTTGCACCTGCTCTGTGTAAAACCCCGCGGGAGCTTGCAGAGCTGACCATACACTGGGTCCTGCCCTCGAGGAGTCCCCTTTTTCAGTGGAAAAGAAAGGTCTGTGGAATTGAGAGACCTGCTCACAGGGAGTTCAGGGAAGGCTTTGCGGAAGGATGGTGCCTTAAAGGATTTTGATAAGTGTTGAAGACAACCGTGAGCATCACAGAGATAGATGGGCAATGGAAATGGAATTCTGGGGCCTCAGGGACTGGCCCACAGTCCTTTACCCATAATCCTTGTGGCCAGGTGGGTTTTGGAATTCAGAAGCTAGAATGACAATACGATGTGTGTACCCAGAGCATCAGGGAACATCTCCAACAGGCAGCCAAGCACGGTCATATTTCTGTAGCAAAATAAAATGACGGTTCATACAAAACGGGGTGAAGACAACACAGCGCTTGTGGTTCAGGTCAGGCTTTCCGTCCAGTAAGTTATGCAAAACTTTTTCAGAGCTTTTGGCATTGCAAATTGGGGCGAAGGAATTGGGACCTGTAACAGGGGTCTTTCCCTAAATATTTGGGAGAGGCTGACAATTGCACTTTCTGTATGTGTGTGTGTGTATGCAGATATTCCACTGTCTGTTGGTATCTTGGACCCCAGGGCCAGCCCGACCCAGCTGAATGCAGTCGAGTTTTTGTGGGACCCTGCGAAGAGAGCTTCTGCATTCATTCAGGTGGGCCACAGGGAGCTTGCCCTCCAGGGGAAGACCTAGTCTTTGGGGTGGCCTGCGTGCAGTTTCTCAAAACTAACCCATCTGGGAGGGTCTGGATGAGCTTCTGCTCCCTGTCACTGGGAAGGAAACTGCAGGAGAGAGAGAATGAGTGTTGCAAAGAGTCACAGAGCTCATTGGTCCATATTTAGGGAAAGGAGTGGGGAGGGTTTTAGAATTCTATCTGGGTTTTGCCCGTAGAATATATAAGCTTTTTATAAATGAGTATTTCCCAACAGAAATCATTTGAAAGTAAACATTTTTTCTATTATAGTTTCTATTGTTGAATGAATTATTTTGTTATCAAGCACTGGTGTGGATCCAGCCTTGTGTTATATGCCATGTGAGATCAAGGTGGTGAAGGATGTGACTGTGGCATTGTGGTTGCGGTTCTGGCTTGATCCTGGCTCTCTCGCTTGCTGTGTGTCCTTGAGCAAGTCTCCTCCCCTTTCTGAGCCTCTTAGTTTTCTAACCTCCCATCTTACAAATCAGATAATGAATACAGAGCCATTAGCACTGTCTGGTCCCTAGGAATCACTCAATAAAAGCGATCTTTTCTTTCTCTTTTTTTTTTTTTACAATTACAATACTCTTAATATGTTTAAAAATTATTACATTGTTATTATTACAGTTATGTATGGATTCTTATAATATTGCAGTATTATAACAATACATTGATATCGAGTGCCATTTATGTAGTAGGAACCTACCAGAAGTACAGAAATGGTTCCAGCCTTCTGGTTGTCCTTTAAGCCTGGCCTGAGTAGCCTGGACACCAGGACATTAGAGAGGGGTTAGGGCTGTGCTGTGGTCCCTGCCCTCAGTCTAGGATTTGCCAAGGGAGAGGAATCTGGGTGAGGAGTTAGGTTGAGGTTATTGGGGTCAGTGGCCTGGGGAGTGGTGGGGACTTAGCTGGTCAGGCAGGGCCTCCACAGTAAAGAGACAAAGGTGGGGGTGTGTATGTCTTTTGCAGGCAGGGGAACAGGGAGGCCACCGGCCTGATGGAGTGGACAGAGTGTCAGGGAAAGCAGGGAGGTCGAGGCAGGCCTGCACTGACCAAGCAGGGAAGGACACCTCCAATAGAGGGGGCGCTTGGGGGATCCAGGGGCACCCTGCTTGGTGCCTCCTTGCCACCTGCCCAACGTTTCTCCTCCCAGGTACACTGCATCAGCACAGAATTCACCCCCAGGAAGCACGGGGGCGAGAAGGGAGTGCCCTTTCGAGTCCAGATTGACACGTTTAAGCAGAACGAGAATGGGGAGTACACGGAGCACCTGCACTCAGCCAGCTGCCAGATCAAGGTGTTCAAGGTAGGATGGCTTCGCAGGCTCTGCCGTGCCCTGCTGCTGGCCTGGCCTGTGGTCACATTCGCCCACAGAGACCCTGGAGTTTCCTCTTACAGGCCCAGCGAGGAACGCAGCATCCCTTTAGCACATGGCTTCTACCTGGGCTTCTAATGCACACGAGCTTCAAGTCCAGGCACCACAGGCTGCTGCTGCCCTGCTGGGGGCATCTTTTCACCTGCGGCACCCGCTCAGCTTCTGGCAGAAGCATCGGCATGGATGTCCGTCCTGGCTGTCGGTCCTCGGCGCTACTCTATAAGAATGATTGGGATTTGCACATTTTAGCTTTTTTTTCTCCCAAGCACATTACAGTTGCCCACAGGTGCTCACGTCTGGATTCTCCTTAAAAATCAAAGCAAGAGTCTCTCCCTGCTGGAGGCCTGGCCTCGGATCTTCCTGTTGAGGGCTTGAAGCCATTTTTCTCTTTGCAATGGCTTCCTGTTAGAGAAACATTTTCATTTCACCTCCCTTTTCTTCCCCTGCTTCATTCCCTACAGTCGCCTGTCACTATTTTCCATCTCTTCAATCTGGACTGATTATTTCCTGAAGATAGTAGCCAACGATAGAGCTCAGTGTCCTGTGTGGCCTCAGGGAGATGTGGAGGGTTGCATGAGCTTGCATCATTCTCAGGGCATGAGGGCAATCCATGTCCAAGCAGGCCCCAGCCCCACAGTCCCCAGCCCCTGTAGGCCCTGTCTGCCGGGGCCGCTCTAGCAGGTGTTTGCAGAGAAGGAGTGGACCCACCTCCTGGGCAGGAATTGCCTTGAGTAACCAGCCCTGGTGCTCATTCCATCTTCCTCTTGTTTCACATTCAAGTGAATTTGGAGCCTGCTGAGAAAGTTCCATCTTCTGGGGCTGGAGACCCAAGAGGGAGTTGCTTTAGACAGGGCCCTTTAGAAAGCTGGGTGTGTGCTGATCTTCCCCCAGACCGAAGGCACGGGCCTGTGGAAGACCCATGCTTGGAACGGATGTGGGAATAAATGCCCACAGGTAGAACCATAAACCTGGTGGCAACCCTGGGAGACAGGGATGGTGCCATTTCTCACAGAGCCTGGCCCACAGTGAGCACTGGGCAGTGATCTGGGGACGCACCATCACAGCTGCAGTAGAGGAAGCCGAGGATGAGCTGATGGAGTCTGCACTCAGGAGACCACACAGCCGGGCTGCCTGACCGTTGTGGGCACAGGGTTCTGAGGCCCTGGCCCAGCTCCGTGGTTTGGGACGCCTTGGTTAGTCAGTGATGTGGGCCCCAAGTGGGAGGGAGAAGTGGCTGGAGGGATGTGTGTTTGTCTTTCCTGGCAGAGCAGTGGCCTCCAAGGGGAGCTGTGCTCCTCTACTCTGCTTGCTTCCTATTGCTGCTGTCACAAATGGCCACAAATTTTATGACTAAAAACTCTGTGCATTTATTATCTTCCAGTGCTGGCAGTCAGAAGTCTGAAATGGTCCTCACTGGGCTAAAGGTGTCAGCGGGCCTGTGTTCCTTTCCCGAGGCTCTGGGCGGGGCTCTTGCCTATTCCAGCTTCCAAAGCCATTCCTAGGTTCATGGTTCTTCCTTTGTCTTCAAAGCCAGCAGGAGCAGGCTGAGTCCTTCTCACATGGCGGCCCCAACCTCCTCGTCTACCTCCCTCTTCCTTTTGTAAGGATGCTGTGATTACACGGGGCCAAGCAGTTAATCCCAGATAGTCTTCCTATTGCATCAGTTGCGTAGCAATCTTAATTCCATCTGAAACCTCCATTCCCCATTTGCCATGTTAGGTGACATATTCACAGGTTCTGGGGATTAGCAAACAGCCATCTTTGGGAACCATTATTCTGCCGACCACGTCCACCAAGCAGTGGGCGTGGCGGCCCTGTGGTATTTCTGCCTGCTCTGGGATCTGCCGGTCCTGGACACCTGCATGGCTGTGTGCTGTGGTCTTCTCCTAGTCTGTGGTTCACTGTCGCTCTGGCCACCACCTCCCCTCATGTACAGACCGCGTCTCTGCTCTGCCAGCCTTGGCCCCCGTCAGGCAGCGGTTCACTCCCTCACCAGGGATGTCATGTTAGTTCTGCTGCTCTCAAGGTGTGTGCCCTGGGGGAGACGCTGTGCTGGGCAGTAGGAGAGAATTGAGGTAGGCATCTCCACCCCCATGGGTGGGAGCTTCTACACCTTGGGTCAGAAGCTTAGGAGTGGGGGCTCTGTCTACCAGGCTCCTCAACCCATGCCAGGCGTTGCTTGGGGAGTTGGGCTGGAAGCTGCGTGGTCTCAGTGCCCTGAGGAAGGCCTTGGCATCTCCTGCAGGGAGTAGGGGTGGCAGGGCCCCTAGTCACCCAAAACTGGCTCCTCAGAATGCCTGAGGTGTGTCCTTCCACCTGCCTGCCCCCACTCACAGAAGAGATGCAGCTGATGTGCAGAAGCCAGGCTGAGCCGAGCCAAGCTGCCTGTCACCCCTCCGTTCGCCGGTCACCCCAGTTACTGGGAAGCCTGGCTTGTTGGAGCCGCTCCCTGGGACTGTGTGTGGGGTGTCAGGGTCTCTGAAGGGAAAGGCAGGGCTCCTGTCTGAGCAACCAGCTCCCTCCAGGCCTCATCAAGGCCCAGTGCGTGCCCTGCATGCAGGCTCGGCCATGGTCTGGCTGTAACCCCACCTTGCTTGTACCCTCTGTGCAGGGAGGAGGAGTCTCCTGAGAGACAGGAGCTGGAGGTGGAGCAGGGAAGCCAGGTCGTGGGGGTATGGCTGCCACACACCACACTCTTACCCGGGACGCTGGATCTGTTGCGCACATCCCTGTGTGACCTCTGCCACCCTGCTTCATCCAGGGCAGGCATCACTCCAAGGCAGCGGGGCCCCAACCTTTTTGGCACCAGGGACTGGTTCTGTGGAAGACCGTTTTTCCACGGAAGAGAGGGGGATGGTTTCGGGATGATTCAGTGCATTACATTTGTTGTGCACTTTATTTCTGTTATTATTATATCGTAATATATAATGAAATAATTATACAACTCATCATAATGCAGAGTCAATGGGAGCCCTGAGCTTGTTTTCCTGCAACTAGATGGTCTCATATAGAGGTGGCGGGGGGAGGACAGTCACCCATCATCAGGCATTAGATTCTTATAAGGAGCACGCAGCCTGGATCCCTTGCATGTGCAATTCACAAAAGGTTTTGCCCTCTTATGAGGATCTAAATCCGCCACTGGTCTGACACGGGAGGCAGAGCTTAGACGGTAATGTGAGCAGTAGGGAGCAGCTGTAAATACTGTGAAGTATTTACTTCACAGTAAGATGAAGATGAAGCTTCGCTCACTCACCTGCTGCTCACCTTCTGTTGTGGGGCCCAGTTCCTAACAGGGCATGGGACCGGTACCGGTCTGTGGCCCAGAGGTTGAGGACCACTGCTGTAAGAGATGCTCCCTAAAAACCCTTGATCTGGGAGCCGAAAGCTGTAGCCTGAGAAAGGTGCCCCCTGGAATGAAAATCCCTCAAGGTGCCGTTGAGCTTGAACTACTGTTTTCATTACCTGCCCACCACATGTAGCCTGCTGTGTGGGTAGTAAAACTGCTCGGTTCTAGCGCTGCTCGGAGTCTTTACATCTGACTTCGCCAAGTAGGCATGAGGTCATAAGATGCACATGCTCAGGAGACTACATAGCAAGGTCGAGAAGGCGCCCCATGGTGGTACCTGCAGGGCCAGCCTGCGATGCAGCACACTTGGCCACTCTCACTTGGATCCTCTCCCATCCTGATGAACCCCTTGAGCCTCAGTTTCCCACTCTGTAAATGAAGGGAATAATAATAGCTGTGAAGCCTGTACACCCTTTGAAAGTTGCCCCGGTTTGCAAAGCACCCATGATTGTCAGGCTCTCTCTCTGGATGGAGACGTTCCCCTGCAGACAGAGTGTAAGCTGGGGCTTAGCGGGAGTCCTGAGAGTTGGGGGTAAGGAGGCCTTCAGCTTATGGCCAGGATTTCTCAGGTTGCAAGCACAGACTAAATCCAGACCAGCAGCCTGTACTTCTTCCACTTTCCTCTGCTCTCCCTGGGTAACCCAAGGAATGCACTGGGATTCCTTGTGGGTCCCCAAGCTTCCTTTTCATAAGCGAGTGGCCATGGGAAACAATCTTTTCCCCTTGAGCAGCAGAGTGCATGACCCGTGGCAGGTTCCGAGTTCCTCAGGTGGGGAAGCATTCAGGCAGAATGGGAGGGGAGATAGGTGCTGTCCTGCCCCTGAGTTCCTCCCTGCGCCCTGGGGCCCTGGGTGAGGTGGGAAGCAGGAGAGGGCTTGGGGGCTGCTGCCTGTGTTGGTTTTGGGCTGATTGGACTCTGTACTCTGCTCGCAGCCGAAGGGAGCCGATCGGAAACAGAAGACTGACCGGGAGAAGATGGAGAAAAGAACTGCCCAAGAGAAGGAGAAATACCAGCCGTCCTATGAAACCACCATCCTCACAGAGGTGAGCCGGCTGGGTGCGGGGACAGAGCCTCCAAGGGTCTTCCACCAGGAGCAGGGCTGCTGGTTTAGATTCTTGGAAAATCGCCCATCTCGGGTGACTACTTCTGAGAGTGCTTATTCTGTTGTGGTGGGTTCCAGTGTCTGGAGCTCGTGTTCATCTGATAAGACCCAGTGGCCCGGGAGGTATTTCAGAAATAACTTCCAGCTCTGCTCCCTTTGAATGCATTTGTGCTTTCCCAAATTAGGTTCCCTTTTTTTTTTTTTTTTTTTTTTTTTGAGTAGGTAATGTATTCACATGGTTTTGAATTCAAAAGGTACAAGAGAGTGTACAACAGAAAATATCCCTCCCAGTGCCATCCCAGCTTCATGGTTTCTCCCCTCCAGGGCAGAAACCTTCTGTATCTGGCCCAACTTTGTCTGCAGGTGAAGCCAGTGTAGACACGTTTGCCCCATGCCTGCATTTATATACCAACAGTGTACATAGACACAACTTGCTTTTTTCCATTATTAGCTTATCTTGGTGCCTGATGCCTACAGCTTTCTAGTTCCTTACCCAGCTGCATGGCATCATGTGTGATGGCCTGTTGGTGGATGCGGGGTTGTTTCTGGGCTCTTGGAGTTTCAGACAGTGGTGCAGTGAATAACTGTGCATGTGAAGGTCTGCACATGGGAAGCAATTGGCAGGTTTCCATTCTCAGTGGGATCTCTGGGGTTGGAGGGTGTCAGCACTTGTTATTTTGCTGTCTGGTTGCATTTTCTGTTAACCCTGACAGCAATGCCAGCCTGCTCCAACCCTCCATATGTCCATGGGAACTCCTGAGGAGCTCGCTCTTCCTCTTCCCTTTTTTTTTTGTTTGTTTTTTGAGACTGAGTCTCGCTCTGTTGCCTAGGCTGGAGTGCAGTGGTGCAGTCTTGGCTCACTGCAACCTTCATCTCCTGGGTTCAAGGGATTCTCCTGCCTCGGCCTCCCCCAGTACCTGGGATTACAGGCATGTGCCATCATGCCCAGCACATTTTTTTGTATTTTTAGTAGAGACGGGGTTTCACCATGTTGGCCAGGCTGGTCTTGAACTCCTGACCTCAAGTGATCTGCCCACCTCGGCCTCCCAAAGTGCTGGGATTACAGGCGTGAGCCACTGCACCTAACCTCCTCTTCCCTTTACGAGTTGCAGCTAGTGCCTCCTTTTTTACAGGGAATTTTTGTGCAACTCTTTCCCACTGTGTTCTGCAGTCAGGCTGACTGATTGGTGGTGGTGTTTGTTCATTGAATAATTGGACTTCCTCAGAAGGCCCTCCATGTGGTAAGGCCCCTGCCGGCCGTGGTGGGATTAAGGCTGTTAGGGGTGAGGCTTGAGGCGTCTAAGAGAACAGTGGCCCGGTCTTGGCTGACGAGCAGCTGTATGTGTGTATGTGTGTGGACATGCAGGAGGGTATTTGCAAGAAGACAGTGTAAAAGCTAATTTTGTGGTCAGATAGATGTGCACTGGCATTTTATCTGACTGAAGGTCAGTCACCTGCCTCCCCCACGGCCCGCAAAGGAGTGGCAGGATGCAAGCACTGCATTTATGGATTAGAGGCCAGACCAGTTTCTTCCCGTACCTGGTTCATGCCTGTGCTGGTGCCACTGCCCAGAGTGTTCCCCACCTCCTGATACCATTCTCTCCCTAACAGCCTCAACCTCTCTGCTCCTCTGCTGACTGCCCCTGGGAAGAGAGGTCCTGGTGAGCCACATGCCAGGTCTGTCCAAGCCCTTGCCACAGTGCAGCGTAGTTGAAAGCCCACCCTGGGAGGCACCGGCTGCCACTTCTATCAGCTGTTCAGCTTTCCTCCTTGGGCTGTAGGATTTAGCACCAACAAATTCGAGCCCACACTCACAATACTTAAATATTTACCAACACTATAGTTTGGTGGGTGATAGTAAATCTTCGGGAATGCTTCAAATTGGCCCTCTCTGAAGAGGCATCATCGCAGGGAAGGGAAGAGATGAACTTTTTCAGCTGGATAGACTTTCTCCAGCAGACAAAACCTGTAAACCCTTGCTTCCTTTGGGAGACTCCACATGCATTTGTGTTTGGCTTCCATAGTAGAATGTTTTCGAGGGCAAGGATCACATCTTTCATGTTTGTGGATCTCCCTTAGCCCCCAGCAGAATGCCTGAAATGGAATGAACACCATCAAATTTCACCGAGAGGAGCTGCTTTTGGTGATTGTGCAAGAGCCTCCGCCCCTGTCAGCAGATTCTTTTTTCAAATAGCACAGGTTTTAATACTGACTCTTACTGCTTATTTTTTTGTTTGGAAGTTGCCTGTGGTCCAGTACTCCCTATAACAGACATTTACACGAATTTGTCTCTCCCAGGAAAAGCTGTTTGTGAACAACTGGCTGGTTTCGTTTTTTCTCTCTCGTGGACCCAAGAATCACATGACTGTGATGTTTCCCCTCTGGTTTTACTGCTAGGAAGCCCAGAGAGACCCCTTGGGTACTTCACTTGCTCCAGGGGTGACTTACTGAACATTTCTGCTGGTTTCCTTCATGTGGCCCTCGTAACCTGCCTTGCCGTGGCTCACTGTGGGCACTGGGTAAACGCAGGCTGCGTTTCACAGGTGGGGGTCTCATGCATTGGTGTCAGTGCATGCCTGCTTGGGAGGACCTGGGGAGCACGGCTCAGCGCCTCTCCAGATCCCAGCTCGCCCTGTGCTCTCTCCTGCAGTGCTCTCCATGGCCCGACGTGGCCTACCAGG